>NC_000004.12:170171381-170796381 GCF_000001405.40 Homo sapiens
AGGGGTTCCAGGCAATGGAGAACTAGTACACATCTTATTGCAGGACTAGTGTGTATGTGTGTGTTTATGTGTGTGTGTGTGTGTGCATGTGTGTGAGAGAGAGAGAGATTTGGAGAGACCTCTAAGTGGCAATGTGAAGGACAAATTTGGACTTGGGAAGGGATTGAAAGTTGGGAAGCAGAGTATATTAGTCCATTTCACACTGCTATAAAGAACTGCCAGAGACTGGGTAATTTATAAAGGAAAGAGGTTTAATTGACTCACAGTTCAGCATGGCTGGGAAGGCCTCAGGAAATTTATAATAACGGCGGAAGGTGAAGAGGAAGCAGTGTACCTTGTTCACAAGGCAGCAGGAAGGAGAAGTGCCTAGCGAAGGGGGAAGAGCTCTTTATAACACCATCAGAGCCGGGCGCAGTGGCTCACGCCTGTAATTCCAGCACTTTGGAAGGCCGAGGCGGGTGGATCACAAGGTCGAGAGCTCAAGACCATCGTAACCAACATGGTGAAATCCAATCTCTACTAAAAATACAAAAATTAGCTGTGCATGTTGGCGCACACCTGCAGTTCCAGCTACTAGGGAGGCTGAAGCAGGAGAATCACTTGAACCCAGGAGGCGGAGGTTGCAGTGAGCTGAGATTGTACCACTGCACTCCAGCCTGGTTACAGAGTGAGGCTCCGACTCAAAAACAAACAAACAAACACCAAATAAACAAAAAACAAAACAAACATCAGATCACATGAGAATTCGTTCACTCTCATGAGAACAGCATGAGGGAACCACCCCCATGATTCAATTAACTCCACCTGGTCTCTCCCTTGACATGTAGGAATTATGGGGATTATGTGGATTACAATTCAAGATGAGATTTGGTTGGGAACACAAAGCCTGGCCATATCACAGAGATACCCATCAGGAATCTCAAATAGTGTAGATAAAGAGGCTAAGTATATGAACAACAGCGCTGCCAAAGGAAAGAAAGAATAAAAAATTAAGTTGAGGTGTTTCACTGGTGGAATTCACCAAATATTTATTCATTCATTGACCAAACATTTAATCACTCATTTGATATTTATTAAACAGACTGTATTTTTAAAAAACACTTTATTGAGGTGCAATTGACATAGAAAAACTATACATATTTAATGTACACAACTTGATAAATTTGATGATGGGTATTCACCTGTGAAACCATCACCGCAATCCATGCTATAAACATATCCATCACCTTCAAAAGTTCCCTTCTGCTTTCTTTCTTTATTACTACTTTTTTGTGTGATAAGAACACAAGATCTATCCTTGCATCAAATTTCAAACATACAATATACTATTGTTAACTACTGCTGTACGATAGATCTCTTTGACTGATTCATCGTGCACAAACAAAACATCGAACCTTGTACTAATATCTCCCATTTTCCTCTCCCCTCAGACCTTGGCAACCACCATTCTACTCTCTACGTCTGTGAATTGGACTATTTCAGATTCCTCATGTAAGTAGGCTTATGCATATTTTTCCTTGTCTGGTTTATTTCAATCAATATAATGTCCTTAAGGTTCACTCTTGTTGTCATAGATGCCAGAATTTTCTCATTTTAAAAGTCAGAGTAGTATTTTATTGTGCATATACACCACATTTCTTAATCTAGTTATCCATTCATGGACATTTAGGTGGCTTCCATGTTGTAACTATTGTGAATAATGCTGCAATAAATGTGGGAGTGCCTCTGCAAGATAGTGATTTAATTTCCTTAGGATAGATATTCAAAAGTGGATTGCTGCATCATATGGTAGTTCTATTTTTATTTTTTTGAGGGTTTTTTTTTTTTTTTTGAGACGGAGTCTTGCTCTGGTGCCCAGGCTGGAGTGCAGTGGCGAGATCTCTGCTCACTGCAAGCTCCGCCTCCCGGGTTCACGCCATTCACCTGCCTCAGCCTCCCGAGTAGCTGGGACTACAGGCACCCACCACCACGCCTGGCTAATTTTTTGTATTTTTAGTGGAGACAGGGTTTCACCATGTTAGCCAGGATGGTCTCGATCTCCTGACCTCGTGATCCGCCTGCCTCGGCCTCCCAAATGCTGGGATTACAGGCGTGAGCCACTGCGCCCGGCCCTTTTGAGGCATCTTTAGACTATTTTCTGTAATAGGTGTGCCAATTTATATCCCTACCAACAATGTACAAGAGTTCCCTTTTCACCACATTCTTCTCAACACTCATCTTTTGTCTTTTTGCTAATAGCCATTTTAACATGGTAAGGTAATATCTCATTGTTTTAATTTGTATTTCCCTGAAGATTATTACTATTGAGCATAGTTTTTTCAGATATCCGTTGGGACATTTTAATTTCTTCTTTGTAGAAATGTCAATTTGAGTCTTTTATTCATTTTAAAATTTATTTTGTTTTATTTTATTGCTATTCCTTACATATATTGGATATTAACCCCTTATCGGATGCATGGCTTGAAAACCTTTGCTCCCATTCTATAGGTTCCTTTTTCATTTTGTTGATTGTTTCCTTTGTTGTACAAAAGCTTTTTAGTTTGACATAGTCTCACTTGTCTATTTTTGCTTTTGTTGCCTATGCTTTTGGTGTCATATACAAGAAATCATTGCCAAAGCCAATGTCAATAAGACGCTTTCTCTGTTTTCTTCTAGAAGTTTTACAGTTTCAGGTCTTACATTTAGTTAAGTCTTTAACCCATTTTGAGTTTTTTTTTGTGTATGGTGAAAGATAGGGGTCCAATTTAATTCTTTTGCATATGGAGGTCCAATTTTCCTAGCACCATTTATTGACAAGGCTGTCCTTTCCCTATTGTGAAGTCTTGGAACACTGTCAAGGATCAGTTGACTGTATATGTGTAAATTTATTTCTGGGCTCTTTATTCTGTTTCATTGTTTGAAGTGTCTGTTTTTATGTCAGAACTATACTGTTTTGATTACTGTAGTTTTGTAATTAGGAAGTGTGATGCCTCCAGCTTTGTTCTTGCCCAAAATTGTTTTGGCTATTTGGGGTCTTTGTGATTCCACATGAATTTTAGAATTTCTTTTTCTACTTCTGTAAACATGCCATTGGAATTTTGATAGGGATTATATTGAATCTGTAGATCACTTTAAGCACTGTGGTCATTTTAACAATATTAATTCTTTTAATCTATGAACATGGAATGTCTTTTCATCTATTTGTATCTGTTCCAATTTCTTTCATCAGTGTTTTGGATGCATAAGTGTTTCACGTTCTTGGTTAAGTTTATTTTTTGATGCTATTATAAATGGGATTTTTAAATTTAATTTCCCTTTAAGGATAATTCATTGTTACTGTATAGAAATACAACAGATTTTTGTGTGTTGATTTTGTATCCTGCAACTATGTAATTTATTAGTTCTACTTTTTTTTTTTTGTGGAGACTTCAGGGTTTCTTACATATAAGATTATGTCATTGGCAAACAGTTTTACTGTTTTGTTTTACTTCTTCCTTTTAAATTTTGTTGTCTTTTATTTCTTTTTGTTGCCTAATTGCTCAAAGACTTCCAGTGCTATATTGAATAGAAGTGGTGAGAGCACAACCTAAGCTCATTTCAGATGTTAAACGAAAAGCTTTCAGTTTTTCACCATTGTGTTGTTAGCGAAAGACTTTTCATATTTTGCTTTTATTTTGTTGAGACAAGCTTCTTCTATACCTAATTTGTTGAGAGTTTTTACAATAAAATTGTGTTAAGCTTTGTAAAATGCTTTTTCTGCATGTAGTCAGATGCTCATGTGTCTTCTATCTTTCATTCTGTTAATGTGTATTATCTTGACTGATTTGTGTATGTTGAATCATCTTTGCATCCCTGGAGTAAATCACATTTAATCACAGTGAATGACCCTTTTAGCGTGCTGTTGAATACACTTTGCCAGTATTTTGCTAAGGATTTTGGGATGTATATTAATCAAGGACATTGACCTATAGTTTTCTGTTTTGTCTTTATCTGATTTTGGTGTTAGTGTGATGCTGGCCTCATAAAATGAATTTAAAAGTGCTATTCTTTTTAATATATTTTTTAAAAATCTAAAAAGCATTGGTATTAGTTCTTTAAATGTGTGGTCAGATTCACCTGTGAAGTAATCCGGCCCCGGGCTTTTCTTTTTTGGGAGAATTTTACTTGTTTACTCTCCTTATTTGTTACTGATCTTTTCAGTCTTTCTATTTCTTCTTGATTTATTATTGATAGGTCATATGTTTCTAGGAATTTACACATTGTTTCCAGGTTGTACAATTTGTTGGTGTATAATAGTCCCTTATGATCCTTTTTATTTCTGTGGCATAAATTGTAATGTCTTCTTTGTTATTTCTGATTTTATTTATTTGAGTCTTCTCCTTTCTTTCTTTGTCTAGCTAGATGTTTGTTGATTTTTAAAAATCTTTTTAAAAAACCTGTTAGTTTTACCAATCTTTCTTATTATTTTTCTATTCTCTATTTCACTGGTTTCTGCACTAATCATAATTATTTCCTTCTGTCTGATAATTTTCGCTTAGTTTTTTCTTATTTTTTATTTCCTTGAGGTATAAAAGTAGATTGTTTATTTGAGATTTTTCCTGTCTTAAAATGTAGATATTTAGCACTATAAACTTCCCTGTTAGTATTGCTTTTGCTGCATCTCATAAGTTTTGGTATTCTGTGTTTTCATTTGAGTTTTAATATGGTTTGGATTTGTGTCCCCACCCAAATCTCATGTTGAGTTGTAATCCCCAGTTTTGGAGGAGGGGCTTGGTGGGAGGTGGTTGGATCATGGGGGTGGATTTCCCCCTTGCTGTTCTCATGACAGTGAGTGAGTTCTTACAACATCTCATTGTTTAAAAGTGTGTAGCACCTCCCCCTTTGCTGTTCTTCCTTCTCCAGCCATGTAAGACATGCCTGCTTCCCCTTTGCCTTCTGCCATGATTGTAAGTTTCCTGAGGCCACCCCAGCCATGCTTCCTGTACAGCCTTGTGGAACTGTGAGTCAATTAAACCTGTTTTCTTTATACATTACCCAGTCTAAGGTAGTTCTTTATAGCAATGTGAGAAGAGACTAATACAGAAAATTCGTACATAGAAGTGGGGCATTGCCATAAACATATTTCAAAATGTGGAAGCAACTTTGGAACTGAGTAATGGGCAAAGGTTGGAACAGTTTGGAGGGCTCAGAAGGCAGGAATATGAGGGAATGTTTGGAACTTCCTAGAGATTTGTTAAATTGTGGTGACCAAAATGCTGACAATGATATGGACAATGAAGTCCAGGTTGAGGTGGTCCCAGTAAAAGTTTGGAAAATTTGCAACCCAGCCATGTGGTAGAAAAGAAAAACCCATTTTCTGGGGATGAATTCAAGCCAGCTGCATAAATTGTGTAAGTAGAGGAGAGCAATGGTAATAACCAAGACAGTGGGGAAAATGTCTTGAAGGCATTTGAGAGATCTTCTCAGCAGCTCCTCCCATCACGGGCCCAGAGAGCTAGGAGGCAAGAATGGTTTCATGGGCTGGGCCCATGGCCCCACTACCCTGCACAACTTTGGGACAATGCTCCCAGCATCCCTGCCACTCCTGCTCTAGCCATGGCTAAAAGGAACCCAGATATGTCTCAGTCTACTGTTCCAGAATGTGTGCCAGCCATAAGCCTTGGTGGCATCCATGTGGTGTTAAGTTTGTGGGTGCACAGGCAGCAAGAGTTGAGGCTTTGGAGACTCCACCAAGGTTTCAGAGGATTTGTGGAAATGCCTGGATGTCCAGGCAGAATCCTGCTGTAGGGTCAGAGCCCTTATGGAGAACCTCTACTAACACAGTGCAGAGGGGAAATGTAAGGTTAGAGCCCCAACACAGAGTCCCCACTTGGGCACTGCCTAGTGGAGCTGTGAGAAGAGGGCCACCCTCCTTCAGACCTCAGACTGGTAGACCCACTGACAACTTGCACTGTGTACCTGGAAAAGCCACAGGCACTCAACACCAGCCTGTTAAAGCAGCTGCAGGAGTTGTGCCCTGAAGAGCCACAAACTCTTTAGGCAGAGCTACCTAAAGCCTTGGGATCCCACCCCTTACATCAGTGTTGCCTGGATGTGGAATGACTTTCATATTCTCAAATTTGTTAAGATTTTTTTGTGACCTAGCATGTGGTTTTTCCTAGAGAATATTGCATGTGTGCATGAGAAGAATGTGTATTCTACTTCTGATGGGGAAATGTATGTGTCTATTAGGTCCACTTGGTCTATGGTTTTAAGTCTGCTGTATGGTGTTATTTAAGTTTGCTGTTTCCTTATACATTTTCTGTCTGACCTATTATTTTAATCTATTATTGAAAGTGAAGTATTGAGGTCCCCTACTACTATTGTCTTTTCTATGTATCCCTTTGGATCTGTCAGTGCTTGCTTTATATATTTAGATGCTCTGATGTTGGGGGCATATATATTTATATTTGTTATCTTCTTGTTGAATTGACCATTTTAAATTTCTATAAAGACATTCTTGATCTTTTGTGGTAGTTTTTGACTTAAATTCTATTTTGGCTGCTATAAGTATAGCTATTCCTGGTTTATTTTGGTGATCACTTGCATGAAATACCTTTTTCCACCCTTTAGTTTCAGCCTATGTGTGTCCTTAATTCTAAAGTGGGTCGTTTATAGACAGTATATAGTAGAATCTTGGTGTTTTTGATCAATTCAGCTACTGCATATGTTTGGATTGGGTAGTTTAATCCATTTATGTTTAAGGTAATTATTGATAGTAAGAACTTACTATTGCCATTTTGTTAGTTGCTTTTTGTCTGTTTTGCAGTTGTTCCTATTTTCATTTTTCTCATTTTCCTCTATAATTTTAATTTTTTTGTAGTTTTATGCTTTTATTCCTTTTACTTTTTCTCTTGTGTACCTACTATAGGTATTTTATGTGTGGTATTATAAGGTTTACATTCAACATCTTGTAGTTATAATACTGTATTTTAAGTTGATAGTAACTTTACATAAATCACACACAAATATTCTATACTTTTACTTCTTTCCTCACTCCACATACTTTATATTAATGATGCCACAATCTACATCTTTTAATATTGTGTATCCACTAACATTTTAAATTTATTCTTACTGCTTTTTTCTTTTAACTTTTATTCTAGAATTAAATGTGATTTACAAACCACATTACAGTACTACAGTATTTTGAATTCGACTATATATTTACTTTTACTGGTGAGATTTATGTTTTCATATGCTTTCATTTTGTTGTTTAACATCCTGTTGTTTCAACTTAAATATGTTCCTTTAGCATTTCTTGTAGGGCAAGTTTAGTGGTGACAAACTCCTTCAGTTTTTGCTCTCTGGGAAAGTCTCTATCTCTCTATCATTTTTTAAAAACAATTTGGCTGGTATAGTATTCTTGGTTGGCAATTTTTGTTCTTTTAAGCACCTTGAATATATGATCACACTCTCCTGCCCTGCAAAGTTTCTGCTAAGAAATCTGCCAATAGCCTTATGGAAGTTCACTTGTATGTATTGAGTTGTTTTTTTCTTACCACTTTAAAAATTCCCTCTTTGTCTTTGACTTTTGATAATTTAATTATAATATGTTTTAGTGTAGAGTCCTTCGTGTTCAATGTATTTGGAGTTCTTTGGGCTTCATGTATCAAGATGTTCATTTCCTTCCTTAGATAAGGGTGTTTTAGTCATTATTTTTTAAAATAAGCCTTATGCTCCTTTCTCTTTTTCTCCTTGTAGCACTTCCATAATGCAAATATTGATTCACTTTAAGATGTACTGTAAGTCCTGAAGGTTTTCTTCCTTTGTTTTTGTTAGTTTTATTCTTTCCATTCTTCTGACTAGATCATTTCAAATGACTTATTTTTGAGTTCACTGATTTTTTTCTTCTGTTTGATCAAGTCTGCTATTGAAACTTTATTGAGATGTTTAGTTCATTGTATTCTTAATATGTTTTTTCTTTGTTGAATATCTTCTTTTATGTATTGTGTTTATGTTTTCTTTTAGTTGTCTACTTCTGTTCTCTTGTTTGCTGAACTTTTAAAAGATAATTACTTGAATTTTTTTTCCATGAATTTGTAGCTCTCCACTTATTTAGGGTCTATTACTGAAGCTTCATTTTGTTCCTTTGATGGTGTCCAGTTTCCCTGAGTCTTCATGATCTTTGTCACTTTGTGCATTTGAAGAGACCTTCACCTCCTGCAGTTATTATAGCCTATATTTGGCAGGAAAAATACCTTATCAGTCACCTTGGCCAGAGATTCTGAGTCAGTTGGAGGGTCTGCAAGCAATAGGCTTGGTGCCAGGGACTGTGGGCAAGTGGACTTGCTGTTGGGGCCTCAGGATTGATGTCTCAACATGTGCTGGGTGTGGAAAACTACCCCCACTCTTATTAGATCCTCCCAATAATCTAGATGTAAAAATTCCCTCAATATATTCTGAATGAGGCATTGCAGAAACAGACCTTTTAGATAGTGTCCCCAAATGCTGAAGATGTCCAACATTCACTTTGCTCTCTGTTTCCTTCACAGGAGAACTTGTGGGCTGAGGGGATCTTTCTTAGTACTACGCTGTGCTAACATGAGGGAGGGGTGATACAGACAAAGTAAAACCATTCTCTTGCTTTTTTAAATGCTTCTTTTCTCATTTCTGTGGTCCATCAAGGTGCTCTAATCTTCACTTGGATTCCAAAGATCTCATAAAGATATTTTCATCCACAAATGTGTGGATAGTCATTAAATTAGTGTTTCTTTTGGAGGATAGAGCTGAGTCCTTTTATTCTGCCATCTTTCTGATATCACTTCAAACTCAGTCTGTTTTTAAAGCATTGCTCTTTGATGTATAGAAAGATAATTGCTTTTGAGGGGCTTATAGTCTAGTAGAAAAATTATGTGTGTGTTTACACACACACACACAGACACACACACACACACACAGAAAGAGATTGACGAGGGGAGATTTTTAAGGAGGTAACTAATGCAGTTGTGAGGCCTGGCCAATCTGAAAACCGCAGGGTAGGCCAGATTCTGGGGACACAGGATAGAGGTGATGTTGAAATCTTGAGTTTGAAGGTAATCTGGAAGCAGAATTTCTTTTCCCTCAGGAGACCTTGTTCTTTTCTTTCTTTCTTTCTTTTTTGAGACAGAGTCTTGCTCTGTTGCCTAGGCTGGAGTGCAGTGGCATGATCTTGGCTCACTGCAACCTCCACCTCCTGGGTTCCAGAAATTCTCCTGCCTCAGCCTCCTGAGTAGCTAGGATTACAGACCTGTGCCACCCCACCTGCCCCTGGCTAATTTTTGTATTTTTAGTAGAGACAGGGTTTCACCATACTGGCCAGGCTGGTCTTGAACTCCTGACCTCAAGTGATCCACCTGCCTCCACCTACCAAAGTGCTAGGATTACAGGTGTGAGCCACTGCACCCGGCTGGTCTTTTCTTTTAAGACCTTCAACTGACTGGGTGAGACCCACTCTCATTACAGTGAGTAATCTGCTTTACTCAAAGTCTACTGATTTAGATATGAATTTCATCTAAGAATACCTTTATGGCAACATATAGACTGGTATTCAACCAAAAACTGGGTACCATGGCTTAGCCAAGTTGACATAAAATTAACCATTATACAAATAAATGAGAGACAGTATTTTGAGTGTGTGTGAAAAATTGTATTTGAGCTGAGCTTTGAAGAAAGAGTTGAAGAAGAAAGAAATGGAAGGCACAGCATGAAAATAAAGATGAAAATGAGAAAAAATCAGCATATGTATAGAAAACTATAGAGTTCCCTTTTATTGGCATAGAATAAATGAGGAAGGGAGTGATGAAAATTAAACTTGAAAAGGGAGTCATGATATTCCATGATGACTGGGATAAGTAGTTTTACTTCATTCTAAAGACAATGGGAATCCAATGAAGTTTTTGCTCAGAGAATTGATATGCTTTAAACTACTGTTGAGTATAAGCTGGTAGCAAATCCAAATCAAGGCCATCATGGAGTTGTCTGGCCTCTTTGGGGCAGCTGTTCTCCCTTCCTATTGTTACTTTTAAAATGATGGTAGAGGATAGGATTTTACAGAGTCCTTTAGATATAATGTACAATATCTTGTAGATAGGTAGGGACATGTGGAAACAGGATTTTTTCCAAGCTAGAATGGAAATTGTACTTTTAATGTATGTATAAATATTCTGATCCAAGGATATTTAGTTATTGGTAAGTATAGATACTTTTGCAAAAATCTGGCTTCCAAGGCCAGACTGATAACTTATCAGGAATGTTGTATAGCATGAACTACACAGATTCTGCAAACCTATTAATATATTCATAACACTTGTATGACCTTTGTTTTATTGTCATGCTGATATTCTACAAAATCATATATGATATGATAGCCAAAATAGGCAGTCATGCTGAAAAGTTTGTTCTTCATGAGAAAAATTCACGTTTTAAAAGTAATAGAAATTTAATTCTGAGCCAGCATAACAACTCTTTCTATATGTGTAAATGTATTATAAAACTAGAAAAAACAAAGCAAAGAAAAAAAATTTGTAGTTCCTATCCCTTAAAGCCAGAATGGATACAGAAAAGTGGAATTTTTTGTTTAATTGGTTTCTTTTTACCTACTCCTTTGCTATTTCATAATTCCACTTTATTTTTTATTGACATCTTAGCTCCTCTTTCCATGTGCCCTGCAGCTAGCAATTTTTAGAAACATTTCCGACAACTCTGGGTCTATTTCTTTTCTTTTTGCCTTTAAATAACTGTTAGGTCTTATTCTCTTTCCACTTTTACCCTCTGCAGGTGACTCTTGACTTTAATTTCTTCTTCTGATCAAAACTTCTTTGTCTGGATGCCTCCGCATTAGTCATGTTTAACCTTGATGTTCCCTGAGTGGAATTTCCACAAACTTTTCAGCATGCAGTACTTTGTATGGTTTAAAAAATTAAAATGTGAGGCCAGTTTTGACAGGAATACTGGACATGAAGATTCTTTTCTGGGTAATGCTAGGCGATCTATAAATGTGACTGATGACTCATGATGAGAATTATAGAAGTCAATAGTACATAATAAAACCTCATGATAAAGTACCTTGTTATTCCATGGATTTGATAATATTGCGGGTCAAATCATTTCTCTCAAGAGTGGAGTAAAATATCACAAATGTATGTCCTTAATGCAGCTCATACACTTACGTGTCAATATTTTTCAACAAATATTTGAGTGCTTACTCTATGTATTGCATACGAATATTATGAGTAGTTTTTTTTTTGTTTTGAATTTATGAAACATGTTTTTCTTCCCCCAAAAATAAGAGATTAGCTTTTGGCACATCTTCATAGCAGTTTAATATGGTAAGATCTTCAATAACAAAGGAAAATTTAAGAACTCATTGCTCACTTAAGAAACATTTACGAAGTACCTACTCTGTGTCTAATCTAACATCAGATACTGTAGGGAGGTGGGACATCCTAACTTCAGCAGTCTGTCTTAGAGAGGGAACTGGGGGAGAGAGAGGAAATAAACTATCATTTATTGATCAGTGTTCAAGATCACTCACAAATGTTTTCACTTAAACTTAACAATAACCTCATGATATACTTACTATTTTCTTTCTTTGATAACAAGAAAACTGAGTCTCAGGGTATTTAAGTAACACCCCCTAATGTCACAAGACTGGTTAGAATAGGAGAAAGGATTTACCTTAGTTCTGTTTTCTTTCTGCACACTACACTGGTCACTAAAAGGTAGAAATAAAAAGTACAATGAAAATAAATGGTTATAGAAATTTATAATAGTGTTTTTGCAGAAAAGAATACACAAAAAATAAAGGTGAAACTGATAATCTATTAAACTGGGAATCAGACATTTTCTTACTGCTCCTGAGATAGTAAAAGAGACTGAAAAACACATTGTAAAAACTCTGAAAAACATTCATTACTTGCTTAACGCAGAATTTCTCAGATTCTGCTTGTTTTCTGTTCCCCTACACCCTAACTCTTTATGTGTTCCATATAATATTAACAGTTGTGAAAGTACAGGATGAAAAGTTGTTACATGGAAATTCCCAGTACACCACAGTTGTTTTACTACACAGATTTTTTTTATGGTCCTTTTTATAGGCATGAGTTATGGGAGACTACCAATTGTTAAGCAAAAGCTAAGTTTTAAAATGAAAATGCATCTGATAACTCCTATAGAATCCAGGCATAGGATAATAATAGTAATCTAAAACAGACTTGGGGATACACATACAATGCATAAAAGACTTGTCCACCCCAAATTTACTTCTCTTTCACTTACTGCTGTCATTTCTGCTCTGAGACTAGTATGTGTGTGTGTGTGTGTGTATGTAGGTCTGACTTTGTGAGCAAATGGTTGAATTCTTCATTATCTGAGAAAAAGTTCTTTTTTTCTGATAGTATGTTAAGTTTGGTAATGTTAGAAGATGTAATAGATGCATTGAAAGAGGAAACCATTTCCAGTTAATTGAAGCTGGAGTATTTATACCAGCTGCTCTTAGTCTCCTCTACATTAAGTGTTGACTCCTTGGACACTTGAATAACCAATAATATTTAGGCTTTATATTCTGACAATCATTTACAATGGATAACATAAAGGTTCCTTTTTTCTCCTCCCCAACTTTTTTAAGGTAAAATTGACACATACAAAGGGTATATATTTACAGTATACAACATAATACAACATATATGTAGATATTACAAAACGATTAAATCAAGCTTATTAACATATCTATCATCTCACATACTTATCACTTTTTTGGGGTGAGAATATTTAAGATCTACTCTGTTGACAATTTTTAGGTATGCAATACATTATGATTAACTATAGTCACCATGCTCTAAATAGATTTCCATATTTTATTCTTCCTGTCTAAAACTTAGTAACTTTTGATCAACATCTCCCTATTTCTTCCTCTCTAGGCAGTCTCTGGCAATCACCATTATACTCTCCATTTCTGTGAGTTCAATTTTTTTTGGATTATACATATAAGTGAGATCATGTAGTATTTGTCTTTCTGTGACTGGTTATTTCACTTAGCATAAAGTCCTCCAAGTTCATTCATCTTGTCACAGATGACAGAATTTCTTTCTTTTGAAAGACTGAGTTGTATTTCATTGTCTGTCTATCTATTACATTTTCTTCATTTATTCATCAGTTTGAGATCCTGATTTTATTTTCTTTGGATACATACCCAGAGAAAGATTGTTGCATAATAGTTCTGTTTTTAATTTTTTGACAAACCTTCATACTGTTTTGTACAATGGCTGTATCAATTTATATTTCCATTAAGAGTGTGTAAGGGCTCCCTTTCCTCCACATCCTTGCTAATGCTTATTTTTTGTCTTTTTGGTAATAGCCACATTAAGAGGCATGTGATAATATCTCATTGTTTTAATTTGCATTTTCCTGCTGATTACAGATATGGAGCATTTTTCCATATACTAGTTGGCCATTTGTATGTCTTCTTTTTAGAAATGTCTATTCAGTTCCTTTGCTTACTTTGTAATTGGATTTCTTTTTCTTTCTATTGAGTTGTTTGAATTCTTTATATATTGTAGATATTAACTCTTTATCAGATATGTGGTTTGCAAATATTTTTCCTACTCTGTGGGTTATCTCTTCACTCTGTTGATTGTTTCCGTTGCTGTTTGATGTAATCCCATATGTCTATTTGACTTTTGTTGCTTATCCTTTGAGGTCATTTGCAAAAACCACTGTCCAGACCTATGTCAAGCTATTCCCCTAAATTTTCTTCTAGTAGCTTCACAATTTCAGGTCTTACATTTAAGTCTTTAATCCATTTTGTGTTGATTTTTGTATGTGGTGTGAGACAAGAATTCAATATAATTTTTCTCTAAACAGTTTTTCCAACACCATTTATTGAAGAGGCTGTCCTTTCCCTATTGTGTATTCATGGTACCATCGTCAAAAATCATTTGACCATAAATGTGTGGATTTAGTTCTGAGCTCTCTATTATGTTTCATCAGTATATATGTCTGCTTTTAATGCCGGTATCATGCTGTTTTGATTACTATAGCTTTGTAGTACATTTTGAGATTAGGTAGTGATGCCTACAGTTTTGTTCTTATTGCTCAAGATTACTTTGGCTATTTGAGGTCTTTCATTGTTTTGTATAAATTTAGGATTGTTTTTTCTATTTTTGTAAGAAAGTCACTGGAATTTTGATAGGGATCGCATTGAATCTGTAAATCACTTTGGGTAGTGGGATATTTTAACAATATTAATTATTTTAATCCATGAACACAGGCTGTCTTTCCATTTATTTGTATATTATTCCATTTATTTCATAAGGTTTTATAGTTTTCAGTGTAGAGGCTTTTCATCTCCTTGGTTAAATTTATTCCTAAGTATTTTATTCTTTTTCATACTATTTTTTCTTAATTTCTCCTTCAGATTGTTTGTTGGTAGTGTATAGATACTCAACTACTTTTTGTGTGTTGATTTTGTATGTTTGATTCAGGTGCTCCAATTTTGAATGCATATATATTTCCAATTGTTATATCCTCTTATTAGATTAACCTATTAATCATTACATAATAGTCTTCTTTGTACAGTTTATGACTTCTTTTTACAGTTTATGACTTAAAGTCTATTTTGCCTGATATAAGTATAGCTACTCCTGCTCTCTTTGATTTCCATTTGCATGAAATAGTATTCCATCCCTTCACTTTCAGTCTATGCATGTCCTTAAAGTATGTCTGCATATTAGTGTCTTGTTTTTTTGTTTTTCTATTCATTCAGACACTATGTCTTTTGATGGGAAAATGTAATCTGTTTACATTTGAAATAAGTATAGTCTCCCTCGGTATTTGTGGGGTATTTGTTCCCGGGCCTCCTGCAGATACCAAAATTCACAAATGCTCTGTCCTTTATTTAAAATGTTGTAGCATTTGCATATAACCTAGGCACATTCTCTTGTAGGCTTTCATTTACCTTTAGATTACCTCTAATACCTAATGAAATGTAAATGCTATGTAAATAGTTATTATAGGTATATTTTTCAGGAAATAATGACAAGGAAAAAAGTCTGTACCTTTCAGTACAATCATCCAATTTTTTTCCCAAATATTTTCTATCTTTGCTTGGTTGAATCCACAGATGTGAAACCCATGGATATGGAGGGCTGACTGTATTGATAGGTAAGGACTTACTATCAACATTTTGTCTTTTTTAAAAAAATGTTTTATAGGTCCTTTGTTACTTTTTTCTGCTTTCGCTGTTTTTCTTTGTGATTTGATGGTTTCTATAGTGGTATGGTTTAATTCCTTTCTCTTTATCTTTTGTGTGTTTATGTTTTTATTTTGTGGCTACCGTGAGGCCTATGTATCTTACAGTTATACAAGTCTATTTTAAGCTTGTAACAAATTAACTTTAATTGCATGCAAAAGCTCTTCACTTTTTATTCTCCCTTATATTTTTGATATCACATTTAATTTTTTATACTGTGTATCCATTAACAAGTTATTGCAGTTACAATTCTTTTTAATGCTTTTGTCTTTTAATGATTATCCTAGAGTTATAAGTGATCTATACACTACCATTATAGTATTAGAGTATTCTAAATTGGACCATGTACTTTTACCTGTGAGTTTTATACTTTTATGTTTTCATGTTATAATTAGTGGTCTTTCATTTCAGCTGGAAGAACTTTCTTTAGTATTTCTTGTCAGGCAGGTCTAGTGGTGATGAACTACATCAGCTTTTGTTTTTCTGGGAAGTGTTTATTTCTCCTTCAATTCTGAAGGGCAACTTTGCCAGGTAAGATATATTTGGTTAGTATTTTTTGGTTTTAGCACTTTGAGTTATCACCTCACTTTCTCCTGGCTTGCGAAGTTTTTGTGGAGAAATCCACTGATAGCCTTATTAAGATTCTCTTGCGTGTAATGTTTTTTTTTTCTCTTGTTGCTTCCAAAATTCTCTCGTCCTTGATTTTTGACCACTTAATTATAATGGGTCTAAGTGAAGTCTTCTTTGGCTTGAATCTGACTGGAGACTTTTGAGCTTTCTATACCTAGATATTCATATCTTCCTCTGATTTGAGAAGTTTTCAGGCATTATTTTGAAATACAGCTTCTATTCTTTTCTCATTCTCTTCTCCTTTGAAACTCCTATAATTAGAATATTAGTTCCTTTGATGGTGTCCCATGGTGTCCCATAGATTTACATAAGATTTCTTCATTGCTTTTCATTTCTTTTTCTCCTTTGACAGGATGATTTCAAATAATCTGTCTTTGAACTTGCTTATTTTCTCTTTTGCTTGATCTAATCTGCTATTGCAGCTCTCTATTGCTTTTTTAGTTCAGTTATTGGATTCTTCACCTGCAAAATTTCAGTTTGGCACTTTTTTATGCTTTGTGTCTCTTTGTCAGTCTTCTAATTTTGTTCTTGTATTTTCTTCTTGATTTTATTAAATTATCCATGTTCTCTTGTAGCTCACTGAGCTTCTTTAAAACAATTATTTTAATTCTTTCTCAGGCAATTCAGGAAGTTTATTGTGTTCCTTCAGTGGTGTTGTTTCCCTGATTATTCATAATCCTTGTAGCCTTCAGCAGCTTTTTGCACGTTAGAAGAAGCAGTCACCTACTCCAGACTTTATAGACTGGCTTTGGTAAGAAAATACCTTCACTTGGGGTGAGGAAGAGTAGGCGGGAGCATGCTACACTGGGTCTAGTGGTATGGGGAACCAAGTATGGAGGCTTTCGGTGTCTTCAGGTCTGAGAGGGTCATGGTGTCTTATTGGCTCAGGTAGCTGGGGTTCATAACGTTGGGAACTACAAAGTTCTTGATGGCAAATTGGTGCAGGTTGGCCATGGCTCTGAGGGTTGTTAGGATCCTCAGTGGTGCCTCTTCGTCCAGCAGCAAGGGGCCATGGCAGACAACAGTGGGGGCTGGGGCTGACAGTGTGCATACACTCTGCTGTGGGAGCTGGCTACAGGCCCATGCAGGGCCAGTTGCAGGCACATGCATAGTGGTAAGGGCCAGGGCTAGGTGCAGGAGTTGGAGCTTTCTCTGGGTCCACATATGACACCAGGGGCCAACAGTGTGTGTGTGTATGGCTATGGAAGTCAGAGCTAGCAGTGTGTATATATGATTGTAAGAGAAAGCAGCAGGTTGGTGATAGGGGCCAGGCCATCTGTGAGTGTCTGCACAGCTGCAGGGCCTGAGCTGGTGGCATGCTGGCACATGGCTGCAGGGCCAGATGCAAGCTCAGTGATGAGGGTGAGGACTGGTAGGCGAGAATGGTTGTGTGCTTATATGCAGCTGTTGGGGCAGAGGCCAGCTGCAAGCATGTGTGCAGCTGCAGTGGCCAACTATAGGCATGTGTGTGTCAGTAAGGGTGGGTGACAGGGGTCACACAGTTTTATGCATATACACAGCTGCAGGGACTGGAGCTGGAGACATGTAGATGCATGACTGTAGGGACCAGCTTCCTAGCTCTAGCATGCCTCCAGCCATATCACAAGCAACATGTTGGAGGTTTGTGTCCAAGTTCAGGGTATGCTGCTTATGCATACTCACTAGTAGGGGCTGTGACTGGTGGCATGCATAAGCCCAAAGGTAGGGGTCATTTGTGGACATGAACAGAATGATGGGTTTGGGGACTGTGGTGGAGTCCTGGAGATTATTTGTGAGCATGTATATGGTGTATGTGTTAGATCCTTGGACTGGGAAGCCCATGTCAGCAGTAGCTGGGGCAGCTTCAGTGTTGGGAAGGAGGAAGACAGAAGGGGATTGTATCTCAGGAACCTGGACACTGCAAAATATTCTTAGTTCTTGGTGGAAAAAGTTGAAAGGGGTCCGCTGTGGCTGTGCTGGCTGTTGGTTTTCTCACTGGTGAAAGTTGCTGGTGTTCCTTGTTAAGCAAGCTTCCAGGGTCTGCAACAGTAAACGCTGTGGGGTCCTTGGTGATAAAAACTACAGAAAGTACACAGCAGCCATGACAGCAGCTGAGATCCTCAGCAAAGAAAGCTGCTTGAGTCCTGTGCAGAGGAGTCCACTGGGAACTGTGGTGACTCCCATTGTGTGGGTGACACTAATAACCCCCTTTTCCTTCTTTGTTTCTAGCTGTCTCCAGACATCTTTGCTATGCCAGTCTTCCTAGTAATCTGGGAGGGGTAAAAATAAAGCTGTTTTTTTTTTTTTTTGAGATAGGGTCTCACTCTGCCATGTCATATAGGCCTAAGTACAGTGGGGCAATCATAGCTCACTGCAACTTTGACCTCCTGGATTCAAGTGATCTTCCCACCTCTGCTTCCCAAGTAGATACAACTACAAGTGTGTGCCATCATACTCAGCTAATTTTTTAATTTTTTGTAGGGGTCTCATTATGTTGGCCAGGCTGGTCTTGAACTCCTGGTCTCAAGTGATTCTCCCACCTTGGCCTCCCAAAGTGCTGAGATTACAAGTGTCAGGCACCATGCCTGGCCTAAAGCTGGTCACTTGAAGTGTTTCAAAAGGCTGAATGAACTGGTTGTTCACCCACTCTTCTTTTCTCTGAGAAGGGGACTTGTGAACCAGAGAATTCTTTCTCCATACTTAGCAATGCTGACATGGGAGAGGGGGAGATGCAGGTAAAATAAAACTATTGTAATTATGCATTTGTGTGGTTATTCTCAGGTTTCTCTTCTCTCACTGTATAGCTGTCGCTTCTCAAATGGACTCCTGAATTTTTTTCAGTTATTTTTGTTAGCATAGTGGTACAGTATTTGTTCTTTGTTGGGGGGTCCAAGGCTGGGATCTCCTAGTTCACTATCTCATTGACATTTCTAAAAGTTCTTTTTGTTTTTTTTTCAGTTGCAAGATTTAATAGAGTGAAAACAGAACTCCCATAAAATGGGAGGGGACCCAAAGGGGGTTGCCGCTCCCTGCTCAAATGCCTAGGTTTATATCCTGATCATTGTCCCTCCTGCTGTGCTCTCAGGCGATATAGGATTTGACTATTTCTTTACCTCATGATTTAGCCTAATTTGTATTTTAGTGAGCCCTCTTTACTACCTGATTGGTTGGGTGTGAGCTGAGTTTTACAAGGTGGGTGTGGTCACCTTTCTCAGCTAGGCTTAGGAATTCTTAGTCAGCCTAGGAAATCCAGCTAGTCCTGTCTCTCAGTTCCCCCTCTCAACAGAAAAACCCAAGAGCTGTTGGGGAGGTTGGCTGATGACTGCTCTTAACTGCTTGCTGCTGAATTGGGGCATAGTAGGGGTTGTGCAGTTGAGATTTCCTGGAGAGGAGTGCCTTCAATGTCATTAACATTGGAGCATAGGCTAGCAGGCTGATCCAGGGGTCCGCAGTAGATCTTAGTCGTGGACTGCATCTGGGGGTCCATTTGAAGAACGATTTGTAGTTTTACAGCTTCGATTCTGGAAGAGACAAACTTAACAAGGAGGTTAAAGATACAGGGATTGAAATGTATGGCCTGAAGTGCAGGGGCATGTGGGTGTGGGCGGTGAAAGTGGGGGTTCCTTTAGAAAAACTCCTATACGATGGGGCATCAATATTTCTGGGAAGCCGTATTCTCCATAGAAGATCTTGGTAAGGGGAGCTACTGGTAGTACAGCAGCATGGAGGAGGTGCAGTGAGAGTGAAAGTTTTGGTGAAGGGTTTTAAGTAATTTCCATTGGTTAGCTGCAGGCAAAAGTATTTTTCATTCTTCTGTGGCTAGCCATCCTGAGGGGAGGAAACTATGTCCTTGTGAGTTTCCCCATTCTATTTCTTCTGCTGAGTACTGTGGCTTGGTTTCCCGGAGGGGATTATCCCATACTAGGGGTCCTTCTATAAGTTTTTCTAATGGAGGGTCCCACCTTGTGGCTCTTTTGGCTTCAATATCCACTTGGCGTTTTCCTTCTATTTTCTTTCCTTTCCTTTCTGATGACCCCAGCAGTGTAAGACTGCCACCTCTTTAGGTTTCTGTACAGCCAAGAATTGTCTCCTAATGGCCTCCTGATGTTTGGTAGGTGTTTTCTCGGAAGTTAGGAATTCCCTTTCTCTCCATATTGCTGCGTGGACATGGAGGACTAGGTAAGCATACTTAGAGTCTATATACATATTTACCCTTTTTTCTTCTCCTAATTCTAGTGCCCGAGTGAGGGCTATTCTGCCAACTGAGCACTAGTTCCTGGAGTAAGGGGATTACTTTCAAGTATTCCATTATTACTGACCACTGCATACCCCGCTTTTTGAAGTCCTTTTTCTACAAAGAAACTTCCATTAGTATACAAGTTGAGGTAGGGATCAGTCAAGGGAACCTCTAGAAGTTCTCCTCAATGGCGTAGGTTTGAGCAATCACCTGTTGACAGTTATGTTCTGTCTTTATTGTTTGGAAGAAATGTGGCTGGGTTAAGAGTTGCACAAGTGTGCAGTCACAGCACAGGCCCTTTAAGTAATAGAGCCTGATATTTAAGCAAATGGTTGTCTGACAGCCACAAGTCTCCTTTAGCAGTGAGTATTCCATTTACATCATGAGATGTCCACACAGTAAGATCTCTTCCCTGTATTATTTTAACTGCTTCAGATACTAAGACTGCTACTGCCGCCACTAGCCATAAACAATGAGGCCGACCCTTTGCCACTACATCAATTTCCTTACTTAGGTATGCCATGGGTTGCAAGCTGGTTCCTCGAACCTGTGTAAGGACTCCTAGAGCTATTTCTGTTTTGTCTGTGACATATAAAGAAAAGTCTTACCCTGTTGTCAAGCTTAATACTGGGGCTTGGGTTAGGGCCTTCTTTAGGGCCTGGAAAGCCACTTCTGCTTCAGATGTCGATCTTACTAAATGGGTATTGGCTTTCTGAGTTTCCTTAATTAGTGTATATAATGGCCTGGCTATTTCGCTGTACCTGGGAATCCATATATGGCAGAAGCCTGTTATGCCAAGGAACCCTCTTAGTTGCTTTAGGGTTTTGGGATGAGGATAAGCCAGTATAGGCTGGACACATTCCTTACTGAGGGCTCTGGTGCCTTTGGATAATTTTAGCCCTAAGTATTTAACCTGCTGTGAGCAGAGCTGAGCCTTTGGTTTGGAAACCTTGTAGCCACAGGTGGCGAGGAAATTTAAGAGCGCTTGGGTGGCTTGATGGCACAAGGTTTCTGAACGGGTGGCTAAAAATAAATCATCCATGTACCAAAGGACAAGAGTGTCCAGATATGAGAACTGGCTCAAGTCTTGGACTAATGCCTTGCCAAGTAGATGGGGGCTATCCCTGAACCCTTGGGGTAAAACAGTCCAGGTGAGTTGAGACGTTGGGTTCAAAGGATCTTCAAAGGCAAACAAGAATTGAGAGTCAGGATGTACGGGGATGCAGAAAAAGGCATCCTTAAGGTCCAGGACTGTAAACTTCTCTGCTTCCTCTGGTATTTGGGGAAGCAGAGTATAAAGGTTAGGTACAGCTGGGAATGGAGGGACGATGGCCTCATTGATAATCCTGAGATCGTGTACTAACCTCCACTGTCCATTGGGTTTCTGTACTCCTAAAATTGGAGTATTGCAAGGGCTATTGCATGGTTTTACTAGGCCTTGGGCTTTTAGGTCCTTAACAATCTTTTGGAGTCCTTGTTGGGCCTCGGGTCTAAGGGGGTACTGCCTTTGGTAGGGAAAGGAGGCAGAATCCTTTAGTTTAACTTGAACAGGATGGGCATTCTTTACTCATCCATATTGTCCTTCTGTTGTCCAGACTTCAGGATTAATTCCTTCCTCAAGCAGGGGACAACAAACAGTTGTTGCTTCTCCTATGTTCAGGTGTATAACAGCCCCTTCTTTTGCTAGAATGTGTCTCCCTAACAAGGGATTGGGGCTTTCAGGCATAATTAGAAAAGCATGTGAAAAGAGTAAAGTTCCGCAGTCACAACTTAGTGGCTGGGAGAAGTATCTAGTGACTGGCTGTCCTAGGATCCCTTGGATAGTGATAGATTGGGAGGACAGTTGTCTGGGACAGGAGAGTAAGACTGAGAAGGCTGAGCCAGTGTCCAGGAGACAGTTAACCTTCTGGCCCTCAATGGTCAAGCATACCTGGGTCTCTGTGAGGGTGATGGCATGGGCTGGCACTTGCACCAGGCACCCTCAGTCCTACTGCTGGATCATCTGGTTAGTGGCTTCTGACTCAGAGGACCTTCATCCCCTGGGGAAGTGGGCCTCCAACTGATTCCCTTGACATAAGGGGCATGGACGAGACGGTGGCTTATTGCTATTCAAACAATCTTTTTTAAAGTGTCCTTGTAGACTGTACTGGAAGCAAGCCCTTAAGCATTCGATTTGCTCAGGCTTTCCATGTTCCAGAGCCTCCAAAGTCTGCTTGCCTGAGGGCCATGACTAAAGCAGTGGCCTTTTTTTTTTTTTATCTCGTTTGTCCTGTTCCACCTGCTCCTCCTGATCTCTATTATAAAAAACCCAGGTTGCCAAGTTCAATAGGGTTTTTAAGTTTTGCTCCAGGCCTAAGGCAGACTTTTGAAGTTTTTTTAAACGTCTGCCGCTGACTGAGTGATAAACTTATCCTTTAAAATTAGTTGGCCTTCAATAGAGTCAGGTGACAGAGAGGTATGCTTCCTTAATGCCTCCCTTAGCCTGTCCAGAAAGGCAGTAGGATTTTCTTCCTTTCCCTGTGTTATAGTGGACATCATTGAATAACTCACAGGCTTCTTCCTAGTTTTTGTTAGTCCTTCTAGCACGCAAGTTAGCAAATGTCTGCAGCACCAATCTCCTTGTTCTGATTCTGCATTCCAACGAGGGTTTACACTGGGAACTACCTGCTGGCCTGTGGGGAATTGTTCTCTTTCCTCTGTTGTCATCCTATCATTGACCTGACTGAGACACCAGAGATCGCCAAACTCTCGGGCTGCAGTTATGGTGGCACTTCTCTCATTTGGGGTTAGTGTCTGATCTAGCAGTAACATTATATCTCTCCATGTCAGATTCAAGGATTGTCCTAACTCTTGTAAAACATCAATATAGCCATCAGGGTTGTTTGAGAATTTACCTAGGTCTATTTTAATTTGCTTTAAGTCTGACAGGGAAAAAGGTACATGCACTCTGACTGGGCCGAATTCTCCAGAATACATCTTAGGGGCATTTTTGCCAAAGGGAGAATGTTTCCCATCTGAAAAAAAAAAAAAAAACATAGGGATGCCAGCACCCCTAGTCATTTTCCAATGAGCATTAGTCCTAGAGCATCCTCTATGGTCCTAATGCTTATTTCTTTCCAGGGTGCATAACCACCCATGGACCTCTGCTTATTGGATTACTTACACTCACTGATGTAGCAGTCCTGCACATGTTTTCCCGCCTTTCTGGACCACAAAGAAAGGGGTCTAGGCTGCTGGATTCTAGTGGTCCTTTACCAGCTTGCCCAACATTGCCTTTGCACTCAGGGGTGAGTTCTAGAGCTGGGCTGTGTTCCTGAGTATTTCATAACAACCCAGCTGCCCTATCAGTATGCATTCCCATAAACAACAGTTCTTATGCAAATTTGTTTCAGAGAGGGTGTAGTAAGGATTTTGAGTAAGGATTGAGTAAGGATTGAGATAGAGTTTTTTGATTCTGTAAGTACTTTAAGGCTTGGCTGAGTGCAAACAGCTTGCACATTTGAGCAGACCAATTATTACGCAATTTTCCTAACTCTGTTTCCACAAGAGTCTCCCTATCAATTACTGAATACCCATTGTGGTTTTTTTTCTCAATCACTGGGAGGAGCCATGTATCTTCCTGTCCTGAAGGGAGTTCCTCTTAGGTCTGGTCGTACCTTTCTATGGTAATTAAGATTTAAATCCCCTGTTAGGAAATCTGCTAGGTTAAGGGATTTTTCAGTGGTTAATGTAAAATCACCTTTTTCTAACAGAACAGCCCCATACTTTAAGATTTTTGAGTTAGTAAGCTACCTTTTTGCTTTTTTGACTTAGAATAATTTTGAACTGGTGAGGTGTGCTCACAATGAGGTTTCCTCTAAAAGTTACTTTTCTACTTTGTTCCTTTAGCAAAGCAGTTGCCACTACAGATTGAATGCATTTGGGCCATCTGCTGGTTCCTGGGTTAAGGATTTTTGATAGGAAGGCTACTGGTTGTCAGTGGTTTCAGTGTTTTCAGGCTATGCCATTGTTTACACTGACAAGGTAGTATTGGAGTGTTACAGGGTCATGGAGATGACCTTCAATTATCAATTATAGGTTTTAAATTTACCCCGGCTTTTAAAAGAATAGGGCACACTGTTTTTTCTTTACTACTCTATCTCTTTTTCTCTCTCTCCTTCTCTTTTCTCTCTATGTCTCTCTCTCTCTCTCTCTCTCTATCTCTTCTCTCCTTGACTTACTCAATTCACTTTCATCCTGATCTATTATGTTGTCATAGACCCATTTCCAGTTGTTAAAGTACTGGGCCATCAGTTCTAAGGCCCTGGCCAAGGAGCCAAGGCTTGGAGATTGTATTGCTGAGGGGTAAGCTGGGTAGAAATCAGGGGAGGAGAGCATCTTACACAATGGGAGAGCAATCCTCCTAGCCATTTACAAACTTGGGGCCCTGGCAAGGGTGGTGGGGAACAGGTCCCATATAACTGCCCATGTCGAGAGCTGCATGCCTAAATTGGGAGAGACACCAGGGACAAGATTCCCTGGGTTCATAGCCTAGATGCCTAGGGACAGAGCATAGAGCTTCTTTAGATCCCTTGGGAGATACAACTTGCTCTAATACTTAGGAGAGGAAATGAAAGTCTGAACCATTAGTACCTAGGAGGCAGGGATCAGAGGAAGTAGATTCAGAGGTACGGAGAATTTTCGGGCTACACTTTCAAAAAAGTCATGGTTGGGGCCCAGGAGGTATGGGTCAGAAGGAAAGGGTTGCATGCATGGGCGACTGTTGAGTAGAGACTTCTGGCTGCGCCACGATCTCAACCAGCTAATGGGAGGAGTTCGGGATGACAGCTTTCTGCCTCTAGTCGGCCCTCAGCTTCCCCAGGAAAATTGAAAGTGGAAGCTGGTTCCAGGCAGACCAACGCTCCCAACCCAGAAGGGTTGGGGGTTGTTAGAAAGCCCTTTCCCAGAGAGCCTCACACCTGGGTCTTAAGTCCGGTGGCCACACTAATTGTTTTTAACTAGCTGACAGGTGCCGGTATTTTCCTCCAATTCTGAGGAAGGATAGGACAGAATAGCAAATGAAAGTGGTCCCGTATTACCCACCACTTTGGAAGTCCCTTTGTGGTCACCAAAATGTTACCAGGGGGGTGGTCCTTGTTCTTAGAGCTCCCAAGATGGTGGTGGGCCACTTCCAAGATGGCGGCAAGCCTCTTGTTCTCTGACCTGGAGTTCTTGGCCTCACGGATTCCAAGGAATGGAATTTTGGGCCATGCGGTGAGTGTTATAGCTCTATTAGAAGCCGTGGGTCACAGAAGAGATCCATGGAACATAGTGACTAGTATTCAGCTCGATTAGGATGAACTGATTAGGATGAACCAGGGCACTTAGCCATGCAGGAACAATGATGAACCTTTAGCCCGAATGGGAGTGGCAATGGGTGCCTCACTGGATCAGGAGCACAGTGGACACCCTGCCAGATCTGGAGGGTGGAAGTCAGTGGTGGGTCTGCAACAGCGGCAAACAGCAGTGGTGGATGGTGAGCAAAAGCTTGAGCTGTAACAAACACTGGCCAGAAGAGTGTGCAGTTGCAAGGTTTAATAGAGTGAAAACAGAGCTCCCATAAAATGGGAGGGGACCCAAAGTGGGTTGCCTGACATTTCTAAAAGTTCTTGTTCCAACACAATAGGTGGCAAACTGCAGCTGCCTGTTTCTATAAATTTGTTTTATTGGAACAGAGCCACACCCATATGTTGATATTGTCAGTAGTGACTTTCATGCTACCCTGGCAATTTAGTAGTTTTGACTATACTGTCTGGAAAGCCAAAGATAGTTACTGTCTGGACCTTTAAGAAAAATTTTTCTGATCCCTATTGGAAGTACTCAGACTTCACCTATGTTTACTTACCTGGACTCTTCTAAAAATAAGTAATCTCACACTTGAATTTTTCAGAGCTAATGTTACTTTAATAACTTTCCTTGTAATCATATTTTAAAATAGTTTAAAGTATTTTGAATAAGGAAACTAGGAATAAAATACACACAGTTTATTGATTTCCTCTTCCCACAAATTTGCTACTATATGCTTCCAAATAATAATTCTCTTTCACATAAGCTCATCTGGTCTCAATTTTAAACATAAAATTTTCAAAGAGGGTATAGTGAACAAAAATGTGATACCTGGCAACATGGAATGAGATGAAATTTAGTCTGTGGGTTTCAATTAATATTCTATAAATCCTTCATATCCTTTGCCTCTTTGTCCCAGTATACAGTTTTTTTTGTTTGTTTTGTTTATTTTTTTGAGGCAGGATCTCAGTCTGTCACCCAAGCTGAAGTGCAGTGATGCCATCACAGCTCACTGCAGCTTTGACTTCCCTGGGCTCAGGTGATCCTCCTGCCTCAGTCTCCCGAGTAGCTGGGACTACTGGCATGCACCATCATGTCCCACTAATTTTTGTAGTTTTTTTTTTGTTTCACCATGTTGCTCAGTCTTGTCTCGTACTTCTGGGCTCAAGCAATCCATCTGCCTCAGCCTCCAAAAGTGATGGGATTACAGGCGTTAGCCATCATGTCCAACTATATAGAGTCTTAAGATGTTAACTATTCTCTGTATTTACCCCATTATATTTCGGTTTTACCAATTTTCTGAATTTAACACTCCTATCACTATTATTTGCAAATGGTGACAAAGGAAAATCCTGCTTTGGAAATGATTGAGGATTTTAATAAGCTCAAGTTTTGACTCCTTGATACTTGAGTAACAGACAATTCCTAGAGTAATGTGAAAGACAATGAACTCCATCAAGTCTTTTAGATTTCTTGGTAGTAGAAGTCAGTGGAAATCAACATATGTGATACATATAAACAAAGGAAACTTAGGGTTGTTTTCTAACAGAAACCATATTTAAACATTTAAAATTATGTTTTAAATTCCTCATGTCTACCTTTATTTTTTTAAGCCACAGAATGATATGATTGCTAAAAGGGCACTTTACAAAGCTGGAGAAATTTATTGTCTAGTAATATCAGTATTAATATAATAAGAACATCATAGAGAGGTTCAGAAATCTGTTTTAAGATGAAACCTCATATGGCAGAAGGAAAGAAACCACAATCTGGAGAATTTAATTGGAACAAGTATCTAGTTTTAATTACAGTTTTGCAAATGTGCAGCTATAATAACTACATTTCCTTGATGTATATTTTCATAAGGAATCCATAAAATAAATTCAAAGGCAAGCAGATTGCTATCACTAATAACATCATTTCTCCTTAGAAACAGAATACAATTTCTAAATATTGTTTTGTGAAAAACAGATTAATGGCCCCGTCTGAAGGCACCATACAACATTTAAGTATTTTCTACATTTCTTGTTTGAAATGTCTTTCTTTATGGCTTTTATCAAAGGGTTAGAAAAAAGTAATCCCATAAAGATACTTGATTAGCTTGGTTAATTTCAATATCTCTAGTCTTCTCTAGATGGCAGTCATGCTACAGGGATTTAAAAACTGTTCTTGTTGAAATCCACATTAAGAATGCTCCAGAATTTCTGTATCTGGGTTTTTTTTTTGTTTGTTTGTCACAGTCCTCAAATAATGCTGATGAGAATGTTAAGCCTAGGAAAATGACAGAACTGTGATAAAATAGAATGGATATAGTGAATGATGCACATCTTAGGGCTTTACATTGGGACATGAAAACAAGGGGCATAAAGAGTACATAGAGAATGAGGGAAAATAAAATCCACAGACTAAAATTTGATCCTAGTCTATGTTGCCAGCTATCACATATTTTGTACATTGTTTCCTCTTTGAAGACTTCAAACTTAAAAAATGAAGCCAGTTGTTATGTGAAGGAGAATGACTATTTGGAAGTGCATGAATTTGAATTTGGGGCAAGAGAAAATCCAATCACATTTTATATATCTTCTGCATTCCATTCTTAGTCTTCTATATCCAGAGGACTTCCAGTCACTAAAAAACACAATTAAAAGCAAAGTGTCATTAATGCAACATTGGTTTTTGAGAAGCTCTAGTGCAATGTGAGGATTGAGTCCAGGTAAACTTAGATGAAATTGGTGCTCCTTAAGAGCAAAAGTTATTGCTTTTAAAAGCTGGAGGTATCGTGCTACCTGACTCCAAACTATACTGCAGGGCTCCAGTAACCAAAACAGCATGGTACTGGTACAAGAACAGACACATAGACCAAAGGAACAGGATAGAGGGCCCAGAAATAAGACTGCACACATGCAACTATCCGATCTTTGACAAACATGACAAAAAAAAAAAAAAAAAAGCAATGGGGAAAGGATTCCCTATTCAATAAATGGTGCTGGGATAACTGGCTAGTGATATGCAGATCGAGACTGAATCCCTTGTTTATGCCATATACAAAAATTAACACAAGATGGATTAAAGACCTAAATGTAAAGCCCCAAATTATAAAAACCCTGGAAGACAACCTAGGCAATACCATTCAGGACATTGGCATGGGCAAAGATTTCATGACAAAGATGCCAAAAGCAATTGCAACAAAAACAAAAATTGACAAATGGGATTGAATAAACTTAAGAACTTCTATAAAGAGCAATTATCAACAGAGTAAACAGACAACCTATAGAATAGGAGAATATTTTTGCAAACCATGCATCCAACAAAGGTCTAATATCCAGCATCTATGAGAAACTTAAACAAATTTACAAGAAAAAATAAAACCAAACAATTTTATACAAAAGTGAGCAAGGGACGTGAACATTTTTCAAAAGAAGATATGCATACAGCCAACAATCATATGAACAAAAGTTCAACATCACTGATTATTAGAGAAATGCAAATCAAAACCACAATGAGATACCATCTAACACCGGTCAGAATGGCTACTATTAAAAAGTCAAAAAATAACAGATGCTGGTGAGGTTTTGGAGAAAAAGGAATGTTTATACACTCTTAATGAGATTGTAAATTAGTTCAGCCATTTTAGTAGACAGTGTGGTGATTCCTCAAAGACCTAAACCCAGAAATACCATTTGACCCAACAATCCCATTACTGGGTATGTACCCAAAGAAATAGAAATCATTCTATTACAAAGACACATGCCGTGTATGTTCATTGCAGTACTATTCAAAGTAGCAAAGACATGGAATCAACATAAATGTCCATCAATGATAGACTGGATAAAGAAAATGTGGTACATAGACACCATGGAATACTATGCAACCATAAAGAAGAGTGAGATCATGTCCTTTGCGGGGACATGAATGGAGCTGGAGGCCATTATCCTTAGTAAACTAACACAAGAAGAGAAAGCCAAATACCACATGTTTTCATTTGTAAGTCAGAGCTAAATGATGAGAAGACAAGACACGGACACATAGAGGAGAACAACACACACTGGGTTTTTTTCGGAGGGCTGAGGGTGTGAGGAGGGAGAGAATCAGGAAAAACAATAATGGGTACTAGCCTGGCTTAATATCTATGTGATGAAATAATCTATACAAAAAAACCCCATGACACAAGTTTATCTATGTAACAAACCTTCACTTGTATCCCTGAACTTAAAAGTTAAAAAAAGTTATTGTTTTATGATAATAATCTTTAACTTGCCGATTTTAAGTGACTTTTTGAATGTGAACCTTGAGGAAAATTTATCACGTAGCATACATTCAACATATAACAAGTATTTTTTGACTGCTTATTATATAGCAAACGCTGTGCCTAGAAACTTAGCCCAATAGCCTGATGAATGTATGCTCTGCCAGAACAGATAAACTCGAAGTCAAATAGGACTCCTTTTTTGTTGTTTTGTGGTTACAGTAATAAATGGAGAGGAATTGAGTAGATCTAATTAGATTTTTCCACCATGGTGTCTATCTAGGACTGGGATTTAATAAACTAATGATAATATCAACAAAACCACATTAAATAATTTATTGTATATGTAAATGGGCTACATGATTCAAATATATTATCTATGCTTATTATATGAATTCAGAAAGGTGAATACTAATATCATTATAGATAATGAAACTTACAGTAAAATGGCTTTCCCAGGAGCACAAAACAGAAAACCAATTTCAGTTGGAATTTTTATAACTATAAGGCTTATGTTCTCACCACACCATGTTGCTTCCTATTCAGAGCTACCTTATTGTGTGCATTAAAAAAATCTGAGAACATCAGATTGATTCTTTCATGCAGAGGTGTTGGGATAATACGTATGTCCTTTCACAGGTTGATTTGTATTTAAGAAGATTGGGAAGATCAATGATTAACTTAATAGGCTTTCTTTCTGATGATGAACTGTTTCAGAATAGTAACAGAGATGTGTTGCCATGAAAAATATTTTCCTTATTACTTATATGAAGTATGCCAGTGACTCTTACCTCACTGGTTCTGATGTAACTTAAAATGTAGCACAAAGGAAAAATAAAAAATTACCCATTGCTGAAGAAGTAAATTCCAGTGCGATGCCAGCCCCTGCAGTCCCAGGAACCAGGCTTGCACCTGTGAACTGTGATTCCAGGCCAGAGCTTGTGGAACAAGAACCCATGCCCACCCTTGCAGACTCACGCTTCTAGATAGCCCAGTGTTAGGCCAGTCCCTACAGTCTTAAGCTTCAGGTTGGCTCACACAGCCCCAAGCACTAACTTGGCACCTGTGAACCCAGAACCCAGGTCCACATCCATGAACTGAGACTCTAAAGTCCACCCACATGGATCCAAGCACCAGCCCAGCCTGCCCAAGGACTCCAGCAGCAAGCTAGCCAGTGGACCTCAATGGCCAGCCCACCTAGAATGCTTGGATACACTGATTGGCAAATAGCTTTTCCTGCCAAAGCTAATGGATAAAGACTGAAAGAAGTGTCTACTTTCTCAAATGTATAGACACCAATGCAAGGCCTCAAAAATTATGAATAAGCAAGGAAACCATGACACCACCAAAAGAACAAAACAAAGAATCACAAACTGACCCTATAGAAATGGAGAGCTATTAACTGTGAGGTAAAGAATTCAAAACAGGTATTATTAAAAACTCAATGAGCTATAACAGAATGCAGATAGACAAGAAAATGAAGTCAAGGAAACAATATGTGAATAAAATGAGAAGTTTTATAAAGTGAGAAACCATAAAAAAGAACCAAATAGAAATTTGGAGCTAAAAAGCACAAGGATTCAGTTGAAACATTTCATGAACAGCTTCAACAGTGACTTGATCAAGTAGAAGAAACAATCAGCAAAGCTCAGAGACAGGTCATTTGATATTATCCAGTGATATGGTTTGGCTCTGTGTCCCCACCCAAATCTCATGTTCAATTGTAATCCCCAGTGTTGGGGGAGGAACCTGGTGGGAGGTGATTGATTGCATCATGGGAGTGGATTTCCTCCTTGCTGTTTTCATGATAGTGAGTGAATTTGCGCAAGATCTGGTTGTTTAAAAGTGTATGGCACTTCCCTTTTCTCTCTCTTTGTTCTGCTTTGGCCGTGTGATCATATGCCTTGCTTCCTCTTTGCACTCCGCCATGATTGTAAATTTTCTGAGGCCTCCCCAGCCATGTGGAACTGTGAGTCAATTAAAGCTTTCTTCTTCTTATGTTACCCAGTCTCATGTACTTCTTTATAGTGTGTGAAAGTGGACTAATACACCCAGCTGGAGAGAAAGAAAAAGGAATAAAGAAGAGTCAAGAAAAGCTATGGGACTTACTGAGACAACATCAAGTGAACTGATGTGCACATCAGGAAATCCCGGATGGAGCAAAGAAAGAGAAGAGGCAGAAAGCTTATTCAAAATAATGACAGAAAACTTACCTAAAGCTTATTCAAAGTAATAAAGACAGAAAACTTCCCCAAACTGTAGATGGAAGTGAACATTGAGATCCTTGAGAACTTCAAGTGCACTAAACATAAAGAGATCTTCACCAAGATACATTATAATCAAACTCTCAAAAATGAAAAAGGTAACTTTGAAAGTAGCCAGAGAAAAATGCCTCGTTATATACAAGGGAACATGATACACTACATTAACAGAATAAAGAACAGCAGTCATGTAATTATCTCAATAGATGCAGAAAAAGCATCTGCCAAAATTCAAGACTATTTTATGATAAAAATTCTCAAAAAATTTAGTATAGAAGAAATGTAAATCAGTACAATGAAGGCCATATATGAGAAATTCACAGCTATCCCATTCTCCCTTTTTTTTACTTTAAGTTCTGGGATACATGTGCAGAATGTGCAGGTTTGTTGCATAGGTATACATGTGTCATGGTGGTTTGCTGCCCCTATCAACCCATCATCTAGGTTTTAAGCCCCGCATGCATGAAGTATTTGTCCTAATACTCTCCTTCCCCTTTCCCGCCACTGCCTGACAGGTCCTAGTGTGTCAATATTCTACTGCCTGTGTCCATGTCTTATCATTGTTCAACTCTCACTTATGAGTGAGAACAGGTGGTGTTTGGTTTTCTGTTCCTGTGTTAGTTTGCTGGGAATGATGGCTTCCAGTTTCATCCATGTCTCTGCAAAGGACATGAACTCATTCTTTTTTATGGCTGCATAGTATTCCATGGTGTATATGTGTCACATTTTCTTTATCCAGCCTGTCACTGATGGGCATTTGGGTTGGTTCCAAGTCTTTGCTATAGATAACATTCTTAATGGTTTAAAGTTGAAAGTTTTTCTTCTAAGATCAGGAGCAAGATCAAAATTCCTGTTGTCACCACTTATATTTAATGTAAGACTGGAAGTCTTAGCCAGAGCAATTAATAAGAAAATGAAATAAAAGGCATCCAAATAAAAAAAGTTAACTTCTCTGTTTCCAGATGACATGATCTTAAACATACAAAAATCAGTTGTGTTTCTAGAAACTAACCACAAATTATCTGAAAAGGAAACTAAGGAACAATATTATTTACAACAGCATGAAAAATACTTAGGAATAAGACTGGGTGCAGTGGCTTATGCCTGTACTCCTGGTACTTTGAGATGCTGAGGTTGGAGAATTGCTTGAGCCCAGGAGTTTGAGACCAGCCTGAGCAACATGGCAAGACCCAATCACTACAAAAAATTAAAAAAAATTAGCCAAGTGTGGTGGGGTGCACTTGTGGTTTCAGTTACTTGGGAGCGCTGAGGTGGGAGGGTCACTTGAACTCAGGAGATTGAGGCTGAAGTGAGCTGTGTTTGTGCCACTGTACTCCAGCCTGGGTGACAGAGTGAGACCCTGTCTCAAAACAAACAAGCAAATCAAAACTTAGAAATGAACTTTACTAAGGATGTTGAAGATCTGTACACTGAAAACCACCAAACAATGGTGGAAAAAATTGAAGAAGAAACCAGCAAATGGAAAACTTTCCTGAGTTTGTGGATTGAAAGAATTAATACTGTTAAATGTCCATACTATGCAAAGTTATCTATAGATTCATGCACACCTCATCAAAATTCCAACTACACTTTTTATAGAAACAGAAAAAGAATCCTACATATATATGGAACCAAAAAGACCTCAAATAGCGAAAGCAATCTTGAGCAAAAAGAGCAAAGTTGGAGGCGTCACACTACCTAAATTCAAAGTAGACTAGAAAGCTATAGCATACAAACAATATGGCTCTGGCATAAAAACAGACACACAGATCAGTGGAACTGCAGAAAAATTTCACGAATAAATCCACACATTTATGGTCAATTGACTTGTGACAAAGGTGCCAAGAACACACTGTGGGGGAAAGGAGAGTCTCTTCCACTAATGTTGTTGAGAAAACTGGATATTTGCATGTGGAAGAATGAAATTGCACCATTATATCACATTGTATAAAAAAATCAACTCGAGGCCAGAAGTGATGGCTCATGCCTGTAATCCCAGCACTTTGGGAAGCCAACATGGGTGGATCACTGGAGGTCAGGAGTTTGAGACCAGCCTGGCCAACATGTTGAAACCCCATCTTTACTAAAAATACAATAATTAGCTGGGCATAGTGGCAGATGCCTGTAATCCCAGCTACTTGGGAGGCTGAGGCAGGAGAATCACTTGGACACAGGAGGCGGAGGTTGCAGGAGCCAAGATCACACCATTGCACTCCAGCCTGGGTGACAATAATGAAACTCCATAAAAAAATCAACTCCAAAGAAATTAAAGACTTAAATGTAAGACCTGACATTGTGAAACTACTAGAAGAAAACAGGAAAAAGTCTTCTTGACATAGGTCTAGGCAATGATGTTTTGAGTATGACTTCCAAAGCACAGGCAACAAAAGTAAACAAGTGGGACTACATCAAATTAAACAGCTTCTTCCCAGCAAGGAAAGAATCAACTCAGTGAAGAGTCAACCTATGGAATAGAAGAAAGCATTTGCAAATCACTTATTTAATAAAAAGTTGACATTTAAAATGTAAAAAGAACTCAACTCAATAGCCAGAAAACAATCTGAGTTAAAAAAAAGGGGCAAATGATATAGATACATATTTCTTAGAAGAAGAAATAGACTGTCCAAAAGGTATATGAAAAGTATTTGAACATGAATAATCACTGGAAAAATACAAGTTAGAAACCATATATTTGGCATGGATTAATATCCAAAATATATAAGAAACTCATTCAGCTTTATCAAAGGAAAATAAATAACTCCAATTTAAAAATGAGAAAAGGACCTGAATAGAACTTTCTGCAAAGAAGACACACAAATTGCCAACACATATATGAAAAGGTGTTCAATATCACTAATCCTCAAGAAAATGCAAACCAAAATCACAATGAGATATCATCTCACACTTGTTAGAATGGCTAGTATGTAAATGATAAGGTATAACAAATGTTGGCAAGGACATGGAGAAAAGAGAACCCTAATACACTGTTGGTAGGAAGGTAAATTGGTGCAGTCATTATGGAAAATGGTATGAGGGTTCCTCAAAAATTAAAAACAGAAATACCGCGTTATCCAGCAATCCCACTTCTGGGTATACATACAAAAAAAAATCAGTATGTTGAACGGATATCTACACTCCCATGTTCATTGCAGCATTTTTCACAATAGGCAAGATATGGAAACAGCCAAAGTGTTCACTGATAGATGAAAGGAAAAAGAAAATGTGGTATACATATAAGGCAGGATCAGAAAAACAAATACTGCATCATCTCACTATGGAATCCAAAAAGTTGAACTAATAGAAGCAGAGAGTAGAGAGGGGATTGCCAGGTTTTGTATGGGGTGTGGGAGAATGGGAAGGTTTGGTCAAAGGATAGACAGTTTCAGTCAGAGAGGATGAATAAGTTCTGGAAATCCATTGTGCAGCATGGTGACTATAGTTAATGGTATTGTATTGTATACTTGAAAATTGCTAAGAGAGTAGATCTTAAATGTTTTCACCACATACACACACACACACACAACTATGTGAGATGATAGATGCATTAATTAGCTTCATAGTGGTAGTCATTTCTCTCTCTATATATATATATCAAAATATCACATTGTACATTTTAATATATATAATTTTTATTTGTCAGTTATATGTCAGTGAAACTGGGAAAACAAAGAAACAAAAATTTTCCTTTGTACTTCTAGGTTTGTGAAATTTGGTGAATGAGTGTGCAGTTATGGAGACAATATTGAAGACATTAAGTAGTATTTCTGCAACTTCTCTTGCTATAAAACATCACAGGAGGAGGTTCCAAGATGGCCGAATAGGAGTAGCTCCAGTCTACAGCTCCCAGCATGAGCAACGCAGAAGATGGGTGATTTCTGTCTTTCCAACTGAGGTACAAGGTTCATCTCACTGGGGCTTGTTGGACAGTGGATGCAGCCCATGAAGTGTGAGGCAAAGTAGGGCGGGTCATTGCCTCACCTGGGAAGCACAGGGAGTCAGGGAATTCCCTTTCCTAGCCAATGGAAGCCATGACAGACGGTACCTGGAAAATCGGGACACTCCCACCCTAATACTGCACTTTTCCAGTGGTCTTAGCAAATGGCACACTGGGAGACTATATCCCACGTCTGGTTCAGAGGGTCCCACACCCATGGAGCCTCACTTACTGCTAGCAGAGCAGTCTGAGATCGAACTGCAAGGTGGCAGTGAGGCTGGGGGAATGGGTCTGCCATTGCTGAGGCTTGAGTAGGTAAACAAAGCGGCAAGGAAGCTTGAACCGGGTGGAGCCCACCGCAGCTCAAGGAGGCCTGCCTGCTTCTGTAGACTCCACCTCTGGGAGCAGGGTATAGCCAAATAAAAGGCAGCAGAATCTTCTGCAGATTTAAACATCCCTGTCCGACAGCTTTGAAGAGAGTAGTGGTTCTCCCAGCATGGAGTTTGAGATTGGAGAACAGACAGACTGCCTCCTCAAGTGGGTCCCTGACCCCTGAGTAGCTTAACTGGGAGACACCTCCCAGTAGGGGCTGACTGACACCTCATACAGCCAGGTGCCCCTCTGAGACGAAGTTTCCAGAGGAAGAATCAGGCAGCAACATTTGCTGTTCTGCAATATTTGCTGTTCTGCAGCCTCTGCTGGTGATACCCAGGCAAGCAGGATCTGGAGTGGCCCTCCAGCAAATTCCAACAGATTTGCAGCTGAGGGTCCTGACTGTTAGAAGGAAAACTAACAAAAAAGAAAGGACATCCACACCAAAACCCCATCTGTACATCACTATCATCAAAGACCAAAAGTAGATAAAGCACAAAGATGGGGAGAAACCAGAGCAGAAAAGTTGAAAATTCCAAAAATCAGAGCTCCTCTTCTCCTCCAAAGGAATGCAGCTCCTCACCAGCAATGGAACAAAGCTGGATGGAGAATGACTTTGATGAGTTGAGAGAAGAAGGCTTCATATGATTGGTAATAACAAACTCCTCCAACCTAAAGGAGGATTTTGAACCTATCACAAAGAAGCTAAAAACCTTGAAAAAAGATTAGACAAATGGCTAACTAGAATAAACAGTGTAAAGAAGACCTTAAATGACCTTAAATGGAGCTGAAAATCATGGCATGAGAACTAGGTGACGCATGCACAAGCTTCAGTAGCCAATTTGATCAAGTGGAAGAAAGGGTATCAGTGATTGAAGATCAAATGAATGAAATGAAGTGAGAAGAGAAGTTTAGAGAAAAAAAAAGAGTAAAAGGAAATGAACAAAGCCTCCAAAAAATATGGGACTATGTGAAAAGACCAAATCTATGTCTGAGTGGTGTACCTGAAAGTGATGGGGAGAATGGAACCAAGTTGGAAAACACTGTTCAGGATGTTATCCAGGAGAACTTCCTCAACCTATCAAAGCAGGCCAACATTCAAATTCAGGAAATACAGAGAACACCACAAAGATACTCCTTGAGAAGAGCAACTCCAAGACACATAATTGTCAGATTCACCAAAGTTGAAATGAAGGAAAAAATGTTAAGGGCAGCCAGAGAGAAAGGTCAGGTTACCCACAAAGGGAAGCCCATCATACTAACAGTGGATCTCTCAGCAGAAACTCTACAAGCCAGAAGAGAGTGGGGGCCAATATTCAACATTCTTAAAGAAAAGAATTTTCAAACCAGAATTTAATATCCAGCCAAACTAAGATTCATAAGTGAAGGAGAAATAAAATCCTTTACAGACAAACAAATGCTGAGAGATTTTGTCACCACCAGGCTGACCTTACAAGAGCTCCTGAAGGAAGCACTAAACATGGAAAGGAACAACCGGTACCAGCCACTGCAAAAACATGCCAAATTGTAAAGACCATCAAGGCTAGGAAGAAACTGCATCAACTAATGAGCAAAATAACCAGCTAACATCATAATGACAGGATCAAATTCACACATAACAATATTAACCTTAAATGTAAATGGGCTAAATGCTCCAATTAAAAGACACAGACTGGCAAATTGGATAAAGAGTCAAGACCCATCAGTGTGCTGTGTGCTGTATTCAGGAGACCCATCTCACGCAGAGACAGACAGAGGCTCAGAATAAAGGGTTGGAGGAAGACAAAAACAAAACAAAACAAAACAAAACCAAAAAAAAAAAAAAAAAAAACAAAAAAAGCAGGGGTTGCAATCCTAGTCTCTGATAAAACAGACTTTAAAGCAACAAAGATCAAAAGAGACAAAGAAGGATATTACATAATGGTAAAAGGATCATTTCAACAAGAAGAGCTAACTATCCTAAATATATATGCTCCCAATACAGGAGCACCCAAATTCAGAAAGCAAGTCCTTAGAGACCTACAAAGAGACTTAGACTCCCACACAATAATAATGGGAGACTTTAACACCCCACTGTCAATATTAGACAGATCAACGAGACAGAATGTTAACAAGGATATGCAGGACTTGAACTCAGCTCTGCAACAAGCAGACCTAATAGACATCTACAGAACTCTCCACCCCAAATCAACAGAATATACATTCTTCTCAGCAACACATCGCACTTATTCCAAAATTGACCACATAGTTGGAAGTAAAGCACTCCTCAGCAAATGTAAAAGAATAGAAATTATAACAAACTGTCTCTCAGACCACAGTGCAATCAAACTAGAACTCAGGATTAAGAAACTCACTCAAAACCACTCAACTACATGGAAACTGAACAACCTGCTCCTGAATGAGTACTGGGTACATAATGAAATGAAGGCAGAAATAAAGATTTTCTTTGAAACCAATGAGAACAAAGATACAACATACCAGAATCTCTGGGACACATTTAAAGCAGTGTGTAGAGGGACATTTACAGCACTAAATGCCCACAAGAGAAAGCAGGAAAGATCTAAAATTGACACCCTAACATCACAATTAAAAGAACTAGAGAAGCAAGAGAAAACACATTCAAAAGATAGCAGAAGGTGAGAAATAACTAAGATCAGAGCAGAACTGAAGGAGATAGAGACACAAAAAACCCTTCAAAAGATCAATGAATCCAGGAGCTTGTTTTTTGAAATGATCAACAAAATTGATAGACCGCTAGCAAGACTAATAAAGAAGAAAAGAGAGAAGAATCAAATAGATGCAATAAAAATGATAAAGGGGATATCACCACCGATCCCACAGAAATGCAAACTACCATCAGAGAATACTATAAACACCTCTACACAAATAAACTAGAAAATCTAGAAGAAATGGATAAATTCCTGGACACCCTCCCAAGACTAAACCAGGAAGAAGTTGAATCCCTGAATAGACCAATAAGAGGCTCTGAAATTGAGGCAATAATTAATAGCCTACTAACCAAAAAAAGTCCAGGACCAGATAGATTCACAGCTGAATTCTACCAGAGGTACAAGGAGAAGCTGGTACCATTCCTTCTGAAACTATTCCAATCAATAGAAATAGAAGGAATCCTCCGTAACTCATTTCATGTGGCCAGCATCATCCTGATACCAAAGGCTGGCAGAAGCACAACATAAAAAGATAATTTTAGACCAATATCCCTGATGAACATCGATGCAAAAATCCTCAATAAAATACTGGCAAACCGAATCCAGCAGCACATCAAAAAGCTTATCCACCACGATCAAGTTGGCTTCATCCCTGGGATGCAAGCCTGGTTCAACATACACAAATCAATAAATGTAATCCATCATATAAACAGAACCAAAGACAAAAACCACATGATTATCTCAATAGATGCAGAAAAGGCCTTTGACAAAATTCAACAGCGCTTCATGCTAAAAACTCTCAATAAACTAGGTATTGAGGGGACATATCTCAAAATAATAAGAGCTATTTATGACAAACCCACAGCTAATATTATACTGAATGGGCAAAAACTGGGAGCATTTGCTTTGAAAACTGGCACAAAACAGGGATGCCCTTTCTCACCACTCTTATTCAACATAGTGTTGGAAGTTCTGGCCAGGGCAATCAGGCAGGAGAAAGAAATAAAGGGTATTCAATTAGGAAAAGAGGAAGTCAAATTGTCCCTGTTTGCAGATGACATGATTGTATATTTAGAAGACCCCGTTTTCTCAGCCCAAAATCTCCTTAAGCTGATAAGCAACTTCAGCAAAGTCTCAGGATACAAAATCAATGTGCAAAAATCACAAGCATTCCTATACATCAATAACAGAGAGCCAAATCATGAGTGAACTCCCATTCACAATTGATTCAAAGAGAGTCAAATACCTACGCATCCAACTTTTAAGGGATGTGAAGGACCTCTTCAGGGAGAACTAAAAACCACTGCTCAATGAAATAAAAGAGGACACAAACAAATGGAAGAACCTTCCATGCTCATGGATAGGAAGAATCAGTATCGTGAAAATGGCCATACTGCCCAAGGTAATTTATAGATTCAATGCCATCCCCATCAAGCTACCAATGACTTTCTTCCCAGAATTGGAAAAATACTACTTTAAATTTCATATGGAACCAAAAAAGAGCCTGCATTGCTGAGACAATCCTAAGCCAAAAGAACAAAGCTGGAGGCATCATGCTACCTGACTTCAAACTATACTACAAGGCTACAGTAACCAAAACAGCATGGTTCTGGTACCAAAACAGAGATATAGACCAATGGAACAGAACAGAGCCCTCAGAAATAATACCACACATCTAAGCCATCTGATCTTTGACAAACAAACCTGACAAAAACGAGAAATGGGGAAAGGATTCCCTATTTAACAAATGGTGCTGGGAAAACTAGCTAGCCATATGTAGAAAGCTGAAACTGGATCCCTTCCTTACCCCTTATACAAAAATTAATTCAAGATGGATTAAAGACTTAAATGTTAGACCTAAAACCATAAAAACCCTAGAAAAAAACCTGGGGAATACCATTCAGGGCATAGGCATGGAGAAGTACTTCATGTCTAAAACACCAAAAGCAATGGCAACAGAAGCCAAAATTGACAAATGGGATCTAATTAAACTAAAGAGCTTCTGCACAGCAAAAGAAATTACCATCAGAGTGAACAGGCAACCTACAGAATGGGAGAAAATTTTTAAAATCTACCCATTTGACAAAGGGCTAATATCCAGAATCTAGAAAGAACTTAAACAAATTTACAAGAAAAAAACAACCCCATCAAAAAGTGGGCAAAGGATATGAACAGACACTTCTCAAAAGAAGATATTTATGCAGCCAACAGACACATGAAAAAATGCTCATCATCACTGGCCATCAGAGAAATGCAAATCAAAACCACAATGAGATACCATCTCACACAAGTTAGAATGGCAATTATTAAAAAGTCAGGAAACAACAGGTGCTGGAGAGAATGTGGAGAAATAGGAACACTTTTACACTGTTGGTGGGACTGTAAACTAGTGCAACCATTGTGGAAGACAGTGTGGCAATTCCTCAAGGATCTAGAACTAGAAATGCCATTTGACCCAGCCATCCCGTTACTGGGTATGTACCGAAAGGATTATAAATCATGCTGCTATAAAGATACATGCACACATGTGTTTATTGTGGCACTATTCACTATATCAAAGACTTGGAACCAACCCAAATGTCCATCAGTGATAGACTGGATTAAGAAAATGTGGCACATATACACCATGGACTACTATGCATCCATAAAAAAGGATGAGTTTATGTCCTTTGTCGGGACATGGATGAAGATGGAAACCATCATTCTGAGTAAACTATTGCAAGGACAGAAAACCAAACACCACATGTTCTCACTCATAGGTGGGAATTGAACAATGAGAACACTCGGACACAGGGTGGGGAATATCACACACTGGGGCCTGTCATGGGGTGGGGGAAAGGGGGAGGGATAGCATTAGGAGATATACCTAATGTAAATGTTGGGTTAATGGGTGCAGCACACCAACATGGCACATGTATACATATGTAACAAACCTGCTCGTTGTGCCCATGTACCCTAGAACTTTAAGTAGAATTTAAAAAACATTTAGAAACAAACAAACAAAAATCATAGTATTCTACTCAGAGCAGTTCCTTAGTAGGTTTTGTGATTTTGTCCCCCAGAACTCAGTATGGATGATGTGGTAAGAATTGATATTTTCTGAGGGTGTTTTTATTAGTTTCTTAGGGCTACCATAACAAAGTGCCACAAACTGAGTGGCTTAAAACAACAGAAATGTTAGTATCTCACAGTTCTGGGGGCTACAAGTCTGGAATTAAGTGATTGGTAGATTCAATCTCCCTCTGGAACCTGTAGGGCAGACCTTCTTTCTTCTTCCTAGCTTCTGCTGTTTTGCTTCAATCTTTAGTGTATTTTGGTTTACAGGTGATTAACTCCAATTTGTGCCTCCATCTTCACATGGTGTTCTCCCTTTATATCTTCATGCCTTTACATTGCTGTCTTCTTATAAAGATAGCAGCCATAGTGGATTAGGGGCCCAACCTACTCCAGTATGACCTCATCTTAATGAATTGCATCTGCAATTATCCTCTTGCCAAATAAGTTTGCCTTCTTAGGTACTGGAGAGCTGGGACTTCAACGTATCTTTTCAGTGCAAACTTTCATTTATAACTGTGAGTCATTAAGCAAAGAACAGATTCTAGTACCAACTCATCATTAGCTGTGTAATTAGCATTAACACCCGATATGGTTTGGCCCTGTTTCCCCACACAAATCTCTTCTTGTAGCTCTCATAATTCCCATGTGTGGTGCGAGGGACCTGGTGGGAGATGATTGAATCATGGGGGTGGGTCTTTCCCATGCTGTTCTTGTCATAGTGAATGGGTCTCATGAAATCTGATGGTTTTCAAAAATGGGAGTTTCCATATAAAAGCTCTCTTTGCTGGCTGCCATCCATGTAAGATGTGACTTGCTCCTCCTTGCCTTCTGCCATGATTGTGAGGCCTCTCCGGCCATGTGGAACTGTAAGTCCAGTGAAACCTCTTTTTTTTTTTTTTTTTTCTGTAAATTGACCAGTCTCTGGTATGTCTTTATCAGCAGCCTGAAAATGGACTAATATAGTAAATTGGTACCAGGAGTGAGGTGCTGCTGGAAAGATACCTGAAAATGTGGAAGGGACTTTGCAACTGGGTAACAGGCAGAGGCTGAAGCAGTTTGGAGGACTCAGAAGAAGACAGGAAAATGTGGGTAAGTTTGAAACTTCCTAGAGACTTGTTTAATGGCCTTGGTCAAAATGTTGATGGTGATATGGACAATAAAGTCCAGGCTGATGTGGTCTCAGATGGAAATGAGGAACTTACTGGGAACTGGAGCAAAAGTGACTCTTGTTATGTTTTAGTAAAGAGACTGGTGGCATTTTGCCCCTGCCTTAGATATTTGTGGAACTTTGAACTGGAAAGAGATGATTTAGGGCATCTGGCAGAAGAAATTTCTAAGCAGCAAAGCATTTAAGATGTGACTTGGGTGCTGTTAAAGGCATTCAGTTTTATAAGGGAAGCAGAACATAAAAGTTTGAAAAATTTGCAGCCTGACAATGTGATAGAAAAGAAAATCCCATTTTCTGAGCACAAATTCAAGCTGGCTATGGAAATTTGCATAAGTAAGACAAGACAATGCAGAAATACCCAAGACAATGCAGAAATATAATATAAATATAGGTATAAATAATATAATATATATTTAAATAGTATAAAAATATTAAAATAAATAAATATATATGTATAAAATATATAAATAATATAAATCCCCAAGACAACGGAGAAAATGTCTCCAGGGCATGTCAGAGGTCTTCATGGCAGCCCCTTCCATCATAGGCCTGGAGGACTAGGAGAAAAATTTGGTTTTGTGGGCCAGACTCAGGGTCCCTGTGCTGTGTGCAGCCTTGGGACTTGGTGCCCTGCGTCCCAGCCACTCCAGCCATGGCTGGAAGGGGCCAATGTAGAGCTTATACTGTGGCTTCAGAGGGTGAAAGCCTCAAGTCTTGGTAGCTTCAACATGGTGTTGAGCCTGCAAGTGCACAGAAGTCAAGAATTGAAGTTTGGAAACCTTGGCTTAGATTTCAGAGAATGTACGGAAATGCCTGGATCTCCAGGCAGAAGTTTGCTGCAAGGGCAGGGCTCTCATACAGAACCTATGCTAAGGCAGTGCGGAAGGGAAATGTGGGGTCAGAGCCCCCACAGAGTCCCTACTGGGGCACTGCCTAGTGGAGCTGTGAGAAGAGGGCCACTATCCTCCAGAGACAGAATGGTAGATCCACTGATAGCTTGCGCTATGCACCTGGAGAAGCCACAGATATTCAATGCCAGCCCATGAAAGCAGCTGGGAGGGAGGTTGTATCCTGCAAAGGCACAGGGGCAGAGGTGTCCAAGACCATGGGAACCCATCTGTTGCATCAGTGTGACCTGGATGTGAGACATGGAGTCAAAGGAGATCATTTTGGAACGTTAAGGTTGAACTGACCCACTGGATTTTGGACTTGCGTGGGGCCTGTAGCCCCTTTGTTTTGGCCAATTTCTCCCATTTGGAATGGCTGTATTTACCCAATGCCTGTAATCCCATGGTATTTATAGGAAGTAACTAACTTGCTTTTGATTTTACAGGCTCATAGGTGAAAGGGACTTGCCTTGTCTTGGATGAGACTTTGGACTGTGGACTTTTGAGTTAATGCTGAAATGAGTTGGGACTTTCGGGGACTGTTGGGAAAGCATGATTGGTTTTGAATTGTGAAGATATAAGATTTGGGAGGGGCCAGGGTGGAATGATATGGTTTAGTTCTGTGTCCCCACGCAAATCTCATCTTTTAGCTGCCATAATTCCCACACGTTGTGGGAGAGACGTGGTGGGGATGATTGAATCATGGGGGCAGGTCTTTTCCGTGCTGTTCTCATGATAGTGAATGGGTCTCATGAGATCTGATGGTTTTTAAAAACGGGAATTTTCATACACAAGCTCTCTTTGCCTGCTGCCATCCATGTAAAACCTGACTTGCTCCTCCTTGCCTCCTGCCATGATTGTGAGACATCCCCAGTCATGTGGAACTGTAAGTCTAATTAAATCTCTTTCTTTTGTAAGTTGCCCAGTCTTGGATATATCTTTATCAGCAGCATTAAAATGGACTAATATACACCTCTCCTGACTTTAGTTTCCTCATCTATAAAATGTGGGGGTTGGAAAATTTACTTCTAAGGGCCTCTTCTAATAACTTGAGAATGATAACCATGACCTCTTGTCACATACCTGGGGCCCATGAACATTTCTGTTAGGACAGGGTATGGCTCATGAGGATAGAAATGATGAAACACCTTTCTTTCTCCCAAGTCCCAATCTCCTTCTTTAGTTAGTTGCTAGGTTTTGAGAATCCTCAGGATCTGCAATTTTATTTATTGCAGAGTGCCATGATGCAACAAAGAAAAAGGCATAAGAATGGAAGATCTGATACATAAACAAGACACAACAGATGTAAAGAAAAAAACCAACAAAAGTGACTGAAGCTCCAATAGGTTAACAGTGATTGACTTTACTACTGGCAGAAAAACTTCCTGGGCTGGCAAGAATTGAGACAAGCTGCAAGCACTGACAGAAACTGTCATTTTAGACTACCACCCTCTCCCCTAAGCCAGCATAATGTCATTCACAAAGAATTTCCCTAGACATACAGTTTCTGAGGTGAGAAGAGGGAATTGGAGGTTAACGTTCAGTCTCCATACCAGTCTTGGAATCTTGTGAGAAATCCCATTCTGGTCCTATCTCACAGGAACCCTGGAAAGTGCCAGGAGAGACTAAAAACTTGGGGTGAATTGAGGATAAAGAGCAGAGTTCTGATCACAGCTATTGGCACAGGAATCTTAATAGCTACTCAGTACTTTGATCAGTGAGGATGCCATATAGAAGAGACTAGCTGGTGTCATAGCACTTCAGGTAGCACAATTCATGGGAAAGTCCAAATCCCTAGCCATATTTTTCAGAAAGCTTTTCCACAAAGCACTCCCAGGTGCTTGTGTGGAGCCTTCTTTTGACTTGGAAAGAACTAAATGGTCAGGCTGTGCACAGTGGCTCACGCCTGTAACCCCAACACTTTGGGAGGCTGAGGTAAGCTGATAATTTGAGGTCAGGAGTTCAAGATCACCCTGGCCAACATGGTGAAACACCATCTCTACTGAAAATACAAAAATTAGCTAGAGATCCTGCACACCTGTAATCTCAGTCACTTGGGAGGCTGAGGCAGGAGTATCGCTTGAACCCAGGAGACAGAAGTTTCAGTGAGCCAAGATTGTGCCTCTGTACTCCAGTTTGGGTGAAAGAGTGAGACTCTGTCTCAAAAAGAAAAAAAAAGGAACTAAAGGGTCAGGATTAAGTTTTGGTGCTCACTTAAGTTTTTCCAAACCAGAGAACAATGCAGGGTAGCTATATAGGTCTGAGGCAATGGGCGAGATTTCAGGGCTCACTATAAGTCTTTCCCAGACCAGAAAGCAATGGCAGGGCAGAGATTTAGTTCCAGAGTAGTGTTTAAGTTCAGGTGTTTACTACAAGTTATCCCCAGAATAGGAAGCACTAACAAGCTGGTGTTTAAGTTTTGATACTGAGGAGTAAAGGTCTAACACTACCAAAGAACATATGCAAATAATGGAAGAGGTGGCCCAAATGTGTAAGCATCAATGTAAAGATAAAAATAATTGTAAAAACTCAGAGAAATATGATACCGCCAAAAGAAATCAACAAAGCTCCAGCAATAGATCAAGAATAATTGAAGATCTAGAAAATATTTCAAAAAGAATGAATAACAATCCCCTTAAGGAAGTTCAGGGAATCACAAGAAAATAGAAATAGGAAATTAATACGATTTGGAAAATAACCCAGGAACAAAGTGATACATATATATTTTTTGAGATGGAGTCTTGCTCTGTGCCCAGGCTGGAGTGCAGTGGTGCAATCTCAGCTCACTGCAAGCTCCGCCTCCTGGGTTCACACCATTTTCCTGCCTCAGCCTCCTGAGTAGCTGGGACTACAGCACCCGCCACCACACCCAGCTAATTTTTTGTATTATTAGTAGAGACGAGGTTTCACCATGTTAGCTAGTATGGTCTTGATCTCCTGACCTTGTAATCCACCCACCTCGGCCTCCCAAAGTGCTGGGATTACAGGTGTGAGCCACTGCGCCTGGCTACAAAGTGAGAAATTTTAAAAATCAAAACAAAACAATTAAAAAAATAGAAATCCTAGAAGTAAAGAGCACAATAACTGAACTGAAAAACTAATTGGAAAGCTTCAATGGGAGAACTGAATAAACAGAGGGAAGACTTAGAAATCTTGAAGGCAGTACATATGAAATTACACAGAGGAGTAAAATAAAAAAGTAATAAAAAGTGATGAAGGCCTATGAAAATTATGGGACACCAACAAGCAATCAAATCTTCATATAATATAATTTCCTGAAAGAGATGAGAAGGAAAAGTCCATGAAAGCATGTTAAACTATTGTCTGAAACTTTCCTAAATCTGGAGAAAGATGACAGTTTTCAGGTACTGGAAGCTCAAAGGTCATCAATAAAATTCAGCCCAAAGAGGAATTCCCCAATGCCTATTATAATCAAATTAGAAAAAAATCAAGGACAAAGAAAAAAATACTCAAAGCAGCAAGAGAAAAAAATATTACACTCAATGGAGCCCCAATATATGTATTAGTAATTTTTTCAGCAGGAGCCTTCCTGGGCAGGAGAGAGTGAGATGCTATATTCAAAGTGCTGAAAGAAAAAATCTGCCAAGCAAGAATACTTTACACAGCAAAACAACTCTTCAAACATAAAGGAGAAATAAAGACTTTCCCAGACAAACAAATGATGAGGGAATTCATCAGAATTTCAGATCAGATTTATCTTGTAAGAAATGCTAAAAAGATGTCTTCAACTGGAAAGAACTAGATGCTAATGTGTAACCAGAAAAATGTCCACAAGTAGAAAACTCACTGTTTGAAGAAAACAGACAAATCAGTAAAATCAATAAAATACTGTCATTGGGGTAAGTAAACCACTTATATCTTCATTGTGAAGACTGCAAGATGAAACTATTAAAAACAATAACTATGACAATTGATTAATAGACCCGCAATATAAAAAGTTTTAAATGAAAACATTAAAAAGTCAAAATGTGGGAGGAGAATGGTGTTACAGTGTTGTTTGTTTTTGTTACTTTTCTTTTTTTGTGATCAAAGTGAAGTTGTTATCAGTTTATAATAACCTGCTATAACTATAAAACTGTAAGATGGGCTAGGTATGGTGGCTCACACCTGTAATCTCAGCACTTTGGGAGGCCAAGGCAGTTGGATCACCTGAGGTCGGGAATTTGAGACCAGCCTGACCAACATGGAGAAACCCCATTTCTACTAAAAATGCAAAATTAGCTGGGCATGTTGGCGCCTCCCTGTAATACCAGCTACTCGGGAGGCTGAGGCAGGAGAATTGCTTGAACCCAGGAAGTGGAGGTTGTGGTGAGCTGAGATCCTGCCATTGCACTCTAGCCTGGGCAATAAGAGCAAAACTCCATCTCAAAAACAAACAAACAAACAAACAAAAAAAACCCACAAAAAACTGTAAGATGTTTTCTGTAACCACAAAACAAAAATTTATAATTGACACACTAACAATAAATGGCATGGAATCAAAACATATTACTAACAGAAATCACTTAATCACAAAGGAAGATAGTAAGAGAGGAAAAAAGAAGAAAGAATCTACAAAACAACCAGAAAACAGGTAACACAATGGGAGTAATATTCTCTTATCTATCAGTAATAATCCTGAATGTAAATGAATTTAATTCCCCAATTAAAAAACAGAGTGACTAAATGTATAAAAAAGGCAATGACACAAATATATATACTGTCTAAAATAAACTCACTTCACCTATAAAGACTCTTACAGACTGAAAGGGAAGGGATGGAAAAAGATATTCCATGCAAATGGAAACCAAAAAAGAGAAGGAGTAGCTATACTGTATAAGAGAGAGTATACTTTAAGTCAGAATGGTAAATAAAAGACAAAGAAGGTCATTATATCATGATAAAGGAATCAAAACAGCAAGAGAATATAAAACTTGTGAATATATATGTACCCAACACTGGAGCACCCAAATATATAACAAATATTAAGACTGCAATACAATAATAGCAGGAGGCTTCAACACCTTATTTTTGCAATGGACAGCCCATCCAGATAGAAAATTAAGAAAGGAACATCAGAGTTAAACTGCACTCTAGACCAAGTGGACCTAACAGACATTTACAGAATATTCAATTCAATTCTTAATAGCACATGGAGCATTCTCCAGAATAGTCTATATGTTAGGTCAAAAACAAGTCTTAATAAACTGACAAAAAGTAGAAATCATATCAAGTATTTCTGACCACAATAGAATGAAACTAAAAATCAGTAACAGAAAGAATATTGGAAAGTATTCAAGTATACGTAAATAAAACAACAGACTTCTGAATAACAAATTGGCCAATGAAGAAATTGAAAAGGAAGTTAAAAAATTTCTTGGGACAAATGAAAATGGAAACACAACATAGCAGAATCTATGAGATACAGCAAAAGCAATGCTAAGAGGGAAGTTTAAAGCATTAAACACCTATGTGAAAAAAGTTGAAAGACTTCAAATAAACGATGTAATGACTCACATCAAGGAACTAGAAGTACAAGAAATAGCCCAACCCAAAATTAGTGGAAAGAAAGAAATAATAAAGATAAGAGAAGAAATAAAGAAAATGGAGATTTAAAAAAGTACAAAAGATCAACCAAACAAAAAATTGTTTTCTTGAAAAGATAAACAAAATCGACAAACTTTTAGGTAGACTAACAAAAAAAGAGAAAATCCAAATAAATAAAATCAGAGATAAAAAAAGAGTCATTACAACTGATATCACAGGAATTCAAAGAATCATTAGAGACTATTGTGAATACCAACAAATTGGAAAACCTAGAAGAAATAGATATATTCATGAACCCATGAAACCTATCAAGATTGAACCATGAAGAAACAGAAGAGGTGAAAAACAAGTAACAAGACTGAGTCTGTAATAAGTCTCCAATTAAAAAAAAAAGACCCAGTCATGATGGCTTAACTGCTGAATTCTACCAAACACTTAAAGAAGAACAAATACCAAGTCTTCTTAAATTATTCCAAAAAAACTGAAGAGAAGGTAATACTTATGCTATAGTATGGGTATTTGTGCCTTCAAACTCATGTTGAAATTTGATCCCCAACATTAAAGATGGGGCCTAAGGGAAAGTAGTTGGGTCTTGGAGTTAGATCCCTTATGAATTGCTTGGTGCTGTCCTTGGGGTAATGAGTGAATTCTTGGTTTATTAGTTCCCATGAGAGTTCCTCCAACAGTTGATCCTTAAAAGGGGCCTGTAACCTTCCTTCCTTTCTTGCTTTCTCTCTCTTGTCATTGATCTCTGCACATGCTCCCTGTGCTTGCCTTCCACCATGTGTGGAGGCAGCCTGAAGCCCTCACCAGAAGTAGATGCTGGTACCATGCTCCTTGTACGGTCTGCAGAACCATCAGCCGAATGAACTTCTTTTTCTGTATAAATTACCTAGCCTCAGGTTTTCCTTTATAACAGCACAAAAATGAACTAAGATGACTTCCAAACTTATTCTAAGAGGGCAGCATTACCCTAATACCCAAACCAGGACAGAACACAACAACAACAAAACCCTACAGACTAATATCTCTGAAGAACATATTATTGTTAAAATGTCCATACTACCCAAAGCTACCTACAGATTCAATGCAATCTCTATCAAAACACCAAGGACATTCTTTATGGAAATGGAAAAAAAAGTCTCAACATTTGTATTGAATCACAGAAGACCCTGAATAGCCATAGCAGTCCTGAGCAAAGAGAACAAAGCTGGAGGAATCACACTACCTCACTTCGAATATACTACAAAACTACAGTAATCAAAACAGCATGCTACTGGTATAAAAACTGACATATGGACCAATGAAATCAAAATAAATTCACACATCTACAGTGAACTTATTTTTAACAAAGGTTACAAGAACCCACACTGGGGAAAGGATAGTCTTTTCAATAAATTGTGATGAGAAAACTGGATATCCACATGCGGAAGAATGAAACTAGATCTCTACCATTCACCATATATAGAAATTAAATAAAATGGATTAAAGACTAAAATATAAGACCTAAAACTATGAATCTGCTAGAAAAAACCTGGGGAAATACTTCGGGATATTGGTCTGGGCAAAGATTGTTTTTTGTTTTAAAAACAAGACCTAAAAAGCACAGGCAACAAAAGGAAAAATTGACAAATGGGATTTCATCAATCTAAAAGCTTCAGCACAGCAAAGTGAGAAATTAACAGAATGTAGACAACCTACAAAATGGGAGAAAATATTTGCAAACTATTCATCTGACAAAGGACTAATAATCAGAATACATAAGGAACACAAATGACTCAATAGGAAAAATAAACAAATAATCCAATTAAAAAATAGGCAAATGATCTGAACAGACATTTCCCAAAAGAAGATAAACAAATGACTAACAGGTGTGTGTGTGTGTGTGTGTGTGTGTGTGTGTGTGTGTGTGTGTGTATTTGAGTCAGAGTTTCACTCTGTTACCCAGGCTGGAGTAGTGCCATCCTGGATCACTGCAGTCTCAAGCTCCCGGGCCCAAGTGATTCTCCCACCTCAACCTTCTAAGTAGCTGGGACCATGGGTGCATACCACCATGCTTGGCTAATTTTTAAATATTCTGTAGAGACTGGGACTCACTATGTTGCCTAGGCTGGTCTCAAACTGCTGGGCTCAAGTGATCTTCCCATTTTGGCTTCCCAAAGTGCTGGAATTACAGGAGTGAGCCAATGTGGCCAACCCCAAAAGGTGTATGGAAAAATACTCAACATCACTAATCATCAGTTAGATGCAAGTTAAAACCACAATGAGATATCATCTCACCCCAACGAAAATGGCTTGTGTCAAAAAGAAAGGCAATAACAGATGCTGGTGAGGATATAGAGAAAGGAGAACTCTTGTACACTGTTGGTCTGAATGTAAATTAGTACAGCCACTATGGAAAATGGTGTACTGGCTCCTTAGAAAACTAAAAACAGATCTACAAATATGATCCAGTAATCCCACTGTTGGGTATATATACCCAAAAGAAAGGAAATCAGTATATCAAAGAGTTATCTGCACTCTCATGTTTATTGCAGCACTGTTTACGATAGTCAAAATATGGAATCAACGTATGTGAACATCAATGGATGAATGAATAAAGATAATGTGGTATATATGCACAATTAAATATTATTCAGCCATAAAAAATAATAAAATGCTGTCATTTGTAGCAACATGAATGAAACTGGAGGACATTATGTCAAGTGAAATAAGCCAAGTTCAGGAAGATAAATATTGAATGTTCTCATTCATATGTGGAAGCTAAAAACATTGATTCCATGGAGGTAGAGAGTAGAATGAGGGTTACCAGAATGGTAAGGTGGGGAGGAGATGGTGAGAGGTTGGTTAACGCGTACAAAAATACAATTATATAAAAGGAATAATTTTTGGTGTCTGATAGCACTGCAGGTGACTACAGTTAATAATAAGTCATTGCAAATTTAAAAATAGAAGAAAAGATTTGAATGTTGCTAACACAGAAAATGATAAATGTTTGAGGTGATAGGAATCCCTGTTACCCTGATTTGAGTATTATGCACTGTATGAGTGTACCAAAATATTATGTGCACCCCATAAACATGTACAATTATTATGTATCAATAAAAGTCAGTAGAATTTTATCATATTAATAATGAGTATACTTTTATTTTCCCCAAGTAATTATGTATATTAAAACATGATTCTACAAACAAATTTTAAAAGAACATTTAAGAAAGCAACCACCTATCATCTTTTTAAAGTGGCTTTATTGAGATATATTTCACAAACCATAAAATTCACCCATTTAAAGTGTACAGTTCAATAGTTTTAGTATATTCACAATAGATCACATTCATAGTTACAGTAGATAACAGTGTATTCACATTATTTAACGATCACTGTAATCTAATTTTAGAAAATTTTATCAACTACAAAAGAAACTATGTAGCCACTAGCAGTAGTTTCTATTTCTTCTAATTCCTATAGCCCTTGGCAATCATGAATCTACTAACTCTATATTTTTGCATATTCTAGACATTACATATAAATGAAATCATGTACATACATGAATTATTGAGGTTGAGAATTCCCATGATTTGTCACATTTGTCACCTGCAAACTGGAGATCCAAGAGAGCTGGTGGTGTAATTTTGGCCTGAGTCTGAAGGCCTTATAACTGATGGTATACTCCAAGTCCAAAGGCATGAGAAGACCAATGTCACAGCACAACCTGGTAGGTAGTAAGGGAAAGAATTCTTAATTTCCCTGCATTTTGTTCTATTCAGGCTCTCAATAGACTGAAAAATGACCACCCACATTGTGGAGTTAACTTTACTTTACTGAGTTAATCAGTTCAAATACTAATCTCATCTGAAAACACTGTTATAGACCAAAACAGAAAAACGTGTAATCTGGGCACTCAATAGCCCAGTCAAATTCACACTCAAAAGGAACAATTACATGAGTGATCACCACCTTTTGACTTGTACGCACGGGGCATGATAATCAAGTAGTTTCTATATTTTCAGAATTTAGTGGTGAAAAGATGTCAAATTAAATTAAGAAATGAGATATAAAGAGACTCAAATCCTGGCATTTGAAAAAGAGCTATTTCTTATTTAAAATTTTCTTGTAAATTTCTTTATAAAGAAGAGTAATAACAAGTTCAAAGAAGAAATTAAATGATAATGTGTTTTCCATTGAGGATTGTTATAGCTTGGGTTAGAAAAATCTGTGAGGAACAAAAAAGGAAAACAAGAAATTACACACTGCTAATATAGGTGTGATGTTTCAGGTACTAAAAATAAATCACCTTTTCTGATACTGAGAAGAGAAATACCAAATGACTGCAAATGATCATAATATTTACTTTTATTTCTATAATTTAAAAAACAAAGATTGAGTAAGAAAGATAGAACATAGTTTTGATACTCGTGTCCCTCAGGTGCTATCACTAGGAACTAACAAGACAGATGATTTTTTCCAGAATTTTCTCTCTAGAGCTGGTAGTAGGATCTGTGTGTAAGGCACTGGTTCCAGGAAAGGTGAGATTAGCAGATATCTTTCATTATAACTATACCTTTATGTCAAAGCCAGCTAAATGAAACTATACACTAAAGTTAAAAGTTTAAAAATACTATGATTATGATTGAAGGACCACTTATAACCACCTTTAAAGAATAGTTTTGTGGCTGGGTACAGTGGCTCATGCCCGTCATCCTAGCACTTTGAGAGGCTGAGGCAAGAGGATTGCTTGAACCCAGGAGTATGGACAATGTAGTGAGACCCTGCCTCTATGAAAAAAAATGTAAATAAATAAAGAATAACTTTGAGTTGATATTAACTCTGGGGACTCACAACACTGCTTAATACAGATTAGAAAATATTATCAGGCAACATTTTATAACAGTAACTATTATTGCAGAGAAAACATTTTGGGAAAGGTGAACACCAGTGAGAAAGAAAAAGGTAGTTGGGTTATATGAGCACAAGTCTATAGATTTTGGAACAGAATTATGCTGTATTATTATCTAATTATGTATCCAAATCATCGTGGTCAAGTAAAAGAAGAAATTCAGCTATAGGGAGAGGAGGTGGCAATATGGGGTTTTAAACAAAATCTCTATCTCTACTCTTATCTATCTTATGCTGAGAGGTGCAGGGTCGAGTTATCCTAGATCTTAACTTAATGAGAGTCCTGGAGGGGAAATGGGAGCCCAGTGGAAGGAGCTAGAGGTGAAATCTTGGATTTTAGGGCCCTGCAGACACACAAACCAGAAGAGAGTGAATGATCCTTATTAAGGGGTCTGCAGAAATGAAGGAATTTCTTAAGAACCCCTACATGTACCAGGTGCCAGAAATAGTAAGTTCCTCTTCTAAGCTTCCTTGGTTTTTCTTGCTCTGTGCACAGCCCTTCCTGCTTAGTCTGTAATGAGCACTTGTTTCTCTGCTTAATCTGTAACTAGCAAACCTCTTACTCTGTAAACAAGCCTTCCCACCTAGTTGGTAAGGGACAGCCTCTGCCTTCTCCCCTAATTGGCCTTACTCAATTTCAAATACTAGCCAATCGGGTCAGCTTAGACTGTGTGGTCTGACTCCAGCCAATGGGGAAAGGACTCAGAACAGGAACTGTGTTAGGGATAAAAACCCCTGCCCTACCTGGCTAGGTGTGCTCTTGTGATTGTGACTGACACAGGCAGCACCCTTTTGCAGAAGTAGATGTGCGTTGCTGAGAAATTTTCTGCCTAAGTTCTGGTTTTCTTTGCAGCACCCAGCATTTGTTTCTAACACAGGGAAAGAGTGAGCTGGAGAAACCTCTCAAATTCAAGAAAGCGTAAAGCAAATTGAACAATACGGGTGAGGTAAGAACTTGACTTCTCTAAGTTTTTCCCCTCTACCACCCTCTTCCTAAAATAATTACAGGATGTAGAAGCTAAGATGAGTAGGCTAAGGAAAAAATTGGTAGGAAAGAAAGAAGATGCCAGAAGATGTCAAAGGTTTTTGCTTCCAGCAGACTCTAACTAAATAAATGTTAAATTAATGTAAAAATAAATATGGGCTTTTGATTATTACATGGAACAAGATCATTTAATTTTTTAACTGATTGGAGTTTAAAATTGCAGTTACTTAAGATTGACCCCTAAGTTTTGAGACTTCCCAAGTCTTTATTCCAGGTAAGTGGGAAGATAGAACATTTTAGAGAATATCTTCACTTTAATCAGGTTGAACCTTATATAGCTAACATTTTCTTTTGTCTCAAAATTATGAGAAAGGAAAATGTCATATGAACTCAGAAAAGTAATAGGATCTAAACTTGAACAAGTAAAAAAATCATGATTTTTCAATTCTCTTGTGTATATAAATTACTTAGACCAATCTTTAGCAAAAATAAAATGAGAACTGTTTTATAAACAGTAAAGCGTCTACAGATTATTCAAGAAAGAAACCTTATCTGTGAGTTCTTTGAGAACAAAAGCATTTTATGACAGCTGTGAACTAATTAGTGTCATTAGGTATTAAAAGGCAAGAACAACAAAAAACAGTGAGCAGACCATATAGAGAAGTTAGAGGACTGGAAAGAAATTAGGCATGATGTAAAGTTTAAGAACAGTAAAAACTAAATATCATTTGCATTGAAGAAAAGGTGTTTGAAAATGATGAGTTCTGTTTTTTGTTTGCTTGTTTATATTTTTCTTTTGGTAACTTTTCTTACCCCTCCCCCAAAACTGTTAAGTGCTTCATTAGTAAACAACATGATGGACAGAAAGGAGGAACACATTATGAATAGTTTTGGCTTAGAATTATGTGTTAGTTTATAATAGCATGTCTAAAATTTTTGAGTTGTATGTAAAATGCTTAAGAATTTTTAATAAAAAATCCCAGTGTGTTGTGATATCTCTTGATCTAAAATAGCTAACATCTGAATTTTATGATTTCATGCAACAATTTTATTTCATTCATGATTTTGTGGGTCAGGAATTCTGGAAGGGCCAGGCTGGGTGATTCATCTTTGCTCAGGTTGGCAGCAGTAGAAGCTGTGGGATACACTCAAGATGGCTTCTCCACCCCCATATCTGGTGCCATGGTGCTCCCTGGCCTCTCTTTCTTTCCATACAGCATTTCCAGGGCCTCTCCAATGTGGCCTGGGCTTCTCACATACAATGGTTTCAGGATAAGTAGCTCAGGGCTCTGGAAGATCAAGAAAGAGACACTAGTTCTCCTACAGGCTGAGTCTGGAACTGGAGTGGAATAATCTCTGATGCTCTCTATTGTCAAAGCGTAGTCCACCAGTTTAGATTCAAGAGAGAGAAATAGATTCCACCTCTGCATGGAAGGAGGGTCAGAAGTTTTTCAGCTTTCTTAACCCTCCACACTATAGTTTATCAACCTTTAAGTTTGTCGAGCCTTCTGAGAATCTGATGAAAAATATGGGAAAATGCACTTTCATCACATTTGTATGCAATTTTGGTGGAAACACTTACCCTGAAGATTTAATGTCTAAAATAAGTTGCTTGATGAATGGAATTATAGAAACAGTATATAATCCTTACCTTGATGTCAGATCCATTGGTCTGTTCACTAAATCCCTATCTTCTTTGTCCTCTTCATTCTTCTTTAAGCACTCTTGATTTTCGTCTCCTCCAACCTTAACCTTCTCTTCCTTTCCTCTTGAGGTCTGTCTTTGAAAGGATCTTGGTTGTAGTTCAGCAGTTATAATTTCACAAGGTTCATTTCTCTCAGGGTAGTAATAAACTTTTAAAGTATGACTAGGTCAATATTTCTCTAAATGAGCTCCTTTGTCCATAATTTATACCCAGTGGCAAACACTCTGTGACTAGAAAGACAGAAAGGAAATAATACCTTGGGACAATATTTTAATAGCCAGATGTCATTGCCACTAACCAATGTTTAGGCTGTATACAAGTATAACCTTGCTGACTGATTTCCAACTCTTATCCAAACTGTCTACCTGGATTTTGTTTCTTGTCAGCCACCACAAATACAAAGGTTGTTTCTCAATTTTGTTCTGTAAACATATGATTGCTGCATCCTCCAGGAATTGAAATTAAGCATCCCAGCTTTGGGAATATTTTTCAGAAGCAATAAAAGACTTCTTTGGCTTTGTCTTTTTATGAGGATGCTTTGCATCCTGCTCACATGCCTTGTAATGTAATCTCAAGACACAGCTGTTGTTTCAGAGAGTTCATTCATGTCAGCAGCAATTAAAAAGTCCTTTGTTTTCCAAACATGCTTCCCAGCTTGTCTTGAGGAGCTTTGCAAACAATGACTCCTACAGCTTGAGGAAAGGAATCCTTATTGTGTGTGGCAGAAAGGGTGTGTCATGCTCATTTTCAGTCTCGTTCCATGATTTACCACAGGTACACCTGTGCATCTTCTTGACAGTGAAGTTTTAAATATAGAACATTCTCAGTCATCACTTTGCCACCTTGAGTTATGACCCCTTGTAGCAATGAGTTAGAGCATACTTATAAGATGGGATGAAAATCAAACCACTCCTTTGATATTACAAGTGTTACCCTGCTTATATTTTCATTTTATATATCGAAATGGATGTATCCTGGAGACTTGAGCTTCAGTAGCTTGATATTGCTTTGCTTTTAGGTGAGATGTGTACTATAGGACAGTATCTCAAGGGCTCCCTGTGCATACTTTGTGTTTCAGGTTATGGGCACCTGGAGAATGACGAATTGAAAGAGAGACATGTGCTATGATTTCAGAGCCTCAAAAAGGCAGGTTCTTTCCCTATTGGTCCTGTTTTCCTTTCTCAAAAGTGAATGAGTACATTCCTTGTAGAAGATTAGAGAAAGTACACATGGCCTTGTCTTATCTAGCCTTTTCACTTGTAGAGTCGGGTCTCATGTGTATTAAGATAAATCACTGCTATGATCATTTACAAATATTAGTATCATGAATACATTTGTATACCTTTCAGATTGCTACACATAGACTATGTCTTATTTTAATGATTTGTGTGTGTTTGTGTGTGGTGGTGGTAGGAGTAGGGGTAACTAAACTGGTACTCAAATAACACATCCTTTCTGTTTTTGGTCAGTTTCTAGACTTCTTTTTGCTTTGGAACAAGAGGATGGGATGAAGGTGGGAGCAGGGAACTAAGGAAACTGCTAACATAATGAGCTGAAACACACAGCCGGGGTACATGTTTTGCCTTCACCTTTTAAATAATCAGAATGAGCATGTGACATCTCAAATGAAATATTCGTTTACCTAATTGACAATGGGTTTTATATTTTAGCAAATATACAAAAAAGTATAGAATCTGCACTCTAGGGAATACATAAAGATATTATAGAACAGGACAAATATTTCAAACTCAAGTTCCATAAGTCTATAGACTCTTTAAAGTCTGCTGACATTAAGATAAGGAGTAATCAGGTATATATTAAAGTAGATTTTAAAAACGTGAAGCTTTTGAGTATTTTGCAAGCCTGTTGGTGAACACACATGTGGACTCTGAGCCATGTGATTAACGTGAGCTCAAGCTTTTCTCAGCTGGAAAGCTGCCCTTAGCAATAGCATATCCTTCACTCACAATGTCTGAAAATCCGAGTAAAAGGCAGGCAAAGTAATATGTAATTAAAAAGTGTTTTTCTTATTCTGCCTTTATGAAAGTGTTGTAACCAAGCGAGTTACAGAGAAACGCCACACTGTGAGATGAATTCAGGATTCCTTTATTAGCTGGCGACCAAGAAATGGCTAGCACTCAAAATTCTCTTGGCCCCGAAGAAAGGGCTAGATTTTCTTTTATACTTTGGTTTAGAAATGGAAGTGGGGGAGTCTAGTTAAAACAATCTTACAGAAGTAAAGCAGGCAAAAAGTTAAAAGGATAAATGGTTACAGGAAAGCAAACAGTTCCAGGTGCAGGGGCTTTAGATCTATCACAAGGTGATAGACGTGGGGCTTTGGGTATTATCAACCAGATACAAACATGGGGGCTCTGGGTGCTATTAACTGGGTGAATTCCTGGGAACTGTGGATATAGCTTGCCACAGTAACTTATCAGTTTAATTGCATTCTTGGATGTGCTGGGAGTCAGCTTGCACAAGTTAAGTCCTTGAGGAAGGAGGATGGGTAAGGGGCTGCAAGTGAAGGAGCCAAGATGGAGTTTGTCTGGCTCTTTTAGCTAAGGGAGAGTCAATTCAGGTTAAAACAAGGTAGGGTATCACAAAAGAAGAGATCCAAATAATCCTAGTTCATAGAGTTAGAACTGATCTTAAATCAGCTAGTGGAAACCTTGCTTTGTGTAAAAGGAGGAAGCAGCAACAGTAACAGCAGAGAGATAAGTGATTGCCTACACACTGCTCAGTCAGCCAGGATCTGAATTTAGGTCTTTTGACTAAGCCAATCCTGAATATCAAATTAGAAAGCCTGAGAGAAGTGTACTAGGTACTTTGTTTTTACATCTTTATTGAGATAATTCACCCATTTAATATATACAGAACTGGGCTGTTTTTTAGTGTTGCTGTTGTTTGGATTTGTATCCCCACCCAAATCTCATGTCAAATTGTAGTCCTCAGTGTTGGAGGAGGGGCCTGGTGGGAGGTGATTGGATCATGGGGGCTGATTCCCTCTTGCTGCTCTCCTGATAGTGAGTGAGTTCTCACGAAATCTGGTTGTTTAAAAGTGTGTAACACTTCCCCCTTTGGTCTCTTCCTCCTGCTCCAGTCATGTAGGATGTGCTTGCTTCCCCTTTGCCTTCCACCATGATTGTAAGTTTCTTGAGGCCTCCTCAGCCATGCTTCCTGCACAGCCTGTGGAACTGTGAGACAATTAAACCTATTTTCTTTATAAATTACCCAGTCTCAGGTACTTCATTATAGCAATGCGAGAACGAACTAGTACAAACCTATTCACAGAGTTTTGGAGTTATCACCACATGTGAACATGACTTTAGAACATATCAAAACTCCCAAAAGAAAACCTTTCTCCTCTAGCAGTCACTTCCTATTCACACCTAAAGGCCCGCCTCCACCCTCGTCCTAGGCAAGCACTGGTCTACTGTCTGTCCTGATGGATTTTCCTATTCTGGACATTTCATACAAATGGGATCATTTGACATGTGGTCTTTTGTGAGTAGCTTCTTTCACTTGGCATAATATTGTAATACTTCCATGTTAAAATGATAATCCGTATTTCATTTTTTTATTGCCAAATAGTATTTTATTGTACAAACACTCCACATTTTGTTAATCTGTTAATGAGTTGAAAAATCATATAGGCTGTTTTCATTTTTTGGCTATTATGAATAGTGCTGTTATAAATATTGTGTGAAAGTTTTTGTGTGCACTGCACATATATTTTAATTTCTCATGGGTATATATTTGGAAGTGAAATTGTTGGGTCATATGGTAAACCTATGTTCAATATTTTGAAGAACTGCCAAACTATTTTTTCCTAGTTTGTTTTTAAAACAATGTCACAATATTATACTAACAACTACCATGAATCAGGGCGATGTTCAGCTGATTTTCAAAGTATATAACCATCCATATGGAAAAGTTGGTGTATATTAATACATAGTTAAAAATCATGAAGAGGCACAAGAAAGTCCTCATCATTAAAATAAGACTATGAAAAGCAATAATCATGCTTTCTACATTGTGAATAATTTGCATAGTCTACATTTAAACCAGCCAGTATATAACAGGCTTTTCGTTGGCAGCAATAAGGATTTGGCCAAGTTAATGCTAATGTACTCTTTCACTTTGCATTTCTAGATATAGAAAATGGCAACAGGTTTTTGATAAAGATGTTAAGATATTGAAAAAATAAAACTAAAAATATCAGCAGGAGAGAAGAACAGCACCATTAAAGGAAGGGACTGGTCTTAGTACTAAAGTTCTCTGAATACCAACTGCATCAGGGGTTTGGCAGCAGTATCATGCATACACTGAAGAAAGCTTTTTTGCTGCCTTTTGAAGCTGCCTTTTGTAGGTCTTATGTATAAACAAACCAGATTGAGGCTATTCAATTTTTTATCTGTATTTCTCTTAAGACATTTTGACAGCAATTTTTTTTAACCGTATACCCAGTAAAATAGCTGGAATGTCTAAATTTAGGTCCAAGACCCATTTTTTCTCTGAGCTCCCCCACAATCCATGGGACATTACTTTGTATCCTGGAACCCCACCTTCACCTGTGGAACAGGAATAATTATCCACCTGTGCACCTAAGGAGATGGGGATATGTGATAAAAAATGAGCTATGTAGCACACAGTACTCTGTGAACTATTTATTTGTTTATGTGTTTTGAGACGGAGTCTTGCTCTGTTACCCAGGCTGGAGTGCAGTGGCACAGTCTCGGCTCACTGCAATCTCTGCCGCCCGGGTTCAAGAGATTCTCCTGCCTCAGCCTCCTGAGTAGCTGGGATTACAGGTGCGTGCCACCACACCCGGCTAATTTTTGTATTTGTAGTAGAGACAGGGTTTCGGCATCTTGGCCAGGCTGGTCTTGAACTCCTGACCTTGTGATCCACCCAGCTCGGCTTCCCGAAGTGCTAGGATTACAGGTGTGAGCCACCACACCTGGCCCTGTACTCTAAACTATCAAGCCCTAAAAGGTAAGGCATTTCTATGGGCCAAGTATAACTGTGCTTATTATAAATGTTTGAAGGGATATTTTAAATGTTCAGAGCACTTATGCTTATTTTTTTCACACCTACCTATAATTAATGATCAGCACTATTTAAAGCATTTAAAGGCACATTTCTAAACTAATAGGCACAAATAAAAATATAAAATTAGGAAGAATTGAAACATTTGCTTAGCTACCACATCCAACATGAAACATTCCTTCAAAAGGCTTTCTTGGAAGATATTGGAAGGAGCATGGAGCACATACATTACAGAGAAACTGAATTTGTATTTTGCGTAATTTCAGGTTGCAGATTGCTCAGTTCTTTCCTTATTTCCCACAAACACTTGAAGCTCACCCCATTCTTAACTCCATCTCTTGGAGCTGATTTTATATTTTTGCAGGCAAAAATAAGAGGTAAAGGGATAGGTGAACTGTGGCTATTTAAAGTAAAATATATATAACACATTTCCTTTGCTCTCTTCTTGTGATACCAATACCAAAACACACCATTTTTTTTTATTATACTTTAAGTTTTAGGGTACATGTGCACAACATGCAGGTTTGTTACGTATAAAGAGTTTTTCAAGTTCCATTTAAAAAAGAAGGAAAAACATAATAAAGAGCTATTATTAAAATTCACATCAATTGGCAAGTTAAAAGCAATGCTGGGAATATGACCCTGAAGAGCCATTTCTTTTTTGCTTCTACTCACTTATCAATATAATTATAGTTTCATTAAATGCATTTGGGATTGAAAGTGTTTGTAAAGTAAACATTTACTTTAAAACAATGTATTAAAAGCTTAGAAAGATGGGAGTATATATATCTGTACACATAAAAGTACATCTCTATATATATACTTATATATTTTATTATATATAATTTATATGTAATTATATATACTTGTATATATATTATTAGTATATATATTTATATATGCAAACAGTATATACATACTATATATAAAGTATACATATATAAAGTTTATATATAAAAAAGTATATATATACTTTATGTATAAAAAGTACATATACTTTATAAAAAGTATATATTAAAAAGTATATATATATGTTTTCATGATGAAAGATTGCAAATATAAAATAAGACAAAGAATAGGAAATTTTAGTAAGAATATATCAACAGAAAATATAATTAGCAGCATGTCGAGAACATTAAATTTTGCTGCTGTCGAATTTTATGATAGTAGCAGCTGCTCTGCCACTTACTACCTAAGCATCAATATCTTAAGACAACACAGAGCCTTATTTTTTATTATTTTTTTTCTACCTGAAAAAAAACCAGACAGGGAATTCAGCAGGTGCTATTTCTGGAGAAAAATGACTAGCATTATGAACATCTTCAGTTATTTGCCTCGCTTCATGTAACTTCCTCTTTCCTCCCTCCAAGTTCTCATTATTCAAAAATCATTTACTACTAAATTATAGAAACAATAGTTTCTCCTAAAGCAGAAGTGAAGTGAAGCTGGGTATGAGTCAATAAAAAATTACGAGGCTCTCAAATCATCAAAAAGATGCCACCTATGACATATGACCTATGCTGGTCTTGGCACCCGTTTATGAAGAGACTAGAAGGGGTAATATTTTTTCTTCTGTGGAACTGATGGTCCCTGTCATCTCAACTTGAGGGAAGGTTTGTCTTTGAACCAAAACATATTCGTTTTTGGAGGATATACACATGAGCATCTTTTCCTAAGAAAATATGTCCGAAACGCTCATCATTATCTCGGCAAACAGAGCGCTGAGATCAGTGGCTTGCAAGCCTCAGTAGCCTGGCTCATTGTTTTCTTCTAGGTATGGTAGAATCAGTGAGTGCATGGCTCAGAGGGAGGCTGCAGAGCTAGGCAAGCCTCAGTTCAGACTTGGCTGCTCAGGAACAGTGTGACCTTGGCAAATTATGGGGTTTCTTAAAGCCTGTTTCTTCATTTATAAGTTTAAGTATATGCATCATTTTTTTAAAAAAGGTTTAAAAGTATGTATATAATACTTTGCACATGTTATGCACAGCAGAAGCTGCTGGGTTTCCTTACTCTTTCCTTGCCCATAGAATCCTGAGGATATTTGAGTCACAGAGTACCCAGGGCCGGGGGATTAGTCCTGACTGTTTTTGTACTATGTGGCAATCTCATTTTCCATTGCCATGGCTGATTTTCAAATATGACATTCAGTTATGGCCAATGATATGTAGCGGGGAGACCTCTGGGGCTTCTAGGAGAGGTTTTTCACCTTGAAAAGACAGAGGGGTTGGAGGAAAAGTTCTGTTTGGTGTTGGACTTTTGTTATATGAGAACTTGAGGCCTGGTGCTGCAGTAGCCAACTGACTGAGACAAAACTGAGTATGAAAAGCTGAGCTTGAGTTTGAATGTGGGTCCCCAGGTCATTATGGAGCAACCATGAGACAGCCTCTTCCAGCCTTTTGTTAAACACAATAAATATCCTGTGTTTAAAGCACTCTGGGTAGTATTTCCCATTATTTGTAACCAAAAGCATCCAACGCAAAAAGTAGACTGTTAATAATATGTGTTAATCAGTATATTTTAAAAGGGCAAATTGGTATTTATTAAAATCTATATCCTTGAATTAATAGAAAATAATCCCCAACTGAATTCCAGCTGCAATTCTATAATACTTTTTAGAATTTTGGAAATTTAAAAATCTTAAAAAACCATTTTTTTTTCGATTTCAAGGAAGATCTAATAAAATTTACTTGAATTCAATCAGTTATGTTTATTTTAAAGGCAAAGCAGAATGCCATAGACTTATACTTTGGAAGGGAATTTAATAATAATTATTTATATCTAAAATTTAAATTAACTTCCTGCCTCTAATTAAAGAGCACTTAAAAACCATCTCAAGAGACAGAACTGGGGTTTTTAAATGAATTTTTAAAAATCAACCTATTAAATAGCAGCATTTTAGGTTAGGTTTATGTAGTACACAGGTTCATGTTAGAATCCATAATTATGGATCACATCCAGTTTGGGTGATCCATGAAAAATAGCTCTTCCTTCATGCCCATAATTTACATAAAAGAAGGTATTTCTTGTTCCTTCTTTTAATTACATGGGTAATACTCACTGCAGAGGAGAATCCTAATTTCTGTTGTATTTTTATTCCTCTATTGGAGATCTTTCTCTTCCCTTTCTTCTGCTTATCTCTGACAGCCTACAAAGCTAAAGGAAATTAAGAATGTATAAACATACCAATCCCGGAAATTTGAAATCTTTTCGGATTTTATTAGACCCTGTGATACCAATCAGAAATTTGAAACTTCTTTTGTCTTGGAAGCTGCAGACAGGCTGTCATATTCTTTAAAAAAAATTAGTGAGAAATGGTACATACAGATCAGGTAAGGACCTAGATCTAGATCTGATTTTTTTTAAAGTACCAGCAATTGGCCAGGCTCAGTGGCTCACGCCTGTAATCCCAGCACTTTGGGAGGCTGAGGCGGGCAGATCACGAGGTCAGGAGATTGAGACCATCCTGACTAACACGGTGAAATCCTGTTTCTACTAAAAATACAAAAAATTAGCCGGGTGGTGGCACGTGCCTATAGTCCCAGCTAATTGGGAGGCTGAGGCAGGAGAATTGCTTGAACCTGGGAGGCGGAGGTTGCAGTGAGCCGAGATAGAGCCACTGCACTCCAGACTCCAACTCAAAAAAAAAAACAAAAAAGTACCAGTAACCCAGTAACTATAACAGTAGGTTGTTTGAGCCAGTTCAATAGAGAGTACAGGTTGTTGTATATTAAAGTAAAATGTGTAAATGTCTTCTTTGATGTAAAAGGTTACACATTCATCATTTGTCATTAAAAAATAATTATTGCGTCTCTACTATGTTCCAGGCCATTCTACATTCAAACTTATAAAACCCCTGGAGGCCCCGGGCCCTACTGCGTAGTAAAAATGCCTCAGAAGCTCCTGTAATTCCCTTGGCCATACTATTGATATTCCAAATTATATTACTATGTGAGCATAAGTGTGTGGCTAGAAAAAAGCAGTCAAGAATGATGGACTGCATGCAGGCAGGAGTGTGCCTTGTACTCACCTCAGGGTCGGTGAGCTGGACTTGTGGATTATGAACTTGTTGCAGGTGGTCGACAGGAACTGTCTGTGGTTTGGGTTGTCAGGGGGCATCAAACAATGTAACTGTGCCATGTGGGTGTTCACGTTGTGCACATGTACCCTCAAACTTAAAGTATAATAATAATAAAATTAAAAAAACAAACAAACAACAACAACAAAAAATGTAACTGCCCCCTCATCAGCATGTCAAATTGTATTAATTCTCATCTTATGTAAATTCTCTGATGAACATTCTTATTTCCTGCAAGATTATTTGAGATAAAGCTGAGAGTTAAAATATAAGTAATTTGAAATGGATTTCCATGATTATGAACAAGAAATCCTTGGGAACCCATTTCTTTGTCCATGGACCACCAAGGGGAGTGCAGAGAGAACTGCAGTTCCGTGCAATCAATTTCCTCTGTAATTATGCATTTTACAGTAATAAATTTTAAAACATGATTTTTGAGGACTCAGACTTCCACAAACTGCCTGAAAGGTCTATGAGCCATTGTGGAAGTCAGTATGGCAATTCCTCAGGGATCTAGAACTAGAAATACCATTTGACCCAGCCATCCCATTACTGGGTATATACCCAAAGGACTATAAATCATGCTGCTATAAAGACACATGCACACGTATGTTTATTGCGGCGCTATTCACAATAGCAAAGACTTGGAACCAACCCAAATGTCCAACAATGATAGACTGGATTAAGAAAATGTGGCACATATACACCATGGAATACTATGCAGCCATAAAAACTGATGAGTTCATGTCCTTTGTAGGGACATGGATGAAATTGGAAATCATCATTCTCAGTAAACTATCGCAACAACAAAAAACCAAACACCTCATATTCTCACTCATAGGTGGGAATTGAACAATGAGAACACATGGACACAGGAAGGGGAACATCACACTCTGGGGACTGTTGTGGGGTGGGGGGAGGGGGGAGGGGATAGCATTGGCAGATATACCTAATGCTAGATGACGAGTTAGTGGGTGCAGCGCACCAGCATGGCACATGTATACATATGTAACTAACCTGCACATTGTGCACATGTACCCTAAAACTTAAAGTATAATAATAAAAAAAAGAATAAAATAAAAAAAAAAGAACTAGAAGGGGGGAAAAAAAGAAAGTTTAAGAGTAATGTGGAAAGTAAATATAAGCATTTGTGCAACAGTGGTGGAAGGAATATGGAAATTAGATAATAGAAACAAGATCACTAATAAAGTTTATCACTATAAAGTTTAGGTCAGTTTTATCTTCCTCTAGCACATGAAATTGGGGCTGGAGCTGGCATCACAACATCACTGAAGTCTCTGCATGGTTGGGAACCTTCACACCTCCTCATGAGGAAGGGAATAAGCACAGCAGTGTGTGATTCTGTGGACAATCATCTTGGAGCTGTTGGATTTAGCAGTGGCTAAAATGGCCATATGTTTTGAAAAGGAAGCAAGTCCTAGAGTTTGTTAGGTTGAAACTGGCAAGCAATCACAACTTTTTTGTCTGACTACATTTTACTTTCATTGCTTAGTAAAAATATACCCCAAACATCGGTAATGTCTAAGTACTTTCATTAAATGGTTTTATTTAAAAAGTGAGCAAGACATTTCCTCATATCACCATATCCTGTGATATGTTTTTAAGTTTGCAAATTGGAAAGCAGGCCCAGAGACTGGTATGTCTTGGGTGGCCTTTCATGGCCCAAACTAGTTGTAATCGCCTATTTCCAATTTTCTCCTCTCTTTCTTTATCCATTGCAGGATTAATGAAGACTCAGGTATATGGTCATATTTTCAGAACCATGTTAACCATAGTCAAAGGAACTTGTAAATGTATACAGACTGTTTTTTTAAAGTTATGTCACACATTTGCTTTTTATTATTTATTTACTTTTTGTAATTTCAGCCTGTATTTTAGATTCAGGGGGTACATGTGCAGGTTTGTTACTTGGGTATATTGCATGAGGCTGAGGCTTGGTGTACGATTGATCCTGTCACCCAGGTAGTAAGCAGAGTATGCAACAGTTAGTTTCTCAACACCTGCCCTCCCTCTCCTTCCCACCTCTAGTAGTCCCCAGTGTCTATTGTTCTTACTTTTATGTCTATAAGTACTCAATGTTTAGCTCTTACTTATGAGCGAGAACATGTGATATTTGGTTTTCTGTTCCTGTATTAATTTGCTTAGGATAATGGCTTCCAGCTGCATCTATGTTGCTGCAAAGGATATGATTCATTCTTTTATATGACTGCATAGTATTCCATATACCAGACTATTTTAAAATAAAGGCAGTTTTTCTCTTAAGGAGAGAACTGCAAATAATGAAAATGTGTTCAAAAGTTATTTAAAATCAAAACAAGCTAAGGGTCTTTGTCCATTTTGTGCTGCTATAACTGAATATCCAAGACTGAGATATTTATAAAGAGGAGAGACTTATTTCTTAGAGCTGGGAAGTCCAAAGTTGAGGGCGTGGCATCTGGTGAGGGCTTTCTTGCTGCATCATCCCATGGTGGAAGGTGGAAGGGCAACAGAGCACGCACAACAGAGAGGGCTGAACTCATCCTTTTATCAGGAAACTACTCCTTCAATAACAGCATGAATCCAGGCATAAGGGCTCTACCCTCATGAGTTAATTACCTCTAAAGCGTCCAACTTCCCAACACTGTTGCACTGGGGATTAAGTCTCCAACACATAAACTTTGGTGAACACACTTAAACCATAGCACTAAGTTAGTTATACTGAATGAGAACGTGCTCGAAGTGTTACTATTTGCAGTTCAAATTCTATTAAAAACTGTTGAGGCATAACTTTTAGCAGGCTCAAAATGCCTTTCTTTTTATGTTTCAGGTTAAGAATGGAGAAGGAAACAGGCTTAATGTGGCCAAAAACCTTGCATATTCTAATGTGGCCACTCAAACATTTTTTCTGTCTCTCTCTGGAGTTTAAAGGCAGGGTAAAAATATCTCTGATTTGGAAATCAGAATTGATTTCCATTTTTACAGATGTGCAGCTGAAAACCTTGGAACATTCCTTGGACCTTCTTTTTCTCTTGCACCTCACATATGGTTTGTCAGCAAATGTTGTCACCTTTACCTTCAGAATATATTCATACTCCATCACTTCTCACTACCTTCTCTGTGAGCATCCATGTCATGGCCACCATCTCTCTCCTGGGTGACTCTACTGGTCTTCAAACTGGTCTTCCTGTTTCCCTCCTTGCTCCTGTTAGATTCTTTTTTCAACACCTTAGACAGAGGTCTGTTAAAATGTTAAGTCAGATCATGTTACCCCTCCACTCGAAACCCTGTGATCATTTTCCATCTTACTCAGGGTTCCAGTCATGGCCCTTCCAGTGGCCAACCAGGCCTTACATTCTGTTCATGTTAGCTCTCTTGTCTCATTTCCTCATTTTCCCTGCTCACTCTACTTCAGCCACACTGACCCATTGCTTTCCCTTATCTTCAAACCCTGGAATAGTGGCTGTCACATAGTAGGTACTCAATAAATTTTGGATAGATGAATGGAAAACCAAGTATCTTCTGTGCTTATACTGTGATCAGAAATTCAAAGAAAAATGGACTAAGTCCCCCATTTTGTGTTTAGCTCCTAATGTCCCTTGTAAGTTCCTGGGGGACCTTAAATATCTTTTTATTTTTCTTTCTCTATTATTATTATTTTTTTGAGATGGAATCTCACCCTGTCGCCAGGCTGGAGTGCAGTGGTGTGATCTCGGCTCACTGCAACCTCCGCCTCCCGGGTTCAAGCGATTCTTCTGCCTCAGCCTCCTGAGTAGCTGGGACTACAGGCGCCCGCTGCCACTCCCAGCTAATTTTTGTATTTTTGGTAGAGATGGGGTTTCACCATGTTGGCCAGGATGGTCTCGATCTCTTGACCTTGTGATCCACCAGCCTTTATCTCCCAAAGTGTTGGGACTATAGGCGTGAACCACCATGCATGGCCTTCTTTTTAGTTTTCAAAAGCCCTAAATCCTGATTTCCTCTGAAGTTTTTGTTTGCATTCTGCATTCTGCCTTCCGTGTGTGCTGTCCTTTTTCTGCATTATGTTGCTCTGTTGTGCATGCTTGAATCCTTCACTCCCCACAGCTCTGTGTATAGCAGGCTTGGTTAAGATTTGGAATAATTAATGTTTAGGTCCTTGCTTTCTTAAAAGCCATTACTTTCTGCACTGAGAACTTTTGATGGATTCATCTACTCAAACTCCAGCCTCCTTCTATTTCCTTGGTTTTGCTTTTTCTCTTTCCCAAAGTACTGCATTCCTTCTTAGGACATCTGATTATCAGAGCATTCTTTCATTTCTGAGCCAGACTATCTCATATGGTTTCTACGCATTAGCAGATAAAATTCATTTTCCTAATTCTGTAACGCTCATTTAGAACAAATAACATCCCTTTTTCAGTGCTTCTCAGTCTTCTGGGGCTCTACGAAAGTATTATAAGCCTGGATAATTTGACTAAACATAGTTTTCTTAAAACGAAAACCATTCCTCCATCTGGAAAGTTCTATTTATTTTGGAAAAAAATATGCTTTATAGTGATTAGGCCTCAGATATAAGCTCATTAGCCACATTATAGCCTGCATTTATTAATACATATTGGCTTTTTCAAAAAACTTTCTTAATGGATCTCTTGATATAGTAAAAACTGTGAATGGTTTTAATTGTCTAATGTATATTTTATGACAGATAAAAATATTATTATATCTGAATTCATGCTCTATTGCTAAAACTTAAGAATGTTATAAATAAACTACTTGAAATGTCCCATTTTTTGGGGAAAAAAACTTTTTATGAAGCTTAATGTGCAGTTAATTCAGAGCCTACACAAGAATGGCCTCCTCTTAAAAGACTAACTATTCATTATGTGGCATTTTGTAGAGAAATTTAACTAAAGCAATGTAGGCAGCTTCACTCCAGTTCTTGGCAATAAGCAACACTGATGATTAATGACCTACACTGGTAATTGGCTCTTGGTTACAGATGCCATGGACATTTAAGAAATGAGACTATAATGAATGGAAATATCTCAGTAGTTCAACTAGTGCTTACTCACTGAGGGATTAAGGTGACCTGACATGCTAGTGCAAGCCTGGTTATGTAAAACTGCATATGCTGTTTTTAGGTTTTCTTTGCATGGCAGTAATTTTTTTTTTCACTTAAAAAGATCTTAGAGTTAGGAAACCCTGCCAAACAGAGAACATTATGAAACAAATGCTACCAAAAACATTTGAAACCAACCTGCTAGTCAACCTAAGAGAAGTAGTTTCTTATTTTCTAAGCAAGTGACATTTCCTAATGATCACCTGCTATGAATGGGTTGTATTGTTACATTCTGTCAGACTTTAGCTTTATAAAGGTCTGTGCCTACAGGCGAACCCATGGGAACTGGGTCCTGGATTCTGCAAAGAAGAACCAAATCAAGAATCACTGTCCATGACCATTTTAAAGACCTGGTATAGGAACTAAGCCTTTCTTCTTGTTTAAATTTGCCAGCTTTGCACTTGGATTTGCCCTTTCAGATTTTGATGTGTCTGCACACTGAGATTTGTCAGTTAGTAATAAACTTTGCCAATAACTGACCATACCATATCTACCCACATTTTTTTTTTTTTTTTGAAAACTGGTTTTCTACAAGTCTTAACTTTTTTGGCTTCCAATTGGAGATTTTAGACTTGGGCAGTTTGGGGAGTGGCTGTAACTAAGAAAGCAATTCTCGCATGAGAGCCAGTGAAAGGCTTGGAAATATGAACATCTAGGTTGTTTCTGGAAGAACAGGCTGTATTTCAGCATGGCATGGGGTCTGTGGATGCATACGGTGCAGTAGACTCTAATGTTAAGCTCCACCTGATCGTAAGGGGCTCAAATGCCACTCATAACAGCTTGGCAATATCTTGTAGACTTGAAGTTTTCAAACAGGATAATGAGACATGACCATCTTTTCGTATGTTTTTGGAAGATAGCTGTCTTAGGGTGAAGGACTTAGGGAGCAAGAGGAAAACTGGAACAAGAACTGAACATTTTTGTTAGCTCATCACCAAGATAATGAGGACTTAAATTAGGGAAGGGGCTGTAAGAGGGATAAGAAGAGCAAGTTCTGTAGTAGGTAAGGCAAGACTTGGCATGTCACAGAGGTAAGAGAGAAAACAGGAAGAGCTGAAGCTAACTCAGAGTTTTCTAGCCTGTGGGGGCAGAAATGATGGCTTTGTTATGCGAGGTATGCAGCACATGAGGAAATAGGTTTTGCTGAGAAAATGTTGAGGTTTGAATATGTGGAGGTTGAAGGACTGATGAGACATTTTTCTGTTAATTAAGGTCCAGCTAGTCGGCAGAATTTAGGATTGAGGTCAGGGATGAAAGACATAGAATTGTCAGTCATCTACTTGTAGGAAATGTTTTCTCAGTGTGAGCACAGTCAGTCCTTGGAGGGCAGGTCTAGGTTTTGTTCACTCCTGTGTTTCCAACCTTTAGTGGCTGGCACAGACATTACACTGAATACTGAATGAAATAATGTGTCATATACTCCCCACCCCATTTCTTCTTTCCATTTTTCTACCAATTACTCCAAAGAAAAGAAATGTTAACCTTAAATAGTTGTATTATTATGATTTTCTTTCTAATTTAGAAGATAAACTTGCAGACTGAGAGGAGATTGGATTTTCAACACAATGGCTAAGTGTTCCTGATCTCTTATTTTCAATCTCCCTAATGCTAGCTTTTTAAAAATACGATGATTAACAACTTCTGCAAGACATTCAGACTTTATCACAGGTCTTGAACAAGAGTTAATTTTACTGTTTTGTTGAATGCTATAGCAATATATTAAAATTAGAAAGAAATATTCAGTTATGCAATATTAGGAATAAGGTTGGTTTCAACAAAACAGGTAGCCTTTCTAAAACAGAGAATGTGGTGAAAATAACAATGTTAAATTACAAATTAAACCAGTTCTTTGTCAGTGAGTAAAAACATGTTCTTGGAATTATGATTTTTTTTTAATAAAGCTGTTTGGGAGAAAAGTTCGGCTTTATCATGGTTTTCAGTCTAATCACATTGTAGCCCAAATTCACTAGTCTGAAGGTTTTCAGTGGTGGTAATGAGACAGGTATAGCAAAGGTTTAATAACTTGTGCTGTGTTTTGGCTACCTTATGTTATTTGTATATTATCTCTTTGTGTTTTAGAAATTGCCAATGTTCCTTTTTTCTGAAAAAGAATTTTTATGTCTAAAATGAGCTTTTAAGGGATTTGACTGAAAAATAACTTTGGAAATGATAACCGATTTTATATGACTCTGATTAATCGTCAGCCACTTGTAAGCTCCTTGAAGAAAGGAACTGGATCTTTGTGTGTGTGTTCATGTGTATGTATGTGTTAGGAAGTTTACATCCAACAGAGGAAATTTATGTAATTTATACATGCTGAATATGGATGAGGAAATGAGTGGTCATTGAATAGTGATCATCTACAAGATATTTTCAGAGACAAAAACTACATTAAACTGGTTTCAGGAAACATCATAATTCCATCAAAAGTATAGCTTTTGAACCAATGACTTTCAGAGCTGTTCAGAAGGACGCCATTGTTAAACTGATGTGCTATCTTTTCAGTCTGTGAACAGCACGTGGCATATCCAAACTGGCAGACAAAAGGTACGAACACCTATTGATTGCTCTTTGTTGTGTCTAGTGGGTGAATCAAACATTGAGAAGACTCTCAGTGACTTCTCCTTTTGCATTTTCTTTTCTATTCCAAGTCAAATATCACATAACATAGTAGGGAAGCCTGAAAACTGACAGTCTCTCTCATTGAGTATAAACCCTGTTCAGTATTTTTCTTTCCGGAATATTAGCCAGGGCTGTCACATTCTCTTCTATCTATGACCACCTCAGAATACACCTCTGCATGAGTAGGGAAGGTGCCGTGCTTGTGGGAGCCATATTCAGTGAAGCCCAGTTTGCATTCTAAACATTTCAGTGCACTGGGATGGCAGATGCCAGCAGAACGCTGTCCCTTGTCGGTCTTTGTCATTTCTCTTCATCCCCATGGCTGCCTCTAAGAAAAGTATAAAACCTCCTAGACTATGTCTAATTATGTAATCCCAGGTGGGCAAAAACTGCTCCCTCTCTTCAACTAATGACAAGTTTATGATCTAGGGAGGAAGAATTGATAGTCCTGGTTATTTTTATGCTAACTAGTGCCAAGACAGATGCTGTTTTGTTCTTGGAGGTATCTAGAGAGGTCTCTCCCTCAGGTGCATCATGGAAACGGAGTTGGACTGTTTTCTGAGTACCAATACGGGAATTTTTTCTTTCTTCTCCAGGCCTTAGGGTAGAGCAGCAAGATTATCTGTTGGGTCTTTTAAAAGGGAAGTATCCACTCCCTTCCCCTGCCCCCTTTTATTTAGAGACAGTGTGTCGCTCTCTTGCCCAGGCTGGAATGCAGTGGCCTGATCATGGCTCACTCCTGGGTTCGAGCAATCCTCCTGCCTTGACCTCCCACAGCACTGGGATTACAGGCATGAGCCACCATGCCCGGCTGGAAATATCCTCTTTTGAAGAGCATAAACTCTGTTTCCGCATACTTCAGATTAGTACTCCTCCTGTACCGTCTGTGACTGCTGTGTCTCTGGGCTGCTGCTGAGCTTGTGGCTGTGTCCCTGCCCCTGTCCACACCCCCTGCCTGGCTCAGGCCTCAGAATGCTACTCTGATCTCCAGCATGGACTCGATGTATTTCTCATGAAAACTAATTGAATTTCGATTCTGAATGCCTGAATTCTCCATCAGTCATTTGATTATAGCTCAGCCTCCCCATAGGCCCATAAAGGAGAAGAAGTGCTGAGAGGATACTCTGGCTAAGGACTCTTCCTCATGACAAGGCAGGGTTTTGGAGAAATACCTCTCGTGCCCTGGCAAGTGAACCTTGCATGAGCTGGGAGGGCCCCTCTTGCCTTCTCATTGAAGTCTCAACTACTGATGGGGACAGGGCCTCTAAACGTGAGGCTACATGGTCATATCACTCTGCAGATGAAAAAGGGCATGGAAAGATAAACTCATGAAAAGTCCTGTTAGGTATTGCCAGCCAGGGGCTCCTTCCCCGCAAAAAACAGCCCTGGCTTCTGTCCCTGCACTGGCCACACAGAGGCGATTCAAAGCTATATGGAGGGGCCAAAGAGGCCACAAGACTACTCACTCAGAGCTTCCTATTTGCTTTTTATTGTAAGGTTATCCATCACCTTTTATAATGCCCTAATTGTGTCTTTAAAGTCCCTCTGTTTTTGTTCACTTTGACTACTAGTGAGACTTCTCTTCTTCCTTGGAGGTAAAGGAGGTGAGCAGCAGGGGGAGAAAAAAGCACTGACTTCCTTCTGGAAGTCAGTCATTTCAGCCAGTACCATGTATTTCAATGCTTTCCCATTTTGTTGCCAACAATAGCTTTTGACATAGGCCTGTCTTCTCCTGGGCATCTCCTTCTGCTGGAGTTTCATGACTTTGGTGGATAAGACCTCCAGCCTTTCCCTAGGCTCTTGGCTCAGGGTGGGTTCTGTGTCTCAGAGCTCCTTGAGAGTGGCTGAGGGCTCAGGGAGGGACATGCCTGCCTTCTGCTCCTACATGGGGGTTGAAAGCCCTGGATCTCCAGGGGCCGGAAGTGACCACCACTTTCTTTCCTTTCTCACAGCCTAGTTTCTGTGTGGCAATCCACAGCACATCTAGCTTGTTCTTGCCTTTGAACCCTCACTCGCGCAGTTCCTGTTTTCTGGAGTCCTTTTCCTTATGACATTTCAAATTTGACTTATCCTTCAAGGCTTTTGTCATCTTAACTCCTCAGCACGTAGGGTCTCTTCTGCAAATGTAGAGATTATTCCATACTGTCTTATACTTGTGTTCAGTGAGACAATTCCATTTCTCTATTTTTTTTTTCTTGGCTCACACTTGCCAAAATTATTCTGAGTTATTTGCAAACTTCTACCTAGAATCTAAGTGTCTTTTGGGGCCTAGCTACTTCCTAGGGATCTGATTAAACTTGATCAAACCTTGCTTCCCCAGCTAGTGACAGGCCAGAATTCTCCCTCCAGTTGCTGAATGTCTGGGGTCACTTTCTCATCACTGAGATAAAAGCTGCTTTGTTTGTTCTGTCTTTCACTCTTCCCTAGAGCAGGGGTTGGTAAATTATGATCATTTCCTGCTGGCCAAATCTGGCCTATTGCCTGTCTTTGTATGACCTGTGAACTAAGAATGAGTTTCACAGAAGCTTTACTGATAACACAGTCAATTAACTCATATTTTGTATGTGATATGTATTATATACTGTAATCTTACAATCAGATAAGTTAGACAAAAGAAAATGTTATTAAGAAAACGTAAGGAAGAGAAAATGTATTAACTATTCATTAAGTGGAAGTGGATAATTGGAAAGGTCTTCATCTTTATTGTTTTTATATTGAGTACGGAGGAGAAGGGGCTGGCCTTGCTTTCTCAGGGATAGTAGAGGCAGAAGAGGTGGAAGACATGGAAGGGGAGGCAGGAGAGGCAGGCACACTCGGTGTAACTTTTTTTTGAAAAAAATCCATGCATAAGTTGACTCATGCAGTTCAAAGCTGTGCTGTTCATGGGTCAGCTACACACGACTTGCCGAGTGCTCACACTGGAGTTATTGCTCTTTGACTCTTTTCTGACTCTATACATCATTCTTTTTTTACCACTTTCTACCCAATCCTCTCCCTCCCTGCAATGTCTGGCAAATTTATTTTCTTATCTACTACAGCTTAGTTTCACCTAAAACAATGTCTCCTGGCACGTTTACCTCCAATGAGGAAATCTGGGGCCAGCTGTTAATATAATTGCACTTCCCATCTTTCTCTACATTTTTAATGCACCTTAAACAAAAGCATTGTCTCCTTGATAATCTCTCAGCTTCTTTACTCTGACTTTTACGATTTATTAAAATATTTGAGAAACAATATGCCTGATAATTAGAATCAACAATAAAATATATATATGTCGTGGTTTCCAAGAACCCTGGAGCATGGTGTGGGGTGGGAGGTGGGGGATGGCAGGGACCTAGAAAGGTCATTGAGGCAGTGAGGTAGTGATTCACTTAAGTCCCACAACTGGTTAGTATCGTTAGTCATTCACTCAAGACCAGGACTCAGGTTTCCTGACTCACATCAAACCACACTAGCTCCTCGAATGTCCTTTAAATTTTCTCCTAGTAAGGAATGATACAAGCAAATAAATCAACAAACTTATATAATTTCACATATTTAACTGGTGGGGCAAGATGATCCAAAGTAATAATCATGATATGATGTCAACTGTGGAAAGCTATCAGGAGGGAATTACCAATGAAGTGCCTGAGATGGTGATAGCATGCATGTGCACACAGGCAGGTAGATGAAGTGCCCCTTCCAAGCTTCCTTCTTAAATAGCACAGCACCAAAGACAATTATCTCTACTGAATTGCAAAAGCAATAATTATTGTATCTCCTAGAATACTCCATTTTTTCCTATTTTCTCACCTCACCGCTAATTTAAGATAACTCGATGGCATTTCAGTAGGAGAAAAGAATTTGTATGTAAATGAGGGAACAGACAAAAACAGGTTATTAAAGTCCATTGGATTCTAGAAAGCTTCACATTTGATTAAAAAACTATGATTCTACAAAAGTGTTTAAGAACATCTGGAGATTTTTTTCCACTAAATTATTTTGAGAATAGTAATGTGATTTTTATTCTAGAGTAAAATGAATTCTGCAGCAGCTTTGTAATAAAAGTGCAGCAAAGTGAAAATTATCTGAAAACTTTGCCTGCCTCAACCATAGCATTAACACCATATATATTGGGAAGCAGAGGCATTTCTGCCAGTTCATTCTCTCCTTTTAGATGTGACTTTTTGATAGGACGTGTATATATCTGTGTCTATATATGTATAGGTACATACATACATAGCAGTAAGTTTTTTATTATAATTATTAAAATGCAAAATTATAAACAACTTCACATAAATAGAATATTTTACGATTTAAAAATTATGTCAACAGATTACATGGTTAACATTATTTATGTTAATGTTAAGTATTTGAAAGTAGTCACCACTAATCTTCAATAGGATGTGAGGCTTCTTACAGTTTTAAACACATTGTAGAATCAGGCAACAGAGACCATCAGTTCAATGTTAAAGAAACAGAAAGCATTGTTTGATGCCATCAACTCAGGCAGGATTTCAGAGGATCAATGACATCCTATTTTTTTTCCTTAGGTAGGTAGAAGAGACTAGGTGTGTGGTAAGAAACTGAGAAATAGCTTAAATTGATCAGATAGTTATAAGCCCTTGATACTGTAGTTGCACATTTTGTTTTAGGTTCCTAAACATCTAAGAATATAAAATAAATTTATCAATATTTATTCGGCAAAGGAGAGAGAGAGTGTGAGAATCTGTATGTGAGATGACCATCACATAAATCTTCCAACATGGCATGGCAAATGGAGAGAAATGGGAATAAAATGTAACTTCTAGAACTACTTTTTATCAATCAGCTTTGACCTCTATTTCAGGACAGATTGTTTAAGTATTTTCTTATTGGTGGAAAAAAAAGGCTTCTCGATTTGTTCACGGAAGCTCTTAGACTGATTCCTCTAAGGGATATAAGAGGGACGCTTTCCTTGAAATCATTTTGCTTTATTCAATACATTGTACCAACTTAGTACACATTTTGGATTTCTCAACTTCTTAGACTTGTATATATGATAGTTTTCTATTGAGTTTTTGACTTCCTATGTTACAGATTTTGTGATTACAATGTTACCCTATTCTCTAGAGATTCATGGTTGTGAATCTCAAGAGTAGTTATTAGCTAAATAAGATTTCTAACAAAATTAAAGGGTTATGGAAGATGCTATTGATAATTTTGTAATATCAGAAAAGTGGTAGCAAATTGAACAGAAGTTCTGTGTGTGTGTGTGTGTGTGTGTGTGTGTGTGTGCGCGTGCGAGCTGTGGACACTGTGACAGGCAACATAATAGCTTCCGAAAGATGTCCATGTGCTGATTTCTGGAATTTGTAAATCTGTTACCTTACATGCAAAGGGAATTTTGTAGACATGATTAAGAGCATCTTGATTATCCAGATGGGCCTAGTTTAATTACACGTTTCCTTTAAAGTGAAAGAGGGAAGCTGGAGGGTGAGAGAGGGAGATATGATGATGGAAATGGGGATCAGAGTGATGTGACTGCTGACTGGTAGATATAAACCAAGAAATGTGGTCATCCTCTAGAAGCTAGAAGAGACAAGGAAACAGATTCTCCCCCACAGCCTCCAGAAGGTGTGCAGCCTGCCTATACCTTGATTTTAGCCTTGTGATACCCACTTTGGGCTTCTGACCCCTCCAGATCTGTAAGATAAATTTGTGTGGTTTTAAACTACTATGTTTATGGTAAATTTTTACAGCAGCAATAGGAACCTGATATGGATAGATACCGTCTGAAAGTCTGGTGAAACCTATGAGTCTCTTTGCAGGATAATATTTTAAAATGCAGAAAATAAAATAGAGATAACACACATCTCTATGTATAAAATAAAATACAGAGATACTGAAAAGGAAATCAAGTAGATTAAAAACTTTTACCATAACATTAAACAAATTTGTGATATAGTAATATATGTACTTTGTGTTAATATCTTAAATGACAAGGTAAATCATTTAAAATATAGACAAGTTAAATGTGATCTTGTAAATATTTGTCAGTGTGAAGGCTAACCATTTGTTGACTCTGCCCAATTCATGTTTAACAAGTTGTACAGTCCTATAGAGGATTAAGAATTGAAATTTGAACAGTAGAGATTTGTAAAACTTTGAGTTTTCATCTTTTTCCAAGTTTGGTCAAGGAACAATTGTACGTGGGGAACACTGGAAAACAAAGTCATTGTCTGGGTCACCAATAAGAAAGTCCATGATGTCACTGTTAACTGAATAACTGAGAGGGAGAACTACCCAGTAGTTGGCCAGCTATCTTGCATAAGTATTGTTAGAAAAATTCCATGCAGTCTCCAAAGGGGTTTAATAACTACCATGATTTCAAATTAGAGATGAGTATAAATATTATTTTGATATACCTTGAAAACCATATTGTGGTATGAAAATATCTATGCTATTTGTGACAAAATGACAGATACCACTAGTACTTTTTTCCTATATTTATAATTTAATGAAATGCTAAATTTTCACTAGAGATTAAAAACAAAAGATGGATTCTTTTTCAATTCACTTTCATGGGCCCTGTAAATTCTATCCATAGGTCCCAGGTTGAGAACAACTAGAATGGAAGCAGGACAACGAGTGGTTTTGTAAAATGGAGCTATTCTTCTTCCTCTTTTTCATTCTAATTTTGAGAAGAAGGGTTGTCTTGCTTATGAACATAAATCACATTAAAATACACAAAACACACAGAGACGTGATGGATCTGTCTTGCCAGCCCCTGATGGTGGAGATTTGATTGGTTGTGGCTAAGGGATCAATTTCCTTTCTCTCGATGTGTCTTCTTTTTCTTCCTTAATCAAAGTGTTTCTTTTCATAGGGAGGCAAGTAATTTTTTAAAATTATTTGATAATGAGAAAATTATATTCTATGTCATAAGAAAATAATTAAGTGGGAGGTCAAGAATGGAGGTTAAGCAGATATTTAGATCAGATCATTTGTGAGATTATTTGTAAATATGCTGTATGTACTGAATGTTTGTGTTCTAAGTTCATTGGTTGAAATCCTAACCCCCAATGTGATGGTATTAGGAGGTGGGGCTGCTGGGAGGTGATTAGGTCATGAGGGCAAACCCTTATGATGAGATTAGTGCCCTTATCAAAGAGATCCCAAAGGGCTCCCTCGCTCTTTCCATCCTGTGAGATCACAGTGAGAAGATGGTCATCTGTGATTCAGGAAGTGGTCCCACCCCAGGTACCAAATCTGCTGGCACCTTAATTTTGGACTTTTTAGCGTTCAGAACTGTGATAAATAAATGCCTATTGTTTAAGCTGCCCAGTCAATATCATTTTGTTATAAAACCGGAATGGACTTTATAATATGTGTCATATGAAAATTAAGGGAAATGATATTATGATGTCTGTATTGTCATTTTTTCAAGGAAAGTTACAGAATTGATTTGAGCATGAATATCCTGATAGTGCAAACCAATCAGACATGTTACTTAAAGAAATCTTGTCCTGTGAGGGAGTAGATCTACAACTTCAATTGTACAACCCAACTTGGAGAGTAGCGTGGGTGTTCTTCAAACACTTAGGTATTCCCTGATATCAAGAGTGAAGTGCCCATTGTTTATAATTCACAGAAACAATGGACCTGTTTCCCTCAATCCTTTTAAAATTGAACATTACTCATTTTTTATTGAAAAAACCTTTTTTTCTATATAAAATACGGCTCTTATTTAACTTGCTGTCATGAAGACAAATTGAGCTAGTCAACTCAGTAGTAAAATAGACCTCTGTTCAAATGTAGTCAGTAAAAAGTCCAGCTAAGTTGGCATTTTGCAGGGTTTGCATTAAAGCATAAGAAATGACAACTTGCTGAAGAGCAAACCAGGCAAAACAGACATCCAAGTTCAAGAGAAAGTTGAAATCTGGAAGGAATACCTGAGCTTTTTGAAAATGACAAGGAAAGCTGCACCTGGATTCTGCTGTGACCACCATCGATTCCATTCTATTACTTAGCCATATGGGACAAAGGTAGATCTCATGAGGTTTTTAGAAAGAACCTAAGGTATATTACGACAAGTGAGAATACATAATAAATCAATAGCCAGATGTTGCTGGCTATAATGGAACTTGTTGATCCGTAGCAGAGACTTTGGATTAATTTTCAGTGTAAAAAATGCATCAGAAACAGCTGACTGAAACTTGAGAAAACTGAAGTGAAGAATTTCTTATCTGATTAAAGACTGAGAGGCAGAAGCAATCTTCACTAGAGTGTGAACACTGTATTCAGTTACTGATTTTTTGCTAGTAATCTTAGATTTCATATATTTTGATATTTCTTCCTTCCCTCCCTGACCAACCACACTCATTTGTAGTTGTGTGTATGCACTGATGTATGTAGGCCATAGAATGTGTGCAAAGAGGTAGATTTGTGCATATGAATTGTAAATTAACCAGAGCTACAGAGTAGACAGATCGGTAAGTTTATCAGGCTTTTATAGTCACCTACTAGAGTCCTTGATGAAGGTTATGGAGCTAAACATGGAGTTAAGAGACATATCTCAGGCAGAATCCTTATTTAAACATGTAAAACTACAAGTCCAAATATCCCTTGATATTTGAAAACACTATTAATGTCTATTATCATAGTGACCCCAATGGTTATAAGGACTTGTGAATTCACCAGTTATGTACAAGCGCCCTGGCTATTGCACACTTCACACTGCAAACTACCCTGTTAGGTGTGGGATTTAGACATGATGCCAGTAGATGGAGGCATCATGTAGGACCAGGGGTTGGGAGGTAAAGTATGTGCGATCAGGCACCAGAGAAAGGAGGAGAAAGAGGCTGGGATTTCTGTGGCACACTAATTTGGTGACATGGTTTGGATATTTGTCCCCTCCAAATCTCCTGTTGAAATTTCATTCTCAATGTTGGAGGTGGGGCTTGGTGGGAAGTGTTTGGGTTATGGGGGTGGATCTCTCATAAATGGCTTGCTCCCCTGTAGTGATGAGTGAGTTTTCACTCCATTAGTTCACCCAAGAGCTGGTTGTTAGAAAGAGTCTGGCACCTTCTGTCCTCCTTACTCCCTCCCTCACCTTTTGACATGCCAGCTCCCATTGCCTTCTGCTATGAGCAAAAGCTTCCTGAGGCCCCACCAGAAGCAGATGCTGGCTCCATGCTTCTTGTAAGCCTACAGAAACAAGAGCTTTATTTATTTATTTTTTTTTTTGCAGATGAAGAGAAATATAACTTTTTATTTTTCTCATACAACTACATTTTTTTAAACATATTAAAAGTCTTCTAGAACTTCCACAGTGCACAAATAGGGCATTGAGGGGTTTTGTTGTTGTTGTTTTTTTGAGACGGAGTCTTGCTCTATCTCCTAGGCCTTGAGGTATTTTATTTTTATTTATTTTTTATTTTATTTTATTTTATTTTATTTTATTTTATTTTATTTTATTTTATTTTATTTTATTTTACTTTTATTATACCTTAAGTTTTAGGGTACATGTGCACATTGTGCAGGTTAGTTACATATGTATACATGTGCCATGCTGGTGCGCTGCACCCACTAACTCGTCATCTAGCATTAGGTATATCTTCCAATGCTATCCCTCCCCCCTCCTCCCACCCCACAACAGTCCCCAGAGTGTGATATTCCCCTTCCTGTGTCCATGTGATCTCATTGTTCAATTCCCACCTATGAGTCAGAATATGCAGTGTTTGGTTTTTTGTTTTTGCGATAGTTTACTGAGAATGATGATTTCCAGTTTCATCCATGTCCCTACAAAGGACATGAACTCATCACTTTTTATGGCTGCATAGTATTCCATGGTGTATATGTGCCACATTTTCTTAATCCAGTCTATCATTGTTGGACATTTGGGTTGGTTCCAAGTCTTTGCTATTGTGAATAGTGCCGCAATAAACATACGTGTGCATGTGTCTTTATAGCAGCATGATTTATAGTTCTTTGGGTATATACCCAGTAATGGGATGGCTGGGTCAAATGGTATTTCCAGTTCTAGATCCCTGAGGAATCGCCACACTGACTTCCACAATGGTTGAACTAGTTTACAGTCCCACCAACAGTGTACAAGTGTTCCTATTTCTCCACATCCTCTCCAGCACCTGTTGTTTCCTGACTTTTTAATGATCGCCATTCTAACTGGTGTGAGATGGTATCTCATTGTGGTTTTGATTTGCATTTCTCTGATGGCCAGTGATGATGAGCATTTTTTCATGTGTTTTTTGGCTGCATAAATGTCTTTTTTTGAGAAGTGTCTGTTCGTGTCCTTTGCCCACTTTTTGATGGGGTTGTTTGTTTTTTTCTTGTAAATTTGTTTGAGTTCATTGTAGATTCTGGATATTAGCCCTTTGTCAGATGAGTAGGTTGCGAAAATTTTCTCCCATTTTGTAGGTTGCCTGTTCACTCTGATGGTAGTTTCTTTTGCTGTGCAGAAGCTCTTTAGTTTAATTAGATCCCATTTGTCAATTTTGTCTTTTATTGCCATTGCTTTTGGTGTTTTGGACATGAAGTCCTTGCCCATGCCTATGTCCTGAATGGTAATGCCTAGGTTTTCTTCTAGGGTTTTTATGGTTTTAGGTCTAACGTTTAAGTCTTTAATCCATCTTGAATTGATTTTTGTATAAGGTGTAAGGAAGGGATCCAGTTTCAGCTTTCTACATATGGCTAGCCAGTTTTCCCAGCACCATTTATTAAATAGGGAATCCTTTCCCCATTGCTTGTTTTTCTCAGGTTTGTCAAAGATCAGATAGTTGTAGATATGCGGCGTTATTTCTGAGGGCTCTGTTCTGTTCCATTGATCTATATCTCTGTTTTGGTAACAGTACCATGCTATTTTGGTTACTGTAGCCTTGTAGTATAGTTTGAAGTCAGGTAGTGTGATGCCTCCAGCTTTGTTCCTTTGGCTTAGGATTGACTTGGCGATGCGGGCTCTTTTTTGGTTCCATACGAACTTTAAAGTAGTTTTTTCCAATTCTGTGAAGAAAGTCATTGGTAGCTTGATGGGGATGGCATTGAATCTGTAAATTACCTTGGACAGTATGGCCATTTTCATGATATTGATTCTTCCTACCCATGAGCATGGAATGTTCTTCCATTTGTTTGTATTCTCTTTTATTTCCTTGAGCAGTGGTTTGTAGTTCTCCTTGAAGAGGTCCTTCACATCCCTTGTAAGTTGGATTCCTAGGTATTTTATTCTCTTTGAAGCAATTGTGAATGGGAGTTCACTCATGATTTGGCTCTCTGTTTGTCTGTTGTTGGTGAGGGCAATTAGGCAGGAGAAGGAAATAAAGGGTATTCAATTAGGAAAAGAGGAAGTCAAATTGTCCCTGTTTGCAGATGACATGATTGTATATCTAGAAAACCCCATTGTCTCAGCCCAAAATCTCCTTAAGCTGATAAACAACTTCAGCAAAGTCTCAGGATACAAAATCAATGTACAAAAATGACAAGCATTCTTATACACCAAGAGCTTTAAATAAGCCTCTTTTCTTTGTAAATTACTCAGCCTCTGGTATTCCTTTGTAGTAAAGCAAACAATCTAATACACTTGGTTAAAGAAAGAGGAAAGCAGTGATTTTCATTTTGATGCAGCACTTTGGCCAGGCAGTGTTAGCATGAGTACATCAGCTGGTTATGTCAAGATGTGTAGCTGGGTTGCTTTTGCTGTTTTCTAGACTTTCCAGTCTTTTTTTCTTTCCTTTTGAAAGAGGAACTGAATCTTTAATTCTGTTTTTTTTTTTTTCAGTCTTGTTGCTTAACCATTTAATACACAGCAGGTCATCTGGCACATGTACTATTCTAAGCTTTATGGATACCATGATGGATACATCAGCATCCTCAAGGAGTCTGAAGTTGAAGTTGGAGATGTAAATAGATCATTCCTTCTTGCTTAATACGAGACTGGCTGGAGGCCTTCATTTTAAAGAAAGAAACTAACATTTGCTGAATTTTGACTGTGTCCAAGCACTATGCTAGGGGCCTTAACATTCATTATATACCACATAATCCTTGAAAAAATTCAGTGGTGTGGAAGAGTCCCACAGCATATCTACCAGCAGCCACCAACTCTCAATAGCTTTTTAGGCAACTTAAGGCTGAATTCACTGCTTTCTAAATGGATCTTGGTCAAGCTACTTAACTTTCCTGAAAATCAGTGTCCCCAAAAGATTAAATTGGTTGTAATTAATAATATCTACTTCCAGGATGAGAATCAAATGAAATAAAATAATTTACAATACTAAAATATTGAGCGTACTATCATAATTCAATGAATGTTTCCTCTTCTACATTCTTTCCATTTTACATTAAAATGAAAGGAATTGTCATTCTTTCACACATGGCTTCTCAAGGATAGAGCTCCTATAACATATGTATCACTGGCAACACTGAAAAGAATCCAGCGGAAATAAAAGCTGATGATCAATGGCCGGGTCTTGCCTTCAACCCTATCAGTGCTAGCTCCAGGGACATACAACTCCTGCTATATTGGGCATGAAATGATTTAACTGTTATGTTCTGGGCTGCTGTTAGCAGAGGGATGTTGAATGGTCTTACATGGGTAGTGTCATGGCTTTGTGGAAACAGAGAGTTCCTTTTCAGCTACTTTCTTTAAAAAATTTAATTTTCCTCATCCCTTCCATTTTTGACAGCAGAAGAATGCTGCAGCCATGTGAAAGCATTCTAGACCTAAAGGGAAAATAATCTCCCAGAATGTTCAGAGGAGGTTTCTGATTGGCTCAGAACCAACCCCTTAGACCTTCAAGGAGGAAGAATCACTATCAGGCCACATGAAGTATTAGAATTTATTGCCTATCAGTATGGGTAGTAAAATTTATTTTGAAAAGGATATATAAACACTTTTAGAAAATAGTACATATCTATGGTTAAAAAATTGTGCTATAGATTTAACTTGCTTAAGACTGTTGCTGCCCTTGCCAAATGCACTTTTATTTGTTACGTTAGATCTTTAAAATGACCTTGGTAGCTGTAAATTATATGCTTTGTATTGTTTCAACACAAATTGATTTCAACTTTCAAGTTGAAATGGCATCCTTTAATGCTCATGTTGTAAGCGGGAATATTATCTCTCTCATCCTTCTTTGTACCTCTTTTCTATCTCCTCTGTCTCATGGTTCTGTCATCAGTACCTTTGCTTTTCGTTGTTAAGTTCAGCCTTGAATGTAAAAAGGGAGAATGTGAGGCCATCTGGCAAATAAGTCAGGAACAAAGGTTTAAAGAAAAGTGAGGTTAAACAGTGTAATTCCTCTGGTGTTTACTTCTCTGATTATCTACCTCAGGATTCTGAAATTTGGTTGTGCAAGAGGATTACCTGGAGTGTTTCTTCAATAGGTAGTTTCCTGCATCCAAGCCCTAGAAAGTCTCATTCTGTCTGTTTGAGGTGCGCATAGAGTGCTTAATATTGACTAAGCACTGCAGACGGTGGTGATGCAGATGGTCCTCAGAGCATGCTGCAGGAAATATTTAATCTCGTTTCCCTTGGTGATGGAGAATAACACTCCTTTTGGCCCCAAATGGCAGAAGATGCCATTTCAAATGTTAGCTGTGTGCCTCCTAAGTCTAGTGAAATGGCCAGCTTATCCTGAGAACTCTGGAGTTGGTGGAAAGAATTGGAATCCAATAGCTGGCATCTAGAAGATAAATTTGTAGTATTGGATACATTTACCCATCATGCACAAGTTTATATCTTGGATTAATAGGATGCACCGAGTCATCAGGCACCCTGGAGGAGATCTTTCAGTGAAAACCAGCCGCTTTTGGAAGGGTTTCAGTTAGTCTTTGTAGAGGTAACTGGAGCTACTTCCCAGGAAGACCCCTATCCTGATAGATTTACTGAACTCTGCAAAATACATCAAGGATATTTTCCCTTGACCAGAAGAGATAATGGAGCTAGCACATGGCATTCCAATTATGTACTTCCAATACGTCAGAAGAGATGCCACTGGAACTGTCCCTTACTATTGATGCCATGGCTGAAAGCTTAGATGCCCATCGATCTTTATTTTTGTATAGTTAAGGGACACATTATAGGGAACCTCACTTAAAAAATTATTTCAGGTTTAGGGGTACATGTGAAGGTTGGTTACATGGTTAAACTTGTGTCACGGGGGTTTGTTGTGCAGATTATTACATCACCCAGATATTAAGCTCAGTACCTAATGCTATCTTTTCTGTTCCTCTCCCTCCCCCAAACCTCACCCCTCAAGTAGACCTCAGTGTCTGTTGTTTCCTTCTTTGTGGAACCTAACTTCTTTTCCAGTTAGCCTCAGGGACAAGTTACAGGATCTAACAGATTTATTCCTGCAGCGCCACCTACAGGAGAATGTATCAGTGAGGGTTCGATCAGGAAAACAGAGTCACTATGAATGCTGTGAATGAAGGCGTCTTACCTGATTGCGAAGATGTTGGGTAAGTGAAGGCCCAGTAGAGGGCGCTGGAGGATCAGAGAAAGAGCACCAACCAGCCTTCCTGAAGCACTGAGATGGGGGATAAGTCAGTTTTCAGGGAAATCAGAGAAGCTAGGTATACATCTGAGGACTCCAAAGGCAGGAGGCCCTGGCTCTGATGCTTCTAAGGCAGATGAATTGGGTGCCAGTGGTGGGGGCGAGCATGCATTGGAGTGTTCCTTGTGGGCCAGAGGTGAGCCCCAAAGGAGAGAGCTGTTCTGGGGCCATTCAAATTCTGTCCAAGAGGTCTCTGCAAGAGAGCTGGAAGGACCACACATGAGCAGCCTGTCTGAGAAAAATCTGTTGCTGCTGTCTAGGTAAGCCTCCTTGGTTGTTCTCTGGCGAGACTGAAGCGCCCACACAAGCCATCCAAGGAAAGGAGTCGGTTTTGGTCATCCCTCCCAGCGAGAGGTGGCTGGAGACATCTGCAAATGCCAGGAAAAACCCGCTCCAGATTGTACTGGGTCTGACCTTGACTTTTTTTCCTTTATCTTCTCCACGCCTGGAGGGACCCATGGCAGAGCTAGAAAATCATCTGGGAGAAGAGGCAGTGAGGTGGGGAAACAGAAGAGAAGCTGAAATATACCCTATTACAACCTTCTGAGCTTGTCTAACCTAGGAGAGGCGAGGTGCTTTCACGTTAGGTAAAATTCACGCTTTGAAAAACATTGGACTAAGTTGTATGTATTTGTTACTATTCTTACGATTGAAGGTAAACAGGTTTTTGAGTATTGAGTAGTGATTGAAGAAGTTATGGACTTTATCAGAGAATTCATACAGTGGCAGGGAAAGAACTGGCGCACAGAGTGAGTTTAAAGAGCAGTGGGACAAAGAATAAAGTTAGTTTCTGATTAAGTCACATGGTCATGAATGTTCAGCTTAGCAGTGACTTGCCATGGTAAAAATGTCAGGCAACCCATAGTAGTTTCATCCAGCTTATTTTGACTCCAGTTTATTTATTTACTTGAAAGACAAGTAGAAGAAAAGAGTTTCTGAATATTTGGAAGATTTTGCCGAAGTAAGTAAATGCAGTTGCATGTAGTTGAAGAGCATCAGATAAGACAAAACTGAGCCTTGTTGCAGAAGAAAATCTTGCTCAGTGGCACTGGAGCTGCTGCCACGTCTTCACTGACTTATCCCTAGTTTTTAGAAGCTGCTGTTAACTTCCTTTGATGGTCTTTGGTCAGTAGCTAAGCCTATAATATGAGCCTTTAGCTGCTTGGGAATTTCAGTCTTATTTTGCTATCTTCATCCTTTTACAACTTGTAAAATCTATGCAATTGAGTTGAAATTTTTGATTTCTACTCAAGAATGCAGAAGATGAAATGAAGAGGTAATGTCATATATCTAAATTATCTAAATTCCAATCTCCTTTTGCCTGAATTTGTAAACTCCTATATGCTTGTGAACCCCTTAGTATAGAGGTGGAAATTATATGGCTTATTCATAACAGGATAAAAATCTTAGACATAAAATTAGAAATAAAATAAACTGGAATATGAACTTGAAATAGTCCTAATCTCTATCCTTTTTCCCTTGGAAAAACCCTAATTCTTTTTTTCTAAACTTAACCCTAACCATAATCCTCTAAATAATATAGGAACAATTTGATTATTGATTTTGTGACTATAAACGTTTTTATTAAGCTTCACGTTTTCGAATATAAAGAAATTGTGAAAATGAAGCATTTTGCTGAACCAAAATTGCATTGTTAGTTCTTGCAAGCATGGGTTTCTTTTCTTGTACTAAGTAAAATTTCTTAAAGTGTAAATCAAAAGCTAGTACCTAAAGAAAATTCTGGCTTTCCTGCTGGTTCACCCTTGCTTAGTGTCCTATGCAGGGATGGGATGGGTACCCTCAGGGCAAAAGTACTGGTTAAGCTTCTTATGGTATCTACAGCATGCAGGTCTGCCCTTGAGCCCAATGGAGAAATTTACTAGGATGCCATCTGAGAGTGTGAACCCAAATTGCCCTATTTCAGACCTTTTAAAATGCCCCTTCGAAAGAAGTGTCTATTAGAAAAAGCCACCTTGGGACAGTAATTGACATCTCATCCTCAGTATGCTTTCAGTGTTGTCCTTGAGTCGGATTTGATGGCTGAAAAGCAATGTACCTGGTTATTAGCTTTGCCCTTTGTAGCTACCCTCCCTGAGCTGCAGCATAATGGGATGTTCCCAGTTTTTATGGAGGTCGCAACAAGAAAGAGGCATATGAAATTTGCTCCTTCATTTACTCTGACACCCTCTATTACGTTATTTAATGTACTTTGTATAAATCCTCACATGAGCCATTCCTTTAGAGTTTGGTTACAGGTAAAAAACTTGTCTCTCCTAAGGAATTTGTTGCTAAGCTTCTTTCTCTTAGGTTATAAGAACTCAGTATTATTTACACACTTACATTTTATTTCTATGGTTCTGAAATACTATTGCAATTTATAAACCTTTTTAAGCCATAGTTTACATGTTGTTCCAAATTATTTTTGGGAAGGGGTAAAAATTAATTAAACAAACCAATAATATTCTGTGATTGTCCTAGTTTAGTAGCCTTAAAATATTACTTTTAGAAAAACTACCTTTAAAAGATGTTCTAACTGCCAAGTTATTTAAAAGTATAACATAAAAATATCCTTATTTTAACATGGGAAATAACATTATGTATTTTATGGCACTATTGTGGTGATCACCTCCTCACCTAAAAAGAATGGTTGAATATTCTTCAATTTATTTACCATTCATGCAGTACATAACAATATGTCTCACTCAAAGGGTGTGTTTATTTTCCCTATTTATTGCACTTTTGTTGTTATCATATATAATTGTATCAAAAGTCAAGCCTTCATTATACAATAAGTACATGTATACATGTATTCACAGTAAAAATCAAGTGATGGATTTACTGATTTTTAAAAGCATATCCCCAATTCATTCGTTTTTTAGACTCTTTTTGCCCATTTCAAAGAAGCAATAAACAGTATCTAGTCTTTGTTGTTTTTCTGATATAATATTTTCTTCTTTTCATAATCAGCTGCACTTTTGTAACCTCTTAGAAAGCAATAATTACTTTGGTCTGTCCTTTTATTGCTGTAATACTCTACTTTTCTCTTAAAAAATTTCAAAGAGCATAGAAATCAGTGCTCTAAATGAGTGAAACACATGTAAACACCTTAGATACCATAGTATCTATGGCAACTGTTTTTTGGATAAGGTAATTTAAGTAACAATATGTTTGTGAAATATTAGAATGAAAACTTCCATAAATTTGTCTTTTATAAAAATAATAATTGTTATTTTTCATATCTGTTGATGAAATACATACTTTCAGGGAAAATTTATTGAAAGGTTAATTTCATTATTAAAAAACTTGGAACCATTTGGGTTTAATATCTGCTTCATGGAAGTACCTGGACTGGTATATTAGTGAATTTCTTTTTTAAATTTGAATTTTTTTTTATTATACTTTAAGTTTTAGGGTACATGTGCACAATGTGCAGGTTTGTTACATATGTATACATGTGCCATGTTGGTGTGCTGCACCCATTAACTCGTCGTTTAACATTAGGTATATCTCCTAATGCTATTCCTCCCCACTGCCCCCAACCCACAACAGGCCCCGCCGGTGTGTGATGTTCCCCTTCCTGTGACCATGTGTTCTCATTGTTCAATTCCCACCTTTGAGTGAGAACATGTGGTGTTTGGTTTTTTGTCCTTGCGATAGTTTGCTGAGAATGATGGTTTCCGGCTTCATCCATGTCCCTACAAAGGACATAAACTCATCCTTTTTTATGGCTGCATAGTATTCCATGGTGTATATGTGCCACATTTTCTTAATCCAGTCTATCACTGATGGATATTTGGGTTGGTTCCAAGTCTTTGCTATTGTGAACAGTGCTGCAATAAACATACATGTGCATGTGTCTTTATAGCAGCATGATTTATAATCCTTTGGGTATATACCCAGTAATGGGATGGCTGGGTCAAATGGTATTTCTAGTTCTAGATCCCTGAGGAATTGCCACACTGACTTCCACAATGGTTGAACTAGTTTACGGCCCCACCAACAGTGTAAAAGTGTTCCTATTTCTCCACATCCTCTCCAGCACCTGTTGTTTCCTGACTTTTTAATGATCGCCATTCTAACTGGTGTGAGATGGTATCTCATTGTGGTTTTGGTTTGCATTTCTCTGATGGCCAATGATGATGAGCATTTTTTCATCTGTCTTTTGGCTGCATAAATGTCTTCTTTTGAGAAGTGTCTGTTCATATCCTTTGCCTGCTTTTTGATGGGGTTGTTTGTTTTTTTCTTGTAAATTTGTTTGAGTTCATTGTAGATTCTGGATATTAGCCCTTTGTCAGATGAGTAGGTTGCAAAAATTTTCTCCCATTCTGTAGGTTGCCTGTTCACTCTGATGGTAGTTTCTTTTGCTGTGCAGAAGCTCTTTAGTTTAATTAGATCCCATTTGTCAATTTTGTCTTTTGTTGCCATTGCTTTTGGTGTTTTAGACATGAAGTGCTTGCCCATGCCTATGTCCTGAATGGTAATGCCTAGGTTTTCTTCTAGGGTTTTTATGGTTTTAGGTTTACCATTTAAGTCTTTAATCCATCTTGAATTAATTTTTGTATAAGGTGTAAGGAAGGGATCCAGTTTCAGCTTTCTACATATGGCTAGCCAGTTTTCCCAGCACCATTTATTAAATAGGGAATCCTTTCCCCATTGCTTGTTTTTGTCAGGTTTATCAAAGATCAGATAGTTGTAGATATGTGGCATTATTTCTGAGGGCTCTGTTCTGTTCCATTGATCTATATCTCTGTTTTGGTACCAGTACCATGCTGTTTTGGTTACTGTAACCTTGTAGTATAGTTTGAAGTCAGGTAGCGAGATCCCTCTAGCTTTGTTCTTTTGGCTTAGGATTGACTTGGAAATGCGGGGTGTTTTTTGGTTCCATATGAATTTTAAAGTAGTTTTTTCCAATTCTGTGAAGAAAGTCATTGGTAGCTTGATGGGGATGGCATTGAATCTATAAATTACCTTGGGCAGTATGGCCATTTTCATGATATTGATTCTTCCTACCCATGAGCATGGAATGTTCTTCCATTTGTTTGTATTCTCTTTTATTTCCTTGAGCAGTGGTTTGTAGTTCTCCTTGAAGAGGTCCTTCACATCCCTTGTAAGTTGGATTCCTAGGTATTTTATTCTCTTTGAATCAGTTGTGAATGGGAGTTCACTCATGATTTGGCTCTCTGTTTGTCTGGTATTTGTGTATAAGAATGCTTGTGATTTTTGCACATTGATTTTATGTCCTGAGACTTTACTGAGGTTGCTTATCAGCTTGAGGAGATTTTGGGCTGAGACGATGGGGTTTTCTAGATATCCAATCATGTCATCTGCAAACAGGGACAATTTGACTTCCTCATTTCCTAATTGAATACTCTTTATTTCCTTCTCCTGCCTCATTGCCCTGGCCAGAACTTTCAACACTATGTTGAATAGGAGTGGTGAGAGAGGGCATCCCTGTCTTGTGCCAGTTTTCAAAGGGAATGCTCCCAGTTTTTACCCATTCAATATGATATTGGCTGTGGATTTGTCATAAATAGCTCTTATTATTTTGAGATACGTCCCACCAATACCTAATTTATTGAGAGTTTTTAGCATGAAGGTTTGTTGAATTTTGTCAAAGGCCTTTTCTGCATGTATTGAGATAATCATGTGGTTTTTGTCTTTGGTTCTGTTTATATGCTGGATTATGTTTATTGATTTGCATATGTTGAACCAGCCTTGCATCTCAGGGATGAAGCCCACTTGATCGTGGTGGATAAGCTTTTTGATGTGCTGCTGGATTCGGTTTGCTAGTATTTTATTGAGGATTTTTGCATTGATGTTCATCAGGGATATTGGTCTAAAATTCTCTTTTTTTGTTGTGCCTCTGCCAGGCTTTGGTATCAGGATGATGCTGGCCTCATAAAGTGAGTTAGGGAGGATTCCCTCTTTTTCTATTGATTGGAATAGTTTCAGAAGGAATGGTACCAGCTCCTCCTTGTACCTCTGATAGAATTTGGCTGTGAATCCATCTGGTCTGGACTTTTTTTGGTTGGTAAGCTATTAATTATTGCCTCAATTTCAGAGCCTGTTATTGGTCTATTCAGAGATTCAACTTCTTCCTGGTTTAGTCTTGGGAGGGTGTATGTGTCGAGGAATTTATCCATTTCTTCTAGATTTTCTAGTTTATTTGTGTAGAGGTGTTTGTAGTATTCTCTGATGGTAGTTTGTATTTCTGTGGGATTGGTGGTGATATCCCCTTTATCATTTTTTATTGTGTCTATTTAATTCTTCTCTCTTTTCTTCTTTATTAGTTTTGCTAGCGGTCTACCAATTTTGTTGATCTTTTCAAAAAACCAGCTCCTGGATTCATTAATTTTTTGAACGGTTTTTTGTGTCTCTATTTCCTTCAGTTCTGCTCTGATCTCAGTTATTTCTTGCCTTCTGCTACCTTTTGATTGTGTTTGCTCTTGTTTCTCTAGTTCTTTTAATTGTGATGTTAGGGTGTCAATTTTAGATCTTTCCTGCTTTCTCTTGTGGGCATTTAGTGCTATAAATTTCCCTCTACTGCTATAAATTTCCGTCTACACACTGCTTTGAATGTGTCCCAGAGATTCTGGTATGTTGTGTCTTTGTTCTCGTTGGTTTCAAAGAAAATCTTTATTTCTGCCTTCATTTCGTTATGTACCCAGTAGTCATTCAGGAGCAGGTTATTCAGTTTCCATGTAGTTGAGCAGTTTTGAGTGAGTGTCTTAATCCTGAGTTCTAGTTTGATTGCACTGTGATCTGAGAGACAGTTTGTTATAATTTCTGTTCTTTTACATTTGCTGAGGAGTGCTTTACTTCCAACTATGTGGTCAATTTTTTAATAGGTATGGTGTGGTGCTGAAAAGAATGTACATTCTGTTGACTTGGGGTGGAGAGTTCTGTAGATGTCTATTAGGTCTGCTTGGTGCAGAGCTGAGTTCAATTCCTGCATATCCTTGTTAACTTTCTGTCTTGTTGATCTGTCTAATGTTGACAGTGGGGTGTTAAAGTCTCCCATTATTATTGTGTGGGAGTCTAAGTCTCTTTGTAGGTCTCTAAGGACTTGCTTTATGAATCTGGGTGCTCCTGTATTGGGTGCATATATATTTAGGATAGTTAGCTCTTCTTGTTGAATTGATCCCTTTACCATTATGTAATAGCCTTCTTTGTCTTTTTTGATCTTTGTTGGTTTAAAGTCTGTTTTATCAGAGACTGGGATTGCAACCCCTGCCTTTTTTTGTTTTCCATTTGCTTGGTAGATCTTCCTCCATCCCTTTATTTTGAGCCTGTGTGTGTCTCTGCACGTGAGATGGGTTTCCTGAATACAGCACACTGATGGGTCTTGACTCTTTATCCAATTTGCCAGTCTGTGTCTTTTAATTGGAGCATTTAGCCCATTTACATTTAAGGTTAATATTGTTATATGTGAATTTGATCCTGTCATTATGATGTTAGCTGGTTATTTTGCTCGTTAGTTGATGTAGTTTCTTCCTAGCCTCGATGGTCTTTACAATTTGGCATGTTTTTGCAGTGGCTGGTACCGGTTGTTCCTTTCCATGTTTAGTGCTTCCTTCAGGAGCTCTTTTAGTGCAGGCCTGATGGTGACAAAAATTTCTCAGCATTTGCTTGTCTGTAAAGGATTTTATTTCTCCTTCAGTTATGAAGCTTAGTTTGGCTGGATATGAAATTCTGGGTTGAAAATTCTTTTCTTTAAGAATGTTGAATATTGGCCCCCACTCTCTTTTGGCTTGTAGAGTTTCTGCCTAGATATCAGCTGTTAGTCTGATGGGCTTCCCTTTGTGGGTAACCCTCTCTGGCTGCCCTAAATATTTTTTCCTTCATTTCAACTTTGGTGAATTTGACAATTATATGTCTTGGAGTTGATCTTCTCGAGGAGTATCTTTGTGGCGTTGTCTGTATTTCCTGAATTTGAATGTTGGCCTGCCTTGCTAGATTGGGGAAGTTCTCCTGGATAATATCCTGCAGAGTGTTTTCTAACTTGGTTCCATTCTCCCTGTCACTTTCAGGTACACCAATCAGACATAGATTTGGTCTTTTCACATAGTGCCATATTTCTTGGAGGCTTTGTTCATTTCTTTTTATTCTTTTTTCTCTAAGCTTCTCTTCTCACTTCATTTCATTCATTTGATCTTCCATCACTGATACCCTTTCTTCCAAGCTGATTCCAGTTGATCGAATCAGCTACTGAGGCTTGTGCATTTGTCACGTAGTTCTCGTGCCATGGTTTTCAGCTCCATCAGGTCTTTTAAGGACTTCTCTGCATTGGTTATTCTAGTTAGCCATTCGTCTAATCTTTTTTCGAGGTTTTTAACTTCTTTGCCATGGGTTTGAACTTCCTCCTTTAGCTTGGAGTAGTTTGATCGTCTGAAGCCTTCTTCTCTCAAGTCATCAAAGTCATTCTCTGTCCAGCTTTTTTCCGTTGCTGGTGAGGAGCTGCGTTCCTTTGGAGGAGGAGAGGCACTCTGAATTTTAGAATTTTCAGTTTTTCTGCTCTGTTTTTTCCCCATCTTTGTGGTTTTATCTACCTTTGGTCTTTGATGATGGTGACGTACAGATGGGGTTTTGGTGTGGATGTCCTTTCTGTTTGTTAGTTTTCCTTCTAACAGTCAGGACCCTCGGCTGCAGGTCTGTTGGAGTTTGCTGGAGGTCCACCCCAGACCCTGTTTGCCTGGGTCTCAGTAGCGGAGGCTGCAGAACAGCGGATATTGGTGAACAGCAAATGTTGCTGCCTGATCGTTCCTCTGGAAGTTTTGTCTCAGAGGAGTACCTGGCCGTGTGAGGTGTCAGTCTGCCCCTACTTGGGGGTGCCTCCTAGTTATGGTACTTGGGGGTCAGGGACCCACTTGAGGAGACAGTCTCTCTGTTCTCAGATCTTAAGCTGTGTGCTGGGAGAACCACTACTCTCTTCAAAGCTGTCAGACAGGGACATTTAAGTCTGCAGAGGTTTCTGCTGCCTTTTGTTTGGCTATGCCTTGCCCACAGAGGTGGAGTCTACAGTTGCAGGCAGGCCTCCTTGACCTGCAGTGGGCTCCACCCAGTTCAAGCTTCCCAGCCGCTTTGTTTACCTATTCAAGCCTGGGTAATGGTGGGCGCCCCTCCCCTAGCCTCGCTGCCACCTTGCAGTTTGATCTCAGACTGCTGTGCTAGCAATGAGCGAGGCTCCGTGGGCATAGGACCCTCCAAGTCATGTGCAGGATATAATCTCCTGGTGTGCCGTTTGCTAAGACCATTGGAAAAGCACAGTATTAGGGTGGGAGTGACCCAATTTTCCAGGTGCCGTCTGTCACCCCTTTCCTTGGCTAGGAAAGGGAATTCCCTGACCCCTTGCACTTCCTGGGTGAGGCGATGCTTCACCCTGCTTCGGCTCACGCTTGGTGCACTGCACCCACTGTCCTGCACCCAGTGTCCCTCAATCCCCAGTGTGATGAACCCAGTACCTCAGTTGGAAATGCAGAAATCACCTGTCTTCTGTGTCGCTCACGCTGGGAGCTGCAGACTGGAGCTGTTCCTATTCGGCCATCTTATATTAGTGAATTTTTAAACTCATACTTCCGTAAGTTAAAATTGCTTCAGTCTTCTGCTTTCTCATGAATTTTTTGGAGTTCCTAGAAGCTTAATGACTCCATGTATCAATGAGTCAAAACAAGTTATATTGATTATTATACCTACTGTGTGTAGGACCCAACCACCAGGCTCATGCAATATTCAAGCTATCACCACATACAATCATTGGTCATAGCAATCATGAAAACAGTGAGAAAACAGTGAATAGTTTCCTTCCTGCCTCTCTTTCAATCTTTCTTCACTCCTTTCCTGCAAAATGAAAGCCTCTGAATGAGCTTGTTATTTTTGGTACCTCACATATATACAGAGTAAATGGGAATCTTTCAGTCTCCATGTCCAGCTAAGTTACTGTTTACTTTTTCTATTTCTAGCTCTCCTAGGAAATGTGTGTCAAGATTCATACAATTAACCCAGAAGGAAGCAATTTATTTCTGTGAATTATTATTTAGCTGTATGATCTTTTCTTATCCCTCTACCATGGCCAAGTTGAAATTTAAATTCTGTATTCCTAAAATAATTAATAATCCAGAAAGGAGCTGTTTTTTTTTTCTATTTAAACACCAACTCTAGCAAACCAGAATAAAGTGTCCTGCAATTTAGATACAGTTTGGAAATATTTGCAGTGCTGAGACTTGATTACAGAGTTGGTAGCAGGGATGGTTAAAGATTGACCATCTTGCGTTCTGCTTTGGGCAAATCTTAGGAAAGGACCAAAGTGCTTAAATTCAGAGTACAAATTTATTCACTAAACTAATATTTATTTTGCTCTACTAAGTGCTAGGCTTTTATTTTTTTCAAATTTTGCTACTGAGGATAGATAATAAATTCTTGTCCCATGGATGTAACAACAACGACAACAACAAAAATCTAGATTTGTTATTATTATTGAAGCCATCAGCTACAATATATATTTGATTATTTTAACACGCAGATATCAAATTGCCAAACAACCCTTTATCTAATGGCTTGGATGAACCCTAATTTTTAAGAAGAAATAAAACAGATATTTATTTTTTTGACTTTCAATTAGGTGGGTAGAAAAATAAATTTGTATAATTGTTTTTTACTTATTTAGGTTCTATGATAAATGGCTATTTTTTTACATAGTTGATATGTATCTTTATAATGTATAATTTAAAAAGAAGTTTCATTATATTCACTTTATTCTACTCTGTAGAGCTAAAAGTAAGCAAAGGGGATCTACTTAAAAATGTTATGTTAAATATAGTGAACTCCAAGTTTCTCTTCAAAGAATCAGTATGTCAGTATATTCAGCTCTCTTATTCTCTGTTCTCTATTTTAAAGTTTAACTTCCTGGTTCTCTTCACCCTCTTGCTTCTAGTTTCAGTAAACAACCCCCTCCTAGCCTCTATCACCTGCTCCATCCTGAGTCGCCCCTGGTCACTTGCTCTGACTTCAGTTATCCTGAGTCACCTGTTCTGTAACTATTGTTCCCACCAAACTACTCACCCTGCCACTCTGACTTGTACCCATGCTCTCTTTAAAATAGCCAGTCGGAATTAGCTTAGACTGTGTGGTCCAACCCTAGCCAATAGGGGAACGACACAGCAGTGGGGGCTACCTGCTTTAGGGATAAGAACCCCTTCCCCTCCCATGTTCAGGTGCGCTTTCACCATTTCTCCATTCACGAGTTGTACCCTTCTATAGAAGTAAAAATTGCCTTGTTGAGAAAATTAAATTTATGTTCGAGTGCTATTTCTTTGTGGCACCGAAAATTTATTTATAACAGTTATTAGCTTTTTCAATATTTTTTAGAGGTTGTGAGAATTGAGGAGGTGGAGTCTTAGAGCATTCCAATATTTGTAAAACAAACAAAAAGAACTAAACCCACCTCCCCATCTCGCACACCCCTAACCTGTGAAATTACATTTGTAAGCAAGGCACTTCATAGTAGATGGCTCCGTTTCCTAGAGAGAAAGTTTCCTATCCGTCTAGAGCAGTTTTATTGTCCTTATTTCATGTTTCCATAAATCACACTACTCTTTGTTCCTTCTTTGTCACAATTTTCCCCAAAATGGTAAAAGTTAAGAAAGATGAAACTTTTTAGGCTGCTTGCCATGCTTTTGCATGATTAATTCACACATGAAGAAAACAAAATACCTTTAATTTTTAATTAAAGAATTTACAAAAGGAGAAAAGTGTTTATTGAGTGATAAATAATAATGATTGATTAAAGGAATGTGTAACCAGCTCTATGAGCTATTGAAATATCCTGCCAAAGAGAAAATGGGAAGAATTCTGTTTTGTCAGAATTCCATTTAAAGTAATAGATATTGGGAAGGGGAACCAGGAGATTTCCAGGTAATAGTAAGGCTTTTAGGTGAGTGAGGTCACTGGCTGAGGGAGCCCTCATTCAGAATGGGCAGAATTATTCAAGTTTCATGATGCCCAAGAGTGGATGTGGGCAGCCAGAGAGCTGATCTGTGGTTTTTTGAAACAGAGTTCCCAGGGCCGTGTTATCTTTCTGTGGTCTTGTTAAACATTTTCATCTCAATTCCCCAGGAATGTGTTTTCTTACGGGAAACATATTCTGACTTTAAAATGTAATTCATTTTTGATACTAGAATTCAATTCATTCAAATTTAGAGTCACCTTTGTTGGAAAAATCTTAACAAAATTTTATTTAAATTACCTTTATTACACAAAGCCACGTAAAGTGTATTTGGTTTCATGTATGAGTGTGTTTATGAAATGAGGTGTTGGACATAAGTCAATTTCAGAGACTTGAATCGATACAGCCTTTAGTACACTTTTGTGTAGTTCGTTTTAGTTTCTCGCATATTTTCTCATACTTAAAAATTCTCATGAGTTTAAAGGAATGTTGGTACTATTCAGGCTACTAAAGCTTGGCTCATGAATCTCAGGAAGTGTTCAATACTTTATAGTCAGGAAAAATAGATTTTGTATCTTGACCTTTACATTAAGCTTTTCTTTTCAGAACTATATTACCTTGCAAAGTACACAGGGAACTGGAGCCAGCTTGTGACCTTTTGTTAACATGTAGTTTTGAGAAATGGGAAAAAGGCATTTTTATTATCAGGAATTTTATTACCTAAAAGAGTTAGGAGTCAGTTGAAAGACCTGCCTTTCTTAAAAAGACAGCTAGCCATATAACTTTGGGACAGATACTCTCTTTTGGAGAATGCTGCAATGCCTGCAGTGCCATCCCAAGGCCATTATGTGAAGTGGGAAGCAAATAGATTACGGAAGGTGAAGATGCTAAGAGAGGCGAGGAAATACTTGTCATGTTGCTGTCAGGAACATACATGAACTTGTTTTTATTAGTTAAAATCAGCTTAATTAATATATAGGGGACTCTAGTGTTAATTGAAAATTCCCCTAGTGGATTAGAAGGGTAAGGGTGATTGGGTAGGGAGGTTAACTTGTTCATTTGTGTATTTTCTGTTTCTTTCCCTGGAATATATATATACAGGGCTTTGTTTGTTTGTTTTTTTCAGTGTTGTTTCCTTAGCACATTGCAGAAAGTCGGTAATCAGTATCTGGATAAATAAATGAATGCTAAAACTAGCCAACTAATTTCATTTTAAATTAAGACTTTTCAGGAATCACTATGTTTACTTATTACTCGCTAAGAGCTTGAAAGACTGTTCTAGGAAGGTAGATTTTATAGACTCAGGGAGTGGGTTGGGACTCAGGAACAATTAAATCAGCAGACTGTGAACTGTTAGCATGCTTTCTACAGTCACGAGGAAGAAGCAAGAGCCTTGCAAGGAATGATGGGATAGCGCCTTTATTGTGGGACAAACTAATTGCTTAATGAATAGCCAATAACATTTCCTCATACTCTGGTTTCTCTTTGGATCTTATAAACCCTTTGTCTTTTACCAAAAAAAAAAAAAAAAAAAAATCAAAACCAAAACCAAAAAACAAAAACATTTCCTTATGTAAAGGGACATGACTTTTAAAAAATATGAATATTTCCACTTTTCTTGTGGTTCTCCCTCCTGTCCTTCTGTCTTTTCAACCAGTTGTCAATCCTTGCCTCAGAAGAGTTTATGATTCTACAGAACAGCAAAGAAAAGCTTTTGGGTTTCAAAGGTATTGACTTTTATGTTGTAAAAATCTCAGGTCCAAAGGGAAAGTTGATGATATAAGAGTAAGGTTCCTGTTTGCATCCTTTTCTCCCACTGCAGGGTTGGGGAAAAGAAGCCCTCTGCACACCAGAATTACCCAGAGACATGGAACACTTAGCACTGCATCATATGTTGGCCTTACAGAGGTCCTCCGTATTCCAATGTGAGGAAGGAAGTGGTGGTACATTTGCAGAAGGCACTAAATTAAGCGACTCTAATGAACCAGATAGAAGGGACCACTGCAACAGGATTTAGTTTCCTCCTCGAACCATGAAAGAGACCAGGAGAGAATAGGCCTTCCTCTTTGGCAGCCAACATGGAAACAGGATGAACAAGACCAGGAGGAGGTTTTCCTCTGTTTCACAGGTATTCCATAGTCACTGGAAACTCATATGCATCCTGGAAAGCAGTAATATTGACTTTCCACCACAAAGTCAAAGTTTGCAACAGAAGCTAAGTTGTTATAAAAGAAAATAATTGCTTTAATATACGGACTGAAATTTGCACCCAATGCATTTAGATTTTGAATGTTACTGTTCAAAAAGCCAAGTCTGAAGCCAAATGTTTTTTTCTTTCTCTTTTAATGTTGATTTGCTTTTTCTGCCTGGATGCTTCAACAATTCTAACTTCATCTTTAAAATTTAGTAACTTAATGAGAATATACCTGGCTTGCTTATTCTGCAACAGCTTTCATATTAGAAGATATATTTTAAAATTTTTATTTAGTTTTATTCAAAATTTAAAGAAATACTTTTGTATTCTTTCTCCATATACCTTTTCTTTCCTATTTTTCAATGATTGATAGATGTCATTTATCTGCTATTTATATTCACCAATTTCTTTTCATTAGCTTTGAGCTTTTTGTCTTTTTCTCTCTGCATTTATACATGTTTTAAGACATTTTCCATGCTGTAATTTCAATTTTTAACTTGTTTTCTTCTGTTTCTAATTTATGTATTAGGTCTATAATAATAGAATCTTTTGTTTCTCATTTTTTCCCCTTTAGCACTTCAGTTTCCCTAATTTGTTTTATCATCTTGTCTTTGAGTTCTTTTATTGAATTCATTTTCTTCTAAATTCTTTTATACTGTGAAGTACTTGTGGGAAATAAGTTCTGTTCTTTGGGTTATGTCTTCTTGATGATGGATTCTTCATATGTTATTCACTAGCTAATTTTTTTTTCAACTGTAGTCTGTTGCCATTGTTTCCGTGGCATGCATTTTCATTCGGTTATTGGTTAACAGAGTGCTTTGTCTGGAAGTTTCTGTTATGACATAGTATGGGTAAATTCTCTTTGCTATAGTTCCTTTGTTTTGGAGAGTTGTTTGATTGTTAATTTAGGTGCTACATTTTGACGGCTTGGTTGTCTGTTCTATCGGCTTTTCTGAAGCCTGAGGGTTCAAGGATTAAAGAATTATAACCCTTGTTCTGGACAATTTGGGTTTGGCTTTCTCACTGAAATCCTACAAATGTCTCCTACTAGGGACTACCTATTTCCATTAATATTATCTATTTTCTCCATCTGAAGGTGGTAAGTTCCAGTATCTGTTTTTGTCTTTCTGAGATCCTCCAGGGGTGCGATCCTCCAGGATCCTCCAGATCCTCCGGGACCTCTAGTATCGAATATCTTCCTGTGTCTTTCTACTCAGCTCTCAGTCACCCTCTCTCTAAGTTGGAGGACATTAGCAGCATTCTTAGAATTTCTTCAACCTACTCTTTTTCTTTAGTAAGGTTTTTGGAGAATGAGAATCTGTTGGGTGTCTTGTTGGATTCCATGGTATTTATTTATCATACCTATTGTGAATATTCACAGCACTTGCTATAACATTTTGATGTATTTGATTATGTAGCACCACCCCTAACATGCCAAATGTAATGCAAAGTTTATACATACATTTTAAAATACGAACAAATCTGAATTTCTGACTTATGTTCTGTTTCCATTGCTTGACATTTACAGCATGAAGCTACTTCCCTTCCCTTGTTTGCTTGCTGCTGGTAAATTTGAGGCCATTTACTTTTTCTTTATTTAAAAAAAAAATCTTAACCCGAAAGACTGAGCTATGACTTCATATTAAGCTTTATAGTACAAGGCAAAAAAATGAATTCAAAATAGAGAGTTATGTAAAACCAAGTGTATTCATTCAATGAGAGTTCATTTTTAACTCTCTTGCCATTATTTACTGGGAACATAAATCTATTGTATTTTAACTTAAAAATGTAATTGTGCTCTAGATTCCAATTATCTTTCTTTTCTCAGCATTGTTATCAAACAAGTCTTAAAATGGGAATTTCAGTGCTTTTTGAATGAATTAATGTATTTTAAAATTTTCCTATATTTTACATAAACACCGTTTTGGAATGTGACTTTTGATAAAAATATTCCTCCTCAGTGAAATGAACCATCCCTGCAACTCTTACAGCAAATATATATAGTTATGCTAGTTTTATCTCTTCCCTGATGGGAAAGCACACAATTATCTATAAGATATTTCAGCCTGTAACTGTGTTTTATCCTTCTTTGAAGAACCCCCCCCCAACACATGTCTGTGTGCACACCCAAAACAGCTTTAATATTACTATAATAATATAGCAAAATGTTTGACGCTGGGTGCTATAAACTTTAATAAATGCAATGCAGTTTGAGAATCTTAACAAATTTCTAAGTGGACTCTTAAAAAACAGACTCTCAATACCTAAATCAGGATTACTAAAATGATTGCTGAAATGAAGTGTTTTATATTTCTATTGAGAAAGAAATATAAAATACAATATTATTATTATATGAGAAGTTTGAAAGAAAATATTCATTATCTCAATGTTTTTGGACCAAAAAAAAAAAATCTTAGTAAAAGTAACGTAAATACAAAAAAGTCTTCATTTTGCTTAACATATAAACATTTTCAAGGAAATTAAACATATCTGGTAGTTTTTAAGAAAATTAAAACTAGAAAATTTGATCCAAATTGCATGTTCTTTTCAGGAGCACGGACTATTCTCTCATGTTGAATGTGGCACTTTTTACATACAAGCAGGAGAGCAACTACACCAAGATTTTGGAAAACATGTTATGTAAGGTAAGATACTACTATTTCTAGTTTAGAAAACTGGAAATCATTTTCTATGAAGAAAAAGTAAGACTTCCAGTATTTAAAAAATTGACTAAATATGGCCAGGCATGGTGGCTCACCCCTGTGATCCCAGCACTTTGGAAGGCCGAGGCAGGTGCATCACTTGAGGCCAGGAGTTCGAAACCAGCCTGGGCAACATGGCAAAACCCCGTCTTACTAAAAATGCAAAAAATTATCCAGATGTGGTAGTGTGTGCCTGTAGTCCCAGCGGCTTGGGAGGCTGAGGCACAAAAATTGCTTGAACCCCGGGGGGGTGGAGGTTGCAGTGAGCCAAGATCATGCCACTGCACTCCAGCCTGGGTGACAGGTGACCAAAAAAAAAAAAATTTGACTGCCTTTAATAACTATGGCAATTACTGAAATTTATTAAAATATTTACTATCATCAAACATGTGCTACTGTTGTTAATCATATGTATTCTTTTGTTAAATACAGACATTGTAATAATACCCCAGACAATAGCAAAATGCTAACTATTCTTTACTTGTTTACCTATTCACCTAAATAAGAGCAAATTTACTAGTCTTCTATTTTACTTATGGGAAAAAAACCCATTATTTCCTTAAATGAAGTAAATCATCAATTAAATCAATAAAAGAACTGATAGTCTATAATCTTAGATCCCAGAATTTTTCCCTAGATACTTTTAGTTCTACTGGGAACTATAGTACAATAATATTTGAATATTATTAAATTATATTACTTATAAAATTATCAGCTTCAAGGTGTAGATTTTTATTGATCTGATTTTTATTAGCTTAGGTAATAGTTTTCTGTCTTGTTTTTAATCTTTCTTAAGCCAAATTTTATCCCTAAATTAGAAATGTCCTAGAAAGGAGTCTCTCATGCTGAACAGCTTTCTACTTTTCAAGAGGACAGCTACCCTTTCTTTACTTTCTGCCCACTTGTGCTAGTATCTGCTCATTGTGGGAGAAACACACAGTCACGCTGTGTTTAAAGTCATGCTCATGGCCAGGCACAGTGGCTCATGCCTGTAATCTCAACATTTTGGGAGGCCAAGGCAAGAGGATCTCTTGAGCCCAGGAGTTTGAGACCAGCCTGGGCAACACAGTGAGATCCTATCTCTAAAAAAAAATTATAAAAATAAAAAAAAGAAAAAGGAAAAATAAATAAAGTCATGATCACTAATCTCAAGTGGGCCCTTAGTGCTGTTGGCAATTATACTATTTTTCCCTAGTACTTTAATTCTTCTGCTCTGTCCTAGATAACTGTTTCATTCCTTTTCTTTTCTTTTTTTTCTTTTCTTTCTTTTTTTTTTTTTTTTGTTTTGTTTTGAGACAGAGCCTTGCTCTGTCACCCAGGCTGGAGAGCAGTGGCATGATCTCAGCTCACTGCAACCTCCGCCTCCCAGGTTTAAGCGATTCTCATGCCTCAGCCTCCCAAGTAGCTGGGATTACAGGCATGTATCACCATGCCCGGCTAATTTCTATATTTTTTAGTAGAGACAGAGTTTCACTATGTTGCCCAGGCTGGTCTTGAACTCCTGACCTGAAGTGATTTGCCCGACTCGGCCTCCCAAAGTGCTGGGATTACAGGCGTGAGCCACCATGCCCGGCCTCATGCATTTTCTATTTTCAAAACTCTAACATGTTCTTTCCCTTTCTCATTTTCAGTTTTTATTTTTAAAATCAGGAGAGAATTTCTGCAACATCCTATGACCACAGATCCCTACCCATCTGCATTGGGGCACTTACAGATCACCTTCTCTTCTGAACTTTGTATGAAGTGACCATGTCCCTCCTATCCCTTTCCATGTGCACAAGATCATGTCATCTCTAGCTTATTCAAAGACATTGCCTTAGCAATCTGCCCTTGCCTTCTGTTTCATCAGTTTCTAAGCAACAACTAGAAAGGCCAAAGCCTTACAGGACCAGTCTGGCCAAGGCATAGCTACAGCATCTTTCTCATCTGTCTAGCAGACAGTTTCTATTAGATCATTCCCACAAGTACATACAAGCAGACTTACATTTCTCACCTCACACTTTATAAAAAACAAACAACTCCCCAGGCACCCACTTCTCCTCTCCAGGTACAGCCCCTTTGTTATCCTTTCCTCTACAACTAAACTTCTTAAGAGAAATTTCTATACTAGCTGTTTCCTAGTTCTTCCTCATTTTCTCTTGTGACTTCACTCCAGTCAATCCAAGATAACCATTGACCTTTCTGGTGTCAAATCTAACATTTATTTTTCAGGCCATATCTTATTTCATCTTTCCACAACATCTGATACAGTTGATTCCTCTACTTCACCTTCTTCACTTTGCTTGAAGGACACCACAGAAATAGAACATGGCCAGACTCAGAAGTGCCCCTGGGACCCTCTTCCAATTACCATCATTTTCCTTCTCTCCAAGTGAGCCACTTTCTAGCTTTTTATCATCATTACTTTCTTTCTCTTATAGCTTTTCCATTTCACCATGGATTCCTAAAAATTATACTTGATTTTTGTCTGTTTTTTTTTGAGCTTTCTCTAAGGGATTATGCAAAAGACATTATTTTTGTGTCAGGCTTCTTTTATTCCACATCATATTTATGAGCTATATCTGCATTGAGAAGAACTATAGGAGTAATTTTCTTCACTTTATACTAGTTCATCAGAGGAAAATATCACAATATATTTATTCTACAGTTGATAGACACGTGAATTTGTCTGGGATCCAGTTCCTGGACCATTTCAGACTCGTGTTCTAGCCTGGCTTCCTAGCTGAGGTGTCTTAGGAATGGTGGTACTGTTCCTAGCTGCTGCTACAGATGGGAAGCCTTCTGTGCTATGCTGCCTGGTGAGAAAGATGCTGTAGCTATGCCCCAGCCAGATTGGTCCTGTAAGGCTTTGGCCTTTCCAGTTGTTGCTTGGAGAAATTGCTGACTCACCTTGGAAAAAGGAGGAGTTAACAGCTCATGGTGGATTTTGACCAATGGAAGATGGAGAAGAGGAAGAAGCTGAGGATAAATTATTTTCTTTTCCAATCACCAATAAACAGATACATGTGAAATGAGGTACTTAGATGGCCTCTTAGAAAACATCCTGGGAGATCAAGGCATCAGTTGCAATTGCTGTCAAATAAAGGCCAGTTCTGTTCCACTTCCCCTGTGTTTTCTCCTCTTCTTTCCATACCTAATTTGGGATTCCTTTTCGACTCACTCCTGTGTCTCTGGAGTCATACTCCTCAATAAAATGGGAGCACGTACACTTTTGACTAAGGCTCTGTTTTCTAGAAAGCCCAGAAAATCCCTCCCAGGACCAGCTACATAGTTGGTTGGACCAAGTGCAATAAAAATACAGGGGCTTTTGCTCAACAATTATTAAGAATGTTAAGATTATGGCAGTAGAACATTAAGCCAAGTGGAGCCCTTCTAAGCCCTGGGTCCTATGTGACCTCACAGGTCATGTGTCCATGAAGCTGACCTTCATTCCTCCCATTCAGCTCCCCACAACCCCCAGTCCTCCAATTCTCCATACCCCTTCCTCAAGTCCTCCACTATTACTTGTTCATGTGTGCTGCTAGAAAATACCTATCATTTATCTATCCATCTTTCTATCATCTCTATATGTGGATAGGTGCTTTTTTTTTTTTTTTTTTTTTTTTTTTTTTGCCAAACACTAGTTTTCAAAGATGAAGTGCTATTTTTAAAGGGACTCTATTATCCTGGGGAAAAATGTTTACGTATATTAGTGAGGAGGAATTTTTAATGATTAAGAAAGATTATGTCTGTTACACATACTACCATTTGATATATGACAGCTTAACTTTTTTTTTTTTTTTTTGAGACAGAGTCTCGCTCTGTCACCCAGGCTGGAGTGCAGTGGTGCAATCTTGGCTCACTGCGAGCTCTGCCTCCTGGGTTCACGCCATTCTCCTGCCTCAGCCTCCCGAGTAGCTGGGACTACAGCACCTGCCACTACGCCTGGCTAATTTTTGTATTTTTAGTAGAGACAGGGTTTCACCATGTTAGCCAGGATGGTCTAAATCTCGTGATCTGCCTGCCTTGGCCTCCCAAAGTGCTGGGATTACAGAGCAAGAACATCGCCATCTTGGACAAGCCCCTCATTCTAAAGTTTACCTTAATAAAAAAAACGCCTAAATCCAAAGGGCATCAGCCTAATGGTTAAGGGCAGCATGAACATGAACCACAAATAACATCTCCAACCAGAAACATTCCAAGCTCCTCCCCAGCCAGAGACATGCTAGCCCTGAGATAACCCCCCTCCAGCCAGGAAGTTGCCAACCTCAAGATAACACTCCTCTGGCTAGAAAGATGTCGTCAGCCCCAAGATAACCTCCCCTCCTCCCAGAGACATTCCAACCCTGCCATAAAACTTCTCCCTCACACAGAAATATTCCAAGCTTGTAATAAACCCCCTCACCCTAAAACCAATATATAGTCTTAGTCTGTAAGAGAAAGTGCTCCTGACTGAAATCGGCCAGAAGCCCCTCTCATGTTTTATCTAAAATAAACCCATCTTTACTGTCAAGCCACGTTTCATGTTTCTTTCCTATTTCTTTAACTCTTACACAAACTTAATTATTTAATATAGTCATATATAGTTCACCCATATTACTGCTTTATTATTTTAAAATGATTTATTTGGGTGTTTATTAAGTCTTGATTAAGCACATTTACACACACATGTGTCACAATTCTTTGACAAGTTTAAGTTCAGTTCTTGGCACAGGTAGGCATCCCATAAATGGTATTATTCCTGCTTCCCTACCATAAGTCAGTAGCTTTTCCCATCTTTTTCTTTTCCTATCATTGCCCCCCTCCTAGGATTGTCAGATTTTGCATAAATAAAGGTTAAAATTTTTAAAAATGTAAAAATTAATAATTTAAGTATTAGTGAAAATACAGAATGCCCAGTTAACTTTGAATTGTCAGATAACATAATTTTTAGTATAAGAATGTTCCAAGCAATATTTGAGATATAGAGGTATATCCAAATACTTCCCAAAAGTTAAAAAGAAAAAAACCTATTCATTGTTGACTGGGCACAGTGGCTCACGCCTGTAATCCCAGCATTTTGGGAGGCCAAGGTGGGTGGATCACGAGGTCCAAGAGATCAAGACCATCCTGGCTAACACGGTGAAACCCCATCTCTACTAAAAATATAAAAAATTAGCCAGGCATGGTGGCACGTGACTGTAATCCCAGCTACTTGGGAGACTGAGGCAGGAGAATTGCTTGAACCTCGGAGGCAGAGGTTGCAGTGAGCCAAGATCACGCCACTGCATTCCAGCCTGGGAGACAGAGCGAGACTCCGTCTCAAAAAAAAACAAAAACAAACAACCTATTCATTGTTTATTTGAAATTCAAATTTAACTGAGTTTCCTGTATTTTCACTGGCAACCCTACCCCTTCCACCACTTTGGATTATAAGGTCTCTGAATACAGGCTTATGCATGCTACACTGTATCTTTACAGTAAAAAGAGCAGCGGTAGCTTCTTAATATGTACTTATAGATTGGAGGAAAAGTCTTTGGGATGAAAAGCATCCCAAACAATCAGATATTTCTTTTTTTGGTATTTTTTTTTTTTTTTTTTTTTTAGTAGAAATGGGGTTTCACCATGTTAGCCAGGCTGGTCTCAAACTCCTGACCTCAGGTGATCCACCTGCCTTGGCCTCCCAAAGTGCTGGGATTACAGGCATGAGCCATTGCGTCCGGCCTACAGTCAGATATTTTTATATAATTTCCCTTAGGACCTTCTAAGCCTAGATTGTTTATTAATAATTTATGATCCTATTTATCACGAGCACTGCCTGGAAGTTTATAAGGAAAGCTGTACTATAAGGGAACAAACATTTACCTTGGCAATTCTATAGCGTGCCAGCCCAGGAAGACAGTCGCATACAAACCTTTGTGTGTCTGCCTTTGTTCCAGAAGATGAATTTATAATGGCCCTTCAGAGACAGAGATACTTTTTGCATTACTCTATAGTTTTCTGCTTTCATCTGGGCAAATAATGTAAACTTAATACAACTTTCTTTGTCTTTTCTCCCAGGTTAATTGTGACCTCTATGATGGGGATATGATAAAGAAGAAAAGTACCTCACAGCGATGATTGGCATGTGATCACTTAGCCAATGAGATAAGAGGCTGTAGAAACGATGTGATAATGACATCTCCTGAGTTGCAGGTCCATATTAGAAGTGGATATGAAGTAAACATTGAGCTTTCCTCACATTTAATTAACAAGCTTTATTATAGATACAGCTCAAATTAGTTAATTCAGGAAGCTTATTTTGTAGAAATTAAAACATTAATAAACACATACATTTAGAAATAAAGAACTCGGCTGACCCTTTGACTCTTTGAAACAAGTGGCCTTCCATGCTGTGAAAGATTGTAGCCACTCTTTGAGACATTGGAATGGTGTCCATTGCATTTTATCAAGTTAACTATAGGTCAGCCTGGGAAATCTGAAGTTTCCTTATCTCCTGTCACTGTGGTTGCTGTGAGATTTTGTGTCATCACTGTGCTGTCTTCCCTCTCCACATGAAGGTGAGCTGTCTGGCTTCACTCTAACGTTTGTGATTTCACGCCCGACCTGATTGTTGCCAAGCAATTCCTTTGTTTGGAGAATTCTGTGCTTTGTTTAGAATTTTTTAAAGGTTCTTTTCCTGTGGTCAGATTTCTGTTTGCTACTGTGTCTTATGCCTTGTTCTCCTACAGAGAAGATTCTTTGAAGTTAGTGGAAGCTCAGCTTAAAGGAAGATCTACTGCTCTGTGTGGTGGATGACCATGGGGGAGCGAGAAGGCAGCCTCCGGCTTTTGTTTTGTGTGTGTGTGTGTGTGTGTGTGTGTGTGATGTACCTGGAAAAATAACACGACTAGGATTAAAGAGTATGTTTGGCATGTTTAAAATAAATTGTAAACCAAACGTATTTTAAAGAATTTATACAAATTTGTCATTTAGTAAAATGAATGACTATTGAGTATTCATGTCAATAAAACAACCACTTGAATACAACAAAGCATGCGTTGCGCATGTTTCTCCCACTGTTTTTCTCCATCTATAACCTCCCTACTCATCAGTTTGAGATTTTTTATATGGAATAAGTGTGGTTCTTGCAAGGAAATTATCTTTAGAATAAGGATAAAGTATTTAAGAATATGTACTTAAAACTTAGCAAACCCATTGGAAAATGATCCAGAAAAATGGTATTCAGAGATAAAAATCAGAATGTGTTTGGGAGAAGAGCACTGACGAAGGTTGGTGTATGTGGCATGTAAATAATACATTGATTTAGATGGACTTTTACTATGGGGGAAAGCTCATCAAGCCTCACGTAATGAGTTAGTGTCTACCCTTTTCTTTGAAAATTTCATTTTCATTACAATGGGTTTTGGGCATTTGTACTTTGTTATCTCTTCAAGTTCATACAATTAAAGTGGAACTCGACTTCTTTTGCTTGGAGATACTAAAAATTCTGTGCAGTGGAAGGAACTGTGACCTTTCTTAAATGGGTCCATCTTCTAGCTCAAAAAAATAATTCTTAGATGGTGCTTTAACGCCTAGTTTTAGTGCAAGACAGATTGTCAGGGTAATAAATTAAAGGCACCTCACTGCAGCGCTGTTGGCCAATGTTCTACCACAGGCCCATATTAATATTTTATTCCCTTTAATATTATTACATGATGCAGGCTTTATTTAAATGGATTTGATGGGTCTCTTGGTTGGCTTGACAACCAGAGGGAAAAATTAATGTTCTGCATTTAATCTCAGCTCAAGGCACTAAATTATTTTGGAGGTCAAAATCGTCATGCATATCATGCTAAATTATTGAATGTAATAACTATTAGCTAGCTGTCTACTTATGGGTTTTAAAAATTGTTTACTTCATGCATCTTGAGCTAATTTTAAAGTAAATCCCTCTTTTAGTTTTTTCCCTCCTATATGCCACTATTATCTTAGCCCTTGCAATTGTGATAATATAACTAATGGAAGATGCCAGGTGCCCTTCTTGTAAGTGAAATCTAACTGACTAAATGTTAATAAATCGCCAAAAGCATTCCTCCTTTTGCTGGTTCCATCTTCATATGAAGTTCAAGTATGTTAAGAGAAATAGTCATTTTGTTGTAATGGAAGCTATTATCTTATTTAAAAAAATCACATAATATTTTGCCAAAAAGAAATATTGATTACTAAAAGAATACAGTAAGCCATATTCTAATTATTTTAGGAATAATTGGAACAACATTAAAAAAGAAATGATGCTGTTGGATTTCTTTTTAAGAAATGATTTAATGGGAGATATGACAAATGAAATATAAAATGATGTATTTATTATTTACAGTGAAAATAACTCACATATCCTTGTCCAAGGTATGATCTTAAGAGGTGAATCAATGTCAACAGTATTATGAAATATTTAGGTTGTATAAGGATACAATTCTGGATTCTTGGACATTTGTGTAATGACTTGTAAGTAAGTGTGGCTTGAGAGTAGGCTTTTGTGTCTTTCTATATAAGAAAGGTGGTAAGGGGAAGTTTGAAGACACCTGTTATCCTGTACAGTTTCTGCCTCCTCTGGATTTTATCTTAACTAGAGCAAGCAATTCCTATGTATGAGGTTTTCTGGGGTTAAGCAGTTTTAGCTGGATTACTTAAAGTAACATCAGTCATGGCCAATGGGCCATGATGAAAAAAGAGCTTCAAATAAGAAGCTGATTTTTATTCCTGGTAATGAATGGTGATGTGCCAAAAAAAAACCACAAAAACCTGCAGCTCTTTCAACAGCAGGGTAACAGCTTCTGTGCATATGGAGAGTGAGCACTTGACAAGACTGGCTATTGGTGTACAAGCTGGACCTTATTGAAAGGGCTGAAGCAGCACTCTTTATGCCATCTTTCTTTCTGTCTTTCCTATCTTGCTTATAAATTACTCCATTCATCTAAGTGAAAGCTTTTGGATGACTGTTAGTGTGGAAATGGTGGGTCTGTCTAGTGACTCAAGATAGCTTCTTGGTGGCATCTAGTCAAGCAGAGATAGATGCAGGTGGCATCTAACAAGCAAGGAGTAGGTGAGGACCGCTCAGCCTCTGTCCTCATCAGCCACTGAGGTAAATCAAATGACTGATAACCAGGTAATAGGCAGGCTGAGGGTGCTGAGGTGAGGAAAACAGTTTAACTTCCTCACCAGGTGCCTGACTTCCTGACAATAAACATCTAGGACCTATGCTGTGATAATGTCATTGGGAGGAGATATGTTTCCTTTTCTTTCTCTTCATCCAGTGACTCAATTAATGCAAGAACAAAGCAAAACAAAATAAAAACATTTTCAACTAGTACTTGCTATGCTGGGGAAATGGAATAGAGGGTTGAATAAGACTTTGTTCCCTCCCTTGATGAGTGCATAGGCTACTGTCTTGCTTAATTTGTTGACCTGGTACATGTGGCTCTTTCAGAGGAATCCTTGGAGAAAGCATCAAAGGCAATCAAACTAGGGAAACTAGGAAGGCTGTGTGGAGCAGAACAATGAGCCACTACAGAGATAGGACTTCATAACAGGATAGGAAAGATAGAGGAGATAGGAGGATGTGTATCTCATCTTGGGACAGAGAGAGGCTACATTCAAGGTGTGAGAGGTTTTGAGATGAGGATTAAAGAGGATGTCAGCGCTTGGTGAATTAGAAGTAGATAAGTCTTTTTATTTGTTTGTTTATCTTTTGGGGTTTATGAGTTTCTGAGACCTAAGTATTTTCATAGGTGACATTTTTGAGCTGGATGTTTTGACTTCTTTAAGATCTGTATTTGTATCTATCAATATAGTTATATAGATATATGTATAAAGATTCTCCTTGCTCTCCATCTCTCTTATTTAAAGCTGGACACATTTTATGCTTAGACAGAGTTTTAGGCTCATAAGAGCTGGGATGGGATAAAGAGACAAAGCAGCATTTTGATACAGGGCCCCACTCTGTCACCCAGGCTGAAGTGCAGTGGTGCGATCATAGCTCATTGTAGCCTCAAACTTCTGGGCTCGAGTAATCCTCTTGCCACAGCCTCCCAAGTAGCCAGGACTACAGTTGCGTGCCACCGTGCCTGGCTAATTTTTACATATTTTTGTAGAGACAGGGTCTTGCTATTTACTCAACTAGTCTTGAACTCCTGGCCTCAAGCAATCCTCCTGCCTCAGCCTTCCAAGACAGCTTTCTTTAAATGTTTCATGCTACTATCCCTTAACATCTGTACTCTCCAGAGGAAGAATAATATTATTACATTTTAGTGTAAAATAAATAATTGGAGAAAAACACATTTAATTCTGTGACTAATGGCATTTGTAAGAAATCACTTTGTAGATTTTTAAAAAGTTCTTCCTTTAAAAATGTACTTTAAAAAGCAACACTCTCTCCTTATGCAATTAGGAAACATGTCACAACAATTTTTGTGCCAAAGCTTTATAAAAATAAAAAAGCTTTATAAAAATAAAGAAATTGCTGGGCGCAGTGGCTCATGCCTGTAATCCCAGCACTTTGGGAGGCCGAGGCGGGCGGATCACCTGAGGTCAGGAGTTCGAGACCAGCCTCAACATGGAGAAACCCCATCTCTACTAAAAATACAAAAAATTGGCTGGGCTTGGTGATGCATGCCTGTAATCCCAGCTACTTGGGAGGCTGAGGCAGGAGAATTGCTTGAACCTGGGAGGCAGAGGTTTCGGTGAGCCGAGATAGTGCCATTGCACTCCAGCCTGGGCAACAAGAGCGAAACTCCGTCTCAAAAATAAATAAATAAATAAATAAATAAATAAATAACTTTGAAAAACTGTTATTGTTAAGTGATGCCGCCCATAATCCTGCTATCACCCTGAGATGTTTGTCTTCAGTAGATAAAAAAAGTAGAGATGCTAATCATTTTCTGTTATTTCTAGAAAAGCTCATTAGTAAATATGGAGTGACAATCTCTGGCTAGAAAAACAGAACAACCCCTGTTGTAAAGGATTCTAAATTCTTTTAGTAGTTGCAAAATCATAATTGGCATATTAAATAATTGGGATCCGTGAACAGACTTCAGAGTTCTAGCAGGTATCTATGAAGAGAAGTAAAAGATTGAACCTCAAATAGGATAAAAGCTGTCACAATTAGTTTAGCCAGGTTTGATAACAGCTAAGGATGAGTGGGAGAAATATCATTTGTTCTTGAACATTTGCAGTGTATATGCTTTACTTATTGGATATCGAATAACTAGGTTAATCGGGTGTACTGAATTTGGTAGAGTACAATTTGGAAACAGGTTTATTTTTCTGCCTCTACTGCTTTTGTGGATGTCTCACTGTTATTTCTGGGTGACATCTTGTATGAAACCCATAGCTTTAAATACCTTTATAAATTTTAAAATGTCCAGTCTAGTCTAAATTAGAACTTTGTTTTCTTAAGCTCCTCTACCCATCTCTCTCACCTAAGCAAAGTAAGATCTGGTGCACTTCCATAAGCTCCTGTTTTTATATCCTCTCTCCTCTGCCCTTTGTCTGGCTTCTCCAAGCAGGGTTGAGGAGCAGGGATTGAGGAGGAAAAGAAGACAGAAAATGTGGCAAAGCCCATTTTACTTACCTGGTGCTTTGTCTGGTGTTTCTAGCTCTTTCTTAATTTTCAAGTGACTTTTCTCATGGCAAGCCTTCTCTCATGGCTATAATAGTGGGCCCCTCGGGGGATGCAAAAGAAATTTCCACCCTTCTTAGCTTCCTCACTGTATAAGGGAGGGCAAAGATTAGGCTGCTCTAACAAAGAGAACAAACACACAACAGCTTAAATCATGCATCCTTAATGGTAGTGAAAATTGGTTATTGGCAAAGGGGGAATGAAAAGCATCTTAGCTATTACAATGGTTTGTGGCCTTCTAACATCCAATAAGGTCTAATTTCTTTGGATTTAATCTCTCTTGTTAGAAACATAATCAAATTAAAATAAAAAATTAATAGGATTAACCTTAAGTTTATTTATTTTCTTTTTCATGGAGCAATAATAAAAAAAATGATGAACATTTGCTTAAATAGGGATTTATTACTCTCTCACTTGATAGTCCAGCTTTGCCTGAAAAGATCATTTAGGGACCCGAGTTCTTTCCATCTCATTCTTCCACCAACCCCTAAGGTGTTAACCTGGTTTGCATGACCAAAAAGCTGTCATGGACATGTCTGTTTTTCAGAGAGAGAAGAGGAAAGAGGTGAATCCAGGACAAGCAACTTCATTTTAGCAAGTGAGGCAGAAGTTGCACCCATTACTTCTGTTACATTGCAATGATGATAACTTAGTCATGTGGTTTCTTTTCATGGGAGGAGGCTGGGAAATATAATTTGAAGCTTGACAGTCACATGTCCAACAAGAAGGGAAAATAATTTTGTGGGGACAACTAGTCATCTGCCATACTGACCAAGAAAATGCACTCTTTGACCGCTTCTGACTCCCTTTCACTGTTGCCTTTCAGTGATATATCCCACACGGCCCCTTTCTGCTGTGGTCCCTCATCCTGCAGGCAGCTCTCTTGGGCAATATCCTTCGAAGACCATTCTAGCTGATCATGCAAAGTGTCTATATGGCCAAAGGAAGCTCATATAACCTTGCTGCATTATATGGCAGAGGGGCACTTTGATCTCATAACTGCATTCTCTTCTCTTTGCTCTGTGCATATGAATAGCTCCAGCTAGCCTGCTATCTTCAGAATTTCCAAATAAGAAGATGGCAAGTGTAAGGAGACATGTTAAGATCTTGTAGAAACTCTTTGGTTTTCTATTCTGTTAGCAGCAGAGGCAGGCCTTAGCATTTCTTTCAGGTAGGGAGAAAGATGCCTGGTGAGATGCAAGGCTCTTCTCTTGCAAACGTCTCCAGGCACGTAGAAGAGTTCTTTTTTTTAAAGCTTCCTCACTTGCCTTGGCAGCTGAAAAGCAACCCTATACTCTCTCCTATAAGAATAGTAAGAGAAATGCCAGAATGTGTTAAATTTTTTTTTTTTTTTTGCTTCAAGGCATTATTCTTTCTGATCAGTTTCAAACATTTCAAATGATTCTTATAAAGAAGGGTAGGAGTGGGGTGGATCTATGTAACGAATGCTTTTTTTTTTTGGTCTTAGTTCAGGCTGCTATAGCAGAAGACTGAGTGGCTAATAAATAACAGAAATGTATTCTCCACAGTTCTGGAGGCTGGAAAGTCCAAGATAAGGGTGTCAGCATGGCCAGATTCTGGTGAGAGTCCTCTTCCAGTTTGCAAATGATCTGTTTTCTTTCTTATATCCTCACATGGTGCAAAGAGGGCTAGAAAGTTCTCTGGGGTCCCTTAGGGCACCAGTACCATTTATGAGGTCTTCATCTTCATGACCCAATTATCTCCCAAAGGCCCCACCTTTTAATACCATCACATTGAGAGTTAGGATTTGAACATATGGGTTTTGTGGGGACAGAAACATTCAGTCTGTTTCATTTTTGGTACCCTGAATCTGATTCTTTTGCTTCATTTTTTTTCCCAAATTCCAGCCATGGCTGTGATGGACAGAATTAAGTATGTGGCTATCATTCCACCTCAAGCATCTATTATAGATCTCTCCATTTCTCTGTCTTAGGACCTTCTGTAAATAGCAGGGGTCCCCTTGGCCCCTTGTAGGTTGAGTCCCAAAGTGCAGTGCAGTTAATATTCCAAGCAACCCTCAACCAGTGGACAAACCTGTAGACAAATGCCCCAGACTCCTCTTTTCTGGGTACGCCATCCTGTGGGGCATTCTGTGTTCCTCAGAGGTTCCTGCAGAAGGGAACCCCTGTTGCCTGTGGCAGCAGCCTCACTAATGCCCCATGAGTTGGCTTTGCACCTTCCCTGTCTTAATTTTCCTGTTTCTTCACTCTTGTTTTCTGGGACAGACTGCTACATGAACTAGCTGAATACAAATACTTTCCTCAGACTCTCTTTTCTAGGGGAGCCCAAACAAGGGAACTGTCCTGTTACATTTTAGTAAGTCTTACTGCTACAGGTTTGGTGGCTCTCTTTAGAATGTAGAAATACTTATTTTTATGAGTTTTGGGTCCTCAGCTAAAACTCTGAGTGAACAGACTTTCATATTTATCTTTTCTTTCCTATGATAGTATATTTTCTTAAATTCACTTAGCTTCATATTAGAAATTAGTGTTTAGTTAAACAAAAGGCTTGTTTTCCTTTTTAAAAAAGACATTCTTGAATGAATTATGTGCTAATGGCCTTAGATTTAGTTATCTGAGAAAAATATGGCCAATTGGCTAGAGTGCAAAATATCAAGTGGTCTTATTTGGTAGCCTAACTGTAGGCATGGTAAACTGGAATAATTAGCTTATGCAGGAATTGGCTTATCACCTATGGGGCAACTTCTACATCACAATATCTTTATGTTTTAAATTTGAAGGCATGCATTTTTCCTTTTGCAATTTTTGATGTTATGTCCTTTGTCTTGACCATATAAATTGTACTTAGAATATTGTATCTCCACAGTGAATATTTGAAGAGAAAACGAAGAGGTTATTAAATGTGTTTGGGAATATCATAATTATAATAGGTAAGCAATATTCATGTTGTTACTATTGTGTCTTTTCCTTTGTAATTATTAGGAAAGCTAGTGGAAAAAATAAAATAGAAGTATTTGCCTTCTCTATGCCTTTTTGGAATGAAAAATAATTGGCACTTGACATGAAATAGAATACAGAAACCGTATCCTGAAGCACGCAGTCCTCCCTTCTTCCTTTCAACTCTTTTGTAGAAGGTCAACTTGTATCCTACAATTTACTAAAAAGCTATTATTATTGTGTTGTAGCAGTATTTCTTCAAGAGTTGAAATGATAGCTGGCTTTAGTATAGAAAGCCTGATAAAACTGTTATAAATCACTAGTGGTTTGGGAAAGAAGACTAGATTCTTATCACTTATGATTTCTACAGTTTCTCAGAGAATTGCTTAGGACTTTTGAGTCTCTTTCTGTTAGTATCTCCAGCGACTTAAGTTTGTTGGATTTGATGGAAATTGGTAAGAACGCTTGAAGGTTATTCAGAAAGTTTGCTTCCAACCCTCTTGTAAGAAATATGTTCACAGTTGACTAGGGAGTAAAGTAAACTTTCTTAGAACATTGTTAAAACAAGCTACTGCATCCCTTGGCTCAATTCTTCCCTACTACACACAAGAAACAGCTTCTAATTTTCACAACTGCACAATCAAAGTTTCTTTTTCCGATGTTGTTTATGACCTAGTTTTAACATTTTGAAGTATTCTTTCACTCCTTTTCTAGTGTGAAAAATGGTGTCCATCCATCATTAATTTATGCTGCTATTATGCAGCCAAAATGTGCTTGGGAATCCTTTTGGGGCCTCCAAAGGAAATCTGAGGGATGGATTTTATGTTCAGCAAAACCATTCTTGAAAAATAAATGTAGATAGATGTACATTTTTAAAAAGAAGGAGAAGACTTTTTAAAAAAAGTTTAAACAGCTTTATTGAGATATAATCATATGTCATACAATTCACTCATTTGAACTCACACAACTCAGTACACACAAAAAAATCCAAATCATCTCATTAAACAATGGATAAAGAACATACATAGACATTTTGCAAAAGAAAACATACATATGGTCAACAAGCATATGAAAAAATGCTAATCATCAGATAAATGCAAATTAAAACTACAATGAGATATCTTACACCAGTCAGAATGAATATTATTAAAAAGACAAAAAAAAAAAAAAAGAAGAGATGTTGGTGAGGATGCAGAGAAAATGGAATGCTTTCCTTTGCATCCTCCTACTGGTGGGATTGTAAATTAGAGCTACCTCTATGGAAAATAGTTTGGATATTTATCAAAGAACTAAAAGTACAGCTACTATTTGATTCAGTAATCCCACGACTGGACATATACTCAAAGGAAAAGAAATCATTATATAAAAAAGATACCTGCACTTGTATGTTTATAGCAGCACTATTCACAATACTGAAGATATGAAATCAACCTCTGTCCATCAACAGATGAATGAGTAAAGAAATTATGATATATATATATCTCACAATATATATTTCACACTGTATATACACACACAACAGAATACTATTCAGCCATAAAAAGAATGAAATCATGTCTTTTCCAGCAACATGGATGGAACTGGAGGCCATCACCTTAAGTGAAACAGCTCAGAATCAGAAAGCCAAATATGTGTTCTCACATAAGTAAGAGCCAAATAATGATATAGACATAACTTGTGGAACAATAATCATAGGCGACCCAGAAGAGTTGGGGTAGTAGAGGCGGTTGAGGGATGAGAAATTACTTAATGGGTATGGTGTACACCATTTGGGTGATGGTAACACTAAAAGCCTAGACATTGCCACTGAGCAATATATCCATGTAACAAAACTGCACTTGTGCCCCCTAAATTTATACAATTCTTTTTTTAAAAAAAGAAAACATACAACTCAATGCATTTTGAGTATTTTCACAGGTATGTACAACTATCACCACAGTCAATTTAGATCATTTTTTATTACTACAAACAGTAGCCCTGTACTTTTTAGAGCAATCCTTCTATACTTTTACCCTCCCAGCCTCAAGTAACCACCAGTTGAATTTCATTCTCTATACTTTTACCTATTCTGAACATTTCATATAAGTATATATATATATTATGTGATTATATATATTATGTATATATAACATGTTATGTATATATATTCTGTTTTTTATATATATATATATAAAAATATGTTTTTCTGTGACTAGCTTCTTTTCCTTAGCATAATATTTTCAAAGCTCTTCTAGTTGTAGTATCTATCAGTACTTCATTCCCATTCTATGGATATATCACAGTCTATCCGTTCATCCATGAGAAACATTTGGGTAATTTCCATCTTTTGGCTATTGTGACTAAGGATCCTATGAAAATTCATGTTGAATTTTTTGCCAGAACACCTGTTTTAATTATTTTGTGTATATATACCTGGGAGTGAAATTGCTGGATCTTATGCTAATTCCATGTTTAATTTATTGAGGAATCACAAAATTATTTTCCACATTGGCTGTGCCATTTTACATTCTCACCAGCAATGTAAAGAAGGGGAAGATTTTAAAAATATCCCCAATTCAAAGAATTCCAGACCTAAACACTTCCTGGCTATGAAATATCTTCATGAATTAGGAGACTACCCTGGTGCTAGCTTTCATCTACTTTATAGTCAGCCATAAGTTAATTTGATTTTATTTTGTATTCAAAGGGCTACTTAATCATTGATTTGAATGCTGTTTCAACTAATTAACATTTTAAAACAATGTAGTAAAATAAAAATATCAGAATTGTCTATATTAAATTGGCTTAGATTTAAATGCTGCAACATGGACTTTTCTCTCTGATGTCTGGTGGTCATTAGCATAGATTAGATACAGGAATTTGCATTTTAGAATAAAACTCTTACAGAAAAGAGGACTGCTTGGGTATAAACCAATATTTCTCAACTTGATGTTTTCTAAGGAATCATTTTGTTACAGGCCATCTTAGAGTCTGAGGTCAAAAATGTAAGAAACAATATGTTGGTCACTTTTTATTTTACCTCCTTGACAGCTTCCTCGTAAGTATCTACTGAAACTATCCCCTTTTCATCATAGTGCCATCAGTACCTTAGTTCAGACCTTTATGGAGTTATGCCTAAAATATTGCAACCGTCTTCCAAATGCCTAGTGTATTTTTTAGGCCTGATCTCACATTTTCTTGAGCCACCTTTGTGCTCCAACTATTGTGGCCTCTAGTTGTAAGCATCTGTTGCACCTCAGTTGTATCGCATACCTACCCTAGGTCCTCTCTGCCACTGCTATTTAGGATTTTGTGAGAGCACATTCACCCATTCTGATGAATGTACAAACCTTGAAGTATGAGACCATTAACACTCTCTCTGTAACCATTGACCAATCCACATCAATGTTAATGTAGATATTAACCTCGTCTTGACTTGAGTGGATTGTCCTAAAGCACATTCTACGTAGTTTCTCAGAAGGTTCCTATTGTGTCCTTGCTCAATTTATTTGTTGGTCTTTGCAAAAACCAAACAGATGTGACATACGACAATGGCTGACTGTAAATGTAACCTATTATTAGCCCTAATCCCAAGTGTTGTGCTCATTGTAGAATCTTTACTGTAACAAATCATTATAGAATATAATGATTTGCAGGAGAATTGCTTGAATCCAGGAGGAGGAGTTGGCTGCAGTGATCCGAGGTTGTGCCACTGTACTCCAGCTTGGGTGACAGAGCGAGACTTCATCTCAAAAAAAAAAAAAAGTATCCTGTGTTTATATAGGAAAGACAGCAGTACATATTCACTCTCTTGCCCCCAAATTCCACTGCAATATAATCTTCAGGGATCTTGATCATTAAAAAATTCTGTGAAAGGTCATGGTATTTTGCTATATTAATAATATACAAATTGGACTTGCTGAGCAGCAAATAAAAAGTACTGTGGGTACATTAGTTAACACCCATGCATTCTAGAGTCTGGGAGATAAACCTTATAAGATTTTAGGTTTCAGTCCAAGGGGTGACTTTTTTAGGTATGTAGATATCTTTGGTGTGCTTGGACATTCTCTCTAAAGTAAAGGAAAATTTGTTGCATCTTGCATTTACTGTCACTAAGAGGAGGCATAATGTTTGATGGGTTTGTTTGAATTCTGAAGGTAGCATATGCTGTGCTTGGGAACAATATTCTTACTCTTTTATTGGATAATTCAGAGTGACACTAGCTTTGAGTGTGGCTCAGAGCAAGAGAGGCTCTGCAGCCCATCTAGGTTAGGTTAAAAGTTGCCCAGCAATCCCAAATGTGTAATCTAACAGAACAAATAGTGTTAGAAGTGATCATAATGGATAAGGATGTTGTGTGATGAGTCACAACATAGTCCCTTAAGGTTCTGGAGCAAGGCCGTACCTTCTACAGCAAAGAATGACTACTTGATATTTAAAAAGCTGCCCTTGACATCCTGCTGGGCCTTAGTAGATTGGCTACTTGACCATGGAACATCAAATGAGTATGAAACTGAGTTGCTAATCATGTTGATAGTTCAAACCCACTGCATCATGAGATTCGGCATTCGAGGGACACTTTGTTCAATGCAAATGTTACATTAAAGACTGAATACAAACAGGTTCTGAAGGCATAGGATGTTGCATGACAAGTGGCCTGGACTCCATGTCACCTATTTCTGTTGTGCCAATTCCTGTCCTACAACTGTCACCTGTGGACTCATGCAGGGTTCCCTATGATCAACCAGTGGTAGAAAAGTCTAGTTTACAGATTGCTTGGATCAATATGTTGGTGGTAGCTAAAAATCTACAAGGGCCAATCTGGCAACACACACAACTAACTTTGAAAGACAGTAGTAAAGTGAAATTCTCCCAAGGAACTGAGCTGCAAGAAGTTCACTTGGTTGTGTGCAGGAAGAAATGGCTGGAGATAGGGATATCACAGATGCCAGAACATTAGCAAATGGTTTGATTGCTTTGTCAAAGATCTTGAAATAACTAAACTGGAGGATAATATTTAAGAAAGTTTAGAGCAGAGGCTGGTGGGTGGACCATGTGAATGGATACAAAGCACATAAATCTTAATTACTAAAATGATGGAATAATCTGTTAAGGGCTTAATTAAGATGCCAGGTCAAAGACAACCCCATATAGTGTTGGAAATGCAATCTTCCATTTTGTTATGTTGCTGATATGTGGTTCTGTGTGCAGAACCTAAGGGGTAATGTGGCTTTTGGCCTTTCAATCATCACTTCCAGTGACACAATTTCAGAATTTATCATCTGTGCTCCTACAATTTTAAACTCTGATGAATTGGAAATTCTGATTACTGTGGTGGTTTCACAGAACCTGAAGCTGCAAATAGTATTTTGTGATGGCAATAAAGGTTTCACTAAACCTGAATTTGTAACTGTCAGCTGAGATAGACAGAAGAAATTGATCCTGATTATCATGATGATCTGGAGTTGACTGCCACACAATGAGAGCAAAAAGGATTTTCTTTAGCTACTGGAGGATTCACTGGTGGTTTTTTTTTTTTTGTGGCTTCATGCACAGTGATAATTGTATATGGGTAATTGCAGCTGCTCTACTCAAGAATAAAGTCATTGCAGGCTTCAACTCCTTAAAGATAAAGTGCTGGCAGAGACAGAGACACTCCGTTTGTTTGGGAGAAAGTGAGAGAGGAAAACAAGAGTTTCTCCCTGGTAATCCAGAGAATTCTTTTATATCTTATCCAAGACCACCAAGGTGGGGCCTCTATGAGTCTGCAAGAACCATGGCATTACTGGGGTTGGGGTGCATCCTAATGTAGATACAACTTAGATCACAACACCCAAGTCCAAATGCAGATACAACTTACATCACAAGACCCATGTCCTTTGGAAAGTCTTCTAAAGAAGGACAGGTACAAACAAGCCCAAACTACTAAGACTAAAATAAATACCTAACTCTTCAATGCCAAAACAGTAAAAAATATTTACAAACCCCAAGACCATCCAGGAAAACATAATTTCACCAAATGAACTAAATAAGTCACCAGGGACCAGTCCTTGAGAAACAGAGATGTGTGACTTTGCAGACAGAGAATTCAAAATAGCTATTTTGGGTAAACTCAAAGCAATTCAAGATGATACAGAGAAGGAATTCAAAATTCTATCAGATAAATTTAACAAAGAGATTGAAATAATTAAAAAGAATCAAGTAGAAATTCTGGAGTTGAAAGATGCAATGGACATACTGAAGAATGCATCAGAGTCTCCTAATAGCAGAATGGATCAAGCAGAAGAAAGAATTAGTGAGCTTAAAGACAGATTGTTTGAAAATACACAATCAGAGGAGACAAAAGAAGAAATAATAAAAAACAATAAAACACACCTACAAGATCTAAAAAACAGAGGATATAGCTATTTTAAATATATATGCATCCAACATGGGAGCAGTCAGGCATATAAAGCAAATGTTATTAGAGATAAAGAAAAAGACCCCAATACAATAATAGCTGGAAACTTCAACACCCTACTTTCAGGATTAGCCAGATATTCCAGACAGTAAATCAACAAAGAAACATTGGACTTAATCTGCACTATAGACCAAGTAAACCTAATAGATATTTATAGAACATTCTATCCAGTGGCTGCAGAATACACATTCTTCTCAAAACATGGATCATTTTCAAGGATAGACAATATATTAGGTCACAAAACAAGTCTTAAAACATTCAAAAAAATTGAAATTATATCAAGCACCTTCTCTGACCATAATGACATGAAACTATAAATCAATAACAAGAGGAATTTTGGAAACTATACAAACACATAGAACTTTAAAATATGCCCTGAATGACAAGTGGGTCAATGAGGAGATTAAGATAAAACAGAAAAATTTATTAAAACAAATGATAATGGAAACATGACATAACAAAACCTATGGGATACAGCGAAAGCAGTACTGAGACGTTTATAGCTATTAGCACCTATATAAAAAAATAAGAAAAAAATCAAATAAATAACATAATTATGCCTCTTACAGAACTAGAAAAGCAAGAGCAAACAAAACCCAAAATTAATAGAAAAAATAATAAAGATCAGAGCAGAGATAAATGAAAATGAAACAAAGAATATAAAAGATCAATAAAAATTGTTTTTTTGAAAAGATAAAATTGACAAACCTTTAACCAGACTAAAAAGAGAGAGAAGACCCAAATAAATAAAATTAGAGATGAAAAAAGAGAGACATTACACTAATACCACAGAAATTCAAAGTATGATTAGTGGCTACTATGAGCAACTATATGCAAATAAATTGGAAAATCTAGAGGAAATGGCCAAATTTCTAGATACATACAACCTACCATGAGGGAAGCATGAAGAAATTCAAATTCTGAGCAGACCAAAAAGCAAAGTACTAAGATTGAAGTCATAATAAAATGTCTCCTGGCAAATACAAGTCTGGGACCTGATGTCTTCACTCCTGAATTCTACCAAACATTTAAAGAAGAACTAATAACAATCCTACTCAAACTATTAAAAGAAAATAGAGGAGGAGGGAATATTTCCAAATGCATTCTGTGAGGCCAGTTTTACCCTCGTACCAAAACCAGACAAAGACACATTGAGAAAAAGGAAAACTATAGGCCAATATCACTGATGAATATTGATACAAAAATCCCAACAAAATATGAGCAAATAAAATTCAACAACACATTGAAAAGATCATTCATCATGATCAAGTAGGATTTATCCCAGGGATGTAAGGATGGTTCAACATATGCAAATCAGTCAATGTGATACATCATATCAACAAAACAAAGGACACAAACCATACGATTATTTCTATTGATGATGATAAAGCATTTGATAAAATTCAACATCCCTGCATGATATAAACCCTCAAGAAACTGGGTATAGAAGGAACATAACATAATAAAAGCTATTTATGACAGACCCACAGCTATGCATCATTCTAAATGAGGAAAAACTGAAAGCCTTTCCTTTAAGATCTGGAACATGACAAGGATTCCCAGTTTCACCACTGTTATTCAATAGTATTGGAAGTTCTAGCTAGAGCATCAGACAAGACAAAGAAATAAAGGCACATAAATTGGAAAGGAATAAGTGAAATTATCCTTATTTGCAGATGATATGGTCCTATATTTGGCAAAGCCCACAGACTCCACCAAAAAACTATTAGAACTGATAAGTTCAATAAAGTTGCAGAATACAAAATTAACATATAAAATCAGTAGCATTTCTATATGCCAACAGCAAAGGATCTGAAAAAGAAATAAAAAAGTATTTCCATTTACAATAGGTACAAATAAAATAAAATACCTAGGAAATAATCCAAGAAGTGAAAGATCTCTATAATGAAAACAATAAAACATTCATGGAAGAAATTGAAGAGGACACCAAAAAATGGAAATATACTCCATGTTTATGGATTAGAAACATCAATATTTTTAAAATATCCATACTACCCAAAGCAATCTACAGATTCATTGCGATCCCTGTCAAAATATCAATGACATTCTTCACAGAAATAGAAAAAACAATCCTAAATTTTATATGGAACCATAAAAGACCCAGAATAGGCAAAGTTATTTTAAGCAGAAGGAAGAAATCTGGAGGAATTATATTACCTGACTTCAAATTATACTACAGAGCTATAGTAACCAAAATGACATGGTGCTGGCATAAAAACAGACACATAGACCCATGAAACCAAATAGAGAACCCAGATATAAATCTATATGTCTACAGTGAACTCATTTTGACAAAAGTGCTAAGAATATACATTGAGGAAAGGACAATTTCTTCAATAAATGATTCTGGGAAAACTGGATATTCATATGCAAAAGAATAGAACTAGACCCCTATCTCTTGTCATATAAAAAATCAAATCAAATGGATGAAAGACCTAAATATAAGACCTCGAACTATGAAATTACTAAAAGAAAATATTGGGACAACTCCCCAGGACACTGGTGTGGGCAAAGATTTCTTGAGTAATACCTGACAAGCACAGGCAACCAAAGAAAAAATGGACAAATGGGATCGCATCAAGTTAAAAAGCTTCTTCACAGGAAAGGAAACAATCAACAAAGTGAAGATACAACCCACAGAATGGGAAAGAATATTTCCAAACTACCCATCTGACAAGGGATTAATAACCAGAATATATAAGGAGCTCAAACAACTCTATAGGAAAAAATTTAATAATCTAATTTAAAAATGGGCAAAAGGTCTGAATAGACATTTCTCAAGAAAGACCTACAATTGGCAAACAGATATATGAAAAGGCATTCAACATCACTGGACATCAGAGAAATGTACATCAAAACTACAATGAGATATCATCTCACCCCAGCTAAAATAGCTTTTATCGAAAAGATAGGCAATAACAAATGCTGGCGAGGATATGGAAAAAGGGAAACTTTCCTTTCCTTCTTGGTAGGAATGTAAGTTAGTACAACCACTATGGAGAACATTTTGGAGGTACCTCAAAAAGCCAAAACTAGAGCTAACATATGATCCAGCAGTCCCACTGCTATGTATATACCCCCCAAAAAAGAAATCAGTATACCAAAGAGATATCTGCACTATCAGAAATCAGTATACCCAAGACATATCTGCACTATCGTGTTTATTGTAACACTATTCACAATTACTAAGATTTGGAAGCAATCTGTGTCCATCAACAGATGAATGCATAAAGAAAATGTGGTACATATACATAACAGAGTACTATTCAGCTACAAAAAGAATGAGATCCTATCATTTGCAACAACTTGAATGGAACTGGAGGTCATTATGTTAAGCGAAATAAGCCAGGCACAGAAAGACAATTTGTGCATGTTCTCATTTATTTGTGGGAGCTAAAAATGAAAACAATTGAACTCATGGATATAGAGAGTAAAAGGATGGTGACCAGGGCCTGGGAAGAGTAGTGGGAGGGGGACATGGAGATGGAGATGGTTAATGGCTACAAAAACAATTAGAAAGAATGAATAAGACCTAGTATTTGCTAGCACAACAGAGTGACTATAGCCAAACGTAATTTAATTATACATTTAAAAAGAACTAAAAGAGTGTAACTGGATTGTTAGTAACACAAAGGATAAATGCTTGAATTGATGGATACCTCATTTACCCTGATGTATTATGTATTGCATACCTGTATCAAACTATCTCACGTAACCCATAAATATATATGCCTACTATGTACCCACAAAAATTAAAAATTAAAAAACATAATGTGCTGGCTGAGGGTGAGAAATGTAAAATGGGTGGCAGGTATGATTCCATCTTGAAGCACCAGGAACTGAACAACTAAGCCTTCTTATTCCTTTTAATATTATTTTTGGTATCTTCTTATCTTTTGTAGAGATTGTGAACATGTCAACTTAATGACTCTGTGATACATAATATTTTTCTTTGATTCTAAGCATATTTTTCATTATGTGCATTAACTGTTTCAGAGAACCCCAATCAATTTCATTCAGTTCACTCATTCATGTATTCAGCAAACATATTGAGAAAAGGACTTACTAATGACTCTTCTTATCTCAGTGATGTCCTATATTTAGGAAGCTTTTTCCTGTCTGGAGGAGGCTGGATTTAGTTAATCTTAGCTCCTTCAGGCTGAGGCTTAATAAGGATCATACACCAATACTGACAGGCAGATAGAAGACTGAGACAAGAAAATGCAGTCAAAAAAGTCTTCCTTGGGTACTTCTAAAGTATTAATGTATGCTCTCCATTATTTCATAAGTGCTGCTTTAGGGTACAAAATTTGCAACCGAGGTACCCAAGTTTAATTATTCATTTCTGCTCCTTATTAGTTATGCAAACTTGAGCAAGTTCCTTAGTTCCTCTAAATCTTATTCTTCTCATTTCTAAAATGAGGATGAAGGAATCCCTACTTCATAGAATTATTTGAGGATTAGATGAGATAATGTGATAAAATACCAATCCCAGTTTTTTTTTTTTGCATGTTACAAGCACTCAGTAAATGATAAGTCTCCTTGTCTTCATCATATCCCCATTCACCGTTAGAATGAATTACCAGTTGCTTTATAATATATAGGAAATATGGCTCTTGAGTTTTCTGGACACAGATCTTTAAAGGACTTGAGAACTATTGGTCCTATGTTGACATTTCAACCTACCCTGGAAGAAGAGTTGGTAGCATGGAAGATATGTAGTAGAAAAAGGAATGAGGAAAGTGGTGGGAAGCCACATAAAGCTACTACTTAAAGTATGAATAATTGTGAAAATGTCTATCATACTAGAAATTGGAAAATATAGGGGAAGGGTAATAGTATCCTATTCTTATGTGTATATGTGATGTGGAAAGGGCTGGACTCCTCTTCTACATTTTCCTTTTCAAATGTCACTATCATTGGAGTGAGGGTGAATCTCTGGTTAAAAAAAGATTGGAAATTTTGAGAGACGTGGGACAAGAACATTGTGGGGTGTTATGGAGAATTTTGGCTAAAGAATTTCCTCTTCTTTACTTTGCCATTTATTTCAAGGACTCTTTTTCATCTTGGGAGATAATCTCTAATGCCACAGAGCTACAAGCAAATATTAGGGCTCAGAGAACAGGAGGTAGGGTGCTGGATCCTTAGAACTTGCTCTAGGACCTAACAGGTTCATCTCAGGAGATTAGTACAGTTGCACAGATTGGAAGAGGAGGCAGGGCAGAAATTCTGACTAGGAATCAAGGTTATTCATAGAGCAATAACATTTCCTGGGCTGTAGCCCTCCAGGAAGCACGACATTGCCTGATGGTGCAGGACAGTAGTGAGGAAATCCAGTGCAAACAACTGAGTCAATAACAGACAAACGAAAAGCCTTATTTTTCACTTTACCTAATGGCAAAATAAATGGGTTGTGACATGAAGGGATAAATGATAAGTGGCATTTTTTTTTTCTTGTGGAGGGGGTTGTCTAGTCAGCCAAGTCTTCTTTCCACAGAAGTGGAATAAGTATGTGAGATAGGTTCCTATCGCAGGACACATCTGTGTGATAATATGATTTATGTCCCTGTACTCTGGCTTTGGGACTACTGATAAATATGGGGAGAAGGGAGTTAGTTGATCATTTTTCGCTTTTCCTCAGCTTACAGCTATTAACTGGGCCTGAGGATTTCTTTAAGCCAGTGAAATTAATGACAAAGAATCTTCAGCTTTTACCACCATTAATTGCATTTGATCAGCCTCTCTTACTGAAATTTCAATTTTGTTGGCTGGCGAAATCAGAAGTGGAAAAGTTGTAAAGGTAAGGGTGAGTGTAGTCATCTGAAAATGGTCAGCCTTTCTCAGAATACAGTACTATTAGTGGACAGAAGTACTGATGGGAGGAAGGATGCAATTTGTCTTTATGAGAGTGTTTTAAAAGATGAGTGACTAGTCATGATTGTCATGCCTGTGATTGTGAATATGATTTTAATGGTCTGGACATGAAATAAGTCTAAAAATGGTCACAGGCTTTGATAAGTTGAGAGATGAGTCTGATGGGTCTATTTCAGATTCAGTAGCTGAACAATGATAAACTTAAAAACTGTAAAAAGCCTCTTTGCTGGAGACTGAAACAATGGCTCGTAATGATCTCTACAGATTCTTGAAAAGTATTCACTTTAATTCAAGGTTATCCCTGAACTCTTGGTCCAATACTTCCGGACTTGATATGAAACTGATTAAAATATTCATAGACTGTGTCTCAAATAATTTTATACTTGACATTCCAAGATTTATCTTTTTTTGTTAACTGGCTCAAATCTACAATTTTAGATCTGGAAGAAACATTTTGGATCATTTAATTTAAACTACTTCTCTTAAAGATGTAGAAACATGGTATTCTGAGAAAGTGTAAAGTTATATGGTTATTAAAGTACTGATTGTTTATATAAACTTGAGACTTGTTTTTACAACCTTGAGACTTGCTTTTACACATTTGATAACATAGTAATTCTTTGAAAACTGTTAAGAAAAAATCTTCTTTATAAAGAAATGCTACTTAGTTTGTATCTCTGGTTTGAAATGCTCTTGGTTTGTATCAACAAAAGTAACGGGGGAGGCAAACTACCCTGTATTAGCTCTCATGTGGATTCCTGCAGTAAACTATTGACCAGACTTCATGCTTTCATTCTTGCCTCTCTATAATCTATTTTCTACAAAGTAGCCAGAATCTTCCTTAAAAAATGCAAATCAGATAATTTGGCTTCCTTGCATTTAGAATACAATCCACATTCCTTACTGTGGTCTACAAGTCAACATATCATGTTGTCATGGGCTGAATTGTGTCTCCCCCAAAATAATAAAGTCCTAATCCATAGTACCTCAGGATGTGCATGTAATTGAAGATGTAGTCTTTAAAAAGGTAATTACATTAAAAATTAGGTCATTAGGGTGGATCTTCATCCAATACCACTGGTATCTTTAAAAAAGGAAGAAATTAGGACACACACACACACACAAACACGGAGGGGAGACCATGTAAAGATAGTGAAAAGATAGCCATCTAGAAGTCAAGGAGAGCGACCTCAGAAAACTCCAACCCTGCCAATACTTTGATCTTGGACTTGTGGCCTCCAGAATTGTGAGAAAATAAATTTCTGTTGTTTAAATCACTCAGTGTGTGGTACTTTGCTATGGCAGCCCTAGCAAAGTAATACACAGGCCTATACCTCTCACTTCTCCTTATAATCCTCTTCTCCTTAACCCTTGCTCCCGATTTTTATTGTTTTTCATCCTCTGCATTCAGCCCAGTAAACATAAACATAATAAACATAGTAAATGTGAGCAAAGGGTCATGGCATTTATTATTCTCTATGCCTAGAATCATTTGCATCCTAATCTTTGATTGGCTGGCTCCTTCTTGTCCCTTAAAAAAAATGTCACTCAGGGACAAATGTTGTCTCCACTGAGAGGCCTTCCCTGACCTCCCCATTCAAAGTAATCTTTCAATCAGCCTTGGTCACCCTCATGTTATCTTGTTCTTTTTATTATAGTGCTCAGTATTAGAAATCATGAAACAAGTCCCTTTATGAATTATATAGCATTGTACTCCCAAGCAAGCCTATCATTTGTCCTCTGGTGCCTGAAATTTTTGTTCTTATTCTGACTATAGGGATGGTTGGAGTCAAGGTAACTGACAGACCCCTCACAGAGGTGCTCATGCTTGTCCATGTTATCCTATCTCTTCCCTCCATCCTAGAGGGAAGATATCTGGAGTATAGTCCACCCAGTAGTTTCCAGGCTGCAACAGTGTCCCCCACCCGTACTGGATTATAATTTTTTTAAAGAGGCTAAAGAGAAATTTGTCCATATGCTTTTAGTGTCTCACAGATATTTTGAATATTAGGTTCTGCTACTTTATTATGGTTCCCTCTTTCTAGGGAGTAGAAGTGAATCCAGGGAAATTGAACAGGAAAATAGTCTGAATGATAATAACAATTGCCGCTCCTTTATAATAACAACTCATTGTTCTTGGAACAAACTTGCTAAGTTTTATTTCCTTGTCTGTAGGTCCATAACAATATTTGCCCAAGGGATTGCTTGAGGATTAAATACGGTAATGTATATCAAGTTTCTAAGAAACAGCCTGTTATGTATTATGACTCAGTAGCAGTTAGCTGCCCTTATTGTTGCTAAATGTTAAGCCCTGAGATAAATTTTAACTAAACCTCTTTGATACAAATCTATACCTGAATGCATTCTATACTTACTTTCTTAAAATGTGACTTAAGCACAGATATCTGAGTACCTATGTGTATTTCTCAATATTCAAGTGCTGTTGTTGCTATTTTTAGCCTCTTCATATTAATAATTTTAAAAACTCTTCCTTTGAAAATAATGACAGAAAATTGACAAAAGGCTACTCTGTATTCTTAAGGGAAGTAATTATAATTATGCCGAGCAGAAGGTAAAATTATAATTTGTTAGCTATTTTGTTATGCTTTACCAAAAATTTATCACAGTTTTAGTGAAAGAGCCATAAACTTTAGTAGACTTCTAAGATATAGCAATGAATGCACTGCTATTGAGGAAATAGAGTCATTATAATGCAAGAAAATGCCTGAGTTTCATTAGATCCTAAGGGAAATAGAGCTAGGTTAGACTTGTGGGAATCAATAGAACTTGTTTTTCAACTTACATGAACAAGTGATGCTGAAATGACTCAGATTTATATACATCATAAATAGCAGTACTGGACTTTGGCTGCTTTTTTTTTCTCTTGGAGTTAAACTTCTCATGTAAGAATTTATGAGATAGAAAAAACTCAGTGAAGGGGAATCAACTGAGGCCAACTGCTGTGTGGGGAAAATCAAGAGTTCATATGTTTAGACTTGCCATCCTCACATATCTTGATAAATATTAGAGGGGTGATATTAGCAAGTGTTTACAATGAGAATTCATTTTCCTGGTTTTGGCTCATTGACTGAGGCAAAGAAATTAATAGCTTTATTTTATTGTATAGCATGAGCAGCACTTTGTGTGTGATATGAAAGCTGCTTATGTGATTGATGTGTTCATTGCATCTTATGGTTTATGATAATAAATGCATATATCACACAACAAGAACTAAAACAGATATGTTCTATAATGCGCTCATCTCATTCTATTTTCATTATGATTTTTTATCCACAAACACTGCACAAGATGTACATACTTGAGTACTTGTCTGCATTCTTGTACATTTCCAACTGCAAATATTGCTGTTTTGAAAGTCTGCTGGGATGGGCTTTCTACTTCACACTCCTTGAAATTGATCTGGTAGGAAGAGCATAATATTTCAAACCACCTCATTGCAATATAAGCATTAGAAGCTTACTAAAAGGCTTTTTATGTTGACGATAGCCTAGTTATACAGACTTGCTCAATAACAGTAATTGTCTTGGCTTGTTTCAGAACTCCAGTGGCCACACATTTTTTAGAAATGTAAATGGCATTCTTTACTAAGTTAGAAGCTCAAGTGGATTCGGAAATGCTATTGTTTGTATATATGGTATTTGTTTAGAACTTTCTAAAATTCTTCTACTTTCCTGAAATACCTGGTGATAAGCTTGAAACACATTTTTAAAAATTCAGCATCCAAAGGTAGGAGACCTATCTCTGTTTCCATAGGAGGGCAGTATAATATTGGAAAGAAACATAAGAACTTGGAGGTAGTTTTTTGTGCCTTATAATTAAACCATTTCCTGCAAGGGGAGTGGATGGTATTTCAAATCACACTAATAAATCTATGGGTTAATAACATGTGAGTTAGAATAGCCATGCACCATAATCACTGCTGTGGATTCATTTGTCTCTTTTTACACAGTATATTGATTTTTCCCCTTAAGAATGTAACAAAGAAAGAACTTTATAAAATTCTTTTGTCTTTAAACTCTGCTTGTTAATATATTCCTGTTGCCACTCATCTACTAGTAATTTCCTGACAGGTAACTATTGCTGTTATAATTGGAAATAGTCTTGAAAAAGTAGTTGCTGTGTTTCTGGAGAAACTTCTTATTACTGGTAATTGCCTGCATAATGAATTGCAAGAACTAGATGACTTCAGCCGAGATCAAAAGTGACCATTAACTCACCTATCTGCAAACTGAAGATTTCTGGGACTTGTATCTTATGGCAATTTCATTTCTTTTTCACTTTTTAAAAGACTCAGCTTTCTTCTGTCAAGTTCATAAGTATCAGCTCACACACATTTAATACTTACCTTGTCTTGTGAAACCTTTCCAGCAGATGAAAAACCATCTTTATTAATTCAGAAATATGGGAGTAGAGGGAATTGTTTGTGCATCTTGATTAAAAAATAAACAAGCAGGCAATTAAATTGCATATAGGATATTTTACAGACTGACAGCTTCTCATTAAAATTGATTTCAGGATAATTTCATATACTGACATGAAGTCTATCGGGTTGTAGTTTTGGTTTTTTAGCTCAGACAACCCAACACTTTCTTCACTCTTGAAAAAGGACATAGATTACAAGTTGGTGTTTTTAATAACCAATAATTTTTTCCTTTGCTCATCTCTCTTCACCTTTTTGTTTCCTCTGTGAAAGCAGGGATAGAATTTGAAAAGTGATGGGAATGAGAATCCTCGAGCATGAGGAGTTTGGTTTCTTGAGGCTCCTTAAGGAGGTTCGGGGGAGACTGAGAAACAAGGCAATGTGGAAAATGGTTCAAAGACAAGAACAAAAGGTAATAGATTCTCTCCTTGAGGAAACTCTAGTCAGACTCAAAATTTTCTTCTCAACTAGACCATGACTTTTGGGCTTCTGTGTTTGTCTCTGCATTGCTCAATTTTAGCAAGAAGCTTTCCAAGTCAGTTTAGCCAGAGTCCTTCACTCACGATACTTAGTTGGGTTCCTCATTCTCCACAATCCCCTTGTGATGTCTGATCACTGTAAGCATGCCTTTAGCAACAGACCTAGTCAGTTAGCTTAGCCTAAATGTCCTCTAATTCTTGATGTTTTTCTTAGTGATTTTTTATCCAATGACCCTCACCCTGCTCCTTGTCTATGAATTTCCACTCTTCTCATTGTATTTGGAGTTGAGCTCAATCTCTCTCTCCAACTGCAATGCCTCATTGCAGTGGTCTCTATACCTATATCTATAGTCCCCGTGGATAAGGTCTTCCTTTCTTTCTCTAACAAATAAATGAATAATCTTGTTCTATAACAGTTATGATTCTGTGACTCAAGATTAGATTCATTATTAGGCTCTTGAATCTTTTTGAAGAGAGGTCAAAAACCCCTCTTCTTGACTTCCTGCTTCTCACCTAAGTGAGAAGGCTTTGAAGACTTTGTCTTCACTCCCGACTGACTGTTGGGGATCCATTGGTGAGACAGACTCCAGAACCATTGCTCTGGACAAATATCTGCTGAAGCTGGTAAGGACAGATTTTGATTCTTGAGATTCTGATATACTCTCTAAAGCTGGGTTAGAGTCCCAGGCTTCTTCTTCTTTTTTCTTTTTCTTTTTTTTGAGATGGAGTTTTGCTCTTGTTGCCCAGGCAGGAGTGCAATGGCACGATCTCGGCTCACTGCAACCTCTGCCTCTGAGGTTCAAGCGATTCTCCTGCCTAAGATTCCCAAGTAGCTGGGATTACAGGCATGCGTCACCACACCCAGCTAATTTTGTATTTTTAGTAGATAATGGTGTTTCACCATGTTGGTCAGGCTGGTCTTGAACTCCTAACCTCAGGTGATCCGCCTGCCCAAATCCCAAAGTGCTGAGATCACAGGTGTGAGCCACCACAATGTTGGAGGTGAGGCCTGGTGAGAGGTGTTTCGATCATAGGGGTAGATCCCTCATGAATGGCTTGGGCCATCCTCTTGTTGGTAAGTGACCTCTGTCTCTGAGTTCTCACGAGATGCATTTAAAAGTGTGTGACACCTCCCCCAGCCCCTTTCTCTCTTTCTCCTACTTTTGCCACGTGAAGTATCTGCTCCTACCTCACCTTCTGCCATGAGTAAAAGCTTCCTGAGGCCTCCCCAGAAGCAGATGCTGGTGCCATGCTTCCTGTAGAGCCTGCAAAACTGTGAACCAATTAAACCACGTCTCCAATAAATTACTCAGTCTCAGATATTTCTTTATAGCAATGCAGGAATGGCCTATTACAGTATTCAAACGAAAACAAAGTGTTTTACCTAAATGTTCATCTCAGCACTATTCACAATAGCAAAGACAAGGTATCAACTCAGGTGCCCATCAGTGGTGTATTGGATAAAGAAAATATGGTATACAAACACCATGGAATACTATGTAGGCATAAAGAAAAATGGAATCTTGTCCTTTCTAGGAACATGGATGCAGCTGGAAGCTATTATCCTAAGTAAATTAACACAAGAACAGAAAAACAAATACCGCATATTTTCACTTAAAACTGGGAGCTAAACATTGAGTGCTCTTGGACATAGAGATGTCAATAATAGACACTGGGGACTATTGCAGCTGGGAATGGGAGGGGGGCAAGGGTTGAAAAACTAACTATTGGGTATGACACTCAGTACCTGGGTGACAAGATCATCCATTTGTACTCCAAACCTCAGCATCACATAATGTACCCAGGTAAAAAAGTCACACATAAACCCACTGACTCTAAAATGAAAGTTGAAAAAATGTGCAGTTTTAATTGTACATCAATTATACCTCAATGAAGTTGTTTTAAAAATTTTGTGGAAAGGCATGTCAAATAAGAGGAGATGTTGCTTTTCTGCAAATAAATAAAAGAAGAGACGCTTTTGCTTTTCCTGGATTATATTTGTATGAGTGAATATTACATAAGTAGGCATTATATTAATTGTAATAAAATTGTATGAAGGTCATAGAAATTTTTCAATATCTTGTTGTGTGGTTATAATTTTTGTTGTATGTCACAGAAATAACCAAATTTTCTTGTCATGTGAACTCTCATCAGATATTTAGAAAGAGAAAGGTTTATGAAACTGTGAACCACAAATCAAGCACATAAGAATTAATTACATGGAACTGAATGAACTGACAAAGAGTGATTGTCGTTTTGTTTGGAATATGGCTGGTAATTTAATGTTTTATTTTCCAGATTTAAGGAATCCTGTTCCTTCTTTCTCTCAAGCTATGCATAACTTACAGCAGTTTGGTAAAGTATATCTTTGTGAACGGAGATGAAACATTTATTGTTTTTCCCTATCTGGTCTTTCCAAAATTTGTAAACTATTATTGAGTATTCTTATCGTCCTGGCAATATAATTATTTGCATAAGTTCAGTCAGAATCTGTTCTCCTTGTAACAGAATAGAATTGGAAAAATTATTTGTTTTACTAAGGCTTTGACTGGAATGTCATATCAGAAAATGATGTACATAGAATCTGGCTTTAAGAAACAACAATTGATTTTATGGGGCCAATGCTTACAAAGCCCTCTTGGGAAAACTGGCCTGGTACCTGGCTCATAGCATTCCCAGTTTTACATGTGTGTAAGGAGATCACTTTTTGGCAGACTCAGGAACCTCATGATATCGTGGGAATCTCAAGAAAAGAGGAATTCACTGAAATCTATGGTTACCACAAGAAAAATCTGGTGGTGAGTTCTTGGCTTTGGCTTCCTGGGCTCAAAGGGCTTCAAAAAAAATCTAATCTAAAATTCCTTATTAAAGGTCTACGTGGTCAATGGCTCTTGCTGCACTTATGTAAATAATCAGGCTTAATCTGATGAGACTAGATTTATTTTGTAAACGAGGTCCAAAGGAAGGTGATTGTAGAAATTTTGTTTCAGTGGAAAATTATCATGCACCCTTGTGGGTATTAGATTATAATCCTGTTCATCTGAGTGATTTTCTGCCTCTTGGTAACTTCATTTCACTTTCTCCCTTGTTATCCATGTATAAACTGGACTATATCCTGAATTATTCTAGTTTCTTCCTATATCTGGTTACAATTCTCCAAACTAATGTTTCCACTTTTTTTCCCCACTCTCCTAACTTGGCATCACTGATAACTAAAACTGCCCTTTTCCTGAAGTATTGCAAGCTGAGGCTAGATGAGTTGTCATAAACTACCAAAAAATCATAGCAAATCATGTACTGACAACCTCCATGCCTGCTGCTATGTAGGCCACTCAGGCAGTTCACCAAAACACCCAATGCCATCACCAAAGACATCCCAATTGCAAGCCAGAATATTTGTCAGATGACCATTGCTGTCCTCCTTCTACCATCTGAAGAGACTTGGAGCCCAACATCTAGAAATCTTTTTGACTGGCTGCCTTTAGGACTCAAAAGCCAGCCTTCCGACCAATAATCTTTGTTTTTATTTTGTTTCCACAGAAATTTTCCTCATTAAATGCCTGAATGTTTACACCATACAGCAAATATCCCATACTGGGCCCCAACAGATGACTCAGTTGGCTGTTAATGAACGATTTGGTCAAAGGTGAGAAAATGGACTTATATTATTTAAAGGAAAGAAGAGTGTCTTTTTTTTCCTTGAACAAGTGCAGGGACTGACGAAGATTCTTTCCTTGATGAAACTCTTAAGTAGACTCTTTCAAACTCTCTTCTCAATTAAACGTTGAATTTTGGGCTTCTGTGTTCATCTTTGCATCCTTTGTCCAATTTTAGCAAGAATCCTGCTAACTTAGTTTAGCCAGCCTTAACCTGTCCATGATACTTGATCACCCTAGACACCTGACAGAGTTCCTCCTCCACCATCCCCCAGGTGATGTCTGATCACCCTGGCCTGTCTTCAGCAAGAAGCCTGTTGGGTTGGTTTAGCCTGAAAACTCCTTACCTATTGTTTCCTCTTAGTGATTTTTCATCCAGTGATGCCCACCCTGCTTCTTGTCTATAAATTCCCACTTCTCCTTATTGTATAAGAAGATGAGCTCATTCTCTTTCTCTCACTGCAGTGGTCCCTACTTGTATTGCAATAGTCTCCTCGAACAAAGTCAGCCTTGCAGTTCTTTAGCAAGTATCATTGAATAATTGTTTCTTTAACAAAGAACATTAACATTTGATTCAATGAGGACTTTAGAAAATGTTAGTGTACTGCCATTGTGAAATGCTGGAAAAGGAAATTAATACTAAAATATAAATTGTTTTTAGAAGGGACTTTGCCAACCTTTTGTTTGGCTGATGACATAAGTAGGCATTATATTAATTGTAAGAAAATTGTATGAAGGTCATAGAAATTTTTCAATATCTTGTTGTGTGGTTATAATTTTTGTTGTATGTCACAGAAATAACCAAATTTTCTTGTTATAAATGTCACACTTGGTTCAGTTGAGTTCCCTGATGGATTTTGTCATTGCCAAGCATGAGCTTGGAGATGAGTTTGGAAGTAGGGGCTGGTGATATTGAATTAATCTGCATTATACAAAATGAACATAATGGTAATTCCAGAGGAAATCTTAGATAAGAAGGACAGCAAAACGTGGAGAAAACCAGTCCCTCGGAAGTAACTTAATGGATGAAAAACTTCATACCTTAGTTACAATAATGTTACCATTAAGCAGTTGTACGTACCTGTGTACCTAACAAGGCTGTATCTGGGATGATTTCCTGGTTGATTAAAAGCAGTGTTTCTAAAGGTAGTCAAGTTGGGGGAAAAAGAAAAAGCAAAAACTCTCTTAAGAGAAGATATACAACAGTATTGGCCTGAAACAACTTGGATCTAGCCATACCCAGGGGGTTCCTTATCTGCAAAATTAAAATCTGTGTACTCAGTTTTACTTTGAGGGCAAGATTATGAAAATGGATTATTATTACTCTAATGGAGAGTCATGTTTTATAATTCCCCAGTTGAACCATCACTAAATTATGTGGTAAGAATGAGTGGGTGGGGAAGCACAACTGGACAAACCGCTGTCAGGTCTGCCCACTTGTGCACAGAGTTGTAATTTTTTCCACGATTGAAGAGGAAAACAATGTTCTTTTCATTCAGATGTACATTTATTCTACCATTGACCATGATGTGACTTGGCCCATAAAGTTGGTTCCTCCTTTGTCAGTGTAGATTAGATTCGTATCTATTAAGAATTTTATTGTGCTTACAGAACAGAAAAAAAAAATCTCATAGAATTCACATTCTCAACTTCCCTTCAAGATATTTGTGCAGTTTACATTGAATAAATTTGTTTTATTTCCTTTGACTGCAAAGCTTTTGATCTTCTCAACTGGATATGCGAAGCACTTTACTATAGGCTTCCTTTTCTATGTAATAAATAAATACTTATTCAGTTGTTGAAATCTACATATGTGGCTTCTTGAATATTCCCATATGTTCTGTCTCTTCTATTTAATATATAATCATTTATTAGGCACCTACTACATGCTGGCCACCATTCTAGTGTCAATGGCACAACAGAATCACTGTGTCCAAGAGATGATGTAGAAGATGGTAAGAGGTGGAGAGCATTTTCAGTTGAATGCTTGTCTTTTTTCTTGCTTTGTGTGGTGTGATATGTCTGCTGGCCAGGCAGAGGGTGTTTAGATATTGTTGGATTACCAAATGATTGTCCATACATTTGCTCTCATTTTAGGAATTGATTCCTTTCTTACCTCTAATTGATTTTTCATCTATTCCCTTTGCCTATAAACCTCTTGAGATGATGAACTACAGAAAAGGCAGAAGGCCTTAATATGCTATTTAATCTAATATTATATAAAACTGGATCCAACTTTCCCATTACTGTTATTACTGTCTTCTTGCAACACAGGACTTTCCTTATTGAACTGTAATTATTTGTGTTTTTTTTGTTTTGTTTTATCTTGTCCCAGAATACGATGGACTACTTATTAACCTAGACCTGTGGTTCCTAAACTATGGCATCACAGTGAATTTTATAGGAGCATTTCAGAGTATTTCAAAAGGCCGAGGGAAACACAATAATGTTTGTCAGATACTGTGTAAACTATTAGCTCAAGGTAATTCACAATTTCAATGTTAGATTTCACTACATTCCTTTTGATAATGTCCTATCTTTGTGAAGCTGAGTTTTCCGAACTTGCTGTATAATTTGGAATCTGGATAAATAATTTCTCTATTTTATCTGATGCTTTTTCTATTTTTTAAAAGTGTTTTTCATCTTTCACTGTATTTTCCATTTATTTGCAGATAGAAACAGACTAAATGTGAGTTTGAGGAAGCCCTGAAGCCAGTTTCAAGTATATGGTGACATCTCTCTGGTGGTCAGGTGGACCTGATTTTTTTCTATATAGCATTTCACAGTGAGTATTTTTCTTCCTGTGTCTTAGCCACAATTTTTAAAATGTTTTCTTTTTTTCTGTTTCACAGTCACTTTCAATAGTAAGTCTCTTGCTGCATATGTTATGACTGGTACCTGAATACCAGTTGACAGCTCTTATAATAAAAAAACCAGAAAGTAATAACAGTTTATACTTCTGTGTGAAGAAAAGTGCTTTGTTCCTTTATACTTGGTTTGCATTTGAAAATATTCATGAGTCCTTTGCTATCAACTTAAAAAACATATTTAAATCAAAGTAATGAAGTGAAGCATAATAAGTTTCCAGATACCAATATGTTTTACTGTGTCTGAATATTTACAAACAAATAATTTTACTTGGCAGTAGAAATGTAAGCAAGACTGAATTTCATAATTTAACAATATTTTTTCTTATTTTGAATATTGATTTCTTCAGTTATATTATATACACATAATGAGGGTTCTATCTAGTAAGTCTTAATTATTATTTTCTTAAAACAATAATTTTAAAAAAAACAACCTCTATCTTTCTTCTTGCTATTTTGGAAAATATAATTGACAACTAAAAGGGTATAATAGACCGAAAAAGCTATGTCCAGTAAAAACAGATTCCCAGAAAACAATAGGTGGAAATATAATTTATGATACTATTTAAAAATATATATCAATCTTAGTATAAACTCTGAGCTAACTTAGTTTGAAAATATATAAAAACGTGACCACTGAAATTCATAGGTCATATGAATGCCGAGCAAAATGGTCATAGCCAAGCAAAATGATTTCCCCACAGGCATTACTTTCTTTGTTAAAAAATGCTTACATAAAAGAATTTTAAGATTTGGCAGTTTTCTGGTTAGAAATATAAATTAGGGAAGCTACACAATAAGTTTTCGTTGACTCATAGGTTGAGAAGCAGCTTCCATAAATTATCTAGATATTTTTCCCACCTCTACTTAGGAATGTTCTAAACTGATTTAGACAGATAACTTTTGTATAATTGCATTGAGAAAGGTAACCTTACAGTCTATCACCTATCCCAGTGTTCAGAGGTTGATGCTAGGCAAGTTAATGAGATATGCACATTTTCCCAACACATTCTTTCATCTCACCATTTGTGTGTCTCTTTTATAACTCTCGCACCTTGTCTTTCAGCTTCCTGGTGGTGCTTGAATGGAGGCAAGGAGTCATACTGGGGAGATAGATGCAAGGGTTGCAAGTCCTGTCTAAATCTCTTACTGTACAAACTTTGCCATATCTTCTTTACTCTTTGAGCCTCCTTGATCTTCACCATATAATGGTGGTAATAATATGTACCTTTTAGGACTGAGTTAAATGCACACAAAGTCATTTTTCCCTCAGATGGGCCATAGGGTCCATGAAGAGGTTAAAATTATACCTCCTTTCTTAACTTCCTTTCTGCTTACAACCAAAACTGTATTGAAATTGCCAGCCTGGTCCATTCCAAGATGGCCAAACAGGAACAGCTCTGGTCTGCAGCCCCCAGAGTGATCAACGCAGAAAACAGGTGATTTCTGCATTTCCAGCTGAGCTTCCTGGTTCATCTCACTGGGACTGGTTGGACAGTGGGTGCAGCCCATGGAGAGTGAGCCAAAGCAGGGTGGGGCATTGCTTCACCCAGGGAACACAAGGGGTCAGGGGATTTCCCTTTCCTAGCCAAGGGAAGCCATGACAGACGGTACCTGGAAAATTGGGACACTGATGCCCAAATACTGCGCTTTTCCAATGGTCTTAGCAAACAGCACACCAGGAGATTATGTCCCACAGCTGGCTTGGCAGATCCCATGCCCACAGAGCCTTGCTCACTGCTAGCACAGCAATCTGAGATCAAACTGTGAGGTGGCAGCCTGTTAGGGAGAGGGGCATCTGTCATTGCTGAGGCTTGAGTAGGTAAACGAAGTGGCCAGGAAGCTCGAACTGGATGGAGCCTATGGCAGCTCAACAGGGCCTGCTGCCTCTGTAGACTCCACCTCTGGGAGCAGGGCATAGCTGAACAAAAGGCAGCAGAAACTTCTGCAGACTTAAACATCCCTGTCTGACAGCACTGAAGACAGCAGTGGTTCTCCCAGCATGGTGTTTGAGCTCTGAGAACGGACAAACTGCCTCCTCAAGTAGGTCCCTAAACCCCGTATAGCCTAACTGGGAGACACCTCCCAGTAGGGGCCAACTGACACCTCATACAGGCAGGTGCCCTCCGGGATGAAGCTTCCAGAGGAAGGATCAGGCAGCAATATTTGCTGTTCTGCAGCCTCTGCTGGTGATACCTAGGCAAACAGGGTCTGGAGTCGACCTCCAGCAAACTCCAAAAGACCTGCAGCTGAGGGACCTCACTGTTAAAAGAAAACTAACAAACAGAAAGGAATAGCATCGACATCAACAAAAAGGACATCCACACCAAAACCTCATCTGTAGGTCACCATCATCAAAGACCAAAGGTAGATAAAACCACAAAGATGGGGAGAAACCAGAGCAGAAAAGCTGAAAATTCTAAAAACCAGAGTGCCTCTTCACCTCCAAAGGATTGCAGCTCCTCGCCAGCAATGGAACAAAGCTGGACAGAGAATGACTTTGACGAGTTGAGAGAAGTAGTCTTCCAAAGGTTGGTAATAACAAATTTCTCTGAGCTAAAGGAGGATGTTTGAACCCATAGCAAGGTAGCTAAAAACACTGAAAAAAGATTAGATGAATGGCTAACCAGAATAAACAGTGTAGAGAAGACCTTAAATGACCTGATGCAGCTGAAAACAATGGCACAAGAACTACATGATGTGTGCACAAGTTTCAGTAGCTGATTCGATCAAGTGAAGGAAAAGGTATCAGTGATTGAAGATCGAAATGAAGCGAGAAGAGAAGTTTAGAGAAAAAAGAGTAAAACAAAATGAACAAAGCCTCCAAGAAATATGGGACTATGTGAAAAGACCAAATCTATGTCTGATTGGTGTACCTGAAAGTGATGGGGAGAATGGAGCCAAGTTTGAAAACACTCTTCAGGATATTATCCAGGAGAACTTCCCCAGCCTAGAAAGGCAGACCAACATTCAAATTCAGGAAATGCAGAGAACACCACAAAGATACTCCTTGAGAAGAGCAACCCCAAGACACATAATTGTCAGATTCACCAAGGTTGAAATGAAGGAAAAACTGTTAAGGGTAGCGAGAGAGAAAGGTCAGGTTACCCACAAAGGGAAGCCCGTCAGACTAACAGCTGATCTCTCAGCAGAAACTCTACAAGCCAGAAGAGAGTGGGGGCCAATATTCAACACTGTTAAAGAAAAGAATCTTCAACCTAGAATTTCATATCCAGCCAAACTAAGCTTCATAAGTGAAGGAGAAATAAAATCCTTTACAGACAAGCAAATGCTGAGAGATTTTGTCACCACCAGGCCTACCTTACAAGAGCTCCTGAAGGAAGCACTAAACATGGAAAAGAACAACTGGTACCAGCCACTGCAAAAACATGCCAAATTGTAAAGACCATCGATGCTAGGAAGAAACTGCATCAACTAATGGGCAAAATAACCAGCTAACATCACAATGACAGGATCAAATTCACACATAACAATATCAACCTTAAATGTAAATGGGCTAAATGCCTCAAGTAAAAGACACAGACTGGCAAATTGGATAAAGAATCAAGACCCATCAGTGTGCTGTGTTCAGGAGACCCATCTCACATGCAGAGACACACATAGGCTCAAAATAAAGGGATGGAGGAAGATCTACCAAGCAAATGAAAATAAAAAAAAAGCAGGGGTTGCAATCCTATTCTCTGATAAAACAGACTTTAAACCAACAAAGATCAAAAGAGACAAAGAAGGCCATTACATAATGGTAAAGGGATCAATTCAACAAGAAGAGCTAACTATCCTAAATATATATGCACCGAATACAGGAGCACCCAGATTCATAAAGCAAGTCCTTAGAGACCTACAAAGAGACTTAGACTCCCACACAATAATAATGAGAGACTTTAACACCCCACTGTCAACATTAGACAGATCAACAAGACAGAAAGTTAACAAGGATATGCAGGAATTGAACTCAGCTCTGCACCAAGCAGACCTAATAGACATCTACAGAACTCTCCACCCCAAGTCAACAGAATGTACATTCTTTTCAGCACCACACCATACCTATTAAAAAATTGACCACATAGTTGGAAGTAAAGCACTCCTCAGCAAATGTAAAAGAACAGAAATTATAACAAACTGTCTCTCATACCACAGTGCAATCAAACTAGAACTCAGGATTAAGACACTCACTCAAAAGTGCTCAACTACATGGAAACTGAACAACCTTCTCCTGAATGACTACTGGGTAAATAACGAAATGAAGGCAGAAATAAAGATGTTCTTTGAAACCAATGAGAACAAAGACATAATGTACCAGAATCTCTGGGACACATTTAAAGCAGTGTGTAGAGGGAAATTTATAGCATTAAATGCCTACAAGAGAAAGCAGGAAAGATACAAAATTGACACCCTAACATCACAATTAAAAGAACTAGAGAAGCAAGAGCAAACAAATTGAAAAGCTAGCAGAAGGCAAGAAATAACTAAGATCAGAGCAGAACTGAAGGAGATAGAGATGCAAAAAAACCCTTCAAAAAATCAATGAATCCAGGAGCTGGTTTTTTGAAAGGATCAATGAAATTGATAGACTGCTAGCAAGACTAATAAAGAAGAAAAGACAGAAGAATCAAATAGACGCAATAAAAATGATAAAGGGGATATCACCACCAATCCCACAGAGATACAAACTACCATCAGAGAATACTATAAACACCTCTATGCAAATATACTAGAAAATCTAGAAGAAATGGATAAATTCCTGTACACATATACCCTCCCAAGGCTAAACCAGGAAGAAGTCCAATCTCTGAATAGAACAATAACAGACTCTGAAATTGAGGCAATAATTAATAGCCTGCCAACCAAAAAAAGTCCAGGACCTGAGGGATTCACAGCCGAAATCTACCAAAGGTACAAAGAGGAGCTGGTACCATTCCTTCTGAAACTATTCCAATCAATAGAAAAAGAAGGAATCCTCCCTAACTCATTTAATGAGGCCAGCATCATCCTGATACCAAAGCCTGTCAGAGACACAACAAAAAAAGAGAATTTTAGACCAGTATCCCTGATGAACATCAATGCAAAAATTGTAAATAAAATACTGGCAAACCGAATCCAGCAGCAAGCACATCAAAAAGCTTATCCAGCATGATCAAGTCAGCTTCATCCCTGGGATGCAAGGCTGGTTCAACATATGCAAATCAATAAATGTAATCCATCACATATACAAAACCAATGACAAAAACCACATGATTACCTCAATAGATGCTGAAAAGGCCTTCTACAAATTTCATCAGCCCTTCATGCTAAAAACTCTCAATAAACTGGGTATTGATGAGACGTATCTCAAAATAGTAAGAGCTATTTATGACAAACCCACAGCCAATATCATACTGAATGGGCAAAAACTGGAAGCATTCCCTTTGAAAACTGGCACAAGACAGGGATGCCCTCTCTCACTACTCCTATTCAACATAGTGTTGGAAGTTCTGGCCAGGGCAATCAGGCAGAAGAAAGAAATAAAGAGTATTCAATTAGGAAAAGAGGAAGTCAAATTGTCCCTATATGCAGATGACATGATTGTATATTTAGAAAACCGCATGGTCTCAGCCCAAAATCTCCTTAAGCTGATAAGCAACTTCAGCTAAGTCTCAGGATACAAAATCAATGTGCAAAAATCACAAGCATTCCTATACACCAATAATAAACAAACAGAGAGCCAAATCATGAGTGAACTCCCATTCATAATTGCTTCAAAGAGAATAAAATACCTAGGAATCCAACTTACGAGGGATGTGAAGGACCTCTTCAAAAAGAACTACAAACCACTGCTCAACAAAATAATAGAAGACACAAACAAATGGAAGAACATTCCATGCTCATGGAAGGGAAGAATCAATATCGTGAAAATGGACATACTTCCCAAAGAAATTTATAGATTCAATGCCATCCCCATCAAGCTACCAATGACTTTCTTCACAGAATTGGAAAAAGTTAACGTTCATATGGAACCAAAAAAGAGCCTGCATTGCCAAGACAATTCTAAGCAAAAAGAACAAAGCTGGAGGCATCACACTACCTGACTTCAAACAATACTATAAGACTACAGTAACCAAAACAGCATGGTACTGGTACTAAAACAGAGATATAGACCAATGGAACAGAACAGAAGCCTCAGAAATAACACCACACATGTACAGCCACCTGATCTTTGACAAACCTGACAAAAACAAGAAATGGGGAAAGGATTTGCTATTTAATAAATGGTGCTGGGAAAACTGGCTAGCCATATGTAGAAAGCTGAAACTGGATCCCTTCCTTACACCTTATACAAAAGTTAAGTTGGATTAAAGACTTAAATGTTAGACCTAAAACCATAAAAACCCTAGAAGAAAACCTAGGCAATACCATTCAGGACATAGGCATGGGCAAGGACTTAATGACTAAATCACCAAATAGCAATGGCAACAAAAGCCAAAATTGACAAACAGGATCTAATTAAACTGAAGAACTTCTTCACAGCAAAAGAAACTACCAACAGGCAACCTACAGAATGGGAGAACATTTTTGCAATCTACCCGTCTGACAAAGGGCTAATATCCAGAATCTACAAAGAACTCAAATTTACAAGAAAAAAACAAACGACCCCATCAGAAAGTGAACAAAGGATATGAACAGAGACTTCTCAAAAGAAGACATTTATTCAGCCAGCAGACACATGAAAAATGCTCATCGTCCCTGGCCATCAGAGAAATGCAAATCAAAACCACAATGAGATACCATCTCACACCAGTTAGAATGGCAATCATTAAAAAGTCAGGAAACAACAGATGCTGGAGAGGATGTGGAGAAATAGGAACACTTTTACACTGTTGGTGGGAGTGTAAACTAGCTCACCCGTTGTGGAAGACAGTGTGGCGATTCCTCAAGGAGCTAGAACTAGAAATACCATTTGACCCAGCCATCCCATTACTGGGTATATACTCAAACGATTATAAATCATGCTGCTATAAAGACACATACACATATATGTTTATTGCAGCACTATTCACAATAGCAAAGACTTGGAACCAACCCAAATGTCCATCAGTGATACACTGGATTAAGAAAATGTGGCACATATACACCATGGAATACTACGCAGCCATAAAAAGGATGAGTTCATGTTCTTTGCATGGACATGGATGAAGCTGGAAACTATCATTCTAAGGAAACTATCACAAGGACAGAAAACCAAACACGACATGTTCTCACTCATAGGTGGGAATTGAACAATGAGAACACTTGGACACAGGGCAGGGACCATCACACATTGGGGCCTGTCTTGGGGTTGGGGGCTCGGGGAGGGGTAGCATTAGGAGAAATACCTAATGTAAATGATGAGTTAATGGGTGCAGCAAACCAACGTGGCCCATGTATACCTGTGTAACAAACCTGCACATTGTGCACATGTACTGTGTAACGTAAAGTATAATAATAATAAAAAAAAAGAAATTGCCAACCCTACTCAACAGCTGTTGGAAAAAAATTATCTGTCCTAATTATTTTGCCTTTACATGTGCAGGAATGATAAGTACTTAAGAACAAATGTGTTATCTCCAGGCTGGAGATCTTCATTTGGATATATGGTAATTTCCTTAAACTTAACATGTCCAGACTGAACTTCTGATCCTCCCTCCCCAACCAAACCCCTATCACAAATACCCAATTAATATCTCTTGGACAGCAACTCTGCTCTTCTGATCACTATGTAAAAACTTTGGAGTACCTCGTTGACACTTCTTTCTCTCCCACCCTACTTCCAATTATCAGGAAATCTTAGTGTCTGAAACTTTAAAATATATTTCAAATCTGATTCTTTATTGCTACTTCTAACAACTATCATGTCGTAAATTTTTTCATTTTTTGCCTGGATTAGGCAATAATCATCCCAGTCACATCCCCTGATTCAACTTTCTTCCATCTGTTACTGCTTTCAAGATAGATGTCAGGAGGATCTTTTCAAAATGTTGGTTCACATAACTGAAAACCCTGTAGGGGCACCCTGCTTCACTGAGGTTAAAAACCAATATTCTGACTGTGCTCTGTAAGGCCCTATATGATCAAAATCTTGACCTCTATTCCTACCTGATCTGATCTCCCTCACATTTTCCAGCTGGGTGCCTGCTTTCTTGCTTCTTCTATAACACATTAGGTTGTGAAGCATCCTCTGTCCTCAGGTTCTTCACTCTGTCTGCTACCTCTGTCTGGAACCCCTTACCCACTCCTCCTTCCCCCTAAATCCCCTTGGCTATCTTTCTTACCTCTTTCCTCAAATCTTTGTCCTCTCAATAGGACTAACTTGAACCTGACATTTAAGATTGTGGGCTGTCCCCACCCCACTACTACAAATCCTCCTTATCCCGCTGTACCCTTTTCTGAATGCACATATCATCTTTTCAAATTTTATATAAGTTACTTATTTATTATTTACCATATTTTTCTTATTTCTTCTTTCTATCAGAAAGCTGTAGCTGTATAAGGATGGATTTTTTGTTGATGTATCCCAAGTATTTTGTATGGTATCTAGTAAATAGCAGACAATAAATATTTGTTGAATGAATGGACAACATATGTATTATTCTGTTCTCATGCTGCTATAAAGAGCTGCCTGAGACTGGGTAATTGATAAAGGAAAGAGGTTTAATTGGTTCACATTCCACATGACTGGGAAGGCCTCAGGAAACTTACAATCATAGTGGAATGGGAAGCAAACACGTCCTTCTTCACATGCCTGCAGGAAGGAGAAGTGCTGAGCAAAGGGAGGAAGCCCCTTATAAAACGATCAGATCTTGTGAGAACTCACTCACTGTCTTGAGAATATCATGGGGAACCTGCCCCAATGATTTAGTTATCTCCATCTGGTCCCACCCTTGACATGTGGGGATTATTATGATTCAAGGTGAGATTTGGGTGGAGATGCCTAGCCAAACCATATCAACATATTAAGCCTTCTTGAGGTATTTGTATGTTTAAAAAGTTTCTTACTCATCTATAGGAATCAGCCTCCAATAACAAACTTTCATGCGGTGTGGCAGATTTCTGGGAGATAGCCTGAGGCTTTTCCACTACTCCTCCTATTAAACAATTTGCATGTCTGAAACTTCAGAATTAAAATTTGGGTCAAAAATATAGATTGGCAAAACTATTGGTATGTTTAATGTATATATTATGCTATAAAATATATATACAAACATGAGAAACTGTTTGAAGAAATTATTGGGGGGATGTGATTATTAGTAAAACCTCCCAAAAGACATTACAGCTTAGTGGTTAAGATCACAGGCTCTGTATTTCAGTTAAATCTTAGTTATACTACTTCCTAGTATAAGCTTGCGTGAGTTATTGGAGTTCTCTCTGCCTCTGTAAAATCTGGACTTTCCTACAGTTGGGTACCGCAGTAAGTTTATGATAGCTGCAGGGTAGAAACATAATGAGTTGTATGCTTATTATCTGCAAAATAATATATTCAGATTGTGTGTGGAAGTTTTTATTTGGGGGACATTAAAAGTTCTTATGTCAGACACTGAATTGTACATTAGGTGACTCTTCAGTGACCATATTTATTTAAATTGACAAATAAATATTGTATATATTTATGGTATACAACACGATGCTTTAAAATATGTATACATACACTGTAGAATGGCTAAGTCAGGCTACATAATATATGCATTACTCCACATACTTATTTTTTGTGGCAAGAACACTTGAAATCTATTATATTAGCGATTTCCAAGTATATAATACATTGCTATTAACTATGGTTACAATGTTGTATGATATATCTCTTGAACTTATTCCTCCTGTCTAACTGAAATATTGAATACTTTGATAAACATCAAAGGATACAATCAACCTACCCCAGTCCCTGGTAACTACGATTCTACTCCCTGCTACTGTGACTTCAACTTTTTAGGCTACACAAATAAGTGAGATCGTGCACTTTCTGTGTTTTTCTGTGTCTGACTTATTTCACGTAGCATGATGTCTTCCAGGTTTATCATTGTTATTGCAAATGACAGGATTTCCTTCCTTTTAAAGGCTGACTAGTATCCCATTGTGTATTTATACCACATTTTCTTTATTTGTTCACGTGTTTTGGGTACTTAGCTTGATTCCATATCTTGGCTGTTGTGAACAGTGCTGCGGCAAACATGGGAGTGCCAATAATTCTTCAACATATTGATTTCATTTCCTTTGGATATATACCCAGTGGTGGGATTGCTGGATTATGTGGTAGTGATCATGTTTTAGACATGATGATAATAGTTTATATCTCCTAAGGTTGTTGTAAGAAATAAAATAATGCTTATAAAGTAGTCAGATCAGTGCATGGTACCTAGTTTAAATATTCAGTATTTATTGAACAAAAGGAAAGAAAGGATGCAAAACAAAATAGAGCATACAAAAAAGTTATTTAACCAAACACAGCACTTTATGGAAAAATATATCAACTGTTTTGTTCTTGTACTAAAATATATTTTGATAATATATGTATCACTTTATATTCTTTAAGATTTAAATCTATCCTATTTGTTATGCAAAGAAAGAGCTAAATATAACTACATTGGTTCCTCCACTGACGTATATGTGTAGACATTATTTTTGTTACAACAAAGACAATATTTACTGTTGGCAAGCTACACAGAAATACATGATGAAGGCAGAAAGAAAATATCAAGGAAACAAGTCATATCCTTTTAAGGACAAAGCTGTTCTTGTGAACAGTAATACCCAACACCACAGGATATCCGATTAACCTGTTTCAAGAAAAGTTCCCATCGTTGAAGGACATGAAGTATATTTCACACTTAAAAGTGTATTTGTCTTCCTATCTTTAACCTCACCCTTCCTTTTATGTTGCTTTGGTTTTTCAAATTCTCTGTGTATCCTCCTAGAAAAAATAAAATAAATAGAAAAATAAAATGAAGAAAAGAAACCCAGACACAACATTTAAGGTTAAAGAGTAAATTGTACAAAGGAATTGAAGAAAACAAGAGAGCTCTTAACTCACTTCCTCAAAGGATTGAAATTTTTATTTGAAGTCATCCTATGCATTAAAACATCACAGATTTTTATTACAGTGAATAACTATTGTGAAGTGGGGGAAGAGAAAGGAGGAAGAAGATACTATGTTTAATTCTTTTTATTGTGGTTAACATTACTGTGGTAGATGTTAGTGGTTGTAAATTGGATGAAACTTATGGAGGGCTGCTGAGTTGCTGGTCAAATTTCATCTCTTGATTTATGAGGTCCTTATTTTGCTTCCTTTGTAATCATTACGTATAATTCATCAATCTCTACATGAATAATTTGTATGCTTTTCTTTATATCTAGTATATTTTAATTAAAAGTTCATATGCAAATAAAAAATTAAAGAGAGCTCCAAATGTATTAAAAAGAGCAAATAATTAAATTTCATCCTGGGCTGTATTGCAGTTGGTTACTGCAGTTAGCTTGTTATAGCTATGGGGGAGAAACATAATACTTCCTTTTACCTGGAGATATAAAATAACTAAATTTGTGTGTGGGAGTTTATCTTTTTGGACTACGTGTTCTGTGTGAGCCAATAAATTGTATAGTAGGTGAGTCTTCAATGATCATGTTTTAAAGACACATTGCTCAAATTTACATTGTCCTTATTTGATCCTCTATAAAAGTAAGAAAATATCATTAAATCTTAACTCATTTGACATCATGCTGCAGGAAGATAAGGTATTAAAGTCTGGGTATATTTCTTTCTGTTGATTTAACATTATAAGGCATAGATACTGTGATATCCAAGACAATAAATAGTAAACATATTCATTATTATCTATTTTTAAAATGTCAGTTATCTTAGAAGTTATCTATTTTCCAATGTTGTGGATATTGAGGTTGATTTCTCTGATTAATGTCAAAAATCATCTGCTATAGGGAAGAAGGGCTGATATCCTTTAATTTTTTGATAGACTATATGTAAAGATTTCTCTGGAAATCTAAGAACCACACAGGAGGGGACTTGAATTATACTAAAAATCAAACTCCTTTTTCAAGAAGATCAAGGGACCATAAAAGAGCTTTGCCCAGCCTGGAATACCCGTTTCCTAAGTCCTTATCTGTCTCAATTCTTTCTTGAACATGTCTATTGGTATTCACCTTCTCCAGAAAGTTTTTTGGATTGCCTAGCTAATGCAGCTCTACATTTCTATAGTTCAAACCCCTAGCACTACAGTTTATAAACAAAAATATCACAAAGGTTGGTTTGCTTGTCCTCAGCACATAGTCAATAGGTGTTTGGTGAGTGAAAAAGTTGTCAGTTGGGGCTATTGACCTTCAGAGGGGAAACTGTTATACCTGCTTGCTAATAATCTGAAACTGTCTAGCGTTAGTAGACATTCTCAATGCCTATTAATTATTTTAATTATTTAAGAGTACGAAGAAAGAAGAGAAAAAAGAAATAAAAAAGAAAGGGAAAGGGAAAGGAAAGGAAAAAGGAAAAAAAGACAATTTAGTTGAGCAGGGTTGACAAATCTCTCAAAGCAGGTCATGGTGCAAATTCTTGTGTGCCTGACACAGAAAAATAAGTAGCTTACTATTGACCAATGGTAATTTCATTCTTAAATTAAGACATAGGCAATGAAACGTAGACAATAAGCATATTTTCTCCCTTTGAGTTCTACATGCATCAAATGAATCTTTGAGGGACATTCCACCAGGCCAAAGTCTAGACTAAACAGGTGTAAAAATGAGAACTATTTTAATTTTTAAAAATTAAGAATAGGCTGCATGAAGTTACAGCAGAGAAAAGGCAAGGCAAAGAATTATATCCTAAAGTATGAATCACATGTGGCTTGAGTTTATCCATTTTTCAAGTTTAATCCCTGAATTGAACTAGAATTCACTGTCTATTAATTTTATTCTAAAATCCTCCTGTAATTTTATAAGCCAGTTTTACAAGCTTTTGGTTTAATTCATAATTGTGTAAGAAAATTGTGGTGCTCGAATCATATCAAAAACAAATTTAAACCACCCAATCCAAGCAACAAAAAACAAAAAGATAGAGAAGGTACAGAAAGACATAGAGAAAGAGACTGACAAAAATGGGAAAGCATCTAGAATTCATGTTTTGTAGGAACTTGGGCTGGAAAAAGAGGACTGAAGTGGAATATGATTGATAACTTCACAAAGTAGGCACAAATTGGAAGTCAACACAGGTTGGCTTCATTTCAATATTGATAACTTTCAAAGCATCAGAGCTGTGCAGCACCAGGCAGAAGGACCTCATGGAGGAAGGCACACTCATTACTGGAAATGTTCAAACAGGGCCTGGGTGACCACCTCTCTGGGTGTTGGATGGCCAAGACATTGAGAAGACATTCGATGAAATTTCTTCTAATTTGTAGATTCTATAGAATGTAGTATCCCACAAAGGACATGGGAAAACACCTCTCTATTTCTTTATTCTTTCCTTTTCTCATAACCAAATAGAATTGATAAAATGCTATCTTAGAATGAATAACAGAGAGTATTATGACACATTTCATAAGTAGCTAAAATCTATAATACTCCAAACAGAATAAATGCTAGGTTCAAATCCCTAAATCAGATGGAGAAAGGAAAATATCCAGGTCAATCTTTTATAAAATTTAAAATGTTATATTTGATATATTGCTGATTTTCTACCATTTTATTAGCTATAATGGTTATTACAGTTATAAGTTTTAATAGGTCCATATGTATATATGTATATATATGTATGTATGTTCTAAAAGATGAGTTTAAGTGATGCAGGACTTATTAGTTCCGTAGAACATATTAACCATTGCACTATTTTTTATACTTATTAAGTAACTAATTGTATATCATATGGAAAAGAAAAAATAATAAGATCTAAAAACAGGTCTAACTGTCCAGAGACAGAAGGAGATAGGTCCCACGGTGTTGACTTGTACCTTGTTAGGGTGTTTCACTAAGTAATGCATATGGGGGTGTTTGAAATACATTTTCAATTAATTTAAAAGGTGTTTGTGTGCCTTTAAGGGATCAAGGATAGAATGGTAAACACACTATGTTATTTTTTCACTAAGAGTCACAGTCAGTGGGAGAAACAGATAGGTGAACCTAAAATTACAGTACGTTAAGACAGACACAATAATAGAAGCACATCGAATTGCTGCAGATCAGAGAGGAGGGGCATGTATTCAGAAAGGAAAGTCAGGAAGGCTTCATGGAAAATGTGAGATTCGAGCTCCAAATTTGGAAGAGTGAATTCATGTGCGCTACATGAAGAGGAATGAAAGGATTCCAGCAGTAGAATAATTCAGAGGTATCAAACAGTCTGATACTGCCAGGTAACTGATGCCCCAAGAAAGTGCTGGACCAGTCATGAAATGGAGAGTGAAGCAGGTGAATGGACAGCTGGGAGCTCAATAAAATGAGTTGCTGGCTGGAAGGGGAGGGCATAAAGCTGGGTTGAAATAGGATGGTTAGAGGTAAGCCTGATATAAGAGTGGGTTGAAGGGCAGACAGAACTAATCTTCTGAATATTACTTTTTTTATATAAAGCTTTCTCTAGTGTGTGGCTTTATGGCTTTATGAGTCGTGGAGTGTCTTTTGACCAGCATCAGACACCCAGGTGGCAGCCTCAAATAGCACTGCCTGTGTCCTGCTGGAAAAGCCAGATGTTGGCCTGTTGCTTTTTTTGCATGAATTTTATAAAATTGCAGAAAATTCTGGGGAAATGGAACTTTGATTAGTCATATTTTTCTGCCCATGGGGAGAATGTGATTTTAGAAGAGATGAAAGATATGAAATACTTGATTATATGTTGTTATTTTTCATGATATATTGATGATTATATGCAATAATAAATTAAAAAGTAATAAGGAATCAATTCTTTATTTCCATGAAGAGGGATCTTAGCTGTGATTCCATAAAGGTGGGCGGGTGTTTTTAGGGAGGATGGTTGAGGTGGATGGTAGCCTCTGCTCTTAGTTGTCTTCTTGCCTGTTGCTCATATTCCCTTTACTTTTATTTTTGTTTATTTATTTAATTTATAATTGATATATTATGGTCGTACATATTTTTGGGGTAAGTGTAATAATTTATACACGTACACAATGTGTATTGATTAAGTCAAGGCAATTGGGATATCCCTTTCAGATTTACTCCAGGGAAGATCACCTGTGCACATCTAATTGAGACAGGTGACCTGGATGGCTTTGAAGTTCACCTTAGCCTGACTAAACTTTAGCCTTCTTTCTGACGGCAGCCCCAGATCTCTCTTTTCTTAGAGCATTCATTCATTTTAGAAAACTTGCAAATTGTAACTATTTCTGTGCTCCTTTGAAATGAAAATCTTTAAAAAAGCCTCTTGCCAGTTTTGCAATCTAGAATTGTTTTTCTCAGGGAGCTGAGGGTCTTCCCCCTCCTTTTTTTTTTTTTTTTGAGACCGAATCTCGCTCTGTCGCCCAGGCTGGAGTGCAGTGATGCGATGTCGGTTCACACCATCCTCCTGCCTCAGCCTCCCGAGTAGCTGGGACTACAGGCGCCCACCACCATGCCCGGCTAATTTTTTATATTTTCAGTAGAGACGGGGTTTCACTGTGTTAGCCAGGATGGTCTCCACCTCCTGACCTCGTGATCCGCCCACCTCGGCCTCCCAAAGTGCTGGGATTACAGGCGTGAACCACCGCGCCCGGCCATGGTGGTGGTGGGGGGTGGGGTGTCGGGGGGTGGTCCTCCTTTCGAAATGCAATCATCAAGAAAGAGCCCCCATCTTTCTGGCTCTGTGTGGGGATAGGAGCCTAACTTAGATAAGCAAAAATTAGCAAACACAGATGGCCTAATTGCATTGACCAATTCCCCACAAATGCCTCCTGTACTTTTTCCACTCTCTCACCTCAGCATTTAAAAGCTCTTCCAACTTTGGTTTCTGCAGAATTGAGTTCAATCTCTTTCCCTTATTGCCATAACCTTGGCCCCAAACGCAATAGGTGTGGAATAAATCTTCCTTACCTGTTTAACTTGTCCACTGCAACTTTTCTTTGACATACGGTTTGCCTAGAATCACACTAAAAGATGGCCACATAAATCTATAGCCAAAAGAGTTTCAGTATAAGGTGAAATTGGCCATAGTAGCACGTGTTCGTGCTAGGTGACTGGAGATTTTAAAAACCTAGGTAATCAACGTAGTGTCTCTCTTCGAGTTCTATGTGCACAAGGTGAGTCTTTGAGGGATGTTCCACTGGGCCAAAGTCTAGGCCAAAAGATCTTTTAAAAGGTGTAAAAATGAGAACTATTGAGGGCAGAATGATTAGCTGTGTGAACTGAAAGTAAATATAGAATACTGGGATGGGACTGAAGGATGGAGATAATTATTCTTCTGCACGTTCAAGGAGTTAAGTTGCTGTGATTTTTTTTCCAGAGGTAAGATGGAAAATTAAGTCATATATGCAACAAATCTCTTTTTATGATGGTAAGTTTCTTTGAACTTTTTTATGCCTTCCAACTAGTGAAGATAATTGGATAGGTTATCCAATGATTCTTATATGACAACTTTGCTTGCAAAAACAAAGTGGGTCAAAAATGCAAATATAGCCTTCTGCTTTAATGCAAATATGGGAAATAAGCAATTATCTGACAAATGGCAGCTGTTTAAACTGCAGGATACTAAACTGGTATCTTAGCAGGGGTGTCATTATCTATAGGCCATTTAAAGTTTGTTTCTTTATTATTTCATTTTTATTGGCTTTGGTTTTAAAAAGGGAAAGATAAACTCCCCAACTGAAGGCTTTATTACTTTTACTATATAAATGTTGCTCTATGACCAAAAAGATATGCTGTTATTTGATTAAAGTTCTCAAAAGAGTAATCTCAACTTTTTTATTATTTCTATTTAGAGATAAAGAAAATACTTGAGTGTGTGTGTGTGTTTGTGTAGCAGCCAAGTTGAAACTTTTATGTTGACATTATTCTTGTTGAAATTTATCTTCACAATTCATAGAAATTGGTGATTGATGAGAAATTTTAATTTTTTTAAGTAAAATTTGGATTTGCTTAGCATCTCAGGACAGAACATTCTTCATGGATAGAATTCTGTTCTACATGGAAGTGGGCAGATAAATGGGGCAAACTGTGGTGGAATGGCAAAGGAGGTAAGGTTACTTTCCATTGCTCCCGTTTACTTTTTTTTTCATTTACTCCTAAGCACCGTCTCTCTCTTTCATTTCAGGTATTCAGTATCCTGTTAATTGTAATCCGATCTCCCCTGGAGAGAAAATGGTAATTACTTTCAGGTTCATGAATACCAATAATACCAATTGATGTATTTACCTCATTATTTTCTTTGATATGACAGCTACACTAATAGATCAGAACAAAATGTGTCCATGTAGTATCTTGAGTTCATCAAGTCACTTTGCAAGTTATCTCCAATATATTGTGGGTTAGCTATAGCAATATAAGCTAGATGCTGTAGATAGATTAATAATCAAATGTCTGCATTCATAGAATGACTACTAATGAACTGCTGTCAACAAGAAGAAAAAAGTTCGATCGGTGTAAGTGGTAGCTGGGTCCCTTTTCTCTTTACTATGTTCTTAAATGAACACATACAGGCAGGGTGTGGTGGCTCACACCTGTACTCCCAGCACTTTGGGATGCTGAGGTGGGCAATTCACTCAAGCTCAGGAATTTGAGACCAGCCTGGGCAACGTGGTGAAACCCCATCTCTACAAAAAAATACAGAAAATTAGCTGAGCATGGTGGCATGTGCCTGTAGTCCCAGCTACTTGGGAGGCTGTGGTCAGAGAATCACCTGAGTCTATGAGGTAAAAGCTGCAATGAGCAGAGATCAAGCCACTGCACTCCAGCCTGGGTGACAGAGTGGGACCATGTTTAAAAAAAAAAAAAAAGAAAATTAACATACGAAAAATACTTTTTTTTTTTTTTGTATGATGTGCAGCCTAGAAGGAAAGTGAGCAGTGGCATCAGGAGCCACTGAAAAAGTTATCAGACTGGGAAATTGTGTTATGCCTAATAATATTACTTTTATTAAGGATGAAAGTAAAATCCGACACTGGTGAACTCAAATCCCATGAGAGTAGGGACAGACATGGCACAAAGCATGGAAAATGGAACGAGATTTTAACTGAAAATACATTTAATATGAATCATCAATCAGATATGATCGCTATAGAGGCTAGTGCAACTTTGGCTAAATTAATAGAAATGTAGTTTAGAGAATGAGGGAGGCATTATCTTTCTCTTTTCTGTGTGTCAGGCAACACTTTGCTGATTGCTTTTAGTCCTAAGTGCCACAGTTTAAGGGAAAAATGCACAAATTGAGGACAGTTAATGGAAGGGTCTGGGGAAGAAGATGCCATGCTATAGAACTTTAGGAAGCACTGGAGCTATTTAATATGATGAAATGAATGTGCCTGTGTGTATCTGTGTGGTTAGAAGCATGAAATGGGTCAAAGATGGTTACCTGCATTCTATTTAGATCTAACAAATAGAATTAGGAGAATTAGAATTAAAGAGTGCATAGGGCTGGGTGCAGTGGCTCACACCTGTAATCCCAGCACTTTGGGACACAGAAGCAGGAGGATCGCTGAAGGTGAGATCAGCCTGCATAACACAGTGAGGCCCCCATCTCTAAAGAAAAAAAATGAGCCAGACATGGTGGCACATGCCTGTAGTCCCAGTGACTCAGGAGGCTGAAGTGGCAGGATTGTTTGTGCTCAGGAGGTTGAGGCTGTAGTGAGCTGTGATTACGCCACTGCACTCCAGCCTGGGGAACAACAGAGTGAGACCCTGTATCAAAAACAACAACAATGACAAAAAAGCAGAATCAAAGAACGTACTCTAAATGGGGACATTCTTTTGTCTAATAAATCTTAAGGCCAGGCATGTTGGCTCACTCCTGTAATCTCAGCACTTTGGGAGGCCGAGGTGGGTGGATCATCTGAGGTCAGGAGTTCCAGACCAGCCTGACCAATATGGTGAAACCCCATCTCTACTAAAAATATGACAATTAGTTGCACCTGTAGTCCCAGCTACTCGGGAGGCTGAGACAGGAGAATTGCCTGAACCTGGGAAGTGGAGGTTGCAGTGAGCCGAGATGGCGCCACTGCACTCCAGCCTGGGTGACAGAATGAGACTCCATCTCAAAAAAAACAAAACAAAACGAACAAACAAAAAAACTGCCACAAATCTTCAAGAAATTTCCTAGCTGATTTAGGGTAGAACACAGTTCCTTATGCTGGAGATGTGAGCACACATGTCCAAATGATTCCTGTTTACATTTCCAGCTAGAGTTGATGTTCTTTTAGTAAACTTTCAAAATCTCTTTTTAAAATTTTTTGAAAGTTTACTTTCAAGATCTCTTTTTAAAATTTTTTGAAAGTTTACTTTCAAAATCTCTTTTTTAAATTTTTTGAAAATTTACTTTCAAAATCTCTTTTTTAAATTTTTTGAAAGTTTACTTTCAAAATCTCTTTTTTAAATTTTTTGAAAGTTTACTAAAAGAACATCAACTCTAGCTGGAAATGTAAACAGGAATCATTTGGAGATGTGTGCTCACATCTCCAGCATAAGGAACTGTGTTCTACCCTAAATCAGCTAGGAAATTTCTTAAAGATTTGTGAGGGTTTTTTTTTTTTCAAAATCTCTGTTTAAGTGAAGTTACTTTTTTAGTAAATGCTTTTAGTAAACTTTCATAACCTCTTTTCTTAGATGTTTCTTTGCACTTCTGTAAGAAAGTTCATGGCAAGAGCTTGTTTAAGAATGTTTCGGGCCGGGGCACGGTGGCTCACGCCTGTAATCCCAGCACTTTGGGAGGCTGAGGCGGGCGGATCATGAGGTCAGGAGGTCGACACCATCCTGGCTTACATGGTGAAACCCCATTTCTACTAAAAATACAAAAAATTAGCTGGGCGTGGTGGCGGGCGCCTGTAGTCCCAGCTACTCGGGAGGCTGAGGCAGGAGAATGGCGTGAACCCAGGAGGCGGAGCTTGCAGTGAGCCGAGATTGCCTCACTGCACTCCACGTGGACTCCAGCCTGGGCAACAGTGCGACCCTCCATCTCGAAAAAAAAAAAGAATGTTTCTTCTATTACTGGAAGTGCTGACTACATGTCTTATGTTAAAGTTGCTTAAATGATCATATGATTTTTATTGGTAGTATTTAATTACGAGTTCCATTTGTCTTTTCTTTAATAGCCTCATTTAACCTCTGTCACTACAGTTGTTATTGCTATCATATGACTTGTAAGATAATTCCAAATATGTGGATAGAAAGTAAAAGTTTTAATGAGTCACTAAAAGATCCATTTGATGGTTCTTTCATGTTTTTGTCTTGACTTGCAACTCCAGAAGCTGCTCACCTTCATGATTTTGTCTGAAATCTGGATGATCTTTTGCCTGGATAATGGTCAACACTCAATTTGGCTTTGAAGAGTCAGGCCCACAATCTCAATTGTGATATAGAGGAGAGCCCACATTTCTACTCAGATTTTTGCTACAAAAATAGAATTCGTATCTAAAATAATAAAGAATTAATTGATATCTCATATAAGTTGAATCATGCAATATCTGTCCTTCTGTGACTGGCTTATTTTACTTAGCATAACTCCCTCTAGGTTCATCTATTTCACCTATATGATGTATCTAAGATACTTAAACGCATAGAAGCTGAAAATAGGATGATGGTTGCTAGAGGTTGTCAGGAGGGGAAGAATGGGGAATTGTTGCTTAACAGGTATAAAATTTCAATTATGAAAGATGAATAAGTTCTAGAAATCTTCTGTACAACACAGTGACTATAGGTAACAATATGGTATTAGACACAGTAATTTGTTAAGAGGATAAATCTCAAGTTGACTGTTCTTATCACAAAAAAAACAACATAAAAGACAATGACAAAAACAAAACATAAAAGAATACAAGGGCATTTTGGGAGGTGATAGATATGTTTAATAACTTGATTTCAGTGATGGTATCTCTGGCTGCATGAATTGGTCCAAACTGATCAAACTTGCAGTATGGTTTTTCTGTATATTAATTATACCTCAATAAAGCTGTTAAAAATTAATTCATGCTGATATAAACTTTAAAAAATTTGAGATGCAATTAAAATACAAGATTTAAAGAAATGTGAACACTGGTTGAAAATTGGTGAGAAAACATCTAATTCTGCCAGTCATCTCTGTTTCTCATTTATGTCATGCTACTTCTATCTAGATCAGAGCAAACTCATTCTGAAACTGTCTTGATTTTAGCTTCTGTCTTTCCAGGACCCATCGCCAGGAGCTGCTTTCCACTTATAGACACAAGTGGCTCACTCACTCTTCTAGGTGTTAGCTAGCAGGGGCAGAGCTTTCTCAGGTATTTTAGCATTCGTTGTGTTGGAAGGTCTCTGCTATGTTCCTGAAAATTCATTTTATCCCCTTTTTCCTTTGCTACATAGAAAGAGGAAGAAACCGTTATGTAGATTGTTCTGTGTGAATCCTCTTATGATTTTTATCACCATAAAACCTTTATGATTTTATCACCAGCTTCCCTGCAGTTTCATTTCACTTTTTTTTTTTACCTTATTAGTGTGTTATTGTTAATTTAAAAATAAAGAGATGACTCACTCATTAAACACTGCTCTGCTGGTTTAATGTTCCCCTAGCAATGGTCCTAAAAGGTTTCCAGATCATTTACAAACCTACATCTGATTCAATCTGATTTTAGTTACAGTCTGAGCTTATTATTACATACATTTTAAAGCATATTTAAACATAGCATCATTTGTAGTTTAAAAACAGAGATGTAAAATAACTTTGAAAAGAGGAAACTGAAGCTTTGTAATCATGTAGATACACTACCTGAATGGCTTACTGATAATTTCACTTTTTAAGTACATTTTACTAAAATTAGTCCGGATGTTTTTGTTTGGTTTGTAAGGTGTATAACTAAGTGTCAGTTCCTTAAGGGAGTTCAGTCCTCATGGAGTTTATAATCAAGTAAGAGAGTCAGGTGAAATGATGAAATGAAAACACTCATCAAATATAAATGACGTTCTTTAAATGCACCTCTGTTAGACTGACTCACTGAAATCAAACCTTGCCATTCCCTAGGGAACATTTTCTAATTTATGGCCAGGACATGCTGAATGCTCACAGCTAGTAGATTATTTTTTACTAAGTCTGCAGTGAGGCACCTGCTTGCCAAGAATTAGTTGTTGGTTCCCAAACCTATTTATGACAGTTGTATTTATTTTGGTAATAATATATTACAAGCAAATATTATAGAAACTAACGACATTGTGAATAAAAGAGTGTCTTATTTCTATGAAGACTAAGTTGAAGTCTTTGGAAAGGTTATAATAAAGGTAATAAAAATAATCAAATTATGTGTGGGCAAGATGACTACAAAAGATTAGAGAAAATCTTAAATTTTCAAAAGGTTATATACTCTGATTATTGTAAGAATCTTTAGATTTCCATTGTATTTAAATAAAATACTAAAGCCTAAGGATTACTGCAAATAAGATGTCTTAAGACTTCAACCAGCAGATTCATTCTTTAATTAAAAAAAGCCTTTGTTATATATAAGTACATTGGCAAATGTATACATTTTTAGATAAAATAAAAAAATTAAAACCTATATGTTTTTGACTTATCCTTTTAACAAACTTTTAAAATTAACTTACTATTAGCTTTGCCCATGTATGCTAAGAGGACTTTTACAATGACAAGTAAGAAGAATACATTGATGATACCTGTTTTGGTCCAGACATTTCCAGAGCCATGGAATAGCATGAAAAAAAAAAAATCTTCGAAATATAATTTATTCCTTCGAATTGGAGTCAAACTTAGAAGCATCCATCAATGGATGAAAGGATAAAGAAAATATGGCATATATAGACAATGTAATACTATTCAGTCTTAAAAAAGAAGAAAATTCTGGCGTTTGTGACAACATGGATGAACATGAAGGACATTAGGTTAAGTGAAATAAGCCAGGCATAGAAAGACAAATACTGGCTGGGCGTGGTGGCTCACACCTGTAATCCCAGCACTTTGGGAGGCCAAGGCGGGCAGATCACGAGATCAGGAGTTCGAGACCAGCCTGGCCAACATAGTGAAACCCCGTCTCTACTAAAAACTGGGCATGGTGGTGGGTGCCTGTAATCCCAGCTATTCAGGAGGCTCAGGCAGGAGAATCACTTGAAACTGGAAGGTGGCGCTTGCAGTGAGCTGAGATCGTGCCACTGCACTCTAGCCCAGGCAACAAGAGCAAAACTCTGTCAAAAAAAAAAAAAAGAAAAAGAAAGAAAGAAAGAAAGGAAGAAAGAAAGAAAGAAAGAAAGAAGAAAGAAATATAAATACTGCATGATCTCACTTATATGTGGAATCAAAAAAAGTTGAATTCATGGAAGTAGAGTACAATGGTGCTTACCAGAGGCTGGAGGGAGGTAGGTGGAATGGGGAGATGTTCAAAGGGTACAAAGTTTCAGTTAGACAGGAGGGATATGTTTTAGAGATTTATTGCACAGCATGGTGACTGTAATTAATAATGCATTGTGTATTTCAAAATTGTTTTAAAATGTAGATTTTAAATGTTCTTACTGCGAAAAACAGTATGTGAGGTGATAGATATGTTAATTAACTTGATTTAATTATTCTTATGTAAACCTATATCAAAACATCACATTGTACCTCATAAAATATATAAAATATTACTCATCAATTAAAAAATAGGTTCAAAGAGTTACTGTGAAGGCTTTGGTTGATAGTTTTCAAAGTCTTTTCATAATAATGATCTCATGTGGAATACAGAAGGACTCCTTCAACAGTTCACAGGAAAACAGCTGTGTGTTTCACAGGGAGGTAGGTCCTTTTAAGTTTGAAATGGAGTTACGTTGGTGGTGGGTGATTTGTTCTGAACGTAAATCTGGGATTGTTCCTAGATTATTAACTCCTCAATGACAGATGTTATTGTGTTTCTCTTGGCAAGTGGCAAAAGTGTTAAACGAGATTCATGAGAATTCCACGTTTAAGCATTATTAGCTTGACTCACTCAATGTCACCACTGTCAGCTGGATACAATGGGTAACACCTTCTTATATGGCAGTCTTGTTTTGAGATTGAGACAATGCAATAGAGATTAACATGAAAGACAGAAAGTCCTATGTACAATGATGTGTTTTATCTGCTGGGACTGGGGTCCGGTAGACATTTGACAACTTTTGTCCACACACAGATTTCAGAGAGGATGTTTCTTTGTTGTGTCCTGTCAACATATATGAGACAAACTGCAGATTCGTCTTAAGGGAGCTGAACATTAATTCATTGATAGCCCACTTTTTTCTTCCAACCTAGTGAGGCACAGTATTATTGTAGGGCATAATAAATTCCTCTTCAAAGGTTTTAGCCTGTAAATTGTTAAGTACAATGAGTTCTGAGATCCTCTCCAAAGAACCAATGTATCAGTATGTTCACCTCCCCTGTTCTTTGTTCTTCATTTGAAAGTTTAACTTCCTCATTCTCTTTGTCTCCTTGCCCCTAGTTTCAGCAAACAACCCCCTCCTAGCCTCTATCACCTGCTCCATTCTGAGTCACCCCTGGTCATCTGCTCTGACCTGAGTCATCCTGAGTCACCTGTTCTGTAACCGTCCTTTCCACTAAACTACTCACCCCACCACTCCAGCTTGTACCTCTGCTCTCTTTAAAATAGCCAATCAGAGTTAGCTTAGACTGTGCAGTCCAACCCTAGCCAATAGGTGAATGACACAGCAGTGGGGGCTACCTGCGTCAGGGATAAGAACTCCTTCCCCTCCCTTGTTCAGGTGTGCTTTGGCCATTACTCCATTCACGAGTTGCACCCTTCTATAGAAGTAAAAATTGCCTTGCTGAGAAAATTAAATTTATGTTTCAGTGCTATTTCTTTTGTGGCACTGAAAATTTGTTTCTCACACTATTTTCTCTATCTAGCTAAAAGAAAGAGTAGTCTGAATTGTCATTACTGTACAAGGGACTCTGCTGCCTCTTATAGCTATGTAAAGTTTTACTTTGCCTTCTGATATGCCAATTGATGCCTAAAAGTTCTTTTCATCTTATTTATTAATGATTTTGTCAAAACTACCTAAAAGTGTAGATTCTAAGATATGCAGTTGTATCCATTATAACTAGATGGATGATAAAGTCTCATTAAGAAAGACAATTGAAAACATGCTATCTGGTGTGATAAATACTTTTTTTTTGGAGGCAAGCATTAGCACTGAATTCTTTTTAGGTCTTTTTAGTTTTTTTTCTTTTGCTTTGTTTTTGTTAAATAGTGAAATTCTGCTATACATAAAGTATATATTGTAATATGCCTCTCTTCAGGAACCTCTTGCCTACTTCCTTAGCATCTAAAACTATTTCCACCAAAAAGATCAATTGAGATGAGAACATTAACTTATTTAGGGGGATGTATGTCAATGTTGCTTTCATAATAGGTGCTACTATATACTACTGCTTAGGATCATCAAAAAGTGAATTAATAATATCATAGTTAATATGGAGTTTTAGATTCTACCTAAAAACAAAACCTGTCATTTATTGAGAGTTTACAGTGTGCCAGGCTCTAGAACCTAAATAGATAATCTCATTTAACCCATGTATCAACCCTAAAAGGTAGGTATTATTTACAGGTAAAGAAACAGAATCATACAGGTGAAGTGACTCACTTAAGGTCAAATACATTAAAAAAATTATTATTACAATTTAAAAAGTAGATTTAGGGGAATGAATGCATTTTTGCTACATGGATATATTGTGTAGTGGTGAAGTCTTGGCTTTTGGTGTACCCATCACTTGAATAGTTTACACCACACCCAGTAGGTAATTTCTCATCCCTCACACCCCCACCCTCCCACCTTTTGTAGTTTCCAATGTGTATTATTCCAATTGTATGTCCATGTGTGTACACATTGTTTAGTTCCCACTTACAAGGGAGAATGTGAAGTATTTGACTTTCTGTTTGTGAGTTATTTCACTTAAGGTAATGGCCTCCAATTCCATCCATGTTACTGCAAAAGACACAATTTCTTTTATGGCTGAGTAGTATTCCATTGTGTATATGTACCACATTTTCTTTATCCAGCATCCATTGATAGACACTTAGATTGATTCCATGACTGCTGTTATAAATACTGCTGCAATAAACATACATGTGCAGGGGTCTTTTTTTTTTTTTTTTTTTAATTGAGACGGAGTCTTGCTCTGTTGCCAGGCTGGAGTGCAGTGGTGTGATCTCAGCTCACTGCAACCTCCGCCTCCTTCCTCAGCCTCCTGAGTAGCTGGGACTACAGGCATATGCCGCCACGCCCAGCTAATTTTTGTATTTTTAGTAGAGACGGGGTTTCACTATGTTGGCCAGGATGGTGTTGATCTCTTGACCTCATGATCCACCCACCTTGGCTTCCCAAAGTGCTGGGATTACAGCATGAGCCACCGTGCCCGGCCAGGGGTCTTTTTAATATAATGATTTAGTTTCCTTTGGGTAGATACCCATAGTGGGACTGCTGGATCACATGGTAATTCTATTTTTAGTTCTTTGAGAAATCTCCACACTGTTTTCCATAGGGATTGAACTAATTTACGTTCTCACTGACAGTGTATAAGCATTCCCTTTTCTCCTCAACCTCACCAATATCTGTTGTTTTTTGACTTTTTAATAGGAGCCATTCTGAGTGGTTTAAGTTGGTGTCTCACTGTGGTTTTAATTTGTGTTTCTCTGATGAGTAATGAGTGATGTTGAGCATTTTTTCATATGTTTGTTGCTGCTTGTATGTCTTCTTTTGAAAAATTTATGATTGTGTCCTTTGCCCACTAGAGTAGGAGGTCCCCAGGCCCCAGGCCATGGACTGGTCCATGGCCTGTTAGGAATCAGGTTGCACAGCAGGAGGTGAGTGGCCAGCAAGCAAGTAAAGCTTCAGCTCTATTTACAGCTGCTCCCCGTCACTCACATTACCTCCTGAACTCCGCCTCCTGTCAGATCAGCGGTGACATTATATTCTCACAGGAGTATGAACCCTATTGTGGACTGTGCGTGCAAAGGAACTAGGTTGTGTGCTGCTTATGAGAATCTAATGCCTGATGATCTGTCACTATCTCCCATCACCCACAGATGGAACCATCTCGTTGCAGGAAAACAAGCTCAGAACTCCCACTGATTCTACATTATGGTGAGTTGTATAATTGTTTCATTATACATATTACAATGTATTAATAATAAAGTGCACACTAGATGTAATGCACTTGAATAATCCCCAAACCATCCCCTCCTGCCCCAGTCCATGGAAAAATTGTCTTCCACAAAACCAGTCCCTGGTGCCAAAAAGGTTGGGGACTACTGCACTAGAGAATTAACATGGATTTGAATCCAAAACTGAGTCTTAAGAATGGCCTTTTAACCTAGTGGTTTCAATCCTGGCTGTACAGGAGAATTACCCAAGACCCTAGGAAAATTTCCAGGTCTGGGTAACATACGCTGAAATTATGAATTGATTTTAGATGAGCCACATGGTTCCAACGTGCAGTCAGGGTTAAAACTACAGATTAATTAATGCCTTTGATTCCCTCAAATTGATGACAGATAGGAAATACTGTCCACTTTTTCCTCCTCTCTGTGTCATCATTTCAGCAATTATGAAGAGAGCTGCAGTGGATGCGTTTTTCTGATTCCCACGTGTAGTCTATGCCTTAGAAGGAGCTTGTTAGCAAATTGCACAAGTAGAGCAGTAGCAAATAAATCCATTGAACATAAGATAACAAAAACCATATTATTTGAACTTCATACTTATTAACCTAAGTAGATACAGTAAGTAAAAATTTTAGCAAGCCAGAGGCTGGTATGAACTTCTATCAATTTTCTAGGTGAGGATTAATTTAAAAAATATATAAAGTCTATTGGTCATTGCTTTAACTTAAGCTAAATCTTGCTTAAAACATCTGCTAGAGAATTAACAGGACCATCCTTTCTGGAGCTGCTCAAGATCGGCTGAAGGAAGCAAAGCTACATTTCTTGGTAAGAGTATTAAGATGCATCATTCCTATGGTTTTAGAGCTCAGCATATCTAATCCACAAAAGCACCTGAATAAGGAATGTTTGATTTTGCCTTTCTGTCCTCAATATTCTGTTATCTCAAGTTGTTTTCCTGATATGTTAAAATGCTCACGCTGTTTTAACCTCCACTAATAGATATGTGAATTTGTAGAATATACAATTTTATCCTGATTTTCATGTGGAGTGAATGCTTTATCTACCACATGAGAAATATGCCTGACAGAATTTTCTCGCTTCTGCTACTGCATACTTATTCATACTTACTGACTTTTGTCTGGTAGACTTACTTGTTCCTGCTTATGAATTCAGTCTGCCCAGAGTTTGAACCTCATGTTGCACTGGGCAGGGAATAAAGAGCCTTTGTCTTAGGGAAGAAGAAAGTGCTCTTTTTATGCCTCAGTTCCTTTTTTCAGGTGTCCTGGGTGCTGCTACCTGGTACCTAGTGGCAGAACCCCATGCCATGGTTCATGTGGGTCCCAGAACCCTGAGACTAATTGGAAACCCATCATCATTCTTTCTTTCCCTTCGGTTCTTACAGGCTTTGGATATCTGTAAGAATTCCTCACCCTACCACCCCATTCCCAACCTCATTAACTAGATTCATGGTCCAGATGCCTTCTGGATTCCACTACCCAAATGAACTTGCATCATACATGTTTTTCTCTGTATTACTGACCATCTTATCCAGACTCTTAATACCTGCAAGGGCTCCCCTCCCCCGAAATACCCACCTTACTAACTGGATTCATAGTACTAGAGAACCCAAGGCTGACCTGTAGGGAGACAAGTTTTCTGATAACTGTCAACTCTGGCATTTTTGTTGATAACATTTTCAATGCTGAGGTGACATATGTTTACCTTGTAAAGTAGTTATAATCTCTGGCTTCTACCTACATAACATAAAGGGAATAGATTTCTAACAGCAGCAAAGTTATTATAAATTTTTTTATTAGAAATTCCTGATTATTTTGTAATTACCTTTTAGCCCAGTGTAATTAATTTTTTCATTAATTTCTTTGTTCCAAATCAAGAGATCAAAAGTAAAAGAAAAAGTAATATTAAGAGTGAAGCAACATGACACAAAAGATATATTAAAGTGTAATCAAAGCATTTTAATTAAAAATGACTTTCTGAAGCCTAATTTTAGCTTTTTCATTTCACCAGACCATGTTGTGATAATTATTTTAGAGGCCAAGTCACAGGTGAAGTATACCAAAAAATACCAAGTGCTTATTTAATAATTCATTCAGAAGTATATTAATGTCAAACATAAAGCTCAAGTTTTTCTCTGTGGTTCTCACCTCTTAAAAAATAAATTTATCCCAAATGTCTGTAAAATCTTTTCTTTCCACCTTATTCCTTGATCCAACATAGAAAAATAAGTTGCATTTTTTTTTGGTAGAAAATACTGTGAAAAGCCAGGTCATATAATATAAACTGAAAGTTTTTGCCGCCCAAGTTTTTCTTAGTAATGGAATTTGGTTTCTGTGTATTGCTTTTCAGCACATTTTATGTTTACAACTTTTGGGGATTTGAAGGAAATAATACATTTATATTTTCCATCATATTGTTTCTCATTTCCCCCCCTTTTCTGGGAAATTTCTATGATTTCATAAATTTTTAAATTATTATAATTATTATTTTGGAGAAGAGATGATTATTGTATGCTGACTTTTGAGTTCTTATTTTAGAGATACAATTTTTAATGCATCTGCAAAAATTAGTTAACAAATTTTAAAAGTAGTGAATGCTTTTTGCCCTCTTGTTTTTCTGTTTTTGTTTTGGGGGCCAATTATTTTCTTTTGTTGGGTTGCTTGTCATCAAGAGGGCCTTAAAGTTCCCCTCAGCTTGACTAAACTTTAGACATGCTTCTTGCCTTTAGGCCTCTAAACTCACTTTTCTTACTGCATTTACTTTAGAAAACTGGCAATTATAAATTATTTCCCTGTCCCTTTGAGATGCAAATCTTTAAAAAAGCTTCTTAGGCCGGGAGCGGTGGCTCATGCCTGTAATTCCAGCACTTTGGGAGGCCAAGGCAGGTGGATCACAAGGTCAGGAGTTCAAGACCAGCCTGGCTAACACGGTGAAACCCCGTCTCTACTAAAAATACAAAAAAATTAGCTGGACGTGGTGGCGGGCACCTGTAGTCCCAGCTACTCGGGAGGCTGAGGCAGGAGAATGGCATCAACCCGAGTGGCAGAGGTGGCAGTGAGCCGAGATCACGTCACTGCATTCCAGCCTGGGTGACAGAGCAAGACTTCGTCTCAAAAAAAAAAAAAAAAAAAAGCTTCTTATCACTTTTGCAACCCAGGACTGTTCCTCTCCAGAACCTGGGAGCCATCCTTTTGAAATGTAATCATCAAGAAAGATAGTGCCCCTATCTCCCAGGCTCAGTATTTGGGGAAGAGTCTAATTCTAATGGACACCTTGCTCCAAGTTATAAAACCACCTCTTGTCATGAAGATAGAACAGAATGTTTACCTTTTCTCTGGGTAAGGCCAATTAGCAAACACATCCCTCCATCCCAGCTCTCCTGCACCCTTTGTTTTAGTAATGTCGAGTTCAGACTAAGCTGAGCTCTCTCCCTTATTGCAATATCCTTGAATAAAGTCTTCCTTACTTGTTTAACATGATCTGGTGCTATTTTCGCATTGACACCGTTTTTTAATCAGTATATTGCTTTTTAAAACCAGCTTTAATTGAGGTATCACTTACATACCACAAATAGCATTTACCCACCTTCAGTGTCAAATTTAATGTTTTTAAATAATTCCCCAACTTTGTGCAGGCAGCCTGCACCACAATTCAGTTTTAGAACATTTTTGTCATCCCCAAACAGGTCCCTTTTTCCAATTTACAGTGAATCTATGATAGTCAATTATTTTTATGCTTTTGTTTTTCTTTATATGTCTGGGAATTCTTGGTTGTTATTTTTTACTTAAATGGGAGGAGGTAATATTCCAGGTACCCGGTGTGGATTTCATTTGCCTTGCTTCCCCTAAAGAACTCTCCCCTGACTGGGAAGTCTGATTGACAGTTCTCTGTAAGTGGGTAGGGCTTGTCACCTGGCAGGGTTTTCTTCAGGTTGAGCAGGTGGGAAGCCAGCTATAAAGTTGTAGGACTCTAAATGCTTTCTGTTGGTCATCAGGACTTTGTACTAGCAACATCTAGTTTTTCCCAGGAAAATGTTCACTTTTAACACCAATTGTTTTACCTGGGATATAGAAGGAAGGGTGTGTGTGTGTGTGTGTGTGTGTGTGTGTGTGTGTGAGAGAGAGAGAGAGAGAGAGAGAAAACATGGGTAAGAACAGGTAAGAACTGGCACAATTGTTCTGAGGACATAATTTCAATTACTTCACCTGTTTTCAGCCTAACTTCATGCTCACAACTGATCAGTTGTTGCACCAGGAAAATCAGCTACCACCTCTATGCATCTCCCTCTCACATATATTTGATCTGAGACCTTCAGATCTTTCCCCCACTCATTTGTTTGTTTTTGTTTTATTTTATTAATATTAATTGAGCAACAAAAAATTGTATTTATTTTTCATGGACAACATATTGCTTTGAAATATGTACACATTTTAAATACATGTATACAATATAATGTATGCATTGTAAAATGGCTAAATTGAGCTAATATACATAAGTATTACCTCACATACTTTCATTTTTTTTTTGTGGTGAGAACACTTAAAATCTACTTTTTTGGCAACTTTCAAAATTTTAAAAAAGTCATTCAATACTCTTTGTTTTACCACATCTTCCAGAAGTGTGTAAAAATCTCTAGCCTGCTGATGCTGCCCCCTGTTTTCTTTACTGTCATAATTTATTTTTTATGTTTCTTTACCATAACTTTAAAATTTTCTCAAGAAAGTCAGGAGGCAACTGCATGTGCTACTTAAAGAAAGAGGAAAGAAATTAAAGAATTAAAGAAATTAAATTAAAGAAAGAATTAAAGAAAGAGGAAAGAAACATGAAAGGTGGTTTGCCAGTCAAGACAGGTTTATTTTAGAGAAAACGAACCAGAGAGGAGCTTCTGGCCAAGTTAGGTCAGAGGCACACTCTTTTACAGACTGAGAATTTTTAAGGATTCAGGGTGGGAGAGTTTATCAGAGGCTTGGACTGCTTCTGTGTCCCTTTGTTGTGCTTATTTGGGAGGGAGAGTTGTGTGTCTGTTCCCATACACTTTTCTGCAGCTGCAGGCATACCCCCGAGTCTGCTTTTAGCTTTCCTATTTCAGTGCATCCTGAAAGGAAAGGAATGTGCTTATTAAGGCCCACTGTTTTGCTGGGGCCCATTGTATGAGGGAAGTTTGGCAGTTACTCAAGAGACTCTCCCCCACCTCCCTCTGTGCCCAAGCTGTCTTATCTGTGTTTTACTGTCTGCTCTTTCTGGCTGCTTATAGTTAGAAGAGAAGTGATTTCCTTGAAATGCATGAGGCTAGAAAGGGAGCTGGAACTTAAAGTAGTGGTGTTTGTCCGAGATGACGGTGCTCCTGCTCTGTCAACTACCATCTTGAATTGCAGCTCAGTTTTCTTCTAAGAAATAATACCAAAGTTGGATTGTAGTTATTTCAATAGAGCTATCTCTGTCCAGTAATATAGTGGCTAGGCAGTTTGCTGAAAGAATGAATAAAATACAAATACATCTCCTTAAAAACATGGCAGAGATGACAAGATAATACAAAATTTTAGGGCCAAAGTCAAATTGAAGACAGAAGCCCAGGGAGATAAGTATAGCAATAGAGTTGTTTTTGTCAGAAGGGGACTTGCCAAAACCTTGATTTTTCTAATCTAGTGGAGTATGGGATCAAAAGAACAGAATTCCCTCAAAAGACAAAGACCAGAGTTCTTCTAAGTTGAGGAGTCTGATAGGAGAACTCCAGAAAGCTGAACTCAGATGGCATTTGCCTCATTCTGTGAGGAACAAGAGGAAAATCTCCCTTTCCACCTTCCCTACCTTAAAGAGATTATAGGAATTTAGTCTTGATGCTTCAAAGAGCGGGAGTGGGATGGGAAATTCAACTGAAGAGTTGTAACTCTAAGCCAGCATGGATTTGGTGTCCAAAGATGTATATTTTGGATTGTCCATAAAATCCCAAACCATAAATTTATTGTATTTCATTGATTCTGTCATGCACTTAATCCTCCCTGCCCCCACATTTTACATCAAAATGTACCCAAGGATCAACAATGTCTTCAATTCAATGAAATATTGAACTGTAAAATTTCCTGGTGGAAGCATAGACGAACCTTCTCTGGAGTAATACAACTTCATCTTCATCTCAGAGAATTCACACAAATAATTTTTCAGGAAAATGAGTAGCTCCCTATAAACAATTACTGACCATACAAGAAATGAAGCATAGTAAGTGTGGTAGCCAGCAGAACAAAACAGCCAGGAGGAACATATTCTATAAATTAATTAGGCTATTAGAAATTGACAGATTAAAAGAGGAAGAAACTTTTGATAAGTATGTTTAAATAAATGATAGACAAGTCTGAGAGTATCTTCAGATAGGAAATTGTATGTATAAAGACCTAACAGTTTGAAAATGAGTCAAGTAGATAACCCATAAATGATGTGAATTTCTAAATTTACATAGTGTTTTTCATTTTTCCCTTAATGATGACAAAGTGAGATGGTTATGTTTCCCATTCTGTATATTTGTGGCTTCCTAAATTTATGGTACAAGATCTGAGGATTTGCCTTTTGAAGACAACTTTTATACATTTCATGTATGTTAGTAATCGTAACGCAATCCCTCTCTGTGGAAAACTTTATTATTTCTTATTCTTCTGTGGAAAAAAATACTTTTTATATTTTAGGGTCATATCTTCACTATGGGCTGTTTTGCTCATTTTTTCTGTATTCTTATCTACCTCCGAAGTGTGAAAAATGGCCTTGTGACTTGTTAGTTGGGATTCTGGGAGCATTGTTTCTTCCATAAAGGAAATATTGTTGACTAAGCATAATATAGATTATACTCTACCTATGTTATACATTGACCCTCAACCCACTAACCTAGAAATGTGCACACATTGCGTGGGAGGTGATATTCATAGCTGTGCTTTGAGGATGGTGCTGGTTATAACATAAACCAGCACCACCCTGGTTATAACATAAAAATAAAGGAGGCTTCTTTTCTTGGGTGTTGGTTTTCTTCATTTGAAACTCCAGCCCTAGAAAACTCATGCCTTTGTTCAAAAATGTGAGTTGGTGACACACTGGCTGTTAGGTAGATTCAGTATAGGACAATTATGCACCTGTTGTACTGCTGGTGTTTTAGTAGCAGCATTTTGCATATGAACTATAGCATTTCAAAGAATCATTTTGATTTACTTTCATTTCTGACTCCTTTTGTACTTGAAAATAATACAAAAAATGAGAAATCTCTAAGAATTTGTTTTTGTCATTAAGGATATTTCTACGTATTATATTTTGCAGAAATAACTTTTTACACAAGTCTGTTTCTGTAGAGGCAAACATCTTTGTAATCTTCTTTGAGTTGAGGGATATGATTTGTTTTCATACCTTCCCTGTCAGTAACTGCTCCAGCATAACAGTATGAGTCAAACTCATTCCCTGAAACTCTTTTTTTTTTCCTTAGGCGTTGATGGGTGAATGTGAAAATTGTACATCTCTGATGGCTGCTAAATCTCTTTGCCTTTCTAAATGACAAGGGGTAAATGGAATTTGTTTTTCCCTTAATTTGACAGCATTTCCTTGTCAAAGGGTTCCTTCTTAGATAATTCGATAATTAGGTGACAATTACAGCAGATGTTTAAAAAATTTTCTTTGGGGGTTTCCAAAGTTTTTTAGACCTCAAAGTCATGTCATCCACCATAGCCACATAAAGACAAAAAAAGTGGCTGGGAGAATGTAGGATGGATGAGCTATAGCTCATTAGTACTATGCTTTATATCCAATCAACTGAAGCCACAAGGCCAAAGATTGATACTGCTGCTGACATGAATATCTGTGAAGATGGAATACCCTAAGTCAGGGTTTATCAACAGTGGTACTACTGATATTTTCGACTGGATGCGTCTTCATTTTGGGAAGCTATCTTGTCCACTGCCGGATGTTTAGCAGCATTGCTGGCCTCTAACCAATAGATTCCTTCAATTGTGACACTCAAAAAGCTTCTGGACTTTGCCAAATATTCCCAGGGGTGGGGCGAGGGGACAGAAATTGTGCCTGGTTGAGAACCACTGCTCTATGTCACTGTCATCAATCCTGGTCTTATGCAAGCTTGGGAAGAGAGATACAGAGAGGCATCAAGAATAATAGTCCATGTGATTTTAGTAGGCTAGGCTGAGATCGATGACTTCGTAAAGTGTCAGCTTCATCTTGTTTTATTTTTTATGCTAACAAATTTCTCGTTTCCTCCTGTAGTTTTCTGGTTCCTATGAACAGAAGCAGAATTTTTTCACAACAGAAAGTGAAGCAACGAAGTTTTGAGGGTTGCTCCTCATTTAATGGTGAGTCAAAGAGGCAGCATAGAGAGGATATATGAAGGTTAAGAGCTAAGGATGTGGATTCTGGAGCCAGACTGCCTAGTTTGGAAGCCAGCTCCCCATGTTAGCTGGCTGATCTTGGCAAAGCACTCACCTTCCGCTTGCCTCTACCAATAACATAGGGATAATGACAGAGTCAGTTTAAGGAGTTGTGAGGACTAAATGAGATAATATGTATAAAATGCTTATAAGAGCAGTTAGTGCATAGAAATGGTAGTAGATAAGTATTAAAGGAGATAAAAAGGTGGTTTTTTTTCCAGAAGAAAAAGGATACTTAAGTTGATTAGGAATTTTGTTGTCTGTAACTTCATTAACATAATCAACCCATTCCAAGTTAACAAGCTCTTTGACAACGACTGATTTAACGTTACCATCATAGCAGACGTGCATCACAAATGAAGTTTGATGTGCCTTAAGTGAATCCGTGATTCTTAAAACACAAAAAAGTGATTACTTACAGTTTCCTGATATAAAATAGTTGGCCCATAAATGTAAGTTAGTCCTATCCTCAAACACTATTAGATAAGGATTTGATTGAAAATTTGTCTTCACTTGCTATAACCATCAAACCTGTACCGTATCTTAGTCTTAACCCAGAGATGACAAATACTTATTAGGCACTGATGCAGGCAGGTGAGCCCCGACATGGAGTTTAGCTCATGAGAGGGCTTGGTTTTGCCCAGGAAAGAATTCAAGGACAAGACAGAGGTAGAAGAAAACAGCTACTGAAGAGGCAGTGCTACAGCTCTAGCAGTGGGTTCTATGGCTGCTCTTGCAGGGCAGGGTTACCCCTTAGGCAGAGACTAGCAGCTCAGGTCAGTTTTGCAGTCATATTTTTATCCACTCTTAATTGCATGCAGATTAAGGAGTGACTTATGCAGAAATTTCTAGGGAGGGGGTAGTACCTTTAGGTCATTAGGTCACTGCCACAGAAGGGGGTGATAACCACGGGGTGTTGCCATGGCAAGAGTAAATTGACATGGCACACTATTGGACATGTCTGATTGAAAGCTGCTTTGCCCAGGCCCTGTTTTAGCTAGTCCTCAATCTGTTCCGTGTCCAAGCCCCACCTCTGGAGTCAAATCCCACCTCCTACCTCAGCCCCTTGCATGTATTAGGTTAGTACAAAGGTTATTGTGTTTTTTGCCATTAATAGCAAAAACTGCAATTACTTTTGCACCAACCTATAGTTATAAGTATCTGGCCAGGACATCCAAGCCAAAGGAGCACAGCACACATATATGAAAGCTAGAGGGGGCCATCCTGCGGGAGGATCAAGTAAAGAACACACACAAAGAAGACTTAACTAACAGTCACTCGAATCGTGAGTCCACTGAAGTTCTTTTTATTCAGGGTTAGAAACACATAGAGAAATTCAGCTATAACACGAAGCACCATTTAACTGCAGCAATATAATATTTTTGCAGTTTAGGTTTAAAAAATAGGTAGATATCAAGTTTTTATTATTTTTTACTATTGTAAGTACAGATACTTGGGATTCATAGAACTGGCAACTATGCCTGGACTTCTGTTGGAAGCAGGAATTCATGCTGAGTTCCATTCCTTTTCTAAAAGAAGTTATAAAAAGCCCAAGTGAAGTCAGATATTATGTGGATATTTTTTTTTATAGCAACAGTAAGTAACTTCCACTTTAAGATCCTGATGGTGGATATGATTTTAAAGTATGAAGGAAATACAAAATGTCTAAAATATTTCAGGGCTTAAGGGCATGAATGAAAAGAATTTGGTGTGTGGTGTGTATTGAGTCAAGTTTAGGTAAAAAACAAAGGCATCAAGACCTCCGCAAGGCTCTTCCTGTGGCATGAATCACACAGTAGGGAGCTTACCTGGGCACCTTTCTTAAAGGTATGCCACTTGTCTGTGATAGGAGTGCTTGTTGGGTTGGCTTTTGTTCAGTTAATCCTCTAAAACGATTTCAAAGGGGCTTCTGAATTTTTTGTTTTGTTTTACTTTTTTTGAGACAGGTTCTCGCTCTGTTGCCCAGGCTGGAGCGCAGTGGCATGATCTCTGCTCACTGCAACCTCCACATCCTGTGCTCAAGTGATGCTCCAACCTTGGCCTCCCAAGTAACTGGAAACACAGGCGTGTGCCACCATGCCCAACTAATTTTTGTATTTTTTGTAGAGACAGGGTTTTTGCATGCTGTCCATTCTATTCTCAAACTCCTGTGCTCAAGCGATTCTCCTCCCAAAGTACTGGGTTTACAGACCTGATATTTTTAAAGACAACAGAAAAGCATAGGTTTGGGAGAATTAAACGTGTGCTAATAGAAAAGTATTACACAATTACTAGTTTACTAAACAATTAGCTATATACACATTTGCTATGAGTTGTACTTTACAAAATTAGTTGAGTCTAAAAAACACACGCATGTATGTTTATTTTTCTCTAAATGAAACTAAATATCCATGCTCCCCTTTCTTGCTGTCTTCAAATTAGTGGAAAATTCAACTTGAGTCATTTTAGTGCACATTCTCTCTCTTATGATGGTTATGTATTAATCCACATATACCTCTCAGGAGGTGTGAGTTTACTGGGAAAACAGGTGAATGCCTCTAACTGTCATCCCCTCCTAAATGCCCTCTGTAGATTCTTGAAGGTGAACAATTTCACTGCCGCTGTGCCAGGCAGGGCATATGGGCTCTGCTGAGACTGGGACCCTGGTGTGCAAGGTCCAGCCCCAGGATCCGATATTACTCTTCTGTGTCCTACATTTTTCTCTTACGACATTTATCCTAACACAAGGGTGTTTTTATTTTCTCTGTATGCAATACCCTGCTGTTAATTATTACATAAGTCTTTATCAATCACACTTTATAGCTTTAACTCCCCAGGTTCCTAATTGGTTACTAAAGGTTTGTTCCTCACTGCAGGCTCTGAAAATGCCATCCACACTGCCAGTTACCACCTATGGCTGTGCTCTCTAAAATCTCTCTTAGCTTTGTCTACCCTTTTCTTTACACTAGCGGTAAGAGGTTGTTATAGATAGGGTTGGGTTTTTGGCAGGAAAAGAACAGCTTCCAGGCTAAGAAATACCTGAAAAAATTCACCCTGTGTGCCAAAGCCATTTCTTTTGGATGCCTCCAGTGTCAAGCCAGTGTCAGAGCTATTGCGGCGGAAGCAGCCACATTCATTGCTTCATACGTTCTCTGGATGATATTCAAATGAACAGGACAAAGCTTCATGAAGAAAATCCAGGGTTCAGTTTTCCATTTACCAAAAAGGCTTGAATGACAGATGTCCACATTTTCCTAATTTTTCTTTTTGCAGTATTTTATTATTTTCTCTCAACACGTTTTTTGTTTGTTTTTACTTAAATCTTCAATCTCCTATACATTTTTCTCAAGGGTATAGCCTAGTCTATTTCCTTCACTTAAAAGAGTATGAAGTTGGCCGGGTATGGTGGCTCACCCCTGTAATCCCAGCACTTTGGGAGGCCAAGGTGGGCAGATCACCTGAAGTCAGGAGTTCGAGACCAGCCTGGCCAACATGGTGAAACCCCGTCTCTACTAAAAATACAAAAATTAGCCAGGCATGGTGGTGGGTGCCTGTAGTCCCAGCTACTCGGGAGGCCAAAGCTGGAGAATCCTTTGAATCCGGGAGGCAGAGGTTGCAGTGAGCTGAGGTTGTGCCACTGCACTCCAGCCTGGGTGGCAGAGTGAGACCCTGTCTCAAAAAAAAAAAAAAAACCCAAAAAGTATGAAGTTGTATGTGTTTGATCTCTTGAGTGACTACATTGCAATGAATGTTGAAATAGGCTGCTGTTTAAATCTTAATTCACATCCCTTGCAGGGGAATGGGGGTACTCATTGAATTAAAGATTAAACTTATAATGAAAGACTATTCACTTAACAAGTATCACACCAGCACAAGATGAAGCAAAACTAGGCTATTTAGTTTGCAATGTGCTCGTCTTCGTATTAGAACACCTCTACTTAAACACAAATTATTATGCTGATAAATATCAATCATTAAAGAGGCCACCTTACTTTCTACTATATTAAGCTTATTATCTTACGTAGCACCTGAAATACTTGAGGTCATATTTTTATTGAAACACATATACATGGGTTTTTCTTTTTTTATTATTATACTGTAAGTTCCAGGGTAAATGTGTACAACATCAGGTTTGATACATATGTATACATGTGCCATGTTGGTGTGCTGCACCCATTAACTCCACATTTACATTAGGTATATCTCCTAATGCTATCCCTCCCCCTTTCCCCCACCCCATGACAGGCCCCCATGTGTGATGTTCTCCACCCTGCATCCAAATGTTCTCATTGTTCAATTCCCACCTATGAGTGAGAACATGTCGTGTTTGGTTTTCTGTCCTTGCAATAGTTTGCTGAGAATGATGGTTTCTATCTTCATCCATGTCCCTACAAAGGACATGAACTCATCATTTTGTATGGCTGCATAGTATTCCATGGTGTATATGTGCCACATTTTCTTAATCCAGTCTATCATTGATGGACATTTGGGTTGGTTCCAAGTCTTTGCTATTGTGAACAGTGCTGCAATAAACATACAGTGCATGTGTCTTTATAGTAGCATGATTTATAATCCTTTGGGTATATGCCCAGTAATGGGATGGCTGGGTCAAGTGGTATTTCTAGTTCTAGATCCTTGAGGAATCACCACACTGACTTCCACAATGGTTGAACTAGTTTACAGTCCCACCAACAGTGTACAAGTGTTCTTATTTCTCCACATCCTCTCCAGCACCTGTTGTGTCCTGATTTTTTAATGATTGCCATTCTAACTGGTGTGAGATGGTATCTCATTGTGGTTTTGATTTGCATTTCTCTGATGGCCAGTGATGATGAGCATTTTTTCATGTGTCTGTTGGCTGAATAAATGTCTTCTTTTGAGAAGTGTCTGTTCATATCCTTTGCCCACTTTTTGATGGGGTTGTTTGATTTTTTCTTATAAAGTTTTTAAAGTTTTTTGTAGATTGTGCATATTAGCGCTTTGTCAGATGGATAGATTGAAAAAATTTTCTCCCATTCTGTAGGTTGCCTATTCACTCTGATGGTAGTTTCTTTTGCTGTGCAGAAGCTATTTAGTTTAATTAGATCTCATTTGTCTATTTTGGCTTTTGTTGCCATTGCTTTTGGTGCTTTAGTCTTGAAGTCCTTGCCCATGCCTATGTCCTGAATGGTATTGCCTAGGTTTTCTTCTAGGGTTTTTATGGTTTTATGTCTAACATTTAAATCTTTTTTTTATTATTATACTTTAAGTTTTAGGGTACATGTGCACATTGTGCAGGTTAGTTACATATGTATACATGTGCCATGCTGGTGCGCTGCACCCACTAACTCGTCATCTAGCATTAGGTATATGTCCCAATGCTATCCCTCCCCCCTCCCCCCAACCCACAACAGTCCCCAGAGTGTGATATTCCCCTTCCTGTGTCCATGTGATCTCATTGTTCAATCCCCACCTATGAGTGAGAATATGTGGTGTTTGGTTTTTTGTTCTTGCGATAGTTTACTGAGAATGATGTTTTCTAATTTCATCCATGTCCCTACAAAGGACATGAACTCATCATTTTTTATGGCTGCATAGTATTCCATGGTGTATATGTGCCACATTTTCTTAATCCAGTCTATCATTGTTGGACATTTGGGTTGGTTCCAAGTCTTTGCTATTGTGAATAATGCCGCAATAAACATACGTGTGCATGTGTCTTTATAGCAGCATGATTTATAGTCCTTTGGGTATATACCCAGTAATGGGATGGCTGGGTCAAATGGTATTTCCAGTTCTAGATCCCTGAGGAATCGCCACACTGACTTCCACAATGGTTGAACTAGTTTACAGTCCCACCAACAGTGTACAAGTGTTCCTATTTCTCCACATCCTCTCCAGCACCTGTTGTTTCCTGACTTTTTAATGATTGCCATTCTAACTGGTGTGAGATGGTATCTCATTGTGGTTTTGATTTGCATTTCTCTGATGGCCAGTGATGATGAGCATTTTTTCACATGTTTTTTGGCTGCATAAATGTCTTCTTTTGAGAAGTGTCTGTTCATGCCCTTTGCCCACTTTTTGATGGGGTTGTTTGTTTTTTTCTTGTAAATTTGTTTGAGTTCATTATAGATTCTGGATATTAGCCCTTTGTCAGATGAGTAGGTTGTGAAAATTTTCTCCCATTTTGTAGGTTGCCTGTTCACTCTGATGGTAGTTTCTTTTGCTGTGCAGAAGCTCTTTAGTTTAATTAGATCCCATTTGTCAATTTTGTCTTTTGTTGCCATTGCTTTTGGTGTTTTAGACATGAAGTGCTTGCCCATGCCTATGTCCTGAATGATAATGCCTAGGTTTTCTTCTAGGGTTTTTATGGTTTTAGGTCTAACGTTTAAGTCTTTAATCCATCTTGAATTGATTTTTGTATAAGGTGTAAGGAAGGGATCCAGTTTCAGCTTGCTACATATGGCTAGCCAGTTTTCCCAGCACCATTTATTAAATAGGGAATCCTTTCCCCATTGCTTGTTTGTTTTTTTCAGGTTTGTCAAAGATCAGATAGTTGTAGATATGTGGCATTATTTCTGAGGGCTCTGTTCTGTTCCATTGATCTATATCTCTGTTTTGGTACCAGTACCATGCTGTTTTGGTTACTGTAGCCTTGTAATATAGTTTGAAGTCAGATAGTGTGATGCCTCCAGCTTTGTTCTTTTGGCTTAGTATTGACTTGGTGATGCGGGCTCTTTTTTGGTTCCATATGAACTTTAAAGTAGTTTTTTCCAGTTCTGTGAAGAAAGTCATTGGTAGCTTGATGGGGATGGCATTGAATCTGTAAATTACCTTGGGCAGTATGGCCATTTTCACAATATTGATTCTTCCTACCCATGAGCATGGAATGTTCTTCCATTTGTTTGTATCCTCTTTTATTTCCTTGAGCAGTGGTTTGTAGTTCTCCTTGAAGAAGTCCTTCACATCCCTTGTAAGTTGGATTCCTAGGTATTTTATTCTCTTTGAAGCAATTGTGAATGGGAGTTCACTCATGATTTGGCTCTCTGTTTGTCTGTTGCTGGTGTATAAGAATGCTTGTGATTTTTGTACATTGATTTTGTATCCTGAGACTTTGCTGAAGTTGCTTATCAGCTTAAGGAGATTTTGGGCTGAGACAATGGGGTTTTCTAGATATACAATCATGTCGTCTGCAAACAGGGACAATTTGACTTCCTCTTTTCCTAAATGAATACCCTTTATTTCCTTCTCCTGCCTAATTGCCCTGGCCAGAACTTCCAACACTATGTTGAATAGGAGTGGTGAGAGAGGGCATCCCTGTCTTGTGCCAGTTTTCAAAGGGAATGCTTCCAGTTTTTGCCCATTCAGTATGATATTGGCTGTGGGTTTGTCATAAATATCTCTTATTATTTTGAGATATGTCCCATCAATACCTAATTTACTGAGAGTTTTTAGCATGAAGGGTTGTTGAATTTTGCCAAAGGCTTTTTCTGCATCTATTGAGATAATCATGTGGTTTTTGTCTTTAGCTCTGTTTATATGCTGGATTACATTTATTGATTTGCGTATATTGAACCAGCCTTGCATCCCAGGGATGAAGCCCACGTGATCATGGTGGATAAGCTTTTTGATGTGCTGCTGCATTTGTTTTGCTAGTATTTTATTGAGAATTTTTGCATCAATGTTCATCAAGGATATTGGTCTAAAATTCTCTTTTTTTGTTATGTCTCTGCCTGGCTTTGGTATCAGAATGATGCTGGCCTCATAAAATGAGTTAGGGAGGATTCCCTCTTTTTCTATTGATTGGAATAGTTTCAGAAGGAATGGTACCAGTTCCTCCTTGTACCTCTGGTAGAATTCGGCTGTGAATCCATCTGGTCCTGGACTGTTTTTGGTTGGTAAGCTATTGATTATTGCCACAATTTCAGATCCTTTTATTGGTCTATTCAGAGATTCAACTTCTTCCTGGTTTAGTCTTGGGAGAGTGTATGTGTCAAGGAATTTATCCGTTTCTTCTAGATTTTCTAGTTTATTTGCGTAGAGGTGTTTGTAGTATTCTCTGATGGTAGTTTGTATTTCTGTGGGATCGGTGGTGATATCCCCTTTATCATTTTTTTATTGCGTCCATTCGATTCTTCTCTTTTTCTTTATTAGTCTTGCTGGTGGTCTATCAATCTTGTTGATCCTTTCAAAAAACCAGCTCCTGGATTCATTAATTTTTTGAAGGGTTTTTTGTGTCTCTATTTCCTTCAGTTCTGCTCTGATTTTAGTTATTTCTTGCCTTCTGCTAGCTTTTGAATGTGTTTGCTCTTGCATTTCTAGTTCTTTTAATTGTGATGTTAGGGTGTCCATAACATTTAAGTCTTTAATCCATCTTGAATTAATTTTTGTATAAGGTGTAAGGAAGGGGTCCAGTTTCAGCTTTCTACGTATGGCTAGCCAGTTTTCCCAGCACCATTTATTAAATAGGGAATCCTTTCCCCATTTCTTGTTTTTGTCAGGTTTGTCTAAGATCAGATGGTTGTAGATGTGTGGTATTATTTCTGAGGGCTCTGTTCTGTTCAATTGGTCTAGTTTGAAGTCAGGTAGCATGATGCCTCCAGCTTTGTTCTTTTGGCTTATGATTGTCTTGGCAATGTGGGCTCTTTTTTGGTTCCACATGAACTTTAAAGTAGTTTTTTCCAATTCTGTGAAGAAAGTCATTGGTAGCTTGATGGGGATGGCATTGAATCTATAAATTATCTTGGGCAGTATGGCCATTGTCGTGATATTGATTCTTCTTATCCATGAGCATGGAATGTTCTTCCATTTGTTTGTGTCCTCTTTTATTTCACTGAGCAGTGGTTTTTAGTTCTCCTTGAAGAGGTCCTTCACATCCCTTGTAAGTTGGATTGCTAGGTATTTTATTCTCTTTGAAGCAATTGTGAATGGGAGTTCACTCATGATTTGGCTCTTTGTTTGTCTATTATTGGTGTATAGGAATGCTTGTGATTTTTGCACATTGTGATTTTGTATCCTGCGACTTTGCTGAAGTTGCTTATCAGCTTTAGGAGATTTTGGGCTGAGACGTGAGGTTTTCTAAATATAGAATCATGTCATCTGCAAACAGGGACAATTTGACTTCCTCTTTTCCTAACTGAATACCCTTTATTTCTTTCTCCTGCCTGATTGCCCTGGCCAGAACTTCCAACACTATGTTGAATAGGAGTGGTGAGAGAGGGCATTCCTGTCTTGCGCCAGTTTTCAAAGGGAATGCTTCCAGTTTTTGCCCATTCAGTATGATATTGGCTGTGGGTTTGTCATAAATAGCTCTTATTATTTTGAGATACATCCCATCAATACCTAGTTTATTGAGAGTTTTTAGCATGAAGGGCTGTTGAATTTTGTCAAAGGCCTTTTCTGCATCTATTGAGATAATCATGTGGTTTTTGTCTTTGGTTCTTTTTATATGCTGGGTTACATTTATTGATTTGCGTATGTTGAACCAGCCTTGCATCCCAGGGAAGAAGCCAACTAGATCGAGGTGGATAAGCTTTTTGATGTGCTGCTGGATTTGGTTTGCCAGCATTTTATTGAGGATTTTCACATCAATGATCATCAGGGATATTGGTCTAAAATTCTCTTTTTTTGTTGTATCTCTATCAGGCTTTGCTATCAGGATGATGCTGGCCTCATAAAATGAGTTAGGGAGGATTCCCTCTTTTTCTATTGTTTGGAATAGTTTCAGAAGGAATGGTACCAGCTCCTCTTTGTACCTCTGGTAGAATTCAGCTGTGAATCCATCTGGTCCTGGACTTTTTTTGGTTGGTAGGCTATTGATTTTTGCCTCAATTTCAGAGCCTGTTATTGGTCTATGCAGGGATTCAACTTCTTCCTGGTTTAATTTTGGGAGGGTGTATGTGTCAAGGAATTTATCCATTTCTTCTAGATTTTCTAGTTTATTTGCATAGAGGTGTTTATAGTATTCTCTGATGGTAGTTTGTATTTCTGTGGGATCGGTGGTGATATCCCCTTTATCATTTTTTATTGTGTCTATTTTATTCTTCTCTCTTTTCTTCTTTGTTAGTCTTGCTAGCGATCTATCAATTTTGTTGATCTTTTCAAAAAACCAGCTCCTGGATTCATTGATTTTTTGAAGGGTTTTTTGTGTCTCTATCTCCTTCAGTTCTGCTCTGATCTTAGTTATTTCTTGCCTTCTGCTAGCTTTTCAATTTGTTTGCTCTTGCTTCTCTAGTTCTTTTAATTGTGATGTTAGGGTGTCAATTTTTGATCTTTCCTGCTTTCTCCTGTGGGCATTTAGTGCTGTAAATTTCTCTCTACACACTGTTTTAAATGTGTCCCCAAGATTCTGGTATGTTGTGTCTTTGTTCTCGTTGGTTTCAGAGAACATCTTTATTTCTGCCTTCATTTCGTTATTTACCCAGTGTCATTCAGGAACAGGTTGTTCAGTTTCCATGTAGTTGTCCAGTTTTGAGTTTCTTAATCCTGAGTTCTAGTTTGATTGCACTGTGGTATGAGAGACAGTTTGTTATCATTTCTGTTCTTTTAGAATTGCTGAGGAGTGCTTTACTTCCAATTATGTGGTCAATTTTGGAATAAGTGCAATGTGGTACTGAGAAGAATGTATATTCTGTTGATTTGGGGTGGAGAGTTCTGTAGAAGTCTATTAGGTCCATTTGGTGCAGAGATGAGTTCAAGTCCTGCATATCCTTGTTAACTTTCTGTCTCATTGATCTGTCTAATGTTGACAGTGGGGTGTTAAAGTATCCCATTATTATTGTGTGGGAGTCTAAGTCTCTTTGTAGGCCTCTAAGGACTTGCTTTATGAATCTGGGTGCTCCTGTAGTGGGTGCATATATATTTAAGATGGTTAGCTCTTCCTGTTGAATTGATCCCTTTACCATTATGTAATGGCCTTCTTTGTCTCTTTTGATCTTTGTTGGTTTAAAATCTGTCTTGTCAGAGACTAGGATTGCAACCCCTGCTTTTTTTTGTTTTCCATTTGCTTGGTAGATCTTCCTCCATTCCTTTATTTTGAGCCTATGTGTGTCTCTGCACGTGAGATGGGTCTCCTGAATACAGCACACTGATGGGTCTTGACTGTTTATCCAATTTGCCAGTCTGTGTCTTTTAATTGGGAGCATTTAGCCCATTTACATTTAAGGTTAATATTGTTATGTGTGAATTTGATCCTGTCATTATGATGTTAGCTGGTTATTTTGCTCAATAGTTGATGCAGTTTCTTCCTAGCATCGATGGTCTTTACAATTTGGTATGTTTTTGGAGTGGCTGGTACTGGTTGTTCTTTTCCATGTTTAGTGCTTCCTTCAGGAGCTCTTGTAAGGCAGGCCTGGTGGTGACAAAATCTCTCAGCATTTGCTTGTCTGTAAAGGATTTTATTTCTCCTTCAGTTATGAAGCTTAGTTTGGCTGGATATGAAATTCTGGGTTGAAAATTCTTTTCTTTAAGAATGTTGAATATTGGCCCCCACTCTCTTCTGGCTTGTAGAGTTTCTGCCGAGAGATCCACTGTTAGTCTGATGGGCTTCCCTTTGTGGGTAACCTGACTTTTCTCTCTGGCTGCCCTTAACATTTTTTCCTTCATTTCAACCTTGGTGAATCTGACAAGTATGTGTCTTGAGGTTGCTCTTCTTGAGGAGTACCTTTGTGGCATTCTCTGAATTTCCTGAATTTGAATGTTGGCCTGCCTTTATAGGTCGGGGAAGTAAGTTCTCCCGGATAATATCCTGAAGAGTGTTTTCCAACTTAGTTCCATTCTCCCTGTGAATTTCAGGTACACCAATGACATGTAGATTTGGTCTTTTCACATAGTCCCATATTTCATGGAGGCTTTGTTCATTTCTTTTTACTCTTTTTTCTCTAAACTTCTCTTCTAGCTTCATTTCATTCATTTGATCTTCAATCACTGATACCCTTTCTTCAACTTGATCAAATTGGCTACTGAAGCTCGTGCATGCATCACATAGTTTTCATGCCATTGTTTCCAGCTCCATGAGGAAGGTCTTCACTACTCTGTTTATTCTAGTTAGCCATTCGTCTAATCTTCTTTCAAGGTTTTTAGCTTCTTTCCGATGGGTTCGAACATCCTCCTTTAGCTTGGATAAGTTTGTTATTACTGATCTTTTGAAGCCTACTTCTGTCAACTCGTCAAAGTCATTCACCATGCAGCTTGGTTTCATTGCTGGTGAGGAGCTGCATTCCTTTGGAGGAGAAGAGGTGCTCTGATTTTTAGAATTTTTCAGTTTTTCTGCTCTGGTTTCTCCCCATCTTTGTGGTTTTATCTACCTTTGGTCTTTGATGATGGTGACCTATAGATAGGGTTTTGGTGTGGATGTCCTTTTTGTTGATGTTGATGCTATTCCTTTCTGTTTGTTAGTTTTCCTTCTGACAGTCAGGACCCTCAGCTACAGGTCTGTTGGAGTTTGCTGGAGGTCCACTCCAGACCCTGTTTGCCTGGGTATCACCAGCGGAGGCTGCAGAACAGCAAATATTGCAGAACAGCAAATGTTGCTCTCTGATCCTTCCTCTGGAAGCTTTGTCTCAGAAGGGCACCTGGCTGTATGAGGTGGCAGTTGGCCCATACTGGGAGGTATCTCCCAGTTAGGCTACTTGGTGGTCAGGGACCCACTTGAGGAGGCAGTCTGTGTGTTCTCAGATCTCAAACTCCATAATGGAAGAAACACTACTCTCTTCAAAGCTGTCAGACAGGGACGTTTAAGTCTGCAGAAGTTTCTGCTGCCTTTTGTTCAGCTATGCCCTGCCCCGAGAGGTGGAGTCTACAGAGGCAGGCAAGCCTCCTTGAGCTGCGGTGGGCTTCAACTAGTTTGAGCTTCCTGGCCGCTTTGTTTACCTACTCAAGCCTCAGCAATGGCAGATTCCCCTTCCGCAGCCTCACTGTTGCCTTGCAGTTTGATCTTGGACTGCTGTGGTAGCAGTGAGCAAGGCTCCGTGGGCATGAGATCTGCCAAGCCAGCTGTGGGATATAATCTCCTGGTGTGCCATTTTCTAAGACCATTGGAAAAGCACAGTATTAGGGTGGGAGTGTCCCGATTTTCCAGGTACCATCTGTCACGGCTTCCTTTGGCTAGGAAATGGAATTCTCCAACCCCTTGCACTTCCTGGGTGAGGCAATGCCCTGCCCTGCTTCGGCTCACACTCCATGGGCTGCATCCACTGTCCAACAAGTCCCAGTGAGATGAACCTGGTACCTCAGTTGGAAATGCGGAAATCACCCGTCTTCTGCGTGGCTCACTCTGGGAGCTATAGATTGGAGCTGTTCCTATTTGGCCATCTTGGAGGGATCTCAGGTTTTTCTGTTTAAAATAAAAGGTGGTCATAGTCTTCAGAGTGTATATTTGGAATAAAATGTATTGAATCTGGAAAACATTATTTAATGAAAAATTAATATCATTTAAGCATAGAAACAAATTTTATATATACTTGTTGAATTAATGCCTTCAGAATCTAAGAAAACCTCATTTAGTTGGTACATCCTCTTTAGTTTCTGTTTATCTTGAGTTTACTGATTTTGTCCTAAACAGAATGAAATATCATTATCTGAAGTATATAAAACCACATCTTTAAAAAATGAAACTGAACTATCATTTCAAAATATTTTATAGTCTTCACTTAAACCATTGATTGAGAATCAACAGGTTTTTTAAGGCAACAACTATGAATATTTTTAAATCTTTGGAGACTCAGTGGTTTGAGTTTTCATAGATAATATGATTAATCTGGATTCTGATTTAAGACAATCTTACTTTAAGGGCAAATTAAGAATCTTTCTACTGAAGACCACCTGACCATCTGGAATATTTTTACTGCTGTCAGGTAAATCACCTTCAAAATGAGGACTGGATTTTGTTAAAAAGGGATGACTTCTGACTGCAAACCCTCTCTTAAGAACATTTTGTTTTCTTTTTCCTGATAAAGTCCATTTTGTAACTCTCTTAAGGACATTTCATAAGCAATAGCACATGGCCTCCTTTTGAGTACTGCTCTAAGGATGGTTCAATGAGACTTTTGATGACAATTAGGTTGATGCCTAGAATTCACAGTGAGAGGAAGTTCTAATACATTTTGAAATTCCCAAGATATGTTCTTGACTGCCTTTAGGCACCTGAAATTATTACATAAGATTTACTACTTCATCTAATATGAAGATATTTGGTGCATTTGTAGAACTTTTGAAGGTGCTTTTGTCTCCAGTATCATTATTCATGGATCAAGGATTTTAAATAATGCGAATTGAGTGAATCAACAGTCATGCTGCTGTGTGTGCTTCGGGCAATCCTCTGTTTGGCAGATTTTTAGATGTCATCCAAAGCAGCTCACCAGCAGCACCTTTTAATTGAACCCCATTGGCACCCACCATGACCCAAGAAAATGCCTTGGCTAATGAGATTACATCATACTGTGTTAGAGAACTTACAGTATCAAATTCCCATATAAATGCAAACTATAACATCTGTGTAAAAGTAGATAGTCAGAATTTAAATATTTCTTCATATATGCTGGCCTTTGCACTGTCTGCAATTCTCTGTTCCCAGGCACAAAATCTATTAGAATTGCATACAGGAACTATTGCCTCCTCTCTTGTATGATTTTTGTTGATTTTGATAAGGTTCGTATGATTTTTCCAAACCATACAATGATTTGGAAGCTTGGGGGAGATCTCTCATGATATTCTTTCCCTCTCCACCATAAGACTTGGCACGTGGTTGCCATTCAGTAAGTAGTGACCAAAGAGTAGAATAAAGAGCTTTTCCAAGGAAGCAAGTTTCACCAATTCAATACATTGGAAAGCAAGAATTGTATCTTTTGCTTCAAATTTTTAAAAAGTTTTAAATAATTTTCAACACCTACTCAAACTTTGGCTATCTCACAATACTATTATTTCATTGAGCAGTCATTAGATAGTTTTTAAGCATCTACTATATTGCAAGCCCCTTGCCAGTTTCCCCAAGTACGAAGATGAGTGGCATGTGATCTCTGAATGCAAAGCTCTCTGACCAATAGGGAAAAGACACATGAAAACCATTATAGAGTGAGCTATGTGTGCTATGGTGCAATAGCACACACAGTGCTATAGGTTTGCAGAGGAGAGTGTATTAAATGGTTCTTGGCCTTGTGGATAGGGATGAACCAGATGGTGAGGGATAACTTAAGACAGATTCTTTGGTGAAGGATGTTGAAGAATGTTCCAGGTGGACAAGGGAATGATCCTCCAGGCAGATAAAGTGGCTTTTATAGAGGTACAGGGGATTGAAAGTCCTATTTGGAATTGAAGCATTTGAATGGGTTGTGAGAAGGTGCTGCTGGAAAGAACAGCTTCATCGTGATAGATTTTATATGTTGTAGTACATTTGGAGTTATTTTTACAGGCAGTGAACAAGGCTTCATATTAATTTTGCAGGTCCATTATGTGCAAATTTCCTTGAAGGCTTAAGTGAAGATATTTATGTAGGTATGTATGTATGTATTGAGATGGAGTCTTGCTCTGTTGTCTAGGCTGGAGTGCAGTGGTGCGATCTTGGCTCACTGCAACTTCCGCCTCCCAGGTTCAAGCAATTCTTCTGCCTCAGCCTCCTGAGTAGCTGGGATTACAGGCACACATCACCATGCCCAGCTAATTTTTTGTATTTTTAGTAGAGACAGGGTTTCACTATGTTGGTCAGGCTGGTCTCAAACTCCTGACCTCGTGATCTGCCCACCTCGGCCTCCAAAAGTGCTAGGATTACAGGCGTGAGCAAACATGCCCGGCCAATATGTTTATTTTTAACAATGTACTTCAGAATGAGATAATCTGGGATTATGTATTTAAGTTTATGTATTTTCAGACTACACAAATAATGGATAGATTACGAATTTCACAATATTTCTGGTCTTTCAGAGTGTACATGAAAAGACTTTCTTTAAATCTAAGAATTGCATGCTTTTCTGAAAAATATAAGTTATGTGAGCCATGAACTTTTATATTATAACTACTGCAGATGTTGTGAGCATATATGCTAGATGTTAGTGTGGTAATTGAAAAGTAATTTAGGTAAAAATAAACATTTCATTCATTTACAAACTTTATGAGAACACTGATTTTATCTTATTTAGATCAAATATATGTTCTTTTCAATATGGTGAAAATACAACAGGGATCATAATCAAACTCCTTTTTGTACTTTTAAAGGCTGTAAATCAGAAAAGGTTAAAGGAATTCATAGTTTTTCTCCTTTGTTTGCCAAGGTTGCTGTTGATATTTACTCCAAAGTGGCCAATAGAACTAATGTCATATAAAGTTTCAGAGTTTACTGTCTTTTTGCCTTTGGACTCAATCAGAGTGTTGTACTTTCTGTTTATTTGCTTTGCTCTTATTTATTTTTAATAAGTTTATTGGGACGTAATCCTCATAACATTCAATTCACCAACTTAAATTGTATAATTTGATGTTTTAAAATATATTCATAGAGTTGTACAATCATCACTAGAATAAATTTTAGAATATTCTGCCACCCTAAAAAGAAACCTCATATCCATTACCAGTCACTCCTCACTCACCTCTATTCTTACCCACTTCCTCATCCCTAGGCAACAACTAACCTATTTCCTGTATCTATAGATTTGATTCTGGATGTTTCATATAAAGACAGTCATACAACATATAGTCTTTTGGCTCCTCTCACTTAGCATAATATTTTCAAGGTTCATTTATGTTGTGGTGCATATCAACACTTCATTCCTCTTTGTGGCTGAATAATATCCTATTATAAGACTATACCACTTTATTCGTTTGTCAGTTAATAGAGTGGCAAAGTGGATTGTTTTCACATTTTGGGTATTACAAATTATGCTACTATGAACATTTGTGTATGAATTTTTGTGTGGATATATGTTTTGTTGATCTTGACTATACACTTAGGAATGGAACTTTTGGGTCATATGGTAACTCCCTGTTTAGTATTTTGAGAAGCTGCCAAACTGTTTTCCAAAGTGGTTGGATTTGATTTATTTTAACATTATCTTACATCTACTTTGAATAAGAATTTGAGTCAACTTGATACAGATACTTGAGTTTGGCATTGTGTGTCCTCTCTGAGCCTTCAAGACAATCACATTTTTTCAGCTTACTCTGTGTGTTCTGCATAAGACAGATGATTAGAATAATTGGAGGGCTTGTCTTGTCCTATGTGCTGGAATTTGGCTCTCTGTGACTTTCATTACAAGGTGGTGCTTTAGTTACTTGAGGTCTTGCCAGTCCTTATTTCCTTAGTGTGTTCAGCTGCCTTCAGGTAGTGAGAGTTAGCTCTATCCAAGCAAGGATTTCAGGCTGAGAAAATGAAGTTTGTTCATATAAGGCCACACATGCATTGATTCTTCCCTGTAAACTTACAAGTTAAGGATGATTCATTGACAAGTGTGGGAATCCTGGGATAGTCTACGGCTTGATTTGTCTGTGTAGTATGGTGCCATATGAATAGATGTACAAAAATTGGGGGTTATTGATAAGTGTGTCAAATACCTGAGATTAGAGCTAAAGATAAGAGACCCATGTGCTGTAGATCACCACACCCTGAGCAGTGGAGAGCATGCAGGAGAACTTTCTCTCGACTGAATAAAATCTGTGCAGCGATGAGGGAGGCGGACGGAACAGTGATGTGTGTTATGCACTGAAGTGTAACAGAGACTAGCTGCCTTGAGCAATCTGGAGAGCTCTGAAACATTGGAAATAATTTTTCTTGATATACCACAAAGACCTCTGCAGGCTTTGATACCTAAAAACCTCTGCAGGTCCAGTGTGGAAAACTTCTCCCTCTCATGCAATCCTCTGAACAACATGAGGCATTAGAGACCTGGTGATAGCTGTCCTACACAGCTAATAAAAGCCACGTGGGGCTACTACTATAATCAGGAGCTGCTGATGGGAACAACTAGCTTCTAGGGAGAACATTCTCTAAAACTGCCTCTAGTATCAATTTGGAAAGAACTAATTTTCTATGGTGTCTCCTAGCCTCTGACAACTGAGGATGAGTAGCTTGAAGAAAAAAGTGGCCAACTCCTTCTTGTAATTGCCAACCTCACATTTGACTGTTATTTTATTTCTTGTCTTTTTTTTTGTATACTAAGAATAGTTTATAATTTCTTTCCAAAAAATATGCATAGATTCTGGTCCTCCCGGAGAGACCTGGTGTTATTAACCAACTCTCAGACGTCTGGTGATAAGTACAGTTCAGAAGGAAAATACTATATAAAAATATAGTTTCTATCTCAAAACTCTAAAACTTATTTAAATCCTTTTAGAAATTATAAAGTAACAATTCAAAAAACAAGGAATAGAGAAAAATTTCTCACACTTACAAGTATTTTTGTTCTACATTGATTGATATGTTTGTTATATTGCAGCTTCTTGTAACATTTTGTCTAGCCATGTTGCTGCCAAAAATGGTCTTTCTTTATAATGAGGAAAAATAGCTTTCTATTATAGAGCATTATTGCCTCGTATTATAATTAGCAGGGAGATTATGGGATTTGGAGTTTGTCAGATCTGAGTTGGAATTCCATTCCAGCACAGATTAATTTTGGAGCTTGAACAAGATGCTTATCTTCTTTAAACCACACTTTCAACAGTTTATAAACATGGATAATACCTATCTTGGGAAAATTTCATCTGATGGAGCATGTTACTCTGGTGGCCAAGAGTTTTATTTGTTTTTCATCTAGAATCATCAGCTAGGAAGCCTAATTTTTAAAATCAATGTTTGTTTAGAGCAGCGGTCCTCAATTTGGAATGACTTCATTTCTGAAGGTACAATTGGCAAAACCTGGAGACATTTTTGGTTGTCACGTCTTGGTGGCGGGGGTGCTGCTGTGCCATTGAAATCTAGTGGGGTAGAGGCCAGGGATGCTGCTACATATTCTATGATGCACAGGATCACTCCCTCCCTACCCTTAACAAAGACTTATCTGGCCCTATATTTCAATAGTGCTGAACTTGAGAAACCTGGTTTAGAGGAAGGAAACAAAAATGTTCCCACTATGAGGACTCCTTCATAAAGGAAAAAATATTGATGTGGCAAATATCACTCTTAAGAGATTATGGTGAGGAACAAGAGAATTGCAACATGTAAATATTGGGTTTTAAGTATTTAAACCATTGGAGGAAGATAAGAATTGCTAATATTCAAGAGTATAAAAACTTCTGGAAAGATATGTTCTGAAAATGTACTTATGTGAAGTGAAGCTTGACCCTATATATGTCGTTATGAGTGGAGAAACGCAAAGCAAAACAGCAGTTTAGAAGCCATGTAAGACTGCGTTTCAGTCCCATCTCCAATGCTTGTTATCTGTGTGACCTTGGAGGGGTGACTAAACCTGTCTGAGCCTTGGTCCCTTCACTCTAAAGTATAAGTAATAATACTTGCCTTCAAAGATGGTGAATTTTCTATTTCTTTTCTTTTTTTTCTTTTTAGACAGAGTCTCACTCTGTCGCACAGGCTGGAGCGCAGTGGCATGATTTCGGCTCACTGTAGCCTCTGCCTCCCGGGTTCAAGCGATTCTCCCACCTCAGCCTCCCGAGTAGCAGGGATTACGTGTGCGTGCCACGATACCCAGCTAATTTTTTATTTTTAGTAGAGACGGAGTTTTGCCATGTTAGCCAGGTCGGTCTCGAACTCCTGACTTCAGGTGGTCCGCCTGCCTCGACCTCCCAAAGTGCTGGGATTATAGGCGTGAGCCACCACACCCAACCTGAATTTTCTATTTCTATTAGGATTAACGAGATGATAAAGTGTCTAAAACATTGTATGGGATCAATCAATTTCAGTTTTTGTTCCCATGATGAAGTTTGGGAATTAGAGTTGTAGATATGAAAGTTATTTTTAACAATAACTTTTATAAATTATGGGAAGAAAATGGCAGAGGATAGCAGAACCAGCTATTAAGATTCTGTATGAATTTTTAGATTTAAATAATTTTACTGGCTTATTTGTGCACATGGCACACACAAAAAGAACAAATTACATTCAGTAAAGAGCAAGTCTACCTCCTACTCTTTCCATTTGTCTCCTGATTCTTTTGCCGGTGGCAATTTCTGTTTCCAGCTTCTTATGTATTCTTCCATGAGAGGAATCCTTGATATTCTGGCCCAAAATTGAGGGAAGTGTACAGTCTTTAGGAGGCCCTGTGGACCAAGGGCAAGGAAACTCAGGTCAGAGAAAGACCAAATTTATAGGTCTGGATTTCAGGGAGTAAAACTGACAGTCCTGAACAGGAACCAGGATAAAGACCAAATTTTAGGTCTGGATTTCAGGGAGTAAAACTGACAGTCCTGAACAGGAACCAGGATAAAGACAAAATATAATGGAGGAAAGAGCATTTCTAGAAGACAGGCATTAGGTTATCAGCTTAGCTGTTGGAAGAGGGAGGGGAAAAACTTTAGAGACAAAAATTACATCCAGAAGCCAAAGAATTGTCTGTGGTTCAAAAAAGAATATAATATCAGCAACGGCTAGGCTGAAGATGGAGCATAATAGAACAAAAAGAAAAGGTTACTCTCAGGGCCTGGGTTTGCATTAAAATGAAATAATACGTCAGGCGCAGTGGCTCATGCCTGTAATCCCAGCACTTTAGGAGGCCGAGGTGGGTGGATCACCTGAGGTCAGGAGTTCAAGACCAGCCTGACCAACATGAAACGCCCTCTCTACTAAAAATACAAAAAATTAGCCAGCCATGGTGGCATGCACCCGTAATTCTAGCTACTTGGGAGGCTGAAGCAGGAAAATTGCTGAGCCCAGGAAGCAGGGGTTGCAGTGAGCCGAGATTGCACCATTGCACTCCAGCCTGGGCAACAAGAATGAAACTCCATCTCAAAGAAAAAAAAAAAAATAATAATATTCATGAGTATGAAGGGAAAAATTAATGACTTTGTACATCTGCCAAGCCAGCTGAGGAGTTTGAAAATGTATTTGGGATTTACCCTAAGAGTATATAATGAATATCCTGAAATGTCTGTGGATGATACTGATATTGAACTATGGTTAGACAGCAGTTGCCAGAGCAGGGAAGGTGATAGAAACAGAGAAAATTTAAAAAGTCTTCCCCTCTATGCCCATAGCTGATAGCAGAGAAGAGTAATCCTGAGACTCACCAAGGATGGAAATGATATGGCCCCCACCCTGCCAGCCTTAGCTTCACAAACTAGAGGACCCTTGATAGCATAGGAGAACCTGTGTGGATTCACGAGAATGACTTACTATTGAGATTCTGCAAGTGAAAGCATGAGATGGACTTGATTTTTTTTTTTTTTTAGATGTGGGATCTTGTTATGTTACCCAGGCTGGAGAGCAGTGGCTATTCACAGGTGTGATCGGCACACTATGACCTGGAACTCCTGGCCTCAAGTGACCCTCCTGCCTCAGCCTCTCAAGCAGCTGGGACTACAGGCTCCTGACACCATATCCAGCTGAACCTGATTTTATATTCCAGTGGCTGACAAACTATTTAACTCCTCTGAACTACAGATTCTACCCACCTAATTTTTGCCAGTTTGTATGCAAAAGAACAACTTATCACTTTTTATTTTCAAGCCACTTCCCTCCAGCCATGTACATTAAACCCATTTCAAAATAAACTTTGTCAAGAAAGCTTACCTACTTTCTAGACTCTAGATCAAAGATGTTTCCCCTCAACTTCCAGGCTTGAAATCTGTTATTTTCACTCGTCTTGTTGCTTCAATTCTTTCCTTCCTCCAAATGTAATTTGTTAATCCTTTCTTCACAATACTTTTCTCATTCATTGCTACAATGTAGCTCCTACAACTTATGCAAAATCCTATAACCTTCATGCTTGAACTGTCTTAATAGCCCCTTTGTTGGCATTCTGCCTGCATCCACATCTTTCTCCTCCAGTCCACTGTCTACCTCAGTCTGTTACACACAGTTTGTGTCTATAGTGACATTACTCCTTTTTCATGAAATATGTCTACCTGCTTTGTTCAGCTAGTGATATCATATTCAATCTTTTGGCAACCCCCCTCCTCTGAGTGACCTACCTTATCTCCCCAGGCAGATTTGATGCCTGCCTCAATATCCAATATCTTACCAATGTCCTACCACTATATACCCTGTTGATATGGCAGTGAGGTTCATACACATATTTTGTATATGTGTATACTAATACTATAGTTTATACCTGTAAAACTAAGATGATTATTTCTTATGTGGTATGATAAGGTATGGTATGGTAAGGTAAGGCATAAAATAAATATAATGTTATTTATCTGTTATCTATTTTTCACACTAAGCTATGAGCACCTGGAAGGTAAGGACCATGTATTTTTAACTTGGTACTCAAAAACCATGGTATGGTACATTATACATGTACACAATAAAAAATTATGTGATCTGGTTTAAGGTGACAGACTAGATGCAGCTGGGATGTGCCTTTTCCATGCACAGAAACCAAAATATCAAGTGATATGGTTTGGCTGTGTCCTCACCTAAATCTCATCTTGAATTCCCATGTGTTGGGGGAGGGACCCAGGGAGAGGTAATTGAATCATGCGGGGGCAGGTCTTTACCGCTGTTCTCACGGTAGTGAATAAATCACATGAGATCTTATGGTTTTAAAAAGAGAAGTTACCCTGCACAACTCTCTCTTTGCCTGTTGCCATCCATGTAAGACGTGACTTACTCCTCCTTGCCTTCTGCCCTGAATGTGAGGCCTCCCCAGCCATGTGGAACTGTAATTCCATTAAACCTCCATTTCTTCCGAGTCTCAGGTATGTCTTTGTCTTTATCAGCAGCATGAAAACAGACTAAAACATCAAATAAACCATAGTTGGGAAAGATCTTTTGAGAGAAAATACTAAAACTCAATACAGAGGAAATGGAAGACACTGTGATTGAAGAGGGAAGAAGTGGGGTTGCCTGCTAGGCAAGAACTGGACCCCTGGATAAAAGGAAGGGGTGAATGAAGGAGCCCTGGGGCACTGTGTTCCTTCCCTCTGAGATCCTAGATACAAGAGAGTTCCAAGACCCGTAAAGGTCTTTCTGGCTGGGGGAGCTCCCTGGAAACCACAGAGATGCTGCTTGAACTTTCATGGAGTACAAAATGCTTCAGTGTGCTGGGCAGCTGCAGCAAAATGTGACTCTGGGCACCAACCCCTGCTCTGTGTCTGACCCCAAGCAGCTGCTACTGCTGCTCTCTGCCATATTGGGGAGTGAATGGGGCCTGGGCATGCTCATGTGCCCTAAAGACAAGCTCTACTTCCATTGCCATAGGACTGAAGTGCATCCAAGTCACATGCCCCATGTCTGCTGTTCCTTCCTAAGACTGCCTGCCTGGCTGTTCTCATACAGGATGACCCACAGTGTAGCTGCCATTGCTCCCCCTCCCTGAACTCAGTGTTTTGTTGGTGGTCTGGGAGCAGTTCACTCCTCCCTATTTCAGCCAGAGCTTGAGCCAGAGGGGCCTGAAGACAAGTCAGCTGGCCTAGTCCCAGTTCCCCAGGACTTGAGCACACTGACTAGGGGCTTGAGGATGAAATATGTGGTCTGATTTCAAGTCAGGGAGGAGCTCCCACTGTCAGAATACTAAGAGTGTGGCACAGGTTCATGTGGTACGGGAGCTGGTACCTCTGCCTCTGCAAGACTGGACCAGGAAGGGTGTGGCTAGGTAGTCACGGTTTTTGCCTCAGGAAGTCTTGTGGTCCGGAATACCTGGAGTGGCTTGGTGATTTGGGTGTGAAAATGTGGAACTAGCCTACTCATCTGGCCAGCTGCTAGGGCTGGATCCTGGAAAAAGACCCTCCAGGTCAGGAATGTGGGAGCTGGGCAGGCCTCATGGCCACCTTTTGGGCTGAAAACCCTGACTAGCCCCTCTTCCTCTGAGTGGACTCTGTGGCACAGGAGAGGCACTTTTGCCCCTGCCCCTACCTGGAGGGTTGTCCCAGTGGCCTGAGAGCTGGTTCTAGCCATTGCCAAGGTTGGTGCTTGCGTCCACCTTGGAGAACTTGGTCATGGGCTTGCCCACCCCAGTCCTACCCAGGTTTGCCCCTTACAGTAGCCTTGGCAGCAGAGCTTGGGGCAGGACACCTGGGAGCTCTATGTCCTGCCCATCACCTGGGACCCCACAGAACTTCCCCGATTAACAAAGGCCATGCATAAATTCCACTGCCATCACAATTGCCTCTTCCCTACAAGTTCCACCTCTAGGCCGGGTGATGAACTGCATGTCCCATCACAGCTTTCCTTGATATCATTGTACAGCTCTCAGCTGGCTCTTACCCACAATCACCACCTGCTGGCCTGTAGAGTGAACTGCACAACCCAATATAATTTCTGCTGCCAGAAGTACACAGCACTGGGGGAGAAGATGAGTCTCCTGAGACCTCCACCTCTCCATGTCTGTAGGAGATAGTGAACCTGACCACACACACAGCCTACCGCTCCCATAACCTAAAAACAACAAGCATTTGAGAAAACTACTATAGGATCTCTATAACTAAGGAGTTTATATGGAGCCTTGGCCCCCTAAAAGCACAAAGAAACAAAGTCAAAGGACTTTACCCAGCACATGCAACAGTCACATCCTCAAGGGGAAAAATAGCACTCAAATGAAAGTAAATTCAAAAATAATGAGTGACAGCTTATCCAAACGAGAAGGAATCAGTATAAGAACTCCAACACCATGTAGAAACAGAATGCTGTGACATCTTCAAAGGACCACATTAACTCTCTAGCAATAGATTCAAACCAAAATGAAAATTCTGAAATGACAGATCAAAAATGCAAAGTATGAATTGTAAAGAAGCTCATTGAAATCCAAGAGAAAGTTGAAAACCAACGCAAAGAAATCAGAAAAACAATTCAGGATATAAAAAATGAGATAGACATATTTTTAAAAAATCTTATAGAATGAAAATTTCACTGAAGGACGTCCAAAATACAGTTGAAAGGGCTAACAATAGACTAGACCAAGCAGAAGAAAAAATTTCAGAGCTTACAGACCAGACTTTCAAACCCAGTCTCAGAAAAATAAAGGAAACATAATTTAGAAAAAATGAACAAAACCTTTAAGAAACATGAACCATGTAAAACATGTAAATCTACAACTTATAGGCATTCCTGAGGGAGAAAAAGAAAAAGCAAGAAATTTGGAAGACATATTTGAGGCAATAATTGAAGAAAATTTCCCTGATCTTACTAGAGATGTAGATATCCACATGCAAGAAATTCAGAAAACAACTAGAAGATGCCATACAAGGCAAACATCCCCAAGGCATATAGTTACCAGACTTTCCAAGGTCAATATTAAAGAAAAAATAATTTAAAAGGAGCTAGGGAGAAGCATCAAATTACCTATAAAGGAAATCCCATCAGACTAATAACAGACTTCTCAGTGAAATTTTACTAGCCAGAAGAGATTGGGGGCCTATTTTTAGCCTTCTTAAAGAATAAAAATGCCACCCAGGAATTTGATATCCTGCCAAACTAAGCTTCGTAAAAAAAGGAGACGTAGAGTCTTTCTCAGACAAGCAAACACAAATGAAATTCATCATCACTAGACCAGACCTACAAGAAATACTCAAAGGAATTCTAAACATAGAAACAATGATACTGACCATAATAAAATCACATATAAATACAAAGCACATAGACTCTATAAAGCAATTATGCAAGTGAGACTACAAAACAACTAGACAACAATACCATGAGAGGAACAAACCCTGAAATATCAATATTAACCTTGAATGTAAATGGCCTAAGTGCTCCACTTGAAAGATGCAGACCAGCAAATTGGATAAAAAAGCAAACCCAACCATTTATTGCCCACAAGAGACTCAACTAATAGGTATAGATACAGACTCAAAGTTAAAGAATGAAAAATAAGTGGGAGTAGTTACTTTCATATCAGATAAAACAGACTTTAAATCAGCAACAGCAAAAAAAAAAAGAAGGTCATAATATAATGATAAAGAGTTCAATTCAACAGGAAGATTTAACAATCCTAAATATATATGCACCCAATATCAGAGCACCCAGATTCATAAAACAAATACTGATAAACTTAAGAAAAGAGATTGACAGCAATACAATACTAATGTGGAACTTCAACACCCCCACTGATAGTACTAGACACATAATTGGGGCAGAAAATCAACAAAGAAACTTTGGACTTAAACTGGACTCAAGGCCAAGCGGACCTAACAGACATTTACAGAATATTCCACCCAATAAATGCAGAATATACATTTTTTTCTTCTGCACATGTAACATTTTCCAAAATACTCCATATCCTTGGTAATAAAGCAAGTCTCAATAAATTAAAAAATTGAATAATATCAAGTATCTTCTTGTACAACAGTGAAGTAAAATTAGAAATCAATACCAAGAGGAACTCTTGAAATTACATGAGTACATGGAAACTAAACAACTTGCTCCTGATTGGCTTTTGGGCAAACAATAAAATTACAGCAGAGACCAAAAAAGTTCTTAAGTGAATGAAGATAGAGACACAACATGCCAAAACCTATGAGATACAGCACAAGCAGGGCTAAGAGGAAAGCTTACGGCATTAAATGTCTACATAAAACATACAGAGAATTCTCAAATAAACTACTTACTGTCACACCTTAAGGGACTAGAAAAACAAAAATAAACCAAACCTAAAGTAAGCAGAAGAAAAGAAATAACAAAGATCTGGTCAGAAGTAAATGAGATTGAGACAAAAAATACAAAGGATTAAAGAAATAAAAAGTTGGTTCTTTGAAAGGACAAAGAAAATGGAAAGACTGTTGGCTAGATTAACAGAAAAGAGAGAGAAGATTCAAATAAGCACAGTCAGAAATGATAAAGGTGACATATAATTTATACACAGAAGTACAAAAGATTATCAGAGACTACTTCAAGCATATCTATACACACAAACTAGAAAAACTAGAAGAAATGGATAAATTCCTGGAAACATACAATCTTCCAAGATTAAACCAGGAAGAAATAGAAATTTTGAGCAGACCGATAGAGAGTAATTAAACTGAATTAGTAATAAAAAATCTTCCAACAACAACAAAAAAACCCAGGATCCCAGATGGATTCACAGCCAAATTCTACCAGATGTACAAAGAAAAGCTGGTACCTATGTTACTGAAACTATTCCAAAAAGTCAGGAAGGAGGGATTTCTCCCTAATGCATTGTATGAAACCAATATCACCCTGATAACAAAATCAGGCAAGCGCACAACAAAAGAAGAAATCTACAGGCCTATATTCCTGATGATCATAGATGAAAAAATCCTCAACGAAATACTAGCAAACAAAATCCAATGGCACATAAAAAAGATAATATATCACAATGAAGTGGATTTTATTCTAGGGATGCAAGGATGGTTCAACATACACAAATTAATAAATGTGATTCACCACATAAACAGAATTAAAAACAGAAACCATATGATCATCTCAATAGATGTAGAAAAAGCATTAAATAAAATTCAATATCTCTTCATAATTAAAACCCCCTATCAAACTAGGCACCAAAGGAACATACCTCAAAATAATAAGATCTATCTATGACAAACCCACAGACAGTATCACGCTGAATGAGGAAAAGTTGAAAGTATTCCCCCTAAGGACTGGAGCAAGACAATGATGCTCACTCTTACCATTCCTATTTGACACAGTACTGGAAGTCCTAACCAGAGCAATCAGGCAGGAGAAAGAAATAGCGGGCATCCAGATTGGAAAAGAGGAAGTCAAATCATCTCTGTTTGCTAATGATGTAACTGTTTTACCAAGAAAACCCTAAACACTCTTCCAAAATACTCCTAGACCTGATAAATGACTTCAGCAAAGTTTCAGGGTACAAAATCAATGCATAAACATCAGTTACATTTCTATACACCAATAACATTGATGCTGAGAATCAAATTAAAAACTCAATCCCATTTATAGTAGCCATAAAAATGCATAGAAATACATTTAACCAAGGAGTTGAAAGATCTCTACAAGGAGAACTATAAAACACTGATGAAAAAAAAAATGTCAGTGACAGAAATTAAGGGAAAAAAACCCGATGTTCATGGATGGAAAGAATCAATATTATTAAAAATGATCATACTACCCCAAACAGTCCACAGCTTCAATGCAGTTCCTGTAAAATTACCAAGTTCATTTTTCACAGAATTAGAAAAAACAATCTTAAAGTTCATACAGAATGAAAAAACAAAAAACAAAACAAAAAAAGAGCCCACATAGCCAAAGCAATCCTAAGCAAAAAGAACAAGCTTGGAGGTATCACATTACTTCAAATTACAGTACAAGACTATGGTAACTAAAACAGCATGGCACCAGTATGAAAATATTAATAAATACATAGATCAATGGAACAGAATACAGAACAAAGAAGTAAAACCACATACCTAAAACAAACTGATCTTAGACCAAGTTGACAAAAATCAACAATGGGCGGAAAGGATATCCTATTCAATAAATAATGTTAGGAAGACTGGCTAGCTATATGCAGAAAAATGGTACTTTCTCACAGTATACAAAAATTAACTCAAGATGTATTAAAAATCTAAACATGAGGCCTGAAACTATAAAAATCCTAGAAGATAACCTAGGAAAAACTCTTCTGGACATAGGCTTAAGAAAAGAATTTATGACTAAGACCTCAAAAGCAAATGCTACTGAAACAAAAATAGACAAATGAGACTTAATTAAAAGCTTCTGCACAACAAAAGAAACAATCAACAGAGTAAACATATAGCCTATAGAAGGGGAGAAAATATTTGCAAATTATGCATCTGATGAATGACTAATATTCAAAATCTTCAAGGATCTCAAACTCAACAAGAAAAATTCAAATAACCCCATTAAAAAATAGACAGGCTGGATGTGGCAGCTCTCATGCTTGTAATCCCAGCACTTTGGGAGGCCAAGTGGCCAAAGTGGGCAGACTGCTCAAGCCCAGGAGTTCGAGACCAGCCTGGGTAGCATGGTGAAACCCTGTCTCTACTAAAAATCAAAATATTAGCCAGGTGTGTGATGGGCACCTGTGGTCCCAGATACTTTGGAGGCTGAGGTGGAAAGATCGCTTGAGCCTGGGAGGTGCAGGTTGCAGGGAGCTGAGATTGTGCCACCGCATTCCAGCCTGAGTGACAGAGACCCGTCTCAAAAGAAAAAAAAAAAGTGGGCAAAGGACATAAATAGACATTTCACAAAAGAAGATATACAAGTGAGCAACAAACATGAGAAAATTCTCAACATCACTAATCAGAGAGATGCAAATTATACCACAATGATATACTATCTTACATCAGTCAGAATGGCTATTATTAACATTATTATTGTTTTAACTTTTTTCTTAAGTTCAGGAGTACATGTGCAGATTTGTTAGGTAGGTAAACTCATGTCATGTGGGTTTGTTGTAAAGATTATTTCATCACCCACGTATTAGGCCTATTACTCATTAGTTATTTTTTCTGATCTTTTCCCTCCTTCCACCCTCTACCCTCAAGTAGGCTGCAGTATCTGTTGTTCCCCTCTATGTGTCCATGTGTTCTCATCATTTGGCTCCCACCTATAAGTAAGAACATGTGGTATTTGGTTTTCTGTTCCTGCACTAGTTTACTAAGGATAATGGCCTCCAGCTTCATCCACGTTCTTGGCAAAAGATGTGATCTCATTCTTTTTTGTAGCTGCATAGTGTTCCATTGTGTATACATACCACATTTTCTTTATCCAGTCTGTCATTGATGGAAATCTAGGTTGATTCCATGTCTTTGCTGTTGTGAATAGTGCTGCAGTGAACATTTGTGTGCATGTGTCTTTACCGTAGAATGATTCATAGTCCTTTGGGTATATACCCAATAATGGGATTGCTGGATCAAATGTAGTTCTGTTTTTAGCTCTTTGAGGAATCACCATATTGCTTTCCACAACGGTTGAATCAATTTACACTCCAACCAACAGTGTATAAGTGGCATATATTTCTCCACAACCTGGCCAGCACCTGTTATTTTTTGACTTTTTAATAACAGTCATTCTTACTTGCGTGAGATAGTATCTCGTGGTTTTGACTTTCATTTCCCTAATAATCAGTGATATTGGACTTTTATTCATATACTTGTTGGCTACATGTATGTGTTTTTTTTTGAAAAGTGCCTGTTCATGTCCTTTGCTCACCTTTTAGTGGGTTGTTTCATTTCTTTTCGTGTAAATTTAAGTTCTTTATAGATACAGGGTATTAGAGCTTTGTCAGATGCATAGTTTGCAAATATTTTCTCCCATCTGTAGGTTGTCTGTTTACTCTGTTGGTAGTTTCTTTTGCTGTGCAGAAGCCCGTAAGTTTAATTACATACCATTTGTCAGTTTTTAGTTTGGTTGTGATTGCTTTTGGCATCTTCATCATGAAATCTTTGCCCATGCCTCTGTTCAGAATGGTATTGCCTAGGTTGTCTTCCAGAGCTTTCTTTTTTTTCTGTTTTTTTTTTTTTTTTTTTTTTTGAGATGGAGTCTCACTCTGTTGCCCAGGCTGGAGTGCAGCGGCACGATCTCGACTCACTGCAAGCTCTGCCTCCCAGTTCACGTCATTCTCCTGCCTCAGCCTCCCAGGTAGCTGGGACTACAGGTGCCTGCCACCATGCCTGGCTAATTTTTTTGTATTTTTAGTAGAGACGGGGTTTCACCGTGTTAGCCAGGATGGTCTCCATCTCCTGACCTCATGAACCTCCCACCTCGGCCTCCCAAAGTTGCTGGGATTACAGGCGTTGAGCCACCGTGCCTGGCCTTCCAGAGTTTTTATAGTTTTGGGTTTTACAATGATGAGTGATCTTTTAATGTGTTCTTGAATTCAGTTTGCTGGTATTTTGTTGAGGATTTTTGCATTTATATCCATCAGTGATATTGGTCTGTAGTTTTCTTTTTTTAATGTGTTTTTGTTTTTTGTGTCAGGGTAATACAGGTCTCATAGAATGAGTTTGGAAGCATTCTCTTCTCTATTTTTCAGAATAATTTGAGTAGATTTGGTATTAGGTTTTTAAAAGTTTGGTAGAATTCATCAATAGCCTTCAGGTCCTGGGCTTTTCTTGGCTGGGAGACTTTTTATTATGGCTTTGCTTTCATTATTCATTATTGATCTGTTCAGGTTTTGGATTTCTTTATGGTTCAATCTTGGTAGGTTGTATGTATCTAGGAATTAATCTATTTCTTCCAGATTTTCCAATTTATTGGCATATTATTGTTGCTTATAGTAACCACTACTGATTCTTTAAATTTCTGTGGTATTGATTGTAATGTCTCCTTTTTCATCTCTAATTTTATTCATTTGGGTCTTCCCCTTTTTTTTTTTCTGAGTCTGGCTAGAATTTTGTCAATTTTGTTTGTCTTTTCACAGAGCCAGCTTTTTCTTTCATTGATCTTTTGTGTTGTTCTTTTCATTTCGGTTTCATTTATTTCTGCTCTAATCTTTATTATTTCTTTTCTACAAGTAATTTGGGGCTTGGTTTGCTCTTGCTTTTCTAGTTCTTTAGGATGAATCCTTAGGTTATTGATTTGAAATTTTTCTTCTTTTTTGATATAGGTGCTTACAGCTTTAAAATTCTCTCTTACTACTGCTCTCACTGTATCCCATAGGTTTTGGCATGTTGTGTTTCCATTACCATTTGTTACAAGAATATTTTCAATTTTCTTCTTAATCTCTTCATTGACTCACTTGTTATTCAGGAGCATATTTTAAAATTCCATGTGTTTGTAGAGTTTACAAAATTTCTCGTTATTGATTTCTAGTTTTTTATCCCTTTGTGGCTAGATAATATGCTTGATATTATTTTTTAAATTAATTAATTAATTGATTGATTTTGAGACAGAGTTTCACTCTGTCACCCAGGCTGGAGTGCAGTGGTGAGATCTTAGCTCACTGCAAGCTCCACCTCCTGGGTTCACACCATTCTCCCACCTCAGCCTCCTGAGTAGCTGGGACTACAGGTACCCGCCACCATGCCCGGCTAATTTTTTTTTTTTTTTTTGTATTTTTAGTAGAGACGGGATTTCACCATGTTAGCCAGGATGGTCTTGATCTCCTGACCTTGTGATCTGCCTGCCTGGCCTCCCAAAGTGCTGCGATTACAGGTGTGAGCCACCATGCCAGGATTTTTTTGGAATGTTTTAAGACCTAACACATGGTCTATCTTTGAGAATGATTCATGGGATGAGGAAAAAACGTATATTCTGCAACAATTAAATGAAATGTTCTGTAAATATATTTTAGGTCCATTTGGTTTATAGTGCAGATTAAGTCCAATGTTTCTTTCTTGTTTCTGTCTGGAGTGTATTTCTACTGTTGAAAATGGGATGTTGAAGTCTCCAGCTATTATTAGATTGGAATCTATCTCCATCTATAGCTCTAATAATATTTATTTTATATATCCAGGTGCTCCAGTATTGGGTGAATATATATTTACAATTGTTCTATCATCTTGCTAAATTGACCCCTTTATCATTATATAATGATCTTCTTTGTCTCTTCTTATAGCTTTGGATTTAAAATCTATTTTGTCTGATATAAGTATAGCAACTCCTGCTCTTTTTTCTTTAGTTTCCTTTGGTGTGGAATATGTTTTTCCTTCCCTTTATTTTCAGCCTATGTGTGTCCTTATAGGTGAAGTGTGTTTTCTGTAGGCAACAGGTCACTGGATCTTTCTTCTTCTTCTTTTTTTTTTTCAGCCACTCTATATCTTTATGTTGGAGAGTTAGGTTTGATTTACATTCAATGTTATTATTGATGAATAAGGACTTATTCCTGCCATTTTGTTATTTGTTTTCAGGTTGTTTTGTGGTCTTCTCTTTCTTCTTTCTTTCATTCTTGTCTTCTTCTAGCGACAATGATTTTTTCTGGTTATATGATGTAGTGTCTTGTTTTTTAGTTTTTGTGTGTCTATTGTATGTTTTTTGGTTTGAGATTACCATGAGGTTTGCAAATACTGTCTTTTAACCCATTATTTTAATCAGATAGCAACTTAAAACTACTTGAATAAACAAACAAAAATGCAAATAGAACACTAATAAAAATTCTGTACTTTAACTTTGTCCCCCGATCCATAACTTATTGTTTCTATTTATATATTATTTTACTGCTTATGTCTTGAAGAGTTGTTGTAGTTATTTTTGATTGGTTTATCTTTCAATCTTTCTACTTGAGTATTTTACATACCACAAGAAGAGTGTTATAATAGTGTGTGATTATAAGAGTGTGATTTTCTGTGTACTTACTATTGCCAGTGAGTTTTTTACCTTCAGATGATTTCATATTGCTCCTTAGCATCCTTTTCTTTCTAAACAAAGGGCTCTTTTTTATCATTTCCTGTAGGACAGGTCTAGTGTTGATGAAATACCTCAGCTTTTGTTTGTCTGGGAAAGTCTTTGTTTCTCCTTTACGTTTAAAGTAGGTTTTTGCCAGATATGGTATTCTAGGGTGACTTTTTTTTAACTTCAGCACTTTAAATATGTCATGCCACTCTCTCCTGTCCTCTAAGGTTTCCACTGAAAAGTCCACTGCCAGATATATTGGAGCTTCACTGTATGTTAGTTCTTTCTTTTCTCTTGATTCTTTTATGATCCTTTCTTCATCCTTGACCTTTGGGAGTTTATTAAATGTCTTGAGGTAGTCTTCTTTGGGTTAAATCTGCTTGGTGTTCTATAATCTTCTTGTACTTGAATACTGAGATAGTTCTCTAGGTTTGGGAAGTTCCCTCTTATTATTCCTTTGAATAAACTTTCTCTCTCTCTCTCTCAATCTCTCACTCTCCCTCCTGCCCTCCCTCCCTCTCTGCTTCCCTCCCTCCCTCCTCTTTAAGGTTAAGTACTCTTATATTTTCCCTTTTGAGGCTATTTTCTGGGTCTTGTAGGCATGCTTCATTTTTTAATTCTTTTTTCTTTTGTTTCCTCTGACTGTGTATTTTCCAATAGCCTGTCTTCAGTCTCACTAATTCTCTCTTCTGGTTGATGAATTCTTCCAGTAAGTGACTCTGATGTATTCTTCAGTACATTCATTGCATTTTTCATCTCCAGAATTTCTGTTTGATCCTTTATAATTATTTCAATCCCTTTGTTCAATTTCTTTGATAGAATTTTGAATTCCTTCTCTGTGTTATCTTGAATTTCTTTGAGTTTCCTCAAAACAGCTATTTTAAATTCTCCACCTGGAAGACAACACATCTCAGTTTCTCCAGGATTGTTTCCTGGTGCCTTATTTAGTTTGTTTAGTGAGGCCATGTTTTCCTGAAGGGTCTTGATGATTGTGGATGTTAAGTAGTGTCTGGACACTGTAGGATTAGGTATTTATTGTAGTGTTTGCCATCTGGGCTTGTATGTGCCTGTTATCCTTGGGAAGGATCTACAATCAGAGATGGTGGAGCCAGCCAGTCTTGTGTTGTTCTCATCAGGATGGTGATTTCCCTCAGGCCCTGGGCAGGTCCAGAGATGCCATTTGTACCCAAAGACTGGAGTCAAAACCTTAGAAATCTACCTTGCACTCTATTCTATGGTGGGTGAACTGACACTCAAACCACATGACACAGACTTTCTCACTCTTCCCTCCACTTCCACAGGCAGAGGTGCTTCATCCCACGGCCACCATCATCACAGGCCCACGGGGGCCTACTAGGCTACCGCTGATATTCAGTTACCACCCAAGGGCTCTCCAGTCAGCTTGTGGTAAATTCTGCCAGGCCTGGGACTCACCCTTCATGACAGTGGGCTCCTCTCCAGTCCAGTGCAGGTCAAGAAGTGCTGTCTAATGGGAGCCAGAGCCTGGAATCAAGAACCCCAAGAGTCCACTTGGTGCCCTACCCCACAGTGACCTAGTTGGTACTTGATTTTTGGTTCCTATGAATGTGCTCCCTTTGTGTAGGTAGTTGTCAAACTTAGTCTTCCTACTGGGAGGGATGATCGGTGGAACGCTCCATTCTACCATCTTGCTCCACTTCTCCAATCCATCTAATTTTGATGTGTGGCACTTGGTAGTTGATTGATGCCACATACATGAACTATACTGTAGTCTAGACTTTTGCTTTAATAAAAGTATAAATTTGCCTTAATCTCCTTGTTTTTGTTGTCTCTTTATTGTTCTGAATTTAGGTGCAGGAAAGTAGTCCAAAAACCCTGGTCTGTGAAACTTTCCATAAAAATTTCAGTTAAAAGTGTCATCCTCCTCTGAAATTCTATAGTATTGAAAAGGTAACACTCTCAAAGAGGGCTTTTTATTTTATATTCGTCTGTGAGCCATTTCTCTGTGGTAAGACTATAAGAAGCAGGAATAAAGAATAGATTACCTTATACTTCTATTATCCTTTTTAGATCCTGGTTAGATTGTAGGCACTTTAAAATTTGAGTGTGTTTACCTATTTTCTCAGTTCACATTTTCCTTGTCCCAAAGATATTTTATGCACCTTTATCTTTCCATCTGCATGTTTAAATATTAAATATTAAATAATTTGCAAAAGTAATTATAATTGCTCTATATAAGAATAAGAATCTTTAAAAAAGTAATTACATGTACATTGTTGTCTCATTAACATTTTACTAAAATAATTTTTAATTTACCTGAAATTTTCTGACATTGTAATATTTTTTCATGTTATAAAATAGCCTAATGTACAAGAAAATATTACCAAGTGACATAACATGAAAAGCCCTTTGTAAGCTCCTGGTGCAATTTTTAATACCATTTTGGTATTAAGATTAGAAGACTTCAAAAATAATTTATTCTGAAGATATTTTGGCCATTAAAATATTTTCTAAAATATTATAAAAACAGAACTTTCTGATTTTGTCTCTTTCTCTGTTGTACTTTATGTTCCTCCTTACATGCTAGTAAGTCTTTAAGTGGTCTCTATTTTTCTTCTCTTTTTTAGATGTCATATTCATACTAGTTAATCATCCACAGTCAGCTACGGGGAGATCGCTGCTTTAAGGCTATATTCATCAGCTTGGTGGTTATGATGTTTTGGTGATTTATGGATGTTTATGACTCACGTATGGATACAAATGAGGGCTGTCACTGTCCCATCGCCTTCCTTCCCAGGTCACTATAGTGCCATACCATCCGTGAACTAAGCCAAATAGACAAAAATCTATAATTGCAAAACTAGTCACACCTCCAGTAGAAAAGAACCTCAAGACAGATAGCTCCACGCAGTCTTAGGTAAACCAGCACACTGCAGTGGCATAGATGACTTTGAACTGCACCAGCTCTAAAAACAAAATTGAATATGATATTTAGACATTCTCATTACACATGTGTGCATCATCAGGAGGCATGTTTTCACTTCTGTCTCTCTGGCTTAGATTTTCAAGGCAAGACTTTGAAAAAGAACTGCTTGAAGGAGAGAGACAGAGGAACTATACACATCCTTATATGCTGAATTTTCACATTAGTTAGTCCTTAGGTCAGCCTTATTGGATGAGGCATTGGTGATGATGAGGCAGCTTGCAGGCATCCCCCTGAAAATACCAGTCGAAACCCAGGTTGTGAAACTGCCAAGTGCTGACAAGGATATATCAACAGGCTGGAGGAGATATAAAAGAAATGGTCCTTGGCCCATGACGTATGTACTGTATCTGGGATATTTAATGATGAAGATGAAAAAACATCAACCTGTGTTTATCTAATCTATTATTTCAGCACTGATGTTTATAGCAGATTAAAAATGACTGGTCATAATTGAAAGAAATGTAAAAGAAACAGTAATTTATACTACATGAAAATATTTTTCATGGCTAAATCAAATGAGCATTATGTTTTAAGGGATTAAATATATGCTTAACTACCAGATTTCTACAAATCATGCTAAAATTAAATCAGGAATATACACAATTAAAACAGCCAATGGTAATTATTTAATAAGAGTGATTATCATAGAACGTTAGTCTTTAAAATAGTATTATATTGAAATTAGCTATCTGTGATAGTCATTAGTATTATACTAAATATTTTACATTTATTTCTAAAATAATGTAATGTTATAGCAATTTTAATTTACATTATGTAAGAAATGGTCCTCTGGTAGCCAGGCAATTGTCTCAACTAGTATAACAGGTGAGAAAGTTCCCTGTAAATTGTGACATGCAATTCAACTATAACCTTTAAAAAAATAAAATTAGAAAGTTTCAAAAATTTTAGATTTCAGATACACTGGCATTAAAAAAAGTCTTAGAAGACATATCCACCCTCTAGAAACAGGAAAGTCGGCTAACTCAATTTTCCAAAACATATACTCTGAAATGTTACTATGTATATAAGAATTTTAATGATTAAAAGATTAAGAAAATGATTAAAAATTATACCATTATTTCAAAGTTCAAACTATGTATAATTTTGTATTTTCACACTTGACTCATTTCTTATCTTTCCTTCTAACTTTCCTGTTTTCTCTCCTTGTCTTTGGAAATTATAACTTAAATATTTCTCTCCAGACTTGTATCATGTCTAATGTATGACAATTTTATGTCATCGCTGAGGGAATGAAGAACCTCTTTAACTTAACTAATGTCACATGTCCTGATAGTGACGTGTTTGACAGAGATTTGCCATCACAGTTCAAGGATGCAGGCTCCTTTAAGAATATTGGCTCTGACTGAGACATTTAGATATGCAGGAGGTCATGTGGTGTGCCTCCACCTGGAGGCAAGGGGTTCCCTGGCTCCACATAGCTGCTGGAAACCTCAGCCATCTATGAGCATGCCTGCATGAATTAAAGATTCCAGTGGATGCAAGAAGATTAGATCTCTGATTCACATGAGTTCTTTATGCATTCCAGGCTTCTCAGCAGAATCTGGCAAAACCACCAGGGCAATAGCCCTAACATTGAGAGTGTGCCCAGAAATATGTTTTAGCTTGCTAGGGCTGCCATAACAAAGCACCACAAAGTGAATAGCTTAAACAACAGAAATGTGTAGTCTCCCAGTTCTGGAGGCTGGAAGTCCAACATCAAGGTGTCCTTAGGGTTGGCTCTGTCTGAGACTGTGAGGAAGAATCTGTTCATGCCACTCTCCTAACTTCTGGTGGTTTGTGGCAATCTTTGGCCTTCCTTGGCTTGTAGGTGTATCATCCCAATCTCTGTATTCATGGTTGCAGGACATTCTCCATGTTGGTGTGTTTGCATCGAAATTTCCCACCCCCCTTTTGAGACGGAGTCTTGCTCTGTCGCTCAGGCTGGAGTGCAGTGTCACGATCTCGGCTCACTGCAAGCTCTACCTCCTGGGTTCATGCCATTCTCCTGCCTCAGCCTCCCAACTAGCTGGGACTACAGATGCCTGCCACCATGCCCGGCTAATTTTTTGTATTTTTAGTAGAGATGGGGTTTCACCATGTTAGCCAGGATGGTCTCGATCTTCTGACCTCGTGATCCGCCCTCCTTGGCCTCCCAAAGTGCTGGGATTACAGGCGTGAGCCACCGTGCCTGGCCCCAAATTTCCCCTTTTTATGACACCACCAGTCACACTGGATTAAAGACCCATCCTATCCCCATGGTGACTTCATCTTGACTAACTACATCTGCAATGACACTATTTCCAAATAAGGTCACATTCTGAGGTAGTGCAGGTTAGGACATCAACATATGAATTTTGGAGGGACACAATTTAGTTCATAACAATATCTAGGAGGCCAGTGGTCCTTGAAGTGCCATGAATGGGCTGGAGTGCATAGAGCGGTAGGTTGAGGTCATACAAATAAAAGCTACGAGATTGCCTAGGGCCTTGTGGGTGGTTGGTAACATCTCAGGTTTTTACTCTGAATGATACAGGGTTTTGAACAGCAGAGTGACATGAACTGATTTTTAAAAAGATAGCACTGGCTGGCAGATATAGACTCGTCTGTAGGTTGGCAAGGGTAAAAGTGAAGAGACAGCTTGCAAGCTTTCATGAATATCCAGGCAAGAGATAACACCGGATAGATAACAGTGCTAACAGCCAGAGCTGCTGCCAAGTGGTCAGGTTCAGAAATTAGAATTTTGAAAGTAGATGGGATAGGATTTAATGATAAATTCTACGTGGGATATGACAGAGAGTGGAATCAAGCAAGGATCTAATGTTTTGGTCTGAGCAATTGGAAAGTGAGAATTGCTATTAAATGAGATGGGAAATGTTTGGGCATAGTATATTTAGGGGATGTGAACAAAAGCAGTCTAGAACTCCTGTCATTTGCCCGTTAGGTTTCCTAGACTTCAGGGTTTCCATTTCTCTGTGTTTTGAGCTATTTCTTTACTTGATCATTTAAGACACAAATCCCCATCTTGATAGAAATCGTTCTCCTCTTCAATTCATCCTTGTATTATACTTTTCTTTCATTATAAAATTTCATTTATATTTGTCACCACTTAATAAGAAAGTCATGACTACTTACTACACTTAAGAGTAAGTGCCCATTTGCTCTTCCCAGGTTCTTTATTCTCTGCCTTTTTATTCTTTCTTGTCATGGTCCAGCAAACAAAGGGTAAAAATCCAGTGCAGTATGATATACTGACCTACTTAAAAACATGCAAAGGACTTTTGTAGCTGTCTTATTAATATGCTTGAAATTGTCTTCTTCAATTTATTTAAAAGGCCTCCTTTACAAACAGCACAGACAAAAGATTATTCAGCACTGGATAAAGATAGCCTTCTTTTAAAGTGATTACACCTCTTTGTAGAAAATAATATTTAGGAACATTCAAATAGATAAGGTTTTTAATGAGAATACTGATGTTGCTATGTAGACACTTGGAGCAAGAATTATTTACTTTGTTTAACACGTGGCTTATCTGCCATTAATTAATTAATTAGTTTATTGTTCCTCCAACAGAAATTCATTATTGAGTTCCTACATGTGTCTGAGATTGTGGAGAATGGAGCATAAAACTTACTTTTGACTCATTTATTTCCTTTGGGAAGTTCTTAAAATGCCTTAGAGATATCACTTTTAAGACAGAACACACTCGTTTGTAGTATGATGAGGTTGACATGGGATATTTACATTTTTCAGGCTGCTTCTTCTGGCACTTGACCACACGAGGCTACTTTAACATCGGTGTTGGGCAGTTTCTGAAGCCTTTTCCTTTACTCCCAGCCATTGTTTTCCGTGGTTTGGTGTTAACATCTATATCTGTCTAAGCCCCACTCCTAACTGAGCCTTCCTGGGCTGGCAGCAATGGCAACATCCAGAGACCTGGGAGCCTGGGAGCCACATCATGTGTTGGGGGAAACAAGTGAGTGGAAGGACAGGGGAGGATAATAGCTGGTGTGTTTCAAGGATGGATTACTGGAACAGAGAGTCAGAGTCAGTGATTAATACACAATTTCTTAATCATAATTGGAAAGACAAAATATTCCTAGAGAATAAAAAAATGAGTAGCAGATATGACAGCAGAAGAAATGAGAAAGAGTACGAATTATGAGTTAGTTTTCAGTGACCCCAGTGTTTATACCATTGGACCAACCTCCCATCCACGTATTTTTGAAAGCTGCAATGCTTTTAACTGGATAACAAAAGACTGCTGAGTAAATGAGGATACACACATAGCTAGCAACTAAAATATGCCCTCATAAGCCTATGTATGAATCATTACATAATATATGTCTTAAGACTGAGTCTGACCAGACCAGAAATTTCTGAGCAAACCAAGATAAAAGAAATTAGTTGCTTTAATTCTCATTGATGCAGCTTCCTGCAGTGGGAGAAATCTATGCCGTTTGTCTTAGGCTTAGGTTCCAGAGCCTTCCTTAAATGCTCTTTAGAATCTAACTTTTTCCAGCTGATTAACTTTCCTTCCACTTTGTCTGTTGGCCTTATCCTGACTCCTACTCATGAGCTCATCTGCCTCAATCCTGACAGATGTATCACTTGTTCTTAAGCCCTCTGTGAGATGCATGTCATCTTGACCACATCCTGTCTGACTCTGTCTTCTGCCCAAGACTGATGAACCCAATCCACTTTATCTACTTGGGACAAACGTTGTTGCAATGAACAGACCTTCCTACCTCTATTCTAAGCTGACTTGTATTGGCTAAGCTTGGGGTCACAATTTTCATTACTGTTCAGTGCACACCATCATTTCCTTCCAGGGTCATAGTTAGAACTTTGACTAACATAAGAATGTTATCTTTGCTAATAGTAGGATCAATAACATGCATCCACTGATTATTGCTGTTGTCACACTGTATTCCATTACTGTGGTCTATATTCTTATTATATGATATTAAACCAACCACAAACTTTACACAATCCAATTCTTCCTACCTAAAGTGGCAGACAGGGAAGAAATACAATACAATCAGAATGTCTTTCTTTGTATAGTTTGAGTATCCCATATTGGAAGTGCTTGGGACCACAGTGTTTCTGACTGCAAATTTTTTTGGGATATTGGAGTATTTGCATATACATAATGAGATATATTGGGGATAGGACTAATATGTCTAAAGTCTAAAGACAAAATACATTTATGTTTCATATATATATCTTATGTACAAGGCTTTAAGGTAATATAATATTTTAAATAATTTTGTTCATGAAATAAAGTTTTGACTACTTTTAGACTCAACCTGTCACATGAGGTCCACTGTGGAATTTTCCACTTGTGGCATCATGTCACTGCTCAAAAAGTTTCAGATTCTGGAGCATTTCAAATGTTGGATTTTTGGATCAGCAATGCTCAACCGGTATTTGTGTTTGCCTTCGATTTTTTGAATGGAAATTGAAACTCACGTCTCAGAGAATGTTGAGGTATTCTGTAGATGCAGATGACTATACAGGTGTTTGTAGCTGGAAGTAAAAGTTAAAATTTCAGAGAAACAAAAAAGACATAAAATTTTTAAAATTTATAAGAAAATAACAAATTAATACAATTATAAGGATCCAAGTATTGCCCAAAAACACTGGAGTGTGCTTTGAAGAAAAGGAGGTATCCTTGTCTTGTGATGCTGGTGAGATAAAACGCAATAGGAGCTGAGTGTCTTCACAGAGCTCTAAAGAAAGGCAGGGAACTGCTGGGCTGAGAAGAATTTTGGAATTTGTGGCAAGAAAGGACACATTAGTCTTTCTATCTCTCCTGTCTTTCAAATACTGTCCGTAATGGTAGCTGTCATGCATTCTTTCATTGCTCTTCAAGGGATTTATCAGGACACATTATTTCATCGTGTATTATTAAATCAGTTTTTAAAATATCCTGATATTTTAAAATCAAACACGCAATAAAACCTTTGCTAGACTAAGTGACAGTATAAGTTTGAAAGTAGCCAGCTGCCTAAAATATTGCACATTTTTCAAAACCTAATTTAAGTATACTTTTTTTTATGGTGGGAAAAAAGTGAATCTTTCATTGAATTTTGAAGACAAATCAGGATTCTTAGGTAGAAATGGGCATCTGGCTATCACTAACTCGAGTGTGCATTTTGCTGCACTTCAGTAAAATTTTGATGGCTTCACCATATTTTTGAGTGGTTTTGCAGATAGCTTGGGTAGAACAAGGGATGGAACTATATTTATATTTTTATAGACGCTATCTTTGTTAAGCAGATATTTTCTTTTGAAAGCTTATAAAAATGACACTTATTCCAGGGAGAAATGTTCTCAAACTGAACATCATGCCTCTGAAGACAGAATGATGTAGTGAGGTCTTAGTGGCTGAAAAAAATATCAAGAAAGATTTGATAGAACTTATCAAAGGATTTAAGGAATTTAAAAAGGTTCCAAAATGGTGTGAAACTTATATCACAGATATTGATATTTAAATACGACTGTGTTGTCAATAGACAGAGGTTATGTCAAAAGATTGAATTGTGGTCAGCAGAATTTAGCCTAATCTTCTCAGTACTAGAGATTTTTTCCACATGAACAGGTACAGGGGGCTTACATTTAGCTAGATCATTGTTGAGTGTTGACATTTTCCTAGTGGAGTATGTCTGAATTGTCCCTTATTCTCTCATTTTGTATTTCATAGGGACTCAACTCTTCCGCATTCTTTTTCCCATTTATTTTCTTTTTTATTCCCATTCCTGGGCTGTTAAGGACATACATTGTCTTTTCTTATTTTACAGAGAACAAAAGTGTGACTTAATAGATTTCCCAAAGTGACAAGTAAATTATTAAGAAGTTAGGAGCTGGGTTAATAGGTCCCCAGTTGAAAAAGGACATGATTCTAATGATGCATTGCCACAAGACTGCTTAACAGTATCCATCTTAACCGCCTAGTAGAGCTCCTGTGACCGAGCCATGGAAATCTCCATGGGTTTCCTGATGCAAAGGAAGAAGTGTGGGCTTCCCTGTTGAGATCAGGTTGTCCTCAGGTTGAAGTCTAGTGGTTCCAGCCTTCTTCTAATGCCTTCCTTTCAGAAGATGGTTTCTGGGGGTAGGGTTAGTATGGAAATTATGACTACAACATTAAAGTGGCCAAACTGACTTTTGGGAATTATCTAGTCAAACAGAGCTGAACCTTTTAAGAAACTGTGAGGTGAAGTGTGCCTGAGTGTTCTGTCTCCTGGTAGGGTTCATTGTAAGCTCTGCTTTCTGTATTCTAAATGAAATGCCAGTATCCTTTTCTCCTAACTACGATTTGGGTCTCTGCAGGGTGTACAAAACCAATAGTGACAGTAGAGGAATCCCTTGGAGGAAATAAGTTTCTTATTATTTTAATCAAGCACATCAATTCAAGTCTTTATATTCCCAGGTTTTACAGCCATACATGATGTCATTTTCATATAAAAAAATCTTTGGAGCACTTTTTATTTAAGGTTTTATATCTATTTCGATAAAAAATCTATTTCAGCCACTGCAGGCTCTGCTTTTGGCACAAAAGTTTTGCTGTGCTGTTCAATTCAAATCAAGCCATATTCTTCCACCTGCTGTCTGCTGCTGCAGTGCCCAAGAAGCCGCTACTGTTGTTTGCCTTCTTGCTGATATAAGTGCTTGTCCCATAGGAAAGGCATCAGAGGGGAGCCCACATATTTAGCAACCAGTGGGGATTCTTACAGAAAGATAAAGAATATAAATGTAAGTCACCTGTTTGAACTAGTGAAGGCAAAACTGCTATATCCTAAGCTTACAGGGCCTAGGAAGGAGATAAGGGAAATAACTAGAATATGGATAGTTAAATAATTTGTATTAAATTTAGCCTCTTTGCCCAAGGAAGGCAATGGGTATCTCACAGGGGAAATTTTTCTTTTCTTTTCAGTTTAAAGCAGGTGGAAAAGAAGTCTACCATGTTTATTGTTCTAGAAAACTAGGTTTTGTTCCCAACATAATAACATAAAATCTATGGGGTTCATTTTGTTCAGTAGATAAAGTTAAATTTTAGATTAAATTTTCTGCTGAAAAGTTTTATATAAAGAGAGATAAAGCTGCTCAGCAGGCCTAGTTCAAAAACACTTAAGACAGCTCCTTATGTCCTATCGTGGAAGGAGAAAGAAATCAGAGGCCCCCTCTGGGCATGGGTGGGCTCTGACTCGGGGCTGCTTTGTCTCCACATCACACCTATCCGGGGTCTTCACGATTTCTGCAGTCAGCAAAAGTTGAGTGAATGCTTGGGAAATGTTTGCAGGAGGTGTCAGGAAACAAAACACCCTGTCATTAGAGAGCTTTTAGTCAAGTGTTGAGTTTACACTCCACACCTTTGTTCCAGTGACATTTACGTGCATTGGGTCATCATCAATCTGGAGAAACTGTGCATCTCAGGATATCACTCACAGTGAGTCAAAGAAAAATACCAAGAATTAGCAATGGAAGTAGCCAACTGATTTTTAGGGTTCTTTTAAAATCATTCTATCTGCTTTTTTTTTTTGCTGTTGTTCATAAAAATCAATAACTCTTAGTTGTGTCTCCTGAAAGAAAGAGATTGGGACATACCAAATCCCTGAATCTTGACTAGCAGCTGACTACCTGCCTAGACTCATGAGATATTAACTTAGTACAGCAGATGGTCAAGCAAATGTCCATCTTATTACTAGTTCCATAGTAATATTGATATGTATTTTAAATCAATATGTATTCTCTTACAATAGTGAATTTGGTGAACTGTCTATAAGCCTTGATCATACTTCTTGCTTAATCCAAGAAAGATTGAATTTTCTGCTCTGAGACTCTAAACTGTAAGACCCATATCCTGATCTTTGATCTCTAAGGTTTATTACTCTCATTTTCAGAAGTGACATAAATTTTTTTTATCACAATCTATTCCCATTTAAACTTCACGTATGTATGTCCTTCAGTAAACATGGTGCTGTGTTCTATGGCCTTTTTATGATTCATTTTTAACCTCAACTCACATAATAAAGGCTGACAGTGTAATGCGTGGTTTGAGACATTGGCTTCTGGTACAAGATGGTGTAGGTTCAAATCCCTGCTCCCCTGCTTGCTAGTTGTGTGACCTCAGGCAAGTGACTTAACTTCTGTTGTCTCAATTTTCTCATCTGTCAAATGGAGATAACAATGGCTCAGATGATTATATGAGCTAATAGACATAAAACACTTGGAATAGGGCCTGGCATGTGATAAGCCCAATTTGAGTGCATATTATCTAAGATCCCATCTTCCCAAGGCATAAAATACATGTGGGTGGGTTGAGTTCTACCAAAGGCTAAAATACCTAGCCAATATTTATATTGTTTCAATTGAGAATGCCTTTTCTTTTAAAGGGTGAAAAAATAAATGGTTTTAAGGACATGAAGGAAGTTATACTTTAAGTTTTTATCTAAATCTGTGATAAAATAGGCCATATAAAATGTGTGAAATTTTGAGAAACTCTTTTCAACTTACAAAGGAAAAGGAAATAGCAAGAATAACAATTATGTTTCGTAACTGTTTTTAGCTATCAGTGGCAAGATGACATTATAAAGTATTAAGAAGAACAAATAGACGTGAGGTGATTTAGCTCCTTAACGTCCTTTTGTTTACCTTATTGCCTTCCCTCTTACACACACAGACACACACATACACCCACACCCGAAGACCTGAAATCGGCTTCTACTGCTGTAGGAGCTACAGAGAGCATGGCAGTGATGCAGAGAGAAGCAAAGACCTTCTTGCTTTCAAAGGTCAAGGTCCTGGCTTAAACACTATGCTTGGAAAAAATACCATTGAGGGGTAAAGAAGAAAGTTGGAAAACATACCAAAATGATCACTGCCAATGAGAATCTGTAAAGGGAGCCGGGCACCTGGGGATCTGAATCTGGACACTATAGAGGCTCCAGATGTGTTAGAAAGTCTGTGAGCAGGTGAGGACTGTCTCTGCTTGCAGTCTGGTATCCTGGGTGGGGCTCTGCTTCTGTTGTATGTTAGCAGCCAACTCAAGATGGCCAAAGGGGATATCAAGAAGAGAATGGTCTGGAGACATCTTTACTAGGATTCCTGCAGCTGAGCAGCTGAGCCTCTCCATACCCTTGAGAAAGTCATGGAAGTAAGTTGAGAAAGAGAGTGAGAGGGTAAGAGAGCAACAGAATGTGTGAGAGACAGAGAACAAGTAGACTAGAGGGGATCTGGACACTGGAATGGATAGGGACAGTGGTCCGTGAGGAATGGACAATAGGATCAGATTCTCTGAGTGGGAGCACGCACCAGGGGATGCCAGTTAGGGTAGAGGCTGAACAAGGGTAAATGCCTCTCCTGAAGCTGGGAAGCTAATATATAAGAGAAAAGGCAAAGAGCCCTCACAGAGAAGAGGTAAGGGGATGAACTATGTATATATTTATGTAGAATTGACTGAATTTTCCCTCAGTTAAGATAAAGCTTTTTTGCAACTGCCTGTAATGGCAGCTTGAGATAGACATTATATTTAAGTATAAAACAGTCAATTTACAGATTCAAATATCCAATATTTGTGTGTTGGCAAAAGACCCCGCCCCCATCCAACACACACAGTATTGCAGACTACCAACCAGGGATGTGGTCACTCATGCAGTGGGTTCTCATCCTGTATGGAGAGGAGCTGTTCCATAGAGAAGGGTTTGAGAGCAGGCTGCATGGAAAGCCTGGGTGAAACTGTGACTGAGGAAACCCCACCCAAGTGTTCTCACCTTCTTCAGGAGGCATGGAAAGGCTCCTAGCTCAAGAGTTGTAGCCTGCTTTGGTGACACAGAGCATAGCCAGTCCTTATATTTCCTGCCAATGCTTCTAGGGCACAGCACTATTGACATTTTGGAGTGGATAATTTTTTGTTATTGGAGACTATTCTGCATATTCTAGAAAGTTAAGTAGCATTGTGGCCTCTACTAACTAAATGCCGGCAGTGTCCTCATTTACAGTTGTGACAAGGGAAACTGCCTCCAGACGTTGATAAATGCGCCCTGAGGGGCAAAATTCACCTCTGATTGAACCACTGTTCTAGAATATAAATTCTTTACTATATAAATGTCTCCTTGACTATAATATAGAAAACGAAAGCATCAGCATTCTGTAGATATGACAGGCAGCCCGACGAAGGTAAGATACAAGAGATGTGATAAAGGCTGTGAGGAAAATGGAAAAATGCCAGGCAAGTGAATTTTGGAGGATTGGCTTTTAGCATTTTTACTTACATTTTTATTTTTTGAATCAGACCTAAGTAAGTGTCATTGAAATTCAAGACCTTGCTCTGGAAAACTATTGAATATATTCTGAGAGCAGCTTTCTCTTTTACCTAAAATATTGCCTTTCATCTTTCTTTATACATCCTATTTCCCAAGCACTTAATCACATTTATTGCTCACCTTTGGACTGTCTCCAAAGTTTGCATGTCTGGGTAAAGTCTGGGGATGCTGATAAAGAAAACAAAAGGTGAAAGAAGAGTGAGGAGATCAGAGGAATTTCTGAACTGGAGTAAGATATCAGAAAATTTTAATAAGTGCTATAGTGAAGTAAGGGATTTTCAAGGAAGAAGGATAAAAAATTGATTGAGGAGACTCCTTGCATTTCATCTTGAATTTTAATAAGATCTAGTAGTGCAACATTGTGACTTAAAAGTTTTGAGATGGAGTAAAGAAATAATCTACAAAATATTATAAAATTAATATGAGTAAGTAGACAATAAGCCAGGAAACAATTACTCTGCTGTCACACTTATTTATTATACTGATTTTACTCTTAAGCAGAGTTTTATTTAGGTTTCAGAGTAAAAGAATCATATAAATCTTTCATTCTCAGGGAAACTGAGATTCATGATAGATGTACTTCCTCTATGCCCTGAAACTTGATTCCACAGTTCCAAGGCTTATGTGCAGTTTACTCTGGCACTATTTTATGTTGTCACACTCACAAAGCCTCCATAGTTTTAATAATTTGGATGATTTATAGGTTTGGGTATGAAAAGCTCAGTGTCATCATCATGTTCTCCAAGTCCCTAACTTATCTTTTTCCTCTTTAGGATTTGTGCCTATAATTAATTCAGCAACTTTAACGGCAAAATGTTTGCCTTATAATGAGATCCCCAGTGACACGAAAAGCCCATTTTTCAGGTAAGACGAAAATTGGTATTTCTTCCTTCGCCAGAGAGCTAATCTAAGAACAGGATTCAATCCATGGTTATATCAGGGTAACTGATCAAGTCCCAACAGTGCATGCTAAAATGAGGCTGGACTTACACTGCCGCTCTTTTCAGCTGAAAAACATGAAAGTGATTTTGGCCTTTTTATTATCCACCATGTGCTGTTGCCTGCCTTCTCCTAGAGTGGTTTTCTAGGCTGGGGATTTCACTTGTTTCACATTTCATATATCATGACTTATCTAAGTATCCAGTGCCTAAAACTTCTGCTACACTGGTCAAACAAAGAGCTCTGGGGCAGGAATACCCTTCACTTACTTAATGTTTCATTATCCTGGAGATGCAGCACTGAGGGTTTTAATTTTCTTTCATTTTCTTTATTTTATTTTTAGCATGAATTAGCTGAGATCACTTGCCTACCAGATGTGTTTCCAACAATTTATTATAAGACATTTCTATTATTTTTTCTTGAAATTATTATTGATGTTTGCTGTGAAGGTATTTTTTAAAGCCGATGCTGTGAAAGCATCTGGTTAAGTTAGCTAGGCTGGTTCAAGAGGTGATTCTAAGGCTCATTAACTCAGCACTCCCATCATCCAATAATGGGCACCCTAGAGTAACTGTGGAAGAAATGAACACAGTGCTTCCTGCCTGGTGCCTTTATGGAGAAATGTTTTAAAATCAATTTATGAAAGACTGCTTAAAAAGTGTTATTGTTTACCTGCTATTTGCATATTCCAGGGTTTTTATAAATGTTTTGGGTACCGAGAAAATAAAGTTGTTATGTATCCTATAAACCTTACCCACCAAAAACATTTTAAGGAAAAGCTTAACTGTAAAACAGAATGACTCATTTCACTGAGGAATAGGCTGACATTTTAGTGACTTGTCATAAATAGTGCAGTGGGACTAAGTAAACTGAGTTTAATGATGAGTTTTACAAGGTAGTTTGTTCCTTCTTCTTCTTGGGCTCAATGACCTTTTCCCGAGAGAGAGGTATTTATGGGAAATCTACATCTCTCTTTTATATTCTTCCAAACTGTTAGTTCACTAACTAGGAGCAGAGGAGACAAGGGAGAATAAAATAAAAAAAAATACAGAGAGAATGAGAGTGAGCAAAGGAGAGGAGACAGACAGAAAGAGAGAGAGAGAGAGACAGAGAGAGAGAATGCTTTTACCAAGTGAAAGAAAGAAACAGTACCTTTGCCTCCTTGGAAGGAAAAAAATTAGATTTAGAATTTGGAGGCTGAGGGGATTATTAGCAGTAAACCAGTGTAATGGGGGAACTTTGAGTCTCCTTCCACACCCCATTACTCTTCAGTAATTATACTACCAGCCACACGGTGGCTTGGCTCAAAACCCAAACAGCTTTCTTGGTTACTCACTTTCCTTCACTCCCTTTACCTCCTGTCCTCCCACTCCACTTCCCACCTCTACTGCTACTTATTTTGCATCCATCAACTTTCAAGCTATATCCTGTCTATCTTAATGGAATACTCTTGTCCTAACCACCATCATGTTTTCCTTGGACTGCCAAAAATGGCATCTTGATTTGTTTTACTGCTCTTATTCTTGTGGCTTGCAGCACATCTTCCAAAGTGCAGCGAAAGGGATCTCTGTCAAGCTAATTCTTGCCATGTTATTCCCCTGCATTAAACAATCAAAAGACTTTTCTATGCATTTAGAATAAAGGCCTTAGGTGACTTTTAAACATCAAACATTATCATATTATATTATATTATGGATATACACAATATGTATGTGATAGATAGCAGGTCTCAGGGAACACTATTAGTGAAATATTCAATTTTATAGATTTATTTCCCAGACACTGTCTAGAAATGAGAGTTGATTAAAATATCTTGTTATGCTAATGAGCAGAAATCTTAAGATGTTTCTTATAGTACATGATGAATCTTTTTTAAGTTTCTCTGATTAGCCAGGCATGGTGGTTCACGCCTTTAATCCCAGCACTTTGGGAGGCTGAGGCAGGCGGATCACCTGAGGTCAGGAGTTTGAGACCAGCCTGGCCAGCATGGTGAAACGCTGGATGTGCACCTGTAATCCCAGCTACTCAGGATGCTGAGGCAGGAGAATCGCATGAATCTGGGAGGCAGAAGTTGCAGTGAGCCTAGACTGAGCCAGACTCCATCTCAAAGAAAAAAAAAAAAGTTTCTCTGATTGTATCTTACAGGGTGTTTATTCATTCAGTCATTTAAACAATTATTTGAATTCGTAGAGACCTGGCTGTGTGCCAGGCATTGAGCTAAAAGTTGAGATAAAAGAAATAATATTAGACTGGAAGGATCCATGTGTCCAACGTGGGCACATTTATGAATAGCAAGTTTTTAGATGTATATTTATACTAAACTGATTCTTGTCACAACAGAGCAACAATAATAATAAAATAATAGTAATCATAACCGTTTTGGTTAACATTTATTTATAGCCTTTTTGTCACTGGCATTATATTAAGATCTTTATATACATTATCAACTGCACACTCATAGTTGCCCATGAGGTTGGTACTATTATTATTATGTCCATTTTACAAATGAGAAAATGGTTTTAGAAGTGACTTGGCAATTGTCTATTCATGTCCTTAGCCCATTTTTTGATGGGATTGTTTTTTTTTTTTTTCTTTTCTTTTCTTTTTTTTTTTTTTTTTTTGATATGGAGTTTTGCTCTTGTTTCCCAGGCTGGAGTGCAATGGCGTGATCTTGGCTCACTGCAACCACTGCCTCCTGGGTTCAAGCAATTCTCCTGCCTCCCTCCTGAGTAGCTGGGATTACAGGCATGTGCCACCACGCCCAGCTAATTTTGTATTTTTAGTAGAGACGGGGTTTCTCCATGTTGATCAGGCTGGTCTTGAACTCCTGACCTCAGGTGATTCACCCACCTTGGCCTCCCAAAGTGCTGGGATTACAGGTGTGAGCCACCGCACCCAGGCTTGTTTTTTTCTTACTGACTTGTTTAAGTTCATTGTAGAGTCTGGATATTAGTCCTTTGTCAGATATATAGATTATAAAGATTTTCTCCCACTCAGTGGGTTGTCTGTTTACTCTGCTGACTGTTCCTTTTGCTATGCAAAAGCTCTTTAGTTTAATTAGGTCCCAGCTATTTACCTTTGTTTTTATTGCATTTGCTTTTGGGTTCTTGGTCGTGGAATCCTTGCCTAAGCCAATGTCTAGAAGGGTTTTTCCAATGTTATCTTCTAGAATTTTTATAGTTTCAGGTCTTAGGTTTAAGTTCTTAATCCATCTTGAGTTGATTTTTGTATAGGGTAAGAGATGAGGATCCAGTTTTATTCTCCTACATGTGGCTAGCCAATTATCCCAGCATCATTTGTTGAAAAGGGTGCCCTTTCCCCACTTTATGTTTTTGTTTGCTTTGTTGAAGATCAGTTGGCTGTAGGCATTTGGTTTTATTTCTGGGTTCTCTATTCTGTTCCACTGGTCTATGTGCCTATTTTTATACCAGTACCATGCTGTTTTGGGGAGAACGGTCTTATAGTATAGTTTGAAATCAGGTAGTGTGATGGCTCCAGATTTGCTCTTTTTGCTTAGTCTTGCTTTGGCTATGCGGGCTCTTTTTTTGGTTCTATATGAATTTTAGAATTGTTTTTTTCTAATTCTATGAAGAATGATGGTGGTATTTTGATGGGGATTGCATTGAATTTGTAGATAGCTTTTGGCAGTATGGTTATTTTCCCAATATTGATTCTATCCATCCGTGAGCACGGGATGTGTTTCCATTTGTTGTGTCATCTATGATTTCTTTTAGCAGTGTTTTGTAGTTTTCCTTGTAGAGGTCTTTCACTTCCTTGGTTAGGTGTATTCCTAAGTTTTTTTTTTTTTTTGCAGCTATTGTAAAAGGGGTTGAGTTCTTGATTTGATTCTCTGCTTAGTCATTGTTGGTGTATAGAAAAGCTACAGATTTGTATACATTAATCTTGTATCAGAAACTTTGCTGAATTCTTTTATCAGTTCTGGAGCTTTCTGGAGGAGTCTTTAGGGTTTTCAAGGTAAACGATCACATCGTCAGCAAACAGTGAAAGTTTGACTTCCTCTTTACTGATTTGGATGCACTTTATCTCTTTCTCTTGTCTGATTGCTCTGGCGAGGGACTTCCAATACTATGTTGAAGAGGAGTGGTGAGAGTGGGCATCCTTGCCTTGTTCCAGTTGGCAGAGGGAATGATTTCAACTTTTCCCCATTTAGTATTATGTTGGCTGTGGGTCTGTCATAGATAGCTTTTAATACATTAAGGTATGTCCCTTGTATGCTGATTTTGCTGAGAGTTTTAATCATAAAGGGATGCTGGATTCTCGAAAGAAGATAACAAATGGCCAACAAACGTATGAAAAAATGCCAACATCACTAATGATCAGAGAAATGCAAATCAAAACCACAATGTGATACCACCTTACCCCTGGAAGAAAGGCCATAATAAAAAAGCCAAAAAACAGTAGATGTTGGCATGGCTGTGGTGAACATGGAACACTTCTACATTGCTGGTGGGAATGTAAACTGGTACAACCACTATGGAAAACAATGTGGAGATTCCTCAAAAAACTAAAAGTAGAACTACCATTTGATCCAGCAATCCTACAACTGGTTATCTACCCAGAAGAAAAGAAGTCATTATTCAAAAAAGATACTTGCACATGCATGTTTATAGCAGCACAATTCACAATTGCAAAGTCATGGAACCAACCCAAATGCCCAATCAATGAGTGGATAAAGAAACTGTGATATATATATATATATATATATATATATATATATATATATATATACACACACACACACACATACATATATGATAGAATACTATGCAGCCATAAAAAGGAATGAATAACAGCATTTGTAGGGACCTGGATGTGATTGGAGACTATTATTCTAAGTCAAGTAACTCAGGAATGGAAAACCAAACATCCTATGTTCTTACTGATATGTGGAAGCTAAACAATGAGGATGCCAAGCCAAAAGAATGATACAATGGACTTTGGGGACTTGGGGGGAAGGGTGAGAGAGGGGCAAGGGATAGATAAACGTATAAAATAAAAGTCTGCAAAATTAGAAAAAAAGTGAAGTAGTTTTAGGAAGACAGCCAATTTATTATACATATTTTCCCTTTAATATATGTACACAATACTGATATAGTAGTAAATATCTATATCTATGTTGAAATAAATCAAGAGTTTTACCAAGAAAGATAAAATAAAAAATCTAAGTGATAAAAAAAAGAAGTGACTTGGCAATGTGACACAGCTAGAAGTGTCTGAGTGATTTCTATCCCAGTTTCTTCATACTCTAAAGACTGACCCTAAGCCATTATATATAATAACAAGTGAGAATTAGAAAGGTAGGACAAGAAATTACAATCGTTTGCATCTACCTCTCTGTTATGATTGTCATTCAAAATAAAATAGGCCATTTCTTTTAATAAAAAGACAAACCAAAACTGTTATCTCAAGGAAATTTTCCTTGAGAAAGATAGACCTTCTTGTAAAACCACATGGAAAAGTTTACAGTGCTCATCATAACCAGGAAACATGACAGATCCTGAGAACAAGATATCATTTAGTTTGCTGGTAAGGCAGCAATGAAACGGCTATGGTTTGAATATGCGTCCCCTCAAAATTCATGTTGAAGCTTGATTCCCAAACAGTATCAAGAGATGAAGCCTTTAGAAAGTGATTAGGCCATGAGCGCTCATGGATGGGGTTAGGACCTTGTGAAAGGGCTAGAGGGGACACGTTTGCCCCTCCCATCTCTTTCGCCTGTCCACTCTTCCACCATGGGAAGACACAGCATTTGTTCCGAGCAACAAGTCACCAACGTGGAAGCAGACAGGGCCCTTACTAGATATGGAATCTGCCAGTGGCTTGATCTCAGACTTCCTAACCTCCAGAACTGTGAGAAATACAATGAGAAATACTGTACAGAAATACATTTCTGCTGTTATAAATTCCTCAGTCTGTGGTATTTTGTTACAGCAGCAGAAGTGGACTGAGACAGAAACCTATTGGCTTTCCATAAGCTATATTGTTATAAGGATTTCTCTTTAGTAAGCAGTAAAGCAAGTACCAAAATAGGAAACTCTGCTTTAAGACTTCCACAAAGAGAATTTTTATTGGATGAAGCTGCAATATCTTACACCAGGGTTCCTGAACCTCAACATTATTGACAGTTTGGGTTGGATAATGCTGTGCTGTCAGGAGCTATTCTGTGCATTGTTCTGAGAACAACATATCATTTAGTTTGGATATTTATCAGCATCCCTGGCTTCTACCAACTAAGCCCTTTCTCCTTACCCCCAACAAGGTGGGACAACAACAAATGCCCCCAGACATTGAGTATACAATTTGTATTCTTGTTGCAGAGGTCACACATCCATTGCAAACACATTCCCTGTGGCTTCTGTTTCTGAAACTTATATTGAATGCCCTGAAACAAAGTGTTCAAAAAGCAAATGAGTTACACAAATGAGAAGATGGTGCATTACCTAAGATATTCTTCTTTTGATGAAACAGAAGACACACATCATAAATAAGTGCAATGGCACTCAGGAAGAAGATGAATTGGCTATTTTGTCATAAATTTACCACTAAATCATAGAATTGAAGCAGGAGTTTCTTGGACTTACACAGATTTATCCATGAGGGCTACAGTACAGGTGCTATCTTAAATTGCATAACATGTCAATAGACAAAAACCTAATTAATCTGACATCATTGTATTCAAAAGAATATGGAAGTCACAGCAATTATTGTTTACCAGAGGACAAGATGCCCCCAAATTGTACTCTTACAAAATACTAAGAAATCTCAATTGCAAATCTGTTTTCCCTTGGTTTTAACAGGTTTATGTATCAACTTTGTAAGCTTCAGCATTATTTATTAGAATTTTATATTAGTCCATTTTGGGTTTTTAATGTGATAGCCACTTCAGATCCCACTGAGCTGTAGTTTATGATGTATATTTCAAATGTTTTATTCACTAATTTGCCTCCTGAGAAGGCATTTCATTTTCAGCTGGCTTTGGAGATGAGAGGTAGGGGCAGAGAAGCTAACTGTTCCCAGCTGTCCATGGCTCCACAAAATCCTTTAGCATCCAACAACTAGAAAGTCTTTTCACTATATATATATATACACACATATATATATATATATATACACATATATATATACACACATATATATATACACACACATATATATATACACATATATATATATACACATATATATATATAAAAGAAGCAATATTGGTCATTCATAATTCCTTAACTCTCACAAGAATTCATGTGAAAACACATATATTAGTTCTTTTATTTTAGATGGTATAGGCACTGCTTTTAATAGCATATATATCTCATCCTGGTTTATTATCATTGTAATCTCAAAAGACCCGTCTCTGGTAATTAACTTTGTTAATGAAGACTTGTTCAATGAAATAATTAATAAATAATCTATGTTTGTTCCTGAGGACCCAATCTATGCATTTCAAACTAGTCTTTCAAATCTTAAAATTAAACTTGTATAGTAGATCACTTGGATTCTCGTTTACCCTTTTCAATATAATTTTAAATTCAACTATAGGTAAAAGGTGAACGTCCTCAAATTCCAAAATTCTTACCAGATATTGTGTCTGGGAGCTAATTTATTATTTACAGTATCTCAACTGATAGATTTGATCTATCTTATTTTGTATGACCAATCTTCATGGCCATGAAAATAACAGTGGAGGCCATACAGCAGGTCCTCAAACAACATCATTTCTTATGACATCGATAAGAAAAAATATTGAATTTTACCTGGGGCCACTGTCTTGTGGAGTCTACACAGTCGCTCCATGTCAGTGTGGATTTTCTTTGGGTATTTCCGTTTCCTCCCACATCCCAAAGCTGTGCACGTTAAATGAACTGGAGTGTCTGATGTGCCTGAGTGATGTGGGTGTGTCTGACTGAGCCCTGCAATGGAATGGTGTCCTGTCCAGAGTTGGTGTCTACACTGTGCCCTGAGAAGCCAGGATAGGATCTGGCCACCCAGAACCCTGAACTGGAATAAGAAGATAAATAATTATCTTAGTTGTTTGGATTAATCATTCTTAAGTGTATATATAGCCTACACTTAGTTAATATTCAATATTAGAAGTGTTTTGTCTTTATTTAGAAGTGTCAACAGCTCCAGCTGGCTTACAGAGACTGCGCACAAAATGTCTAAATGACTTGGTGCTCAACAGTTCACTTTTTGATATAAAGAACCAAATTCCACGTCATTTTAATGTCAAAACCCTGTCCCAAAGTGAATGGGATGCTCTACATATATGTTAACTCATTGTGCAAGCACTAGACTTTGTCCATGAATATTCATATAACATTGCCCAAGCCTGAGGAATGTACATGTAAGAGAGACCCTGGAAGGCTTAACTGCTGCTACCTCCTTCCCTTCTACGGAGTATATGCCACCTTCCCAGGAGGCTACAGTTCCCAATCTGCAGATTGTTACTCTGAAAAGAAAGTTCTTCCCTTTCTTATTCCTCTGTAGATTTCATGGTCATTTTGTTAGCAGAAGTTTGGTGATGTTTTGTGACCAGAATTATGCTGGGAACATAATTTTTGTTTATAACAATTAGCCTGTGGTAAAATTAGTTATGTTATATGTTGTTTCACTTAAAGTCACAGTTTCCAAGGAGCTATCCACGATAAGTGAAGACTTACTGTAGTTATTAGACTGGTTATTGACTGTTTCAGTCTTTAAAAGTAGCTAAAATCATCCCATAAGTCCTCTGAAAAATCCTATTCAGCCTATGATATTTTTGAAAAATGTGGTAGATCTTAGATTTCCAATTCAATTTTAGTTGTCACTGAAATTTAAGTATCCATAGTTTTAAGTGCCCATAATTAACTTTTTATATTTTTTCATCTATTATTCCTAGGATTTTTAGGAACTTCACTTACTGATATTTGAAATAGTAAAGTCATGATGCTGTTATTCCCTGCAGCTACCTTATTTTTAGTAGTTTCTCTTGACATCTTTTAAATAGGACTTCATCTTCAAAATTGAATGCATCATTGTGCTCTCTTCAAAGTAACTTTTTTCTCATACATTTTGTCTACAATGACACTAGTTTGAAACCTCTGAAAACTTAGATCTTTTAATTATCTTTGAGGCTTGTCTTCCTTCATTACCCATACTCAATGTCACTGATCCTGACAATATCTACATTCGACTACTTCTCAGATAATTAAAATAACAACAAATACTATTCCTCCTGCAGGTCTGGTTTTAATACAGGCACTCTTTCTACTGTGACAGCCAATCAATTAATCTCCCCACTTACATTCTTTCCCCAATTAGGCTGATGTTACATACTGTTACCAGTTCTATTTCTTGAAATATCTGCCTTCATGTTACCTTTATGCTTCTGAAACCTCTAGTCATTCCCTACTGCATACAAGATAAAATCTAAACCCTGACGTCTAACATTCAAAGCCTATCATAATCTGTCATTTGCTACCATTTCACACATAGTCCTCAAAATATTGAAGGGAACTAACAATTCCATTCCCAGTAGGTGAACATTTTTACTGTCCATAAAATACATTGCACCATCTACTTTTCATACAAGTTGACCTCCCATCTCACATCTCAAACCTTGCTTTATTCTTTTGAAAAATTAACAAATATCACTGTTCGATCTCTTAACTATTTTATATCAATAAATTTCCTACAAATATATTATGTAGTGGGGCTGTGGAGATTTCAAACTAATTTATTATATTCTTCAACGGGCTTTTAGATAGCTGGGGTAGCAAGGAAATGTGGAATTAAGTGCTACATTGTTTGGTTTACTCTGTAAATTTTGCAGTAGTTGAAAGCATAAGTATCTAGTACTTGTTTAGGTATGGCACGTGTTTTCTTTTTTAATAAATGGTTTTTTTTAGCTTCTGAAAGAATAGGCACTGTCTTCTATTTCTGTGAATATGCCTGTTTGCATCTTCTTCACAGGGTTACATGGAAGATTGAGAAAAACTTTATTCAATGAACTTGCAGAGTTGAGAAGGAGGGTGCTTTTTCTTAGCAAAACTGTAGGTGAATTAGAAATCTTTACCCCTCACAAGCAAGGCCTGAGAGCATGATTAGCAAGTGCAGATGCCTATGGGAAGCAGGCAGGTAAGGCAGATGCCTATGGGAAGCAGGCAGGTAAGGCAGATGCCTATGGGAAGCAGGCAGGTAAGGCAGATGCCTATGGGAAGCAGAGAGGTAAGACAGATGCCTTTGGGAAGCAGGCAGGTAAGGCGAATGAGTGAGCTGGGCTGATTGCAGAGGTGAAGAATGAATCTCTTTGGAGAGCTGTTGCCTTTTCTGAAGGGGGCAGCTGCTGCTCAGATATCACTAGTCCTGACACTTGAGATTTCTTTTTTTTTTGTAATTTTTTTTATTATACTTTAAGTATTAGGGTACATGTGCACAACGTGCAGGTTAGTTACATATGTATACATGTGCCATGTTGGTGTGCTGCACCCATCAACTCGTCATTTAACATTAGGTATATCTCCTAATGCTATCCCCCCACCACCCCACAACAGGCCCCGGTGAGTGATGTTCCCCTTCCTGTGTCCATGTGTTCTCATTGTTCAATTCCCACCTATGAGTCAGAACATGCGGTGTTGGGTTTTTTGTCCTTGCGATAGTTTGCTGAGAATGATGGTTTCCAGCTTCATCCATGTCCCTACAAAGGACATGAACTCATCCTTTTTTATGGCTGCATAGTATTCCATGGTGTATATGTGCCACATTTTCTTAATCCAGTCTATCATTGTTGGACATTTGGCTTGGTTCCAAGTCTTTGCTATTGTGAATAGTGCCACAATAAACATACGTGTGCATGTGTCTGTATAGCAGCATGATTTATAATCCTTTGGGTATATACCCAGGAATGGGATTGCTGGGTCAAATGGTATTTCTAGTTCAAGATCCCTGAAGAATCGCCACACTGACTTCCACAATGGTTGAACTAGTTTACAGTCCCACCAACAGTGTAAAAGTGTCCCTATTTCTCCACATCCTCTCCAGCGCCTGTTGTTTCCTGACTTTTTAATGATTGCCATTCTAACAGGTGTGAGATGGTATCTCATTGTGGTTTTGATTTGCATTTCTCTGATGGCCAGTGATGATGAGCATTTTCTCATGTGTCTGTTGGCTGCATAAATGTCTTCTTTTGAGAAGTGTCTGTTCATATCCTTCACCCAGTTTTTGATGGAGCTGTTTGTTTTTTTTCTTGTAGATTTGTTTGAGTTCATTGTAGATTTTGGATATTAGCCCTTTGTCAGATGAGTAGATTGCAAAAATTTTCTCCCATTCTGTAGGCTGCCTGTTCACTCTGACGGTAGTTTCTTTTGCTGTGCAGAAGCTCTTTCGTTTAATTAGATCCCATTTGTCAATTTTGGCTTTTGTTGCCATTGCTTTTGGTGTTTTAGACATGAAGTCCTTGCCCATGCCTATGTCCTGAATGGTATTGCCTAGGTTTTCTTCTAGGGTTTTTATGGTTTTAGGTCTAACATGTAAGTCTTTAATCCATCTTGAATTAACTTTTATATAAAAGTGTAAGGAAGGGATCCAGTTTCAGCTTTCTACATATGGCTAGCCAGTTTTCCCAGCACCATTTATTAAATAGGGAATCCTTTCCCCATTGATTGTTTTTGTCAGGTTTGTCAAAGATCAGATGGTTGTAGATATGCGGCATTATTTCTGAGGGCTCTGTTCTGTTCCATTGATCTATATCTCTGTTTTGGTACCAGTACCATGCTGTTTTGGTTACTGTAGCCTTGTAGTATAGTTTTAAGTCAGGTAGCGTGATGCCTCCAGCTTTGTTCTTTTGGCTTAGAATTGACTTGACAATGAGGGCTCTTTTTTGGTTCTATATGAACTTTAAAGTAGTTTTTTTCCAATTCTGTGAAGAAAGTCATTGGTAGCTTGATGGGGATGGCATTGAATCTATAAATTACCTTGGGCAGTATGGCCATTTTCACGATATTGATTCTTCTACCCATGAGCATGGAATGTTCTTCCATTTGTTTGTATCCTCTTTTATTTCATGGAGCAGTGGTTTGTAGTTGTCCTTGAAGAGATCCTTCACATCCCTTGTAAGTTGGATTCCTAGGTATTTTATTCTTTTGAAGCAATTGTGAATGGGAGTTCACTCCTGATTTGGCTCTCTGTTTGTCTGTTATTGGTGTATAAGAATGCTTGTAATTTTTGCACATTGATTTTGTATCCTGAGACTTTGCTGAAGTTGCCTGTCAGCTTAAGGAGATTTTGGGCTGAGACGATGGGGTTTTTTAGATATACAATCATGTCATGCACAAACAGGCACAATTTGACTTTCTCATTTCCTAATTGAATACCCTTTATTTCCTTCTCCTGCCTGATTGCCCTGGCCAGAACTTCCAACACTATGTTGAATAGGAGTGGTGAGAGAGGGCATCCCTGTCTTGTGCCAGTTTTCAAAGCAAATGCTCCCAGTTTTTGCCCATTCAGTATGATATTGGCTGTGGGTTTGTCATAGATAGCTCTTATTATTTTGAGATACATCCCATCAATACCAATTTATTGAGAGTTTTTAGCATGAAAATTGTTGAATTTTGTCAAAGGCCTTTTCTGCATCTATGGAGATAATCATATAGTTTTTGTTGTTGGTTCTGTCTATATGCTGGATTACGTTTATTGATTTGTGTATGTTGAACCAGCCTTGCATCCCAGGGATGAAGCCCAGTTGATCATAGTGGATAAGCTTCTTGATGTGCTGCTGGATTCGGTTTGCCAGTATTTTATTGAGGATTTTTGCATTGATGTTCATCAGGGATATTGGCCGGAAATTCTCTTTTTTTGTTGTGCCTCTGACAGGCTTTGGTATCAGGATGATGCTGGCCTCATAAAATGAATTAGGGAGAATTCCCTCTTTTTCTATTGATTGGAATAGTTTCAGAAGGAATGGTACCAGCTCCTCCTTGTACCTCTGGTGGAATTTGGCTGTGAATCCATCTGGTCCTGGACTTTTTTTGGTTGGTAAGCTATTAATTATTACCTCAATTTCAGAGCCTGTTATTGGTCTATTCAGAGATTCAACTTCTTCCTGGTTTAGTCTCGGGAGGGTGTATGTGTTGAGGAATTTATCCATTTCTTCTAGATTTTCTAGTTTATTTGCGTAGAGGTGTTTATACTATTCTCTGATGGTAGTTTGTATTTCTGTGGGATCGGTGGTGATATCCCCTTTATCATTTTTTATTGCATCTTTTTGATTCTTCTCTCTTTTCTTCTTTATTAATCTTGCTAGTGGTCTATCAATTTTTGAAAAGATCAACAAAATTGATAGGCCACGTGAAATTTCAAGTCCAGGGTTGCCTGATCTAATTTCTCAAGAGAAGATGGAGACTTAAATTTTTTTTTCTTTTTTATTATACTTTAAGTTTTAGGGTACGTGCGTACAACGTGCAGGTTAGTTACATATGTATACATGTGCCATGTTGGTGTGCTGCACCCAGCAACTCGTCATTTAACATTAGGTATATCTCCAAATGTTATCCCTCCCCCCTCCCCCCACCCCACAACACTTGGATCCAACCCAAATGTCCAACAATGATAGACTGGATTAAGAAAATGTGGCACCTATACACTATGGAATACTATGCAGCCATAAAAAAGGATGAGTTCATGTCCTTTGTGGGGACATGGATGAAGCTGGAAACCATCATTCTCAGCAAACTATCTCAAGGACAGAAAACCAAACACCGCATGTTCTGACTCATAGGTGGGAAGTGAACAATGAGAACACTTGGACACAGGAAGGGGAACATCACACACCAGAGACTTACATTTTTATGAGAAATATCCAATTGTTTTTTGTTCTAGAATTTGACAGGCCAAATTCTGTATCTCTCTTGGCTGAATTTGTCCTGCAGACTGCTAGCTTGCAACCTCATCTCTAGAGAGGTTTTTGTTGTTATTGATGTTGTAATTATAGTACAACTACAACTCTCTCATCTGACATAATTAGCATTAGTAGCTGGTCAGTTAGTTTAGTTCAAAACATCAGTTAAAGATGTTTATCATAAGGAAATGATTGGCCTGTATTATGAAATTTTCAGAATACATGACAATGCATATCCCAAGTTTATGTTAACTTAGAACATAAATTACATATACATTATGTTATATATACAGTAAGTTCTTTTAGCAATCGTTTTTATAATTTTTAAATTAAAAAATATGTATTTTTCATGTTGAGACAGGGTCTTGCTATAGTGCCCAGACCAGGCTCAAACTCCTGGGCTCCAGTCATTCTCCTGCCTTAGTCTCCCAAAATGATGGGATTACAGGCATGAGCCACCATGCCCTGCCTTATAATTTCTAAAAGTTTTAAAATTTATTTTATTTTTAAAATATATATGTATTTCCTAGGGTACTTGTTCAAAGGTCACTGTTCTTTTTATGCTGGAGTAAATCCTTTTCTCTGAGGATGAGGTCACTGGCTGGACTGCCGAATTGTCTTCCTTGTGTAGACCACACTCACTGTCCTTCATTCCCAGTTTTCATTTCCTTAAAGTGGGGGAAGAATATTTGCCAGGTGGGCTCAGTGTAGAATCCTTCTCAATTTCTATGACTTTCTTACAACTTTTACGTTGCCTTGTCCCCAAATGAGCTTATGATATTTTGAGTGACTCACCTTTAGTAAAAGCATTTAACCAAAGTATTTAAATTAGTATTCTTAGAATAAATTCTCTTTTCATACTTCTATTTCATCAGTTTACATAATAGTTAATTAATCTAGATAATTACAATGTAAAGTAAAACCAGCAAAAACAAATTTGGGAATAAATAAAACTGATTTCTGGCAAGCATTCAACTCAACAGATGGGAGCAGAAGTGCACAGGAATATAAAGATTAGGCTTCTAGCCACAAGATCCAGCATGCTGTGGGTGGCAATCAGTAAGTTTCAAGGGAAGACTACAGAACTTGAGTTAAGCCAGCCAGTTGATTAAGTGAAGGTCAGTTGAGTAAGAAACATGGTATAGCATTATGTTTCATAGTATCAATCTATAGTATCAGCCTAATATTATAAAACTTTAGGATAGTACAGTATCAATTACTTTCAATGACTCACAGGGAGATGCTCCAGAGTTGAAAAACATAAGCCTTTCATATGCTTTTGGTAAATTTTCGGGTAGGGGGAGGGTGTCAATTCTAATCCTGTGCACAGGATATATGCTTCCAAAGCAGGCTGTCTTGAGTAAAAATAATTTCTATACTAGGAGTAGTAAAATACTTTAGTGAAATTTTGCTTCATGCAAGCATACAGAGCTGCACTTGGAAAGAGATACTGTGTGAACTATTACAAGTGCAAGAGAAGAGAATGTTCCAAAGTTTAAGTTGCTTCTCTAGAAAAAAGAAAATCTGTTTTCTCACCCAGACATTCCATTCTATTCTGTTCTCAGTTCTTCCGTAGAGTATTATAAAAATGGTTCACACTTAGATTAGAATTCAGATTTTATTTGTTCATCTTCTTTGAAGGAATCTAAAAATATTCTATGCACTTCTTCCCTCCATGTTCATTATTTTTAACTTATTGTTGATTGTTGTTCTACAGATATTGATCTGACTACATTAGATCTTAGAGGCATTGTTTAGGCTCATGGACATTACCTGCACTTACTTTTAAAATAAAGGATATGTTTGAATTTCAGAATTACAAAAAATTTAACGTTTAGCTAAACACGCAGTTGTTTTTAGAAATACTTGTGGAAAACTGACCTTTCCCGCTAGTTTCATAATTGCCAATAACAGTAAGTAAAGTGGATATTTTAATACTTGCTCATCAGTAAATGTTTACAAAGCATCCATTAAGTAAGTTATCTGTCCTCCAGGAGTGTCCAGCATTTCTCAAAATGGTCTACGAATATCCTACAGGAGTTCAGCTTGCAGTTTCCTGGACTCTGATTCTGATCCATGGAGTTGAGTCATCAATTAGGGAGTATGGGATCTGCATGTTTATCAAGCCCTGATAGTGATTTTTTCACAGAGTGACACTGAGGACCAGTACTCCTGGCATTTGCAATTCATAGAGAAATTAGAAATGATCACCTTCCACGCATAAACTCAAAGTGGTGATTAAAATTTGGCAGAAGGCAAATAATCTTTTCCTAAGATTTGAGCTCACACTACAGTTTTTGCCACCCTGGCCATTCTGCCTTGTTGAACTTTGGAAATTTGTGCCAGTCAAACTCATAAATGACTAATAATTAAGTAGAATAGACCTAGAATGCTGCTAACAGGGTGGTGATACATGGTGTTTAGAAACAAGGGAGATTCAATTCAGGATGTTAACCATAATCAGGAGAAACAGGCAGGATTCCTTGATGCAGGAAAATAATAAGGCAGAATCCACAGGTAATTATTTCTCAGCTATACCTCTTATGGAGCATGGAGGGTCCTAGACTCACTGACATTGTTTATAGCCAGTAAGAAATCAGAAACCTGCAAATAAATTCTATTTCTGTCAAACTAGCAACCTAAGATCTAGGATTACACAGCTTGCCTTGATTCTCAAGATCTGATCAATTTTTTCGGGACCCATAGCTCAGCATCCATTGTCATGCTGAGGCCATCTAGAAACTGAGCTTTATTGAGAGCTCATTGTGAAAAGTTTGTGGGCTGTGTAAAAGCTATCAAAGAAACAGCAGCATAAAGGAAGCTTTTTGTTCTGTTGATTGTATTTTGCTTCAAAAGCAGACTCGTTATCTTTTTCACAGATAAGTGCCATTTCAAAATTGATTAAAGTCTATTAAAGCATTCCAGGTGTCTGATATTTAAATATAAGAACTATTTTTTCAGTTTCTTATTTGATGAATGTGTAATAGGTAGAGACTTGTGACTCCTTTAAAGTTTTATTTGCTCTGAGTGTCATGAAATGCTAGAAGACATAATATTCTAATTTATACCTATGCTCACTTTGAAGGATACATATAATTCTCTTTTTAGTAAGTCACACTTTGCTCCATTTCACCTTTTGAAAATGTCATGTGTAACCTTTTAAAATTAAAGACCACGCAACTGATAGGCAGCCTCACATAATATAGTAGAGGTGAAGGTTTTGGACTGTGTGCTAGCTACTGAGAGAGCTTATATGGAGTCACGCTCTGGAGATCTTAAAGAAAAGGGTGGATGCTGTTTTCCTGAACTGCTTTCATGGCAGTTCTCTCAGAAAGAAGAGCAAAGACCCGACTAGCTGTTTAAGTCTATTCAGGGGTCAGTTGGTTCACACGTGGACTACTGTCTTCACTGAACAGCTAATAGGAATGTCCAGCTAGGTCCCATTAACTTCAGCCTTGTCCTGGGACTCCTGGCCACATCTCCATCTTTTCTGCTTTTCTCCATTTAGCTGCACAAACAATAATGTATCATACATTTTACATTTTTGAGAAGTAGTGTCTCAATTTTTTCCAAGACTGGATAAGTATAATTTTCATCTTTATTTCATTTAATCCAGAGGTTTTTGAATTGCCAGGAATTTGTTAACCCTTTACTGACTTCTTTGGCCTAGATGAAAACTAACATCGTATGAGTTTTAGGTCTGTGATCAAATTTATGATGTCATATGACAATTGTGTTTGTGTGTCAGGAAAGGAGGCCTTAGTTATTTGCTTGACACATTTGAAACATTTATAGATTTTGAAAATGCACTATGGTACTTTTGAGTCTGAAAGTTAGACCTGAAACCAGACCATTTTACTTTACCCTACATATTTCAATTTTTTTCCTATTTTTTAGTTAAAAGATGTGCTAGTTCCTTTTAAACAGACTTGAAAGGAAATAATCTTCCTACTGATAAAATTAAGTTGCTTCTAGCTTAATATAAAGTACTGCCAGTCTTGCTCATGTAGGCAGCTAATACTTGCACAACTTGAATATGTGGGACACCATAGAAAATCAGGAGTGTTAATTTCTCAAGGAAGGGATTTCTGAAGAGAAGATGGCTACTGTTTTTAGAATCTAGTCTCATGCTTTATATAACCAACAGATTTCTGGTTTCTAAAATTTCATTTGTACCTAGAAATTAATTTGTTACTCATATATTTGTTGATCGTCCAGGATTGTATTACTTCTCAAAATATTACAAGGGCATACTCTGAACCAAGAAAGGGTAGCTATGTTTTATGTGGTAAGTGATTATTTTGGCTGTAAGTTTTAGTTTTTAAGTGACCTCTTTAAGAAATATTTAATTGACAAATGGGATCTAATTAAACTAAAGAGCTTCTGCACAGCAAAAGAAACTACCATCAGAGTGAACAGGCAACCTACAGAATGGAAGAAAATTTTTGCAATCTACTCATCTGACAAAGGGCTAATATCCAGAATCTACAATGAACTCAAACAAATTTACAGGCATAAAACAAACAAACCCATCAAAAAGTGGGCAAAGGACATGAACAGACACTTCTCAAAAGAAGACATTAATGCAGCCAAAAGACACATGAAAAAATGCTCATCATCACTGGCCATCAGAGAAATGCAAATCAAAACCACAATGAGATACCATCTCACACCAGTTAGAATGGCGATCATTAAAAAGTCAGGAAACAACAGATACTGGAGAGGATGAGGAGAAATAGGAACACTTTTACACTGTTGGTGGGACCGTAAACTAGTTCAACCATTGTGGAAGTCAGTGTGGTGATTCCTCTGGAATCTAGAACTAGAAATACCATTTGATCCAGCCATCCCATTACTGGGTATATACCCAAAGGATTATAAATCATGCTGCTATAAAGACACATGCACACGTATGTTTATTGTGGCACTATTCACAATAGCAAAGACTTGGAACCAAGCCAAATGTCCAACAATGATAGACTGGATTAAGAAAATGTGGCACATATACACCATGGAATACTATGCAGCCATAAAAAAGGATGAGTTCATGTCCTTTGTAGGGACATGGATGAAGCTGGAAACCATCATTCTCAGCAAACTATCGCAAGGACAAAAAACCCAACACTGCATGTTCTCACTCATAGGTGGGAATTGAACAATGAGAACACTTGGACACAGGAAGGGGAACATCACACATGGGGGTCTGTTGTGGGGTGGGGGGAGTGGGGAGGGATAGCATTTGGAGATATACCTAATGTTAAATGACAAGTTACTGGGTGCAGCATACCAACATGGCACATGTATATGTATGTAACTAACCTGCACGTTGTGCACGTGTACCCTAAAACTTAAGGTATAATAAAAAAAATAGAAAAAAAAGGAATATTTAAGTAAAAATAGTTATTTTAGCAATAAAAAAGAAATAATAGCAGGCTTATTTTTTCTTACTGGAAAGTTGTCCAGAGAAAACAATTTAAATTTATTTTGAAAGTACTTTGCTTACTATATGAACCATATACTGTATGTGATATAGTGTCTAAAGAAACATTATTGTGAACAAAAGACAATATTCAAAATATACTTTCACAATAATGTTTATTTAAAAGCTTCACATTGGGGGAACTTCCTGAACCTGAACAAAGAACACCTACAGAAGCCTTACCAGTATTATCATACACAAGCATGAGAAATTGGACCCTTTTCTCCTAAGATCAAGAGTGAAAAAAAGATTCCTCTTGTTATCACTCCTGTTCAACATTGCACTGGAAGTCCTAGCAATGCAATAAGACAAGACAAAAAAATAAAATGTATACAAATTTGAAATGAAGAAATTAAACTTTGTTTTCAGTTGAAATGAAGACATAAAACTATCTTTATTTTCAGATATTACAGTTTATATAGCAAATCCCAAGAATCAACAAAAAAATTCCTCGACCTAATAAATTATTATATTAACTAATGTTAATATACTGTAATAAGTAACTAATTTACTAATTAACTAATAAGTGATTATTTTAACAGGATGCAAGTTAATATATAAAATCAATTGTTTTCCTATGTATTATCAATGAACAATTGAATTTGACACAAAAACAGTACATTGTTTACAATAACACCAATAAATATAAATACTTAGGTATATTTCTAACAAAATATGTACAGGATCTGTATGTGGAAAACTACATTTTAAAAAAGTCTTAAAAACGAAGGGATATTCTATGTTAATAAATTGGAAGGCTCAATATTGTCAGGTTTACATGGGAAGACAAAAGACCCCAAATTGTCAACACAATATGTAAGAAAAAGAACAATGTTGGAGTAACACTACCTGACTTGGAGACTTTTTATAAAGCCACAATAATCAAGACAGCCTGATATTTGTGAAAGAATGGAAATGTAGATCAATGGAACAAAATGGAGAGCCCAGAAACAGATTCATACAAATATAGTCAATAGTTAACTCTTGATAGAGGAACAAAGGAATTCAATGGACAAAGGATAGTCTTTTCAAGAAGTGATGTTGAAACAATTGTGTTGCTGCATGTAAAAAAGTAAACATAGATACAGACATTACATATTTTACCAAAATCAAGTTAAGACAGGATATAGACTCAGGTCTAAACGGAAAAGTATAAAGCTCTGGAAAAAAACACAGGAGAAAATCTAGGTCACTTGGGTTTGGTGAAGAATTTTTAGATACAACACCAAAAGTACAACCCATGAGAGAAAAAATTAATATTTTTACTAAAATTAAAAACTTCTGAGTGACATTGTTAAAAGAATGAAAAGAAAAGCTATAGACTGGGAGAAAATATTTGTAAGACACATGTTTGATAAAGGACTTGTATCCAAAATATACACACAAAAAAAACTTTTAAAACGGAGCGATAAAAAACAAACGACTCAATTAGAATGTAGGCAAAATATCTTAACGGACACCTCAACATGTAAACACAGATGACAAATAATTATATAGAAAGATTCTCAAAATCATTTGTCATTAGAAAATCAGAACTTAAAAAAAAATGAAATATCGCTACACAATACCAAAAATTAGACACAACACAGAAGAACAGGAACTCTCATTCCTTGTCAGGAGAAATGCAAAATAACGCAGCCACTTTGGAGGCAATTTGACAGTTTCTTACAAAGCAAACAGCCTTATCATATGACTCAGTAATTATGCTTCTAGGTATTTACCTAATTGAGTTAAAACTCATGTCACACAGAAACCGGCATGCAAATGTTTATAGAAGTGAAAGGAGTTGGCCAGCTTACTTTAGGCAGACAGTAAGGGAAGGGTCCCTGGAGAATCTCCCACGCAACCCACAAGTGTTTACACCAGATGTTTTGTGCAGATGAAGGAACTTGCATAGGGGCGGTGGGTGGGGGGGTTGCGTAAACATGCCCACAGTGGAAAATTCTGTTCCTTAACACATGCTCAGTAAAGGAAATAAATCAGTACGGAGTGGCTCAGACTAAGGGCCTGCATGGCCACCGGAAGGATGGGGGGTGGAGCCATCAGGAATTCGCACCTTATACAAATAGGGAACCCAGCCCCTTCAGCTTGTACATATAGAAGCCCTTGTATTCAGCTGTGAAGGGGGCAACTGGGAGCCTGTTTTCAGGACTCCTCTCTTTGCTGAGAGCTTTCCTTTTGCTTAATGAATTCTACTCCACTCACTCTTTGAGTGTCTGTGTGCCTACTTCTTCCTGGTTGTGAGACAAGAACCCACACCTAACTGAGCTAAGGAGTAAAAAATCCTGCATCAGAAGTTTTATTCATAATTACCTAAAACCAGAGATACCTATCGTCTCTCAATATCTTAATAGGTGAATTGATAAAGAAACTGTGGTACATCCATGCAATGAAATATTATTCAGCAATGATCTATCAAAGAAATGATCTAGCGAACCATGAAAAGGCAGGGAGGAAACTTAAATGTATATTATTAAGTGAAAAAAAGTCAATCTCCAAAGGCTGCATGCTGTATGATTCTAGTCATAGATGTTTTAGAAAAGGCAAAATGATGGAGACAGTAAAAGGATCTGTGGTTGCCAAGGGTTAGTGGGGAGAGAGGGATGAATAGGCAAAGCACAGAGGATTTTTAAGTCAATGAAACTACTCTATGTGACACCATAATGGTAGGTACATGCCATATTAATTGCCCAGATCCACAGAATGTATAACACCTGGAGTAAACTTCAGTATAAACTATGTACTCCAGGTGGTAATGATGTGTCAATGCAGGTTCAACAGTGTAATAAATCTAACACTCCAGTGGTGGATGTTGATAGTAGGGGAGGCTATGCATGTGTAGGGTCAGGGTATACAGGAGAAATCTCTGTACCTTCTTCTCAATATTTCTGTGAACATAAAATTGCTCTAAAAATAAAGACTATTAAAAAAAGGCTATACACCATATAATTTCAATCATATCACATTCTGGAAAAGGAAAAATTATAGAGACAGTAAAAATAAATTCAGTGGTTGTCAGGGATTTTGAGTCGGGGGGAGGCATGAATAGTGAAGCACAGGGGATTTTTTAAGGTGGCAGAGCCATTCTGTATTATACTGTACTGGTGGATATGTGACAAATATGCATTTGTTGAAATTGCACAAAACAGAGTGAATCCTAAGATAAATTAAGGACTTTAGTTAACAGTAATGTATCAATTTTAGCCTTTCAATGGTAACAATTATACTACCTTAATGCAAGAAATTAATAATAGCAGAAACCGTGGGATGAAAAGGCAGGATAGATAGAGGGAGTATATGGGAACTATCTATACTTTCTGCACAAGTTTTCTGCAAACCTAAAATTGTTCTAAAAGTAGTCTATTAAGAAAGAAGTAACTTTACACATCACTTATCCAGCTTCAGCAAGTTTCACCATTTTCTATATCCTTTTATCCATCCAACTTCACACAGTAAAAGGTTGGAGGGTTTTTCAGGGTGGGTGAGCTAGTGGAGAAGTACTGTTGGGGGAAGTTAGGGGCAAGGTTGACCAATGGGATATGTTTAGCACATTGTTATTCTTGAGTTTGCAAATGTTTTTTTCTGTGTTTGCTGATTGGCACCCATGGAGGTTAGGTACCCTTCCACAGAGACTAGAAGATAAGGGCACTCTCTTTCTTGATGATTATATTTCAAAGAGATAGCTCCCAGATCTTTGAGAAAGATGGTCCCGGGTTGTAAAACTGGCAAGAGGCTTGTAAAAAGATTTATATCATGAAAGGACAGGAAAAAATTAATGATTATAAATTTTCTAACGTAAATGCTGTAAACAAAGGGAGGTCAGTGTTTAGAGTCAAGAAGAAGCCTGTCTAAAATGTAGTCAAGCCAAGAATGTTAAACTTGTCTTCATCACTTTCATCACTTACTCCTCTTGTCCCAGAAATGTGACTTATTAGGAACTGAAGTCCTACTTGGGAATCCCACTCTTTTATTGGCTAAGGTTCTAGCGCTAATTTATGGATGCTCTTTTTGGCTAGAAAATGTTTCAACTTCAAGACAAGGAATGCAGAAGGGTAAAAATAGTAGGGCTGGATTAAGACCTGCAGAGTTCTTAATAAGCACTAAAAATATTATGTTACCTCTAATGTGTAATTCAAAACAAAATCAAAACTAATCTATAAAAATTATAAGAAATCCCAACAAAGTTCTGATTTTTGTTTCTTTCTTTTCTTTTCTTGAGACAGAGTCTCGCTCTGTCACTTAGGCTGGAGTGCAGTGGCACGATCTTGGCTCACTGCAACTTCCGCCTCTCGGGTTCAAGAGATTCTCGTGGCTCAGCCTCCTAAGTAGCTGGGACCACAGGTGCATGCCACCACACTCGGCTAATTTTTTGTGTTTTTAGTAGAGACGGTGTTTCACCATGTTAGCCAGGATGGTCTTGATCTCCCGACCTCGTGATCCGCCTGCCTCGGCCTCCCAAAGTGCTGGGATTATGGGAGTGAGCCACCGTGCCCTGTCTGTATTTATTAAAAGATAATTTTAGTGTGTATATTTAATGTATACAACATGATGCTTTTATATACAATGTCGAATTTAAATAATAAGATTCAGAAAATATGATTAATCATAGAGGTGACTCAAGCACAAAGCTTGAGTATAGTCATCTGGTAAACAGACTCCAAAGGAAGGGAAACAGATGCCAAAGGAACAAAGTCAGTGCTCTCAAGTGGTAAAGCTAAGGTTTTACTTATATGGACAGAAACATTTTTAGGAGGGTTGCAACATTTTTCATACAAGGACAGTACACACATTATAGCAATTTGATGAGCACAGCTTGCTACATTCCAAGGAAATTTGCTTTAACATTTCTTGAGGAGAAATAATGTTCTGAGGAATTCTTATTTCTGGCACCACTTGGTCATTCCTAATTATTTACAGAAAAAAGCAGAAGTTGCAACTGCATGCTACATGTCTCAAGCTACATAGCCACATTCCTCCCAGGGCTCAGGGAAATTTAGAGTTCGAACAGCTTTAAGTGAATTATTTAATTTCACAACATATACACAGTGAAATGATTATCGCAGTTAAACAAAATAACATATACCTGGCCTTCAACAGTAGCTTTTTTTTGGGTGATAATAGCTACTTTAGCAAGATTTCAGTATACAATACAATATTGTTAACTTTAGTCCTCATGCTGTATGTTAGATCTTTTAGATTTACTCATTGTACCTAACCTAACTGCAAATGTGTACTCTTTGGCCCACTTCTCTCCATTTACTTCCCTTCTCTGCCTTTGGTACATTCTAGTTGTTTCTGTTTGACTTTCTTTTCTTTTTTTGGATTTCACAATAATTGAGATCATACTATAATTTTCTTTTGGTGTCTGGCTTATTTATTTTTATTTTTTATTTATTTTTTTGAGACGAAGTCTCCTTCTATTGCCCAGGATGGAGTGCAGTGGCACAATCTCGGCTCACTGCAACCTCCGCCTCCTGGGTTCAAGCGATTATCCTGCCTCAGCCTCCCGAGTAGCTGGGACTACAGGCGTGCACCACCATGCCCTGCTAGTTTTTATGTATTTTTAGTAGAGACGAGGTTTCACCATATTGGCTGGTCTCAAACTCCTGACCTCATGATCCACCTGCCTCAGCCTTCCAAAGTGCTGGGATTACAGGTGTGAGCCACTGCGCCCGGCCCTGTGTCTGGCTTATTTCACTTAGCATAATATCCTCAGGGTTCATCTACGTTGTGACAAATGGCAGGATTTCCTTTTTCTTTAAAAGCCTGAATAGTATTCCATTATTTATATATGCTACATTTTCTTTATCCATTCATTTGTTGATGGACATTTGGGTTGATTTAAATCTTGGCTATTGTGAATAGTGCTGCAATGGGAGTGCAGATATGTCTTCAGCATACTGATTTCATTTCCTTTGGATATATATCCAGAGTCCTGAATCATATGGTAGTTCTATTTGTAATGTTCTGAGCAACTTTCATACTGTTTTCCATAATGGCTATGCCAACTTACATTACTACCAACAGTGTAGGATTTTCTTTTCTCAACATTCTGGCCAACACTTGTTATCTCTTGTTTTATTTTATTTTTAAACAATAGCCATCCTAACAGGTGTGATGTGATATCTCATGTGGTTTTGATTGGTATTACCTTATTTCTAAAATGCAAATTATTACAAAAAATTGATGTAGGTTCCTTAGATTTGCTGGCACTGAAAGCTTTGCTGCCTGCTTGGGCAGCCTGCACTGAACAGTGTGCTGTGTTGAGCCAGTGGCCTAGATATTTAAGATTGACCTCTTATTTTGGTAACAGAGGATCATTCACATTAAATCATGTGTTTTTTTGTGTGTTTTTATCTCCTGCTCTTTGAATCAAAATCATTGGTATCACGTTACCTCTTTTTCCTGACACAAAATTTAGAATTTGCATAATGGGTATATTTCTTCCCTACTCTCTGGTCTCTTTCTTGGGTTGCACTCGAGGAAAGCATTGTCATTCAAATGTTCTTTTAATCATCCAGTTCATAACATTACTTGCAATCAGAACAGGTTTGTAATTTGTGAACCATGTGCAAAGAGGAGATATCTTGCTTCACTGAGAAAATAGACAATTTTGTGAAATATTGGCCATTTATCTGCCAAAGTGGGCCATTATACATTGAACCACAGTAAGAAGCCACCATGCACCTCCATCCTTTTCATTTATGCTTTAATGGAGGTTTTTTTCTTTTTCTATCTCATATAAGGCTGATCCAAATTCTACCATATTTAAATTCACTTTCAACAAAAATATGTATATGAAAATATCAATCAGGAGACTACAATTAGAATAAAATTAAAATGCCTAGTCAGGCCAAATGCATTTTTTTCAATTAAAGAACTATAAATAATTAAGAAAATGATGAGGAAGATGGGAATGGAAAATAGCATGGGTTTTCTTTTCTCTCCACTGCCTTGTCTTCTTATGCTTGGTGGCATCTAATGCAGTAGACATAAACACTATGCTATGAACTGCGTTTAGGATCCATTATTCCGTATAGAACATTCAAAATGCTGAAGATGGTTTGTAGTTGGAATAAGTATAGAACTAATTATCAGAAGGCTTGCCTTTCAATTCTTGTGTTTTATAGTCTACAACATATAAATTATGTGATCCTAGATGAGTCATTAAATGTTTCTGAGTCCTGACTGCCTTATCTAAAAAATGAGAATAATAAAAATATTCTTGTTTTCTCTGTTACAAAGTTGTAATAAGCAGCAAACGATTTTATGTATGGGAAAGCAGACTACAAACTGAAAAGCACCGTAAAGGATTATTATTTATGCTTCAGTGCATGCATTGAACATGGTCTGTGTAATCTGTATTTTCAGAAACTAACCCTCCATCATGTTGACGTTTGCTAATTTTAAATCATGCTGCAAATGAATGGTTCAGATTGGAACACCTGCTATCATTTTTTAAGAAAATGACTATCATTTGATTTACAAGAACATTTTATCTTAATAAGTTCAGTTCAGCATTTATTAGCATGTATTAGTCTGAAATTCCCTTCACAGAAAATCATATTTGATTTTTTTTTCTCAGATGTCAGAGTAGTAACCATATTATTCTCAAATGCTATACTCAGTAGGATCATGAAACTCAGTGATTTTCATTATTTTCTCAGGAGTATTGTAAAAATTGTAAGATTTAAAAATAAGTAAAAGACTATAATTTCACTCAAGCAAATGCAAACCTTATGACATCATATTTATGTATTATATAATATGTTCTATATTATGTAAATACAATAACTTCATTTTCCAGGCAATAAGCATATGTTAAACCACATTTCCTATTTCATATATTTTTAAAAACCATATAACATGAAATATTATAGGAGAGTTTCCAAAAACAGACGTGAATACCATAGCACAAACACAAAATAATTTTTATTTTTTAAAAAGTTATATTTGGTGCATTAGACATTGAACAAAAGCTTATGAAAACTTCACAGAACTCATGCTCACGATCATCCAGTGAGCATTTGTGAAACACGCCACTATAACAGATTTTTAAAGGGAGGGAAAATAAGGGAATATTTGACCACTGCTCTTACTATGTAGTTTGATGGCAAGGTATAGGCACAGGAGAAAGTGCTCAGTACTATGCTATTCTTGGAGAAAATTAGTAATTGAATATAAAATTCTATATTTGTTTAGGGAAATTAAACATTATTTTCTTTGAGGAAGACACCTGAATAAAAGTGGTAGTTGAGTTGAAGATGTGCATGATTTGAATAGAAGGAAGGTTGCAGAGTGGACGAACTACATAAGCAAACTTGGCATCAGAAATGAAAAGATGTATGAAGTTCTATTCTTTGAAAATTATATTGTTACTTGCTATCTACCCAGATTTTCTGGTTTTATATCTCTGAAAAGAAAATTGTGTTAAATAGAGAAAAATTATCACTGTTGCCCTTAAATTGAACTAAATGTAACCTACTGATATTTTCCTTCTTTAAACCTCGTTGAAAGAAGACCATCCAACAATTCACTTTATGGCATTCATACTTCATAATGAATATCATTGTTTCCATATCATCATTTATTTTGACACAGCTTGAAATGTCCTAAGCTGTGTGTTTTGAAGTTGTATATTTTCTGAGCTGGAAATCTCAGAAATTATGAATGGCTTCTGAAGTATGGTAAAAATAACGCTATGATTTTTAGGTTCTTTTGTGTCTCCTAAATATGTTTCTCTGCACAGTGGTTCTAGAAAGCTGTGCTATATAAGAAAATTTCACAAAGTAAAACAGTTGCCTCCTCTTTTCAATATTCTCCTTTAAAGAGACTGATTTTTTTTCTCATTGTTTAGCGTTTTCAATAGTAGCATTGTTTACAGTATAGCATAATCTTAAAATTGGTTGCCCTTTAAGTGGTATCAACAAATAAGTACTCTAAACTTTGTTTCATTTTATAAAGAATTTTAATGGGTCTTTCACAATATGCATCTAACTTCTGAATCAATACACATATTCTCTAAACAGCATGAGGGCAGGGAGTGTAAGAATGCATGTATGTTATCTTTGCAGGGGTCTTTGACATATATTGGAATTTTACAAGTGGTCCAGGTATAGAGAGGGAACCTTTAGAAATCATGTTTCTACTCTAAACTTTTAAGAGCATCCTAAAATACAGTGCTTTGTGGGTACAAGTAGTTCAAGGATAAATAGAGGAGTAATTTGCCATTTGTACCAAATTAAATCAGACTTTCAGTTCAATCAAAACAGCTTGCAGCTGGATGCAATAATCTGATTTCCTGACACTCAGAGAAAAATTGAAGCCCTCCAAAAGGCCCCTGCTGATCTTCAACATGAAATACAGTTTGCTGGCAATTTTACTCAACCTCTGAATGCCTTCACATTTAATAAGCTAAAAAAATGCAAATAAAGCATAACGTTAGTTGGCAATGGCTCTCAGGTAGTGTTTTATTACAACTAAATGAAACACACAGCACAATGCCTCCAAAGGATCATGCTCTTGTTCTTTCTCAAAGTAGCTATTTTGCTAAATATGTCATCAGATGAATCTCTGTATTAGTGTCCTGGGAGTGCTGTTTTGACATTGGATGTGTGTTGAAAACATAATAAAAGGCTTCAGAGAATAAATGCTAGAATTTTGTATGTACAACTTGCTATTTTCCTGGGAAGGTAATGAGACAGATAAAAAATAAATCCTTGAGTATCTATTAACTGTTGATTATTCGAGATAGTGAGGATCCAAACCTACAGATATATTCAGTTCTGGAAAATTAGATCAATTTATGACATTTTGCATTTATCTCTAGTTTTTACCACACAAACTGATATATGCAGGTCTTTCAGCATGTTGAATGGACTTTCCAGAATTGAAAACTGCTGAATTAAGGACAAAGAAGCAGAAAGTGATGCATTTTCTCAGGAAAGCACCTTGCATTTGAAAGCTGACACTCTCTTGCGGCCTCATTACGAGGCGTCAAATCTGACCCTGCTTCCTTTATCACAAATCTTATCCCCTTCTTAATAAACATACAATTTAGGGGAGCAGAGAGAGTCAAAAGAAGGACATTGTCTAGATTATAAATCCTCAGCATCGGATGATTTTCCCTCCTTTCCTGTGGGGCAGGAAAAGAGGTGCTCAGCCCATTTCCAGTCATGATCCTACAGTGAACAGAGGACACACTCGTGTAGTGGAACCGAGGAGGGATTTGCGAAGGGATTATTTACAAAGGTGTGAACAGAGTTAAGGAAAGCCAAAAGGCACAGAGAAGCATCCAGCTATAGCAACAGTGGGAAGCTGCAACCACCATTAGCAAGGGGAGGAAATGGTTACTAGACCCAGTGAGAGTTGCAGCTGCAGAGGAGGGCAGCCTGGCAGGACCTTTTTCTGAATAAGAATGCAGTCCCCGGCAGTCCATGGCCCAGTATGACTCAAGGAAACAGATACCGCAACATCTTTCTCCCAACTCCGGTCTCCCACCAGTGCCTCCCAGCCAGAAGCCAGGGAGCAAAAGAGTTCCTTGGAGCAGCATATAGAGGTCAGCATTCTGGGGACCCAGAGCAGAGAGAGGAGCTGGGAATGGATCTGGAGGGGCAAGCAGAGACTATCCAGAGCTCTAGGATGGCAGGGGCACTCCACTAGAGGGATCTCGAAGACGGGCCTTGGGATTTCATTCCCTGATTGGAATCTTCCTGAGCTGCTGTGCTGGTGGAAAAGCAGTGCAAAAGGTGACCCAACCCTCACTCTCCTCCAAATCCTTTGGTCTAAACCCAGGGTAATGCTGGGGAGGGGAAGAAGATAAGCATTAAATTGAATATGGTGTTTGATATACTATTGAAGTGTTAAACCGTATCGAATTGGATTGGAATTTTTATTAACTAAAAGTGAATGGGAAGCTTTAGGACCTATTTAGGTTGCCATTAAGGGGATAAGATACAGTGATTCAACAGAGCATGGTGTTAGTCAATGGTTGTAAAAAAGGAAAATCATTACCTGTTTGTATTTTACTGAGTTAATACTCTTCAATAAACTAATTACCTAGGAAAACTTGGGAATAATAGCATGAGTGTACAATTTATGTGACAAATTACAATTTATATGCTTGTGATCTAATTGTGGCAGCCCTCCAAAGATGTAACTGCATATTCTTGACTCTGAATTGTTAGATGAAAAACTAGGAACAATATTGCTTTTCTTAAAATCCTATTGTGAAATTTTTATTCTGAAGTTAAGGAATACTTCTTCTTTTCTCAGGAAGTCTTAGGTCAAATTGCCCTTAAGTATAGAAATTCTTATTAAAATCTATAGCTTTTAAAATCCTGACTATCAAAGAATTTTACATTGCTTTAAATATTTCTATTTTGCCATGCACCTCATCACTATATGTTATTTATTTTCAAGCAATAACAAACTGGTGACCATCTAGTGGAAGAATCAAGAGGCTCTGAATTCCTCTTCAGAGACTTCTTAGCACCCTGAAAATTATCTTCCTAATCCAAGGTGAGCTCTTTGGAGTTAAGTGGGATCATTCATTGGGCACCATAGTCAATAGTTTTGCTCATGTGACTACTATCTTCTTCCAGGCACTGGGAAAATGGAACTTCGTGCCCTCTGTGGTTGAGTAGGGCCATGCAACTAGTTTGGGCCAATAAGTTGTGATTTAGCTCGTACTTGTAATTTTCAGGACCAAGTATCTCCCCTTAAGAGTCTGGAGTTGTTACTGTTGCATACTTTACCCTTTCTGACTAATATACTGGGCAAGATGAAGTGTACAGGTCTTGAGAGTTCATAAACATGTAGCTCTGTTTCAGAGACCTGTGTATATAGTCAACTGATATACAGATATCTGAAGCCACATAATATCTTAAGATCACCTGAGCCCTCAGCCTGACTGGGAGGCATGTTCATGGATGAATTTACAGTGCAATAATAACACTTTGCCACTTTCAGAGAAAAGATAGTCATGGAATTCGCTATTAGTCTACCTGGGCTACCAGAAAGCTAGCTGTAAGACATATAACACATCTTTAGTAAAATAGTACAGTCTTCTATACAGTTTCCTGCCTCTCAAATAGATATGAAACAATTGATCCAGCTTCCCTGTGGTAGGGTTCTATTAAATTCCTTTTATTCTTGTACTCTTTTCATTTTCTTTTCAATATAAAAGCAATGGTGAAGCCGTCTGGTGTCAGGATTGTTCTCAGAGGTCTCTTTAGGCATCTCTTCCTCTTCCCCCATTCCCCAAAATCTACACTGACCTACAAAAAACTTAAACAAATTTTCAAGAAAAAAAACCATCAAAAAGTGGGCAAAGGATATGAACAGACACTTCTCAAAAGAAGACATTTATGCGGCCAAGAAACATATCAAAAAAAGCTCATCATCTTTGGTCATTAGAGAAATGCAAATCAAAACCACAGTGAGGTACCATCTCACGCCAGTTAGAACAGGGATCATTAAAAAGTCAGGAAACAACAGATGCTGGAGAGGATGTGGAGAAAAGAAATGCTTTTACACCGTTGGTGGGAGTGTAACCATTGTGGAAGACAGATCAACCATTGTGGAAGACAGTGTGGTGATTCCTCAAGGATCTAAAACCAGAAATAGCATTTGACCAAGCAATCCCATTACTGGGTGTATACACAAAGGATTATAAATCATTCTACTACAAAGACACATGCACATGTATGTTTATTGCAGCACTATTCACAATAGCAAATGCCCATCAATGATAGACTGGATAAATAAAATGTGGCACAGGGGGGAGGAGCCAAGATGGCTGAATAGGAACAGCTCCCGTCTACAGCTCCCAGCGTGAGCGACGCAGAAGACGGGTGATTTCTGCATTTCCATCTGAGGTACCGGGTTCATCTCACTAGGGAGTGCCAGACAGTGGGCGCAGGTCAGTGGGTGCGTGCACCGTGCGCGAGCCAAAGCAGGGCGAGGCATTGCCTCACTTGGGAAGCACAAGGGGTCAGGGAGTTCCCTTTCCGAGTCAAAGAAAGGGGTGACAGAGGGCACCTGGAAAATCGGGTCACTCCCGCCCGAATACTGCGCTTTTCTGACGGGCTTAAAAAACGGCGCACCACGAGAGTATATCCCGCACCTGGCTGGGAGGGTCCTATGCCCACGGAGTCTCGCTGATTGCTAGCACAGCAGTCTGAGATCAAACTGCAAGGCGGCAGCGAGGCTGGGGGAGGGGCGCCCGCCATTGCCCAGGTTTGATTAGGTAAACAAAGCAGCCGGCAAGCTCGAACTGGGTGGAGCCCACCACAGCTCAAGGAGGCCTGCCTGCCTCTGTAGGCTCCACCTCTGGGGTCAGGGCACAGACAAAAAGACAGCAGTAACCTCTGCAGACCTAAATGTCCCTGTCTGACAGCTTTGAAGAGAGCAGTGGTTCTCCCAGCACGCAGCTGGAGATCTGAGAACGGGCAGACTGCCTCCTCAAGTGGGTCCCTGACCCCCAGCAGGAGCACACTGACACCTCACACGGCAGGGTATTCCAACAGACCTGCAGCTGAGGGTCCTGTCTGTTAGAAGGAAAACTAACAAACAGAAAGGACATCCACACCAAAAACCCATCTGTACATCACCATCATCAAAGACCAAAAGAAGATAAAACCACAAAGATGGGGAAAAAACAGAACAGAAAAACTGGAAACTCTAAAAAGCAGAGCGCCTCTCCTCCTCCAAGGGAACTCAGTTCCTCACCAGCAACAGAACAAAAAAACTGGAAACTCTAAAAAGCAGAGTGCCTCTCCTCCTCCAAGGGAACGCAGTTCCTCACCAGCAACAGAACAAAGCTGGATGGAGAATGACTTTGACGAGCTGAGTGAAGAAGGCTTCAGACGATCAAATTACTCTGAGCTACGGGAGGACATTCAAACCAAAGGCAAAGAAGTTGAAAACTTTGAAAAAAATTTAGAAGAATGTATAACTAGAATAACCAATACAGAGAAGTGCTTAAAGGAGCTGATGGAGCTGAAAACCAAGGCTCGAGAACTACATGAAGAATGCAGAAGCCTCAGGAGCCGATGCGATCAACTGGAAGAAAGGGTATCAGCAATGGAAGATGAAATGAATGAAATGAAGCGAGAAGAGAAGTTTAGAGAAAAAAGAATAAAAAGAAATGAGCAAGGCCTCCAAGAAATATGGGACTATGTGAAAAGACCAAATCTACATCTGATTGGTGTACCTGAAAGTGATGGGGAGAATGGACCAAGTTGGAAAACACTCTGCAGGATATTATCCAGGAGAACTTCCCCAATCTAGCAAGGCAGGCCAACGTTCAGATTCAGGAAATACAAAGAATGCCACAAAGATACTCCTCGAGAAGAGCAACTCCAAGACACATAATTGTCAGATTCACTAAAGTTGAAATGAAGGAAAAAATGTTAAGGGCAGCCAGAGAGAAAGGTCGGATTACCCTCAAAGGGAAGCCCATCAGACTAACAGCGGATCTCTCAGCAGAAACCCTACAAGCCAGAAGAGAGTGGGGGCCAATATTCAACATTCTTAAAGAAAAGAATTTTCAACCCAGAATTTCATATCCCGCCAAACTAAGCTTCATAAGTGAAGGAGAAATAAAATCCTTTACAGACAAGCAAATGCTGAGAGATTTTGTCACCAGCAGGCCTGCCCTAAAAGAGCTCCTGAAGGAAGCGCTAAACTTGGAAAGGAACAACTGGTACCAGCCGCTGCAAAATCATGCCAAAATGTAAAGACCATCGAGACTAGGAAGAAACTGCATCAACTAAAGAGCAAAATAACCAGCTAACATCATAATGACAGGATCAAATTCACACATAACAATATTAACCTTAAATGTAAATGGACTAAATGCTCCAATTAAAAGACACAGACTGGCAAATTGGATAAAGAGTCAAGACCCATCAGTGTGCTGTATTCAGGAAACCCATCTCACATGCAGAGACACACATAGGCTCAAAATAAAGGGATGGAGGAAGATCTACCAAGCAAATGGAAACAAAAAAAGGCAGGGGTTGCAATCCTAGTCTCTGATAAAACAGACTTTAAACAAACAAAGATCAAAAGAGACAAAGAAGGCCATTAAATAATGGTAAAGGGATCAATTCAACAAGAAGAGCTAACTATCCTAAATATATATGCACCCAATACAGGAGCACCAAGATTCATAAAGCAAGTCCTGAGTGACCTACAAAGAGACTTAGACTCCCACACATTAATAATGGGAGACCTTAACACCCCACTGTCAACATTAGACAGATCAACGAGACAGAAAGTCAACAAGGATACCCAGGAATTGAACTCAGCTCTGCACGAAGCAGACCTAATAGACATCTACAGAACTCTCCATCCCAAATCAACAGAATATACATTTTTTTTTCAGCACCACACCACACCTATTCCAAAATTGACCACATACTTGGAAGTAAAGCTCTCCTCAGCAAATGTAAAAGAACAGAAATTATAACAAACTATCTCTCAGACCACAGTGCAATCAAACTAGAACTCAGGATTAAGAATCTCACTCAAAACCACTCAACTACATGGAAACTGAACAACCTGCTCCTGAATGACTACTGGGTACATAACGAAATGAAGGCAGAAATAAAGATGTTCTTTGAAACCAACGAGAACAAAGACACAACATACCAGAATCTCTGGGACACATTCAAAGCAGTGTGTAGAGGGAAATTTATAGCACTAAATGCCCACAAGAGAAAGCAGGAAAGATGCAAAATTGACACCCTAGCATCACAATGAAAAAAACTAGAAAAGCAAGGCAAACACATTCAAAAGCTAGCAGAAGGCAAGAAATAACTAAAATCAGAGCAGAACTGAAGGAAATAGAGACACAAAAAACCCTTCAAAAAATTAATGAATCCAGGAGCTGGTTTTTTGAAAGGATCAACAAAATTGATAGACCGCTAGCAAGACTAATAAACAAAAAAAGAGAGAAGAATCAAATAGATGCAATAAAAAATGATAAGGGGGATATCACCACTGATCCCACAGAAATACAAACTACCATCAGAGAATACTACAAACACCTCTACACAAATAAACTAGAAAATCTAGAAGAAATGGATAAATTGCTCGACACATACACTCTCCCAAGACTAAACCAGGAAGAAATTGAATCTCTGAATAGACCAATAACAGGATCTGAAATTGTGGCAATAATCAATAGCTTACCAACCAAAAAGAGTCCAGGACCAGATGGATTCACAGCCGAATTCTACCAGAGGTACAAGGAGGAACTGGTACCATTCCTTCTGAAACTATTCCAATCAATAGAAAAAGAGGGAATCCTCCCTAACTCATTTTATGAGGCCAGCATCATTCTGATACCAAAGCCTGGCAGATATACAACAAAAAAAGAGAATTTTAGACCAATATCCTTGATGAACATTGATGCAAAAATCCTCAATAAAATACTGGCAAAACGAATCCAGCAGCACATCAAAAAGTTTATCCACCATGATCAAGTGGGCTTCATCCCTGGGATGCAAGGCTGGTTCAATATACGCAAATCAATAAATGTAATCCAGCATATAAACAGAACCAAAGACAAAATCCACATGATTATCTCAATAGATGCAGAAAAAGCCTTTGGCAAAATTCAACAACCCTTCATGCTAAAAACTCTCAATAAATTAGGTATTGATGGGACGTATTTCAAAATGATAAGAGCTATTTATGACAAACCCACAGCCAATATCATACCGAATGGGCAAAAACTGGAAGCATTCCCTTTGAAAACTGGCACAAGACAGGGATGCCCTCTCTCACCACTCCTATTCAACATAGTGTTGGAAGTTCTGGCCAGGGCAATTAGGCAGAAGAAGGAAATAAAGGGTATTCAATTAGGAAAAGAGGAAGTCAAATTGTCCCTGTTTGCAGACGACATGATTGTATATCTAGAAAACCCCATTGTCTCAGCCCAAAATCTCCTTAAGCTGATAAGCAACTTCAGCAAAGTCTCAGGATACAAAATCAATGTACAAAAATCACAAGCATTCTTATACACCAGCCACAGACAAACAGAGAGCCAAATCATGAGTGAACTCCCATTCACAATTGCTTCAAAGAGAATAAAATACCTAGGAATCCAACTTACAAGGGATGTGAAGGACCTCTTCAAGGAGAACTACAAACCACTGCTCAAGGAAATAAAAGAGGATACAAACAAATGGAAGAACATTCCATGCTCATGGGTAGGAAGAATCAATATCGTGAAAATGGCCATACTGCCTAAGGTAATTTACAGATTAAATGCCATCCCCATCAAGCTACCAATGCCTTTCTTCACAGAATTGGAAAAAACTACTTTAAAGTTCATATGGAACCAAAAAAGAGCCCGCATCGCCAAGTCAATCCTAAGCCAAAAGAACAAAGCTGGAGAGATCATACTACCTGACTTCAAACTATACTACAAGGCTACAGTAACCAAAACAGCATGGTACTGGTACCAAAACAGAGATATAGATCAATGGAACAGAACAGAGCCCTCAGAAATAATGCCGCATATCTACAACCATCTGATCTTTGACAAACCTGAGAAAAACAAGCAATGGGGAAAGGATTCCCTATTTAATAAATGGTGCTGGGAAAACTGGCTAGCCATATGTAGAAAGCTGAAACTGGATCCCTTCCTTACACCTTATACAAAAATCAATTCAAGATGGATTAAAGACTTAAACGTTAGACCTAAAACCATAAAAACCCTAGAAGAAAACCTAGGCATTACCATTCAGGACATAGGCATGGGCAAGGACTTCATGTCTAAAACACCAAAAGCAATGGCAACAAAAGACAAAATTGACAAATGGGATCTAATTAAACTAAAGAGCTTCTGCACAGCAAAAGAAACTACCATCAGAGTGAACAGGCAACCTACAAAATGGGAGAAAATTTTCACAACCTACTCATCTGACAAAGGGCTAATATCCAGAATCTACAATGAACTCCAACAAATTTACAAGAAAAAAACAAACAACCCCATCAAAAAGTGGGCAAAGGACATGAACAGACACTTCTCAAAAGAAGACATTTATGCAGCCAAAAAACACATGAAAAAATGCTCATCATCACTGGCCATCAGAGAAATGCAAATCAAAACCACAATGAGATACCAGCTCACACCAGTTAGAATGGCAATCATTAAAAAGTCAGGAAACAACAGGTGCTGGAGAAATAGGAACACTTTTACACTGTTGGTGGGACTGTAAACTAGTTCAACCATTGTGGAAGTCAGTGTGGCGATTCCTCAGGAATCTAGAACTAGAAATACCATTTGACCCAGCCATCCCATTACTGGGTATATACCCAAAGAACTATAAATCATGCTGCTATAAAGACACATGCACACGTATGTTTATTGCGGCATTATTCTCAATAGCAAAGGCTTGGAACCAAGCCAAATGTCCAACAATGATAGACTGGATTAAGAAAATGTGGCACATATACACCATGGAATACTATGCAGCCATAAAAAATGATGAGTTCATGTCCTTTGTAGGGACATGGATGAAATTGGAAATCATCATTCTCAGTAAACTATCGCAAGAACAAAAAACCAAACACCGCATATGCTCACTCATAGGTGGGAATTGAACAATGAGAACGCATGGACACAGGAAGGGGACTCACACTCTGGGGACTGTTGTGGGGTGGGGGGAGGCGGGAGGGATAGCATTGGGAGATATACCTAATGCTAGATGAGGAGTTAGTGGGTGTAGCGCACCAGCATGGCACATGTATACATATGTAACTAACCTACACAATGTGTACATGTACCCTAAAACTTAAAGTATAATAAAAAAAATGTGGCACATATACATCATGGAATACTATGCAGCCATAAAAAAGGATGAGTTCATGTCCTCTGCAGGGACATAGATGAAGCTGGAAACTATTATTCTCAGCAAACTAACACAGGAACAGAAACCCATACACCACATGTTCTCACTCATAAGTGGGAGTTGAACTATGAGAACACATGGATACAGGGAGGGGAACATCACACACTGGGGCCTATTGGGGGGTGGGGGGCTGGGGGAGGGATAGCATTAGGAGAAATACCTAATGTACAGGACGGGTTGATGGGTGCAGCAAACCACCATGGCACGTGTATACTAATGTAACAAACCTGCAAGTTCTGCACATGTATCCCAAAATTTAAAGCATAATAAAAACAAAACAAAACAACAGCAACAACAAAAAATTTACACTGACAACCAAATGAATAGTCTTGAAAGCTTAAAGACCCTTAGGGAAAACTGCAGAGCTTACTGAAAATATTAGAAAATTTTTGAAAAAATATCAGTGAATTATTTTGTAAAACTGCTAAGGACAAACAGGCTATTTTGTGTAGCCTTGAACTACTTCAAAACAATTTTGAAACATCCTTTAACTAGGTCTTTAAACACTATTTTTAAATTTTGATTATACCAGTTACACATATGCATAGATATATTCTCCTTTAAAAAATAGGTCAAGATTATATTAACATTCTTCTTAACCACCACTTATCTGATTCCCCTCATGGCCTTTTACAGAGGCAGCACTATTAGGAATCTTTTGAGCACAGAAGCTAAAACTTAACATAGATTCTCCTCACACAGACCCTTCTAGAACAATTTTGCTGTCACTCAGCATTCCCAGTTTATCTGCCCCTTTGTTTGGTTCTCTGAGCACTTCTGCAACTGAGAATTTTGTTTCTTCTATGGAGTATGACCTGTTGGTACTCTTGTCACTTGTTAACATTAATCATCTTCCTCTTTGGGATAATTATCCCTCACATTTCTTGTCACCTGATGAATCCCATCTCCAGTCTTCCTCTCATATAATCTCAGCCTTAGACTATAATCATTACTAGTCTAAAAAAGCTCCTTTAAAATCCCCTTCCCTTGGTGTGGGGGGAACGAAACACAAAGCTCATTCACCCCCCCATCCCATCTACAATGCACTGACCCCTTATGCGATGGCTTAGCTAAAAGCAGCTGATCCTTTCTCATACCAGTAGTGAGAGTGACATGGTGACATGGGAAATACAAAATCCCGTGTTCCAAAAAGAAAATAAATGCATAGTCTCTGAGTCTGATTATGACCTTGATCACATTTCACAATGACAAAATACCAAATTCAGAAATGTAGTGGGATAGAGAAGAACACGTAAAGATTCTTATTGTCTAACCCTCCTGTCTGGCTTTTGCTTCATCTGTCTACAAGACATGTGGCTTTTAGGAAATGAATTTCACCATATCTGAGGTTGCTGCCATTTAATCTCCTCAAATATTATCTTTTCTAGTGGCAAGGGTGAGCTGCCACTCTGGAGTCAGTTGAAGGCAGAGAGTTTGCTTTCAGACACCTGAATCAGAATCAATGACACATCCTTCCACACTGGGTGACAATTATTAATTCTTAAATCACACTGCTGATTGGGGCTTCAGATGTCTGAAGCCAGTGCCACAGGATTCCAGATAATGTTATAGAATTTCACATTTGTGAAGATTATCTCCAATTTTTATCACGAAATTGCTCTGTAGAGATGTCCTGACACCTGAACAGAAAATACTTGTTCCTCTAAAGGAAGAAAAGGCAAAAGCTCACTGTAATATTGTGACTAATATTGTTCTAATAAATAAGAACTCAGAATTTATTTAAAAAAAATATTTTCTGGAGCACTTTGGGAGGCCCAGGTGGGTGAATCACCTGAGGTCAGGAGTTTGAGACCAGCCTGGCCAACATGGTGAAACTCCGTCTCTACTAAAAATACAAAAATTAGCCAGGCGTGGTGGTGGACACCTGTAATCCCAGCTACTCAGGAGGCTGAGGCAGGAGAATCACTTGAACCTAGGAGGCAGAGGTTGCAGTGAGCCGAGATTGTGCCATTGCACTCCAGACTGGATGACAGAGTAAGACTCCGTCTCAAAATATATATATATATATACATATTTTTTTTTTCTGGCTGTCGTGAACTTCACTCTTCCTTGAATTTCTCCACCCCATTTAGGTGGGACTACATTAGAAACAGCCTCACCTGGGAGCCTCTGTCTCAGCGGCACTTGGACAGAGGTCTCAGGGAAGAATGGGATACAGACGATTATTAACACAATTCTGTACAATTCCAGTCACTCATTCCAATACCTCACACCTCAGCTCTCTTCGGCTTTAGATTTCAGTTCCTCTGAATCTGAATTTCCAATTCTACTTTCCCATTGTTTCTTGATCTCTGAGCTCATCATTTGGACTCCCTCTTTGCTTATGTCTCTGTCTGTCTCAGCTTGCCAGCCTCCTAGTCTAAAGTACCAGCCCATGATTATTTATCACCGAACAAACCCTACACTCTTATCTGGCCTCTTTTCCCTAATCTCTGTTACTTGTCCTATCCCTTTTGTTTGTGCCTATGTGCACTCCATGAAGTCTTTGTCCCTGACTGAAGGCTGTTTCCTCACTTGGACTTCAAGTTTTCATGATCCTGATTCTATTCGTAACTAACTTCCTAGCTGTGACTCTTCCAATCCAGTCTCAGCATCCAGTAGTTTGACAGTCCTGTTCCTTCTTGGTCTGCTTGTAGTCCTGGTTTAGCCACTGATACCGCAAAAACACTGGGACCATTGGAAGGAAAGACCAACTCCAAGGGAACTTTTCCCTTCTCACTTCATAAATAATTGGGATATTTTTACTCCAGGAAAAGAACTAAACAAAGGGAGAAGCTAAGCCCTTAGCCCTTCAGCTCTCCTGTGGCATTTTATTCCCTTGTACTTGGGTACAGTTTGCAGTACTGAATAAGATTACTTCAGCTTTGCAAGAAAATATTAAGGCTTAACAGTATAAAAATTCGATTAGTCATGCTGTGAGACAGCTATAAATGTTTGTATTTAAAAATCTGTCATTTAAACAGGGATTTAAGATGTGTTAAAAAAAAAGAGTATCTCTTTTTAAGCACTAGATTTTCAGCAAACTGGATATCTCCTGAGGGTGGTTGATATCAAAATATTACAGGGACTCTTTCTGTGTCAGGTTTGCTTAAAGCCTCCGAAAGATGGAGAAGAAAACAGTAGGTGACCTCCATGTAATGCTTATGTTGAAGAGCAAAAATCAACAGAGTGCAATTCTAAGGCAATTTAACTATGTTCCTTTATGGTGTCTTCAAACCTGCACTATATAGCAACTTTTTCTCCTTTTCCCTTAAATAGTGTTTAAGGTTCCTCATGAATTGTCAAGCTTATCACCTTTGAGATTATCTATCTTTCCTTGTGTCTGTTTGCCACAGGAAGCTTGTGCATTTTTGCCACGCTAGGGAGAAAAACAACTGAACCCACAGTTGACTTCACTTTTTGCATCACCATCATGGGGAGATTGGTCTCAAGCTGCATCTACCTGAATCTTTTCTGGCAAAGAGGAAACTCCAGCCTTGGTCATTTCTGACGAATCTCTCTGAAGCCCCTCTCCTGAGCAAATCTAACTTTATTATTTTTCTGTTTCTGCGGACACAGGGGGAGTATATTGTGCAGGCTTCCTTGCAACTAGATTAAAACCAAGAGGCTGGTGGTTCTAACCTTGGAGTGTCAGTTGAAATAATTTTGAATACTTTCAAGCCCACTCCCTAGAAGCTCCATTATCCTTTTATCTCTCTTTCCTCATGGTGGTGACCTGAAGGCTTGTGTTAAGATGCTAATTGCCCAAGATGGGAGAAACCTGAGTCTACGAGTCTGTGAATGGAAGGGAAGCTTCACCAAGACACACTGGATTTCTTTGTGTGAAGTCACTAAAATTTCGGTTTCATCTTTTGTAGTAGTAAAGCTAACACAGTGAACTTTTTCAGCCCCAGTCTTTTCATACTTTTTAGGGAGATACTGGGCAAGAGGTTGCAAAATTGTTTTTGACTACCTCCTACACTGGATTTCTTTGTGTGAAGTCACTAAAATTTCGGTTTCATCTTTTGTAGTAGTAAAGCTAACACAGTGAACTTTTTCAGCCCCAGTCTTTTCATACTTTTTAGGGAGATACTGGGCAAGAGGTTGCAAAATTGTTTTTGACTACCTCCTCTTAAAGTTCTGCAGTCTGTTTAGGTCCTTCCTCTGAAATGTAGAAATCGGTGCCGTAAATTGCTGTTCTCAGGCTGCTGTGGCCTCATCCACTTACACTTACTCCTTTCCATGTCTAAAATTTTAATGATAAACAATTTTAATAGTCTTTGTAAGGCCGGGCATAGTGGTTCACACCTGTAATCCCAGCACTTTGGGAGGCTGAGGTAGGCAATATTACGTGCTTATATAATACGTAATATATAATGATGCAAATTATATATGCATTATTATGATTAAATGTGTTATTGATTGCACCATTGGTTGCAAAGAAATAGAATAATCAGTTAAAAACATTTAAGCATAACAATGTATTACATAGGTAAATAATGTATGTGCATACTGAATTCTGTATATATACACAAAATAATTCACATAGGTTTATAAGCATATATGTTCTACTTATATATCTTGTACATATATATTGTTTGTATGTACTATATATGTATATAAACACATTCCAACTTTTTAATGTGTATGTTTATTAGATTTTAGATAATAAAAGTTCTTATAATTACTTATTTACATAATTGATCAAAGCAACATAAATATATTAAAAAGTTTAATAATTATTAAATATAAAAATAAAATTTTATCATAAATGTTTTTTTACATGTAAACACAGACATATACACATGGAGTAGGTATGTACATTATTTTGTTTAAATTGTTTAAATTTTTTTGCTACTTTATTTATTTGCAACCAATACAGGGTAATCAAAAATTCTTGTTTGTAATCTATTAGGTGGCAACTTGTTTAAGTCCCCCTTCATTACTCTTGAAGGAAAATAGTTAGAAGCCACTTGACTTGTAAAAGGATGTATTATTTAGTTCATTGTCACCATTTAGTTTCTCAGTTTCTGGATAGGACAACAAAACTTTACCAGGATATAGCAAATGAGCAAAAATAATGTCTTTTCTTATTTTGTTTAAAGGAACCAGGTTCAACCTGTTGTATTCAGAAAAGATTGGGGAAAATTAAATGTTAATTTAAATTTAAATACATTTAAACACATTTTGTTGAAAAAATTTGAATCAAAATGCTTTTGCCTTACCACATTTTAAATGTTTGCCCTGACATTATTTCTTGCAATTGTTCTCTTGCCTTTACTCTCATAGAATGCTCCCTAAGAAGCAATATACTCTTTCATAATAGTTGAGAAATGGAAGAGGTAGGGTTATTAAATGAAAACTGCTATCATTTCCATCCTGCTCTTGAATACAGCCACGCACTGTATGACATTTCGATCAACAACAGACATCATATGCATACCTCATATGTGACAGTAATCCCATAATATTATACTACCATATTTTTACTCTATCTTTTCCAGGTTTAGATATGTTTAGATGCACAAACACTTGCTATTGTGTTACAATTGCCTACAATATTGAGCACAGAGGCATGCTGTACAGGATGGTAACCTAGGTGTGTAGCAGGCTATACCATCTAGGTTTGTGTAGTTACACTCTGTGATGTTTGCACCAAGATGAACTGCCTAACAACACATTTCTCAGAATGTATCCTAGTTGTTAAGTGATGCTTGACTCTATAAACTCAAAACATTGCTACTTAAACAAAAATACCAAGTTTCTAAGGCCAGGGTCTACTCTTAAGACAGTAAGTATACGTGTAAGTATAAAAGACATTTAGCTTGTTTTTGCTTTCTTTTTATTGAATTTCTGAATTTTCTAATTTTTCAAAAATGAACATATATCTATTATGAAGAACCAAGAAATCACAGACAGTGATTTAAAAAATTTGCAAATGGCACACCAATATTGGAAGAAAATCTGTTACATAGCATTGTCTAGAAACAAATATTATTGACATTTTCTGGTTGAAATCTTCAGGTTTCTGGCCAACTACAGTGTAAAACCCATTAGATTAGAGCAGTTAAATGCAAATGTGAAATCATGGTGGAGTTAGTCTAGGTTTGCAGAAGGTTGTTTTTATAAGTGGTCTTCCAATTAAAATGCATGATTCACCTGTGCCTTTGCAAAGAGTTATGATTTACATGTGTCAATACTGCCCATTCTTTGCCTCTTTTATATTAATGGGGTAGTGAATGAGCAAATGAAAATTTAGGGAGCTTTTGGAGTTATCAAAATTAGCCTTATTAAATAGTTTTTCTTAAAATGGAGTTTTTGCAATGCAGTGGAACATAAAGTGGACATGGTACAATGAAATTGAGAATACCTTGAGCTTAAAATAAGGATAAGAACTATTTTGGTACCTCAGATAATGCCATATGTGTTATAATGAAACCACTGAAAAACGTGTTAGTGGCAACTTGATGAAAATGAAATGAGAGGGGGGAAGAAAAGAAGAAAATAAATGAAATAAAATTTTAATAAGACATCTCTTTACTTTCAGGTACACTATTGCACATTTGACAAATGTATTCTCATCAATTCCCCACAGCAATGCTAGAAAGTACTTATTGCAACTTTATAGATGAAGAAACAAATTTAGGGAAGTTGAGTTTGTAAAAAATTGGTTTAAATTCAATCAAGTAGAAAGTAATAGAGGCAGACTTCAAATTCCAGGTGAGTCTTACTTCAATGCCCATGTTTTACCCAATTGTGACTCATTTGTTTGTGAATGCACACCTGATTTGGGTTGGTGATTATTGATAAAAGAATAAAGCTTATCTGAAATATTAATGTCCTTTTAATACAGGTACTATATAATGTAGAATGACCAAGAAGCTATCATATTTCAATGATATATAATCTGAGGGATAAAAATGATTGATAGATGCACAGTGTCAAAGCAGAAAAAATGAGAAAATGTTGTTTCAAATAAGAAAGTATTAGAATCAACAGGAGATGACACTTATGAAAATATATACAGAAAACTTAGAAATGATAAAATTACCAATCAGTCTTCAGTAAACTCAGCAGGCAATAAGTTCCAAAGAACTTCTAATGAATTATTAAACCCAGACATGGCGCTGGATTAAGATAAGAAGAAGCTAGAAAATGACATCTTCTAAATGATATTAAACAAATGTGACAATCAGCAACTTTGAAAATATTTTGAGGATGTTAAAGGGGTGCTATCTACTTTACATGTTTCTACATCAATTATGCATTTTAAAGTCAACTTAAAAACGTTCCTAATTAAGCTCCTTGTGCAGCTGTCAGAGGACTTTTTTCTTTATTTAATACCAAGCTTAAAGCCTGTGATAAAAACATCCATGACTGTAAATACCAAGCAAATGAGCAAACGAACTAAAGGTGTGCCCAAGATTCTGAACACAACCCAGGTAGCTTCTGAGTAAAGTCGTCTACCATATCTCAAACGCCTCATTTTGGAATTTTTCACAATCTTATTCTCCTTCCTTTATTTCCATGTAGATGTGCTTCTGTAGATGTATGATTCAATTATAAATGAATCTAATAGTGTGATATTACTAAACCACCAAGAAGACATATTAAGTCCCAGGGAAGGCGAGGACAGACATCACTTAGAAAAGGAGATTATCCATCAACTCAATCTCAGCAATGATGTAGGGAGATAGCAGTCTTGAGAGCCTGACTGTAAAGAGAGGAGAAAGTTGTATTTCAATTACAATTTCTCCCTGAATATAGCAAGAGCCATAGTGCTGGCACCAGACTCCAGAGCTTTACTTTACACTCTGAGCATGAGAAAGGGATAAAGAGGAAATCACAGAAACACTTCTGAGACAGAGTGTTTGAGGGAATGAGGAAAAGACAGAAGAACAGGTCAGAGGAATTTGCTGATACCTAGGTGGCAGGAAGGTGTGATTTGGAAAAGCGTGATTAAGCTTGGGTCAGTAGAAACCCCCAGAGCATTGGGGGAGAATCTGAGATTGTGTGGGATGGTTCTCTGCTTACTCCTTACATTTGACAATTTGTCACCAGCCAGAAAGGTATCAGAGGGGAAAAGATGTATATCAATAAATGAATGTTGATACATGTCAATTCTGATTTCCCACAGCCTAAGGACAGTGTTCAAGAAATCCAGGAATCCTCCCAAGGGGCAGAAGCAGTCACAGTCCTGGTGGAATGGCGGAGGCCTGGGGCCAGGACCAGGATAACACAGAGCTGCAACGACAGTGTCCACACCCAACTAGTAGTGGTGGCAGATAGACACCTCAAGCCTGAGGGAGACTGGCAGTGTGGACTCTGAACACAGAAGCTGATGTCTAGAGAGCAGCATGATGAGAAACCTTAATCAGCAGACAGCAAAGACCCAGAGAGCAGCACATAGAATGGAAGACCCTTTCACCACTGCTCTCGAAAAAACTGCTTGCTTTTGGGGAATAAGATGACATCTTGGGAAAGTGAGGGAGTGGGGAAGGAGCTGTGAAAGACTGATCATCTGCACTAAAGAGACTGAGTTGCTCTAAAGACGACAGACTTATTTCCAGCTGACTGGCAAGACCCAGTGGTTCCCTGAGTCTCCCTGCCAGAACCTCCACTACCTAGCAGAATGAGCTGATAGAGGATTAAGTGTGTTTTGTTTTAGTTTAACCAAGAATGAAGACTTTCTCATTCCTGTAAAAGTTCAGAAGTATCTGAAGAAGACCATAAATACCACACTCCTTCTAGATCTATTGTTCCACCATTTCTAGGATGTCACAATTTCCCTGATGGTCCAAGATAGTGGTATTTATATTTCAAAAAGAAGGTTGAAAAAAGGAAGGGGGAAGAACAGAAAGGACATGCACCAGATTTCCTTCAAAAAAGGCTCTTACAAGTTGTCAAATCTAATCCACTTAAGTCCCACTAGCCAGATATTAGCTTCATGGCCACATATGGCTTCCAAAAATACTGGGTAATGCAGAATTTTGGGGGTCACTGTATTAGTGTGTTCTCAGGCTGCTAATAAAGTCATACCTGAGACTGAGTAATTTATAAAGGAAAGAGGTTTAATTGAATCACAGTTCCGCATGGAAGGAGAGGCCTCACAATCATGGCGGAAGGTGAATGAGGAGCAAAGTCATGTCTTAGATGGTGGCAGGGAAGAGGGTTTGTGCAGGGGAACTCTAACTTATAAAACCATCAGATCTTATGAGTCTTATTCACTGCCATGAGAACAGTATGGGAGAAACCGCCTCCATTATTCAATTATCTCTACCTGGCCCCACCCTTGACACATGGGGATTATTACAATTAGAGGTGAGATTTGTGTGGGGACACACAGCCAAACCGTATCAGTCACCATGACTATCTAAAAGTTCTACTATTTCAGAAAAAAGACACAGAGATGTTGGGAGAAAATGAGGAACTCTGTCATAGGGTCATAGATGTAAGACACTATAGAGGGAAGTGATGACCGAGATACAGCCTGGTGATGATTCATTAGTCTTTTAGAGTTTATCACACATTTGACCATAGCAGGACTGCAAGTGCTAGCTTTTAACACAGTGATGTTCATGTTATTGCTTGTTACTATAGGTATTTCAAAAAGGGATTAGGAGAGGTAGGTCCAGTTCTGCTGGCCCAACACTCCTCAAAATCGATCTTTGAGGTTTTAATTATTTAAAAATTACACAGAGGAAAGACGCTGTTTAGTGTCACAAACCGTGTCTTTGGCTTATTTTGCAATATCCATTGTTTTTAATACTACTTTTTAGGCTATTATTCCTTTCAGCCTTACAGCAATCAAACATAATTTTTCCTCAATTCATTTCCCACCAGACTACTCACTAATTTTCCATTCCTTCTTACCACAAATTCTCACACAAAGTGGTGTTTATTTTTGTTCCCTGCAACCTGTCGGCCTCTCTTTTCATTCTAGTGATACTACCTAAAAAAACTATATTGAGACATAATTTCATAACTTTTAAATAACTTTAATGAGTTGTTTTCTAACTTTATTGGTGACAAAGGCATCACTCACTTCAAGTGCATAAGTCAGTGATATTTTAAGTAAAATGACCAAGTTGTACAGCCATCACCATAAACAAGTTTTAGAATATTTCCATCATCCCAATAAGTTGTGTTTGCTCCTTCTCCTCACCCTAGGTAGCCACTAATTTGCATTCTGTCTCTGTAGATTTTCCTTTTCTGGACATTTCATAGAAACTGAACCATATAATGTATGGTCTCTGTGTCTGGCTTCTCTTACTGAGTGTGAAAGTTTTTGGGTTTCATTAATGTCAAAGCGTATTTTACTACTTCATTCTTATCTATTGACAAATAATACTTCATTGTATATGTATAGCACATATTTCTATTCATTCATTAGTTGATGGATGTTTAGATTGTTTCCAATTTTTGGTTGTTATGAATAATACTCTTAAGAACATTTGTGTGTGAGTCTTTTTGTGGACATATGTTTTCAATTCCCCTGAATGGATACCTGAGGAGAGAATTCCAGGTAATATGATAAATTTATGTTTAACATTTTGAAGAGCTTCTAAACTGTTTTTTTCAGAGTGGCTGTATTAGTTTGCTTAGCTGCATTAACATGGTACTATAGACTGGATGGCTGAAACAACAGAAATTTATTTTCTCATGGTTCTGGCAGCTGGAAGTCCAAAATCAAGATGTTGGTTAGTTTGGTTTCTTCTGAGGCCTCCCTCCTTGGCTTGCAGATGGCCATTCTCTCTATGTCCTCACGTAGCCATTTCTCTGTGTGTGTGTGCTCCTGGTATCTCTCAGTGTGTTCAAATTTCTACTTCTTATAAAGACAGGACACTGCGTTAGGGTCCACCCTAACAGCCTCATTTTAACTCAGTCACCTCTTTGAAGGACCTACCTACAAATATAGTCACATTCTGAGGTGCTAGGGGTTAGAGCTTCAACATGTCAATTTCGGGAGGGATGCAATTTAATCATAACAGTGGCTGTAACATCTTTAATTTTACCAGAAAAGTGTTTCTAGTAAATTTCTCCACATTCTTGGCAACATTTGTTCTTGTCCTTAAAAAAATATAGCCATTTAGAGGGTGTAAAACGATGTCTTGTGGTTTTAAGTTCATTTCCCTGACGACTAGTGATGTTGATAATCTTTTCATATGCTTATTAACTATTAGTATATCTTCTTTGATAAAATGTCTATTCAAACACTTTGCCCATTTTAAATTGGTGTTTGGCCAGCAAAACTGAATACAGCCTCTTCTAGTCTATCTTGGAAATACCTATAATGACAAAGGAACAACAACAACAACAAAACACCGTTAACAGTAAAGATAATACACCACAAGAATATACAAAGAAATCTTACACTTCAAAGATAGAAAAATCATGTTAGAAGGTTTCTCAAATAGAGATGCTCCTGGACTTATGATGGGATTAAGTTCTGATAAGCCTATTGTAAGTTGAAAATATCATAAGTTGAATATGCATTTAATACAACTAACTTACTAAACATCATAGCTTAGTCCAGCCTACCTTAAACATGCTCAGAACACTTACATTAGCCTACCATTGGGCAAAATCATGGAACACAAAGCCTATTTTAAAATAAATTATTGGACATCTCCTGTAATTTATTGAATACTGTACCTAAAGGGAAAAACAGAATGGTTGTATGGGTACTTGACATAGCATTTCTACTGAATACATTTCACTTTGCAGCATGGTAAATTTGAAGAATTATTAAGTCAAACCATCTTAAGTCAGGGACTGTCTGTACAGTTATAACAACTAAATTAATCAGCATTTTCTCCTATCTCCAAACATTAGTTCATGAGTCACTTAATGGGGGCTAGGTCTCAGTGATATTCTGAAGCATTTTCTCAACATGAATACATTTTGCTAGATAATAACATGCTATTTTTCTCTTATTTTCCTTTGCCATCATATGTGATGATTCCCACTCATGTAGCACTGGAAAAAGCTGACTTCAGAATCTCTAGGCAGACCTTGGAAACTAGGATATCCACATGGCTACTGTTGGCTAGTCAATATGTTTTCAGCTTGTACAACGTTGGACCATACCTTGTTTTCAAAATGTTAGCTATTAATTGGTTGCCGACATTAATAAATTTAATTAAGAGATTACATATAAGTATGTGGATTTATGGCTTTAAAAAATATAGACCTACATGCTCATATATATGAATTGGCTGAATGTGAATAATTTTCAATGGTCCCTACCCCTCTCCATTGGTCCCTGGCATTGAGTCTGACTGTAACTACCATTTATCTTTATGCTAGTCCTGTTGTTTTACTTACAATGCAGTTAAGATAAAAATGACTTCTTTATCGCCATTAAGCTTCTAAATTTGCAATCTATAGGCATCTAAATTTGTCTTCCACAGTCTAGACATCCTGAAATTGGAGCAAAGTCAATTATACTTCTAGGTTAACTGAACTTTCTCTCAAATAATTCCTTGAATACTACCATGTTTAACAAAACATGCTGTTGTATGTTTCATGGTGTCAGGGGAAGATTGTTTTTTATTACTGTTATATCCGTAGCTCCTAGAGTAATGCTCAAAATGTAGTAAGTATATAAAAATTGTATGATGGATGGCAAACTAGGATATGATGCAATTATTTACTATGGTCCCTATTTTCAACCTTTCATAAGCACAATCAAGTTTAGTTCTTAAACGTTTCTCAATCCAGCCACTTCTCTCTGGTCTGTACATGTACCTTAATCCAAAATTCTACCTGTCTTAATAGGACTGTGAAATAACCTCTTAAAGATCTTTCTGCCTCAAGACTGGCCCTTCTCCATACTATTCTCCACAGGACATCCAGGATACACAAATATGCTCACTCCTACCCCGCTGCCACCCTGCCTCCCATTACTCTTGGACATGAGTACCAATAGAGTTGGTACAAGGCATAGTATATAATCTATAGCATTATTTGATGGACAGAAAAAAAAACACTCACTGATTCTTGATGGAGAAACCCTCTTAGAATTCTACTGACATTTGAAATTCTCATTTGATGCTGACATCTTCACCTGTGGACCCACTGTTCTTGGAGAAAAGAAAAAAGCTACTGGAGGCTCATTTCTGGGAATAGGCCCAGATTGGCTGAAAAACATTGAGTCGGTGCTTACAGGGGCCTATTTTTTCTACCCTGAAATATCAAAGACTATGTCCAGATCATCAAGCTTCTTGGTGGATTCCCATGGGTTCATCTCATCTTGCTGTTGGATAATTAAATTTGGGAGGTGGTGGAACTAGGAAAGAGGATGCCTCTTAGCCAGCTGGGGTTATAAACCACTTAAATCTGCCTTGAGCCTAGGAAGTGAAGCCACTCCCAGAAGTCCAGGATTGAGGGTTTGTGAGACCATGTATGGGTTTGGGGACAAATCTTAAGGTGTAATAGTGAATTCCTTAGCCTAATAGTAATTCTCTCTCTTCTCCTCCCTCCCTTTCTTTCTCTCAACTAGCATTGGGAAGGCAGGCATTGAGAAATTCACATTATAAATCAAAATCTGTTGAAAAAGAATACTTCTATGGACTTTGGGAGAAAATTTTCTTATCTGAAAGAAACTATAGTTAAAATTAATCATCCTTCCTGGCTGGCATCTGGGGGAACCCTATGAGACTCTGAAGAATATGAATCTACTGCTCTGTAAGAATATTCATGATCATGAAAACAACTATCATTGGAATACACAAAGTTAATCTGTGTGCTCAAAATAGGAGGTACTAAGAACCTAGATTTTTATAGTCTCCATGTATATTTGAGTCTCACTATATCGTTTCACTTGCTCCCTTTATCCCATTAATTGTCTTCTTTCTGCTTGTGATTGTTAATACTGAGTGTCAACTTGATTGGATTGAAGGATGCAAAGTATTGATCCTGGGTGTGTCTGTGAGGGTGCTGCCAAAGGAGATTAACATTTGAGTCAGTAGGCTGGGAAAGGCAGACCCACCCTTAATTTGGGAGGGTGCCACCTAATTAGCTGCCAGCACGAACAGAATATAAAGCTGGCAGAAAAACATGAAAAGGCCAGACTGGCTTAGCCTCCCAGCCTACATCTTTCTCTCATGCTGGATGCTTCCTGCTGTCAAACATCGGACTCCAAGTTCTTCAGCTTTGGGACTCGGACTGGCTTCCTTGCTCCTCAGCTTGTAGACGGCCTATTGTGGGAACTTGTGATCTTCTCAGTTAATACTACTTAATATATATATTAAGTAGTATATATACAGAGAGAGAGAGAGAGGGGAATTTATATATATATATATATATATATATCTCCTATTCATTCTTCATTCTGTCCCTCTGGAGAACCCTAATACATTGTGTCCTCCTACAACTTTTTGCTGGCAACATAAACTCAAAAAGGTGTATATAAGGCTAATAATTGTTACATACGAGCCACCGCATTTTTTGTTTGCATCTATCATTTTGGACTAGATGGATTTTGAGTGATTTGAGGACACAAGATTCAATTTATTTGTTGTTGGGAAATGTGAACCTATTACCAACTCCCATGCTATCTGGGTGCAACTTTGCTAACTTTTGCTCTATTCATTTTTTATATTAAATTACTTTCTGGGCTATGATAATGATTTATCTCTCCTTTTAATTGTTGGATATATAAATTAATGAGAGAATTGTGCTCACATACTTTTCTTTTACATAGAAAAGAACATTTTTGAGAATACTTTATTGGGGAGAAAAAGTAGATGTGTTTTCCCTGCAGGTTCACAATCAGTAAATTAAATATGAAGATAAATGGAGGGAACAGGACTATAAATGTAGAGGATTCTTGATTTGAATGCAGGTGAATAACACCTTCTGGGGAAGTACTTATGGGTATTGAGATATATAACTTAAAAATATGATCTCGTTTTCATTTGTTGTGTTTTCACACTACACTAGGTGCTAAAAGCTCCCAGTCTGCTTCTGTCATTCCCTTATTGAGTCACGTTAAGTCAAGATGAAATGTAATAAGCAAGGTGTCTGTGAACTCACTAGGAGTTACTGGGAGATAAGCCACTTCAAGACATGCACTGTGTCTTCAGATTCCCATCAGACAGCCTCTCCCTAGATGGCTATTTCACTAGAAGCCACAGAAATATCCCAGTGACTTACAGTTTCCAACTAAATACTCTAGGGAAACACTAGGAGGACTTTCTGCAATGATAGAAATGTTCTGTATCTGCTCTGTCCAATGTGATAACTAGCACTTGAAATGTAGGTAGTTTGAGGAAGTGAATTTGTTATTTTATTTTATGAGACAGAGTTTCGCTCTTATTGCCCAGGCTGGAGTGCAAGGGTTCAATCTTGGCTCACCGCAACCTCTGCCTCCCGGGTTCAAGTGATTTTCCTTTCTCAGCCTCTCAAGTAGCTGGGATTACAGGCATACACCACCAAGCCCAACTAATTTTTGTATTTTTAGTGGAGACGGGGTTTCTCCATGTTGGTCAGGCTGGTCTTGAACTCCCGACCTCAGGTGATCTGCCCGTCTCGGCCTCCCAAAGTGCTGGGATTACAGGCATGAGCCACCTCACCCTGCCAGTTTTATTTAATTTTAAGTGAGTGTAACTTAAATAGCAGTGTGTGGTTAGGGGCTACTGCAGTGTACAGTGCAGCTCTAGAGACCGTCTTAAACTGTTTGTTCAGCTCCCCCAAGACACCATTCACCTCAGTCACCACCAGAAGTCTCCACCTTCCAGTTTTCCATGATAACCCAGAGACTTAGCCCGAAAATGCTCTTGATATTTCTAATCTCCAGCTCTTCATCGCCCTCCATAATGCCCTCTGGATTTGAGTTTTATAACATCAGTAAACTTCCTTGGAACCTCAACTTCTAAACTTTCTTGATATAGCTGAAGTTTTACTGTGCCACTTAGGATATCACTTCCCCAATCACTTCCCCAACCACCATCTCAAATGAAGGATGATTTTTCACCTACATTTCATGCACTGCAAGACCTACTTTTTCCGGTAATTATCTTCTTAGCTCCCCAGTGCTGCTTCCATGTCACTTTTCCACTTTTCTTTTAAAAAAATTACAACTACTTTTAAGCTCATGCTGTCAGTTCATATCACTAACTTGTCAGTCACTCTCCCCTCCCACTTATACTCATTGAAGACTTTCATACTGACTTCTTTTCCAACAGCATTTTGGTAATTTCAAAATTCATATTGATAATTCATTAAACACTTGAGTCATTCATATTCTTGAGCCCTTTATCGATAATAATCTTGCACCTCAACAACTGTCTCTTACAATTGTATCCTATAACTATATCATATTCTAAAATCTCAAATTTGAGCATACTATTTTCTCCCACATTTTATTTTTTATTACTTTTTAGACTTTTATTTAGGGTTCAAGGGTACATTTGCAGGTTTGTTACACAGGTAAACTTGTGTCATAGGGGTTTGTTGTACAGATTATTTTGTCACCCAGGTATTAAGCCTAGTACCCATAGTTATTTTTCCTGATTCTCTCCCTCCTTCCACCCTCCACCTTCCAATAGGCCCCAGTGTGTGTTGTTCACCTCTATGTGTCCATGTGTTCTCATCATTTAGCTCCTACTTGTAAGTGAGAACACGTGGTATTTGTTTTCAATTCCTGCATTAGTTTGCTAAGGATAATGGCCTCCAGCTTCATCCATGTTCCTGCAAAGGACATGATCTTGTTCTTTTTTTATGGCTGCATAGTATTCCATGGTGTATATGTACCACATTTTCTTTATCCAGTCTACCATTGATGGTCATTTGATTCTATGTCTTTGCTATTGTGAATAGTGCCGCAATGAACATACACATACATGTGTCTTTATGATAGAAGAATTTCTCTCCAATATTTTATGCTTTTGACTAAATTTTAAATAAAGTATTCTCACTTCAGCAATTATTCCACTCATTGAGGTCTCTCATTCCATTAGTGCTTCTATCTTTTTCTTCAATACTTCAATAATATCTACTCTTTTTTTTAAGCTTAGGATACCATGTCTACTGCATGTATCTGCCTTTAAGAAACACTTTTCAAGCTTTACTCTCTTTCCTTCTGTCAAAATTTACTGCAAATCTTGGGTACACCTAATATTGACAACAATGCTTCCTACCTAAGCAGTTGAGCAGTTGGAGCAATTGGAGAAAATTGAACTACCAAGGCAGCTTTTCTCAATTTTAAAGACCTTGGATCTTGAATGGGCACCTGGCACTGCCTGGCAATCTTACTCTATCTCCTTAATAAATATGTTATCTCACACTCTAAAGGTGACCATCTGGCATCTCCTTACATCTTAAATTTCTATCTTACTCCTTTGATGTCAACCGATCATCTTTCCTCATGGTTTACTGAGAAAACAGAAGCAATCAGACAAGCTCTCTTCCATCTCTCCACTATTACTAGTGTATCTGTGTGTGCACAGGTATTCTGCTTTTTTTTTTTTTTAATCCTATAAAACACTGACTCCTCACTTGTGTTTCATATTCCTTTCAGACTGGCAAGCTGTTCTGATCCCAGAAAGTCTTCCTCTCTTTCTTGCATCATCAACTTCTTACTCTTTACTGGATCAATTTTATTGGTGTGTAATACACTCCAGTACCACTCATCTTAAAAATAATTTCCAATCCCATGTCCTTCTCAGCTATTTTCCCATTTCTCCAATCTTCACAAGAAAGCCTCTCATTACTTTCTATATCTGAAACTACTATCTTCTCACTCTTCACTCTCTCTGTTTTCTGTTAATGGTGTCCAACTGAGATTTAGTTTCTATTATTTTATTGAAATTCCTCTTTTGCCTACCAACATCTTGGCATATCTCAGTTGTTAATATACTCAAATATTCAAAAGCATTAAGCACACTGTCCACTTCACCCTGTGCAAAACACATTTTCTTCATTTGGACTTTCATAATGCCACACTTTTCTGTTTCATCCTTCTCTGTATGCTCTTCCTAAGGCTCCTTTCTCTACCCTCTTCTTCTTTATATGACTTATATTAAGGGACTTCTAGGGTTGGTTTCCCTTCAGTGATCTCATTTACTCTCATGACTTTAAATGTAGCTGCCTGAAGACATAAACAAAGCCCCCTGTTTAAAAACTATCAGAAACAATATTTTAAATAATTTTTTTCTTGTTTTTTTTTTTTCTTTTCTTTTTGAGATGGAGTCTCACTCTGTCACCCGTCACCCCAGACTGGAGTGCGGTGGCACTATCTCAGCTCACTGTAAGCTCCACCTCCTGGGTTCACGCCATTCTTCTGCCTCAGCCTCCCAAGTAGCTGGGACTATAGGCGCCCACCACCATGCCTGGTTAATTTTTTTTGTATTTTTCAGTAGAGAGGGGGTTTCACCTTGTTAGCCAGGATGGTCTTGATTTCCTGACCTTGTGATCCACCCACCTTGGCCTCCCAACATGCTGGGATAACAGGCATGAGCCACCGCACCCGGCCCCGATAATTTCTTTACAAATTATCTGATTAACTCTGTGAATATGGGAAATAACAATCATAGAGTCATTTTGTCCCTCCAAAAAGTATTCTGTTTTTCTGGAGCAGTTTGGAAATAAAAGAAAGAAAAAGAAAAAAATTAATGATGTTATTTACCCACTACCCACATATTCCATAAATTAATCTAGTTTTCTTATTAAAATATTGTTTTATACCTACTTGAAATAATTTCAAATATATAACTTAAAGGTTATTTTGCAGATATAACTGTTTTAGTAAATTTAGACAAGAGAGCAATTTATTTTCTTACTTTGAAGAGAAAGAATAAGTTTTGTTCACTTGAGACATAGGATTTAGTTAAATTTAGTCTTCTCTAAGTCCTCAAAAGCAGTTGCAGAAAAGGAAAAATTGACAAGTGGGACATAATTAAACTAAAGAGCTTCTGCAGAGCAAAATAAACCATCAACATAGTAAACAGAAAACCTACAGAATGGGAGAAAATATTTACAAATGATGCATTTGACGGAGATCTAATACCCAGAATCTGCAGGAAACTTAAACAATTGAACAAGCAAAAACCAAATAGCTCCATTAAAAATAGGGCAAAAGACATAAATAGACACTTCTCAAGGGAAAACATGAAAGCAGCCAACAAACCTGTGAAAAAATGCTCCACATCACTTATCATCAGAGCAATGCAAATCAAAACCACAGTGAGATACCAACTCACACCAGTCAGAATGGCTATTATTAAAAAGTCAAAAAGCAACAGATGTTGGTGAGGCTGCAGAGAAAAGGGAACACTTATACACTGTTGGTGGGAATGTAAATTAGTTCAGCCACTGTGCAACGTAGTCTGGAGATATCTCTAAGAACTTAGAACTACCATTTGACCCAGCAATCCCATTACTGGGTATATATCCAAAAGAAAACAAATCATTCTACCTAACAAAACAAAAAACAAGAACAACAACAAAAACAACCTACAGTCACTCACATGTTCATTGCAGCACTATTCATAATAGCAAAGACATGGGATCAACCTAGTTGCCCATCAATGGTGAATTGGATACAGAAAATGTGGTACATATACACTGTGGAATACCACATAGCCAAACCAAGAATGAAATCATGCCTTTTGCAGCAATGTGGATGCAACTGGAGGCCATTATCCTAAGAGAATTAAACAGAAACAGAAAACCAAAGACTGCATGTTCTCAGTTTAAGTGGCAGCTAAACATTGCAGGCTCATGGACAGAAAGATGACAACAATAGACACCAGGGACTACTAGATGGGGGAAGATGGGAGGGCCAAAGGTTGGAAAACTGTTGGGTACTATGCTCAGGACCTGGGTGATACAATCATTCGTACCCCAAATCTCAGCATCATGCAATATATCCAGGTAAGAATCCTGCATATGTGCTCCCTGAATCTAAAATGCTGCAAAAAATACATTAGTCTTTTTGGGGTCTTGCATTAATTTTATTATTTATATTATAAAGTTTCTTTATTTAATTTTAGTTTTTCTATTAGCTCAAAGTAAGTTTGTGCTTTTTAAGTCCCGTATAAGAAATCTTTGCCTACCCCAAGATTACAAAGATTTTCTTCTATGTATTTTTTGGGGAAATTTTAGCTTTTACAATTAGTACTATAATTCTCATGTTAAATTTTATGTGCAGTGTTAGGTAAAGTTCATGTTTATTTTTTTCCCATATGCATATAAAGTTCTTCAAACACTATTTGTTGAAAACATTTTACTTCCTCTTTGAATTATCTTGGTACCTTTGTTAAAATTCAGTTGACTATATATATATATATATATATAAAATAAATATATTATATATATTTTTAATATTTGAATTAAATATAATTATTTAAATAAATTTTTAATTAATTACATAAATATTTAAATATATTTATATATAAATAAATTTATATATAAATATATATATAAAAAGAAAATATGGAAGAAAAAATAGGGTCCTATATATACATACATATATGAAGAATTTTTATTTTAACAATGACTTTGTAAGTTAGTTTTTATTTTATCAAAATTTTACATGTGCTTATTTTTAAAAGTCAAATAGTTATACAAGAATTGTAATAATACTGCTGCACTCTGCATAAAACCTCTCACTCCTAATCTTCTCTTCAGAAGCGATAACTTTACAATAGTTTCATAGCTAATTCTTTTGCTATTTGCCTCTATATATCATTCAGTAATTTGTCAAAGACATAAAAATTAGAATTATAAAAATAAAAATTAAGTAGATATTTAAATGTAAAAATTCAATGATAGGGTCGAAAGATAGAGTTGAGGAAATCTTCAGTAAATCCTAAATGGCATAGTAATGTAAAATTACAAAGAAGTATAAAATAAAAGAAATTCTAATATATGAAGAATAAAAGTCCCAGGAAGAGAAGAGAGAGAAAACAGAAGACAGTAAGTCATCAAATAATAGTTCTAGTGAAATTTGCAGAAGTACATATGAGTTTCCAGGTTAGAAGGACTCATCAAAAGTCTAAGACAACAGATGAAAATATATCCATACCAGGGCACTTAGTAATAATATTTTAGAAAACTAGAAAAGATGTAATCCTTAAGTTTCCAAAAAGAACAAAAGTTTTTATATAAGTGAGTATAAGAATACCATTAAATTTCCACTTTAGGGCAAGGTTTGGGAAACTAAGTAATATACTTTGTGTGGCGACTTTTGTGCTAAAATGGAAGAGTTGAGGAGTTTTGACAGAGAACATACAGCCCGCAATGCCTGAAGTATTTACTGTCTGGTCCTTTACTGAAAAAGTTTGCCAACACTTGCCTTAGAAATACTAGTGTTACAAGCAATAGATTAATTACTTCAAAATCCTGAAAGAGCAGTATATCCAACTTAGAATTCTGCAGTAAAATATTCCATGAAATATGAGACATATTCAGATATATAATCTCTCGGAAATTTACTTCTCAGCATACTTAATTCAGTTTAATTCATTCTCCCTTAATTGCTTTTCTGAACTTTCTCTGTTCCATTTAACTTGTACAAATTTGTTAATTTTCTTAATAGTCAAGTTACAAATAAAGAATTTGGGATATCTGAGCAGTGATTTTCTCACTGAAGCCACTATTCCTTCATTAGAATCAATTAACATCTGGAGTTAATATGGTCAACTCCAGAGGTGGAATGGGCCACCCCATCAAAAATTTGGTTTGAATGCTGAGATTAGTGACATCATACACACATCAAAAAGTTACGAAAAGGTTTATTACTCACATAATGAGGTTTTCTGGGCAGAACAGGGAATTTTTCCTGACAGGTCCAAGTTGGTTAGAAAGAGCAGGTATCAGAAACAATTAGAAAGCTGGCTTGGGTTTTTAGGATGTTTAACGGGTGGCACTGGAGTGAAGGCTGTTGTGCAGAGGCTGGGAACTCGTGTGGTTTGAAGTTTTCACCAGTGCTAAAGGAGAGAGCAGACAGGCTATCCTGTCAGCTTCCCCGATATAGTGCAGAAAGGCAAAGGGGTGACATGGAGCTTGAAAGCTGTCAGCAGTCAAATGGCAAAATGGAGGCAGACCCTTTTTGACAGAAGTCATTATATTAATATAATAATAATTACACAAAACACATTATTTGAAGGTGGAATCTTCTTTGTCCATTTTTAGGCTACTTCCCTCTGATAGTGCAAAATATTTATTTTTATTTATGCCAGGGTACTCAAAAGGAAAAGTACAGTAACGGGGTAATTGGTATAATAATCTGCTGTTATTATTTGATAGACATCAAATTTAATCTGAGGGAAGTTACTTATGAAATATTTCATAAGTTTTTAAAATGTTATAGTTTATAAGTTTTAAATTTGTTTGCAAGGCAGACAGTTCCAGCTTCTTTTGTGAGAGCTAGTATTAACACGACTCTTTACAAGGTAAATTTTTGATTTGCGGAAGATACCCAGCAACTTGTTTTCTGGAATGGAATTGTTTGAAGCAAGTATTAAGAGCTCTGCCATGTTTAGGGCTGATGTCTTTTCATAGTGGAAAGCACATATTCAAGGCTGGGGACTCTGACACCTTATTATGGTGGTAGCACTGAGCAGGGCCTCTTATGTAGTTATAGTTTTTCTGATAAATTTTAAATGGATATAATCTCTAGGCAATAGATAACCGAATCATTCATTTGGGTCAAGAGGTAAGGCGTTTTACCTCTGTGACAATAGCATCTCAATAACTTAGATTCATACTTTGAACTATTATAGTATGTCTATACCTAGTACTAAAATATCCCTTTTAACTCCCATAGGTAGGTTGCCTGTGGGGTGTAATAAAAAGCCTTATGGTGTTCCCACTAGTGTTTTACCTTTTTATTTTATTTATTTATTTTTACATAACACATTTAAAAGTAGTATGAGTAGAATATTTGCACATTTAAGTAATGTTTCTCTACAAAGTTTGGCATAATTTATTTCCCAACATTTCTTTGTTGTGTATTGGTAGACATTCTCTACAATTTCATGTACAAAACAGTTCTTTTCATTGCTATAGACAGCTAATGGTATCCTAAGTATTTTCCTTATAGTCATTATGTTAGGCTTTATATATGGATAGATTTAATCAATTCTGAAAACAAACCTATAACTAAATATGACCAGAAGATTTTTCAGCTAACTAAAACAACCTGAATATACTAACAATCCTTTTTTTCAATTTTTTAATTTAATTTTATTTTTAGTAGAGATAAGGTTTCGCTATGTTGGCCAGACTGGTCTCAAACTCCTGACCTCAAGTAATCTGCCCACCTCCGCCTCCCAAAGTAAGCACTGGGATTACAGGCATGAGCCACCATGCCTGGCCTATATTAACAATTCTTAAGGGAAAATATATAAAGAATATCAGTTTGTATTCAAAGCTCTTTAGAAAATACAATTAATTACAACCGTTATCTTTCATGGATGCTTAAATTGTTGCAATTTGGATATTAGATACCCTTCTAAGTTGGTGTGATTTAGAATCAACACAGAGCTCCTGAAACATGTGTATAACAATATCTACTAGACTTGCCCCCAAACCCTGTTCCAACCCTCTAAGAAATTCTGATTTCTTTTAGTAGAGGAAAAAAATGTGGAAGATAAAATTCTGTGCACCAAGGCCCGTGTCAGACACACAGAGCTGAGGCAACACTATTCTTAGGTTATACCAATAAGCAAAGCTAGAAATTATATATTTTTAAAAATTACAATACTGACATTTTCATTTTAACTCTAACATTGACTACTAAAAATGTGTTAACGCTAACAAATTATAATTAAATATCTTTTTCTCTGATAATTTAGTTCTCTGTACAATTAAATTTTTTGTTGAAAATATCTAACAAACCTGAAATAATTAATTTGTAAGTTAACAAAATAATGTTAAAGTAATAATAAAATAAAAAGCAATAATATTCTTACTTAAACTAAGGGTTTTAGTTTTTGTTGCAATGTCTTTGAGGACTTAGTCATAAATTACTTGTCAAGGCCAATATTGAGAAAGGTATTTCCTAGCTTTTCTCCTACAATTTTTATAGTTTGAAGTCGTACATTTAAGTCTCTGTCTTGAGTTAATTTTTGTATATGGTGAGAGTAGAGGTCCAGCTTCGTACTTTTGCATATGGCTAGTCAGCAAACCCAGCAGCATTGATTGAATAGGGAGTCTTTTCTCTGTTGCTTATTTGTTGACTTTGTTAAAGATCAGATGGCTGTAGGTATGTGGCTTTATTTCTGGGTTTTCTAGTTTGTTCCATTGATCTGTGTGTCTGCTTTTGTACCAGTACCATGCTGTTTTGGATACCATAGCCTTGTAGCATAGTTTGAAACTGAGTAATGTGATGCCTCCTGTTTTGCTCTTTTTGCTTGGGATTGCTTAGCTGCTCAGGCTTTTATTTTGGTTCCATATGAATTTTAGAATTAACTTTTCTAATTCTATGAAAAATGACATTGGCATTTTGATAGTAATATCACTGAATCTGTAGATTACTTTGGACAGTATGGCCATTTTAATGGTGTTGATGCTTCCAATCCATGAGCATGGAATGTTTTTCCATTCATTTGTGTCATCTCTGATTTCTTTCAGTAGTGTTTTGTAGTTTTCCTTGTACAGACATTTCACTTCCTTGGTTAGCTGCATTCCTATGTATTTTATTCTTTTTGTGGCTATTGTACATGAGATCAGATTCTCGATTTGGCTCTCGGCTTGATCATTATTGGTATACTGAAATGGTACTAAATTTTGTACAACAATTTTGTTTCCTTACTGAAATTGTTTATCAGCTCTAGGAGCCACTTGGCAGAGTCTTCAGGGTTTTCTAGGTATAGAATCATATCATCAACAAAGAGAAATAGCTTGACTTCCCTTCATATTTGGATGCCTTTTATTTCTTTCTCTTGACTGATTGCTCTGGCTAGGACTTCCAGTACTATGTTTAATAGGAGTGGTGAGAGCAAGCCTCCTTGTCTTGTTCCAGTTCTCAAGGGGATTGCTTCAAGCTTTTTCCCATTCAATATGATATTGGCAGTGGGTTTGTCATTGATGGCTGTTACTATTTCAAAGTATGTTCCTTTGACATCTAGTCTGTTGAAGGTTTACATCATGAAGGGATGTTGGATATAAAAAGCTTTTTCTGTGTTTATTGAGATGATCATATGATTTTTGTTTCTAATTCTGTTTATGTGGTGACTCACATTTATTGATTTGCATATGTTGAATTAACCTTGCATCCCAGGAATAAAGCCTACTTGATCGTGGGGGATTATCTTTCTTAGGTGCTGTTAGATTCACTTTGCTATCATTTGTTAAGGATTTTTTGTGTCTATATTCATCAGTGATACTGGCCTGAGGTTTTTTTGTTGTTGTTTCATTGTGTCTCTGCCAGCTTTTGGTATCAGGATGATGCTGGCTTTGTAGAATGAGTTAGGGAGGAATCCCTCCTGCTCAATTTTTTTTTTTTTTTGGAATACTTTCAGTAGAATTGGCATCAGCTCCTCTTTGTACATCTGGTACAATTTGGTTGTGAATTCTTCTGGTCTGAGGCTTCTTTTGGTTGGTAGGTTTTTTATTACTAATTCAGTTTTGGAACTCATTATTGGTCTTTTTCGGGTTTTCAATTTCTTCCTGATTCAATCTTGGCATTACATGTCTCCAGGAATTTATCCATTTCCTCTAGATTTCCTAATTTGTGTACATAGAGGTGTTCATAATAGTCTATGAGGATTTTTTGTATTTCTGTGGGATCAGTTGTAATGTCATCTTTGTCATTTTGGAATGTGCTTATTTGGATCTTCTCTCTTTTTTCTTTAAGCTAGCTAGTGGTCTACAAATTTTGTTTATCCTTTTAAAAAACCAACTTTTTGGTTTCATGGATTTTTGGGTGTGGATTTTTGCATCTCAATTCCACTCAGTTCTGCTTTGATTTTGGTTATTTTCTTCTTCTAGCTTTGGGATTGGTTTGTTGTTTTTTGTCTAGTTCCTCCAGTTGCAATATTGTAAATCTGCGATCTTTCTAACTTCTAGATGTAGGTGTTTAGCATTATAAAATTTCCTCTTCACGCTGCTTGAGCTGCATTCCAAAGATTTTGGTGTGCTGTGTCTCTGTTTTCATTAATTTCAAATAATTTTTTGATGTCTACCTTAATTTTGTTGTTCACCCAAAAGTCATTCAGGAACAAATTATTTAATTTCCATGTCATTGTGTAGTTTTGAGAGATCTTCTTGGTATTGATTTCTATTTTTATTGCACTGTGTTCTGAGAATGTACTTGGAATGAGTTCAATTTTTAAAAAATATATTAAGACGGCCGGGCGCGGTGGCTCACGCCTGTAATCCCAGCACTTTGGGAGGCCGAGGCGGGCGGATCACGAGGTCAGGAGATCGAGACCATCCCGGCTAAAACGGTGAAACCCCGTCTCTACTAAAAATACAAAAAATTAGCCGGGCGTAGTGGCGGGCGCCTGTAGTCCCAGCTACTTGGGAGGCTGAGGCAGGAGAATGGCGTGAACCCGGGAGGCGGAGCTTGCAGTGAGCCGAGATCCCGCCACTGCACTCCAGCCTGGGCGACAGAGCGAGACTCCGTCTCAAAAAAAAAAAAAAAAAAAAAAAAAAAAAAAAAAAAATATATATATATATATATATATATATATGAAGACTTGCTGTATGTCCAAGAATGCAGTTGATCAGTTTGGTTCTTTTAAAAAATGGTTATTTCATCTTTCAACTCTTGCACCATTTTACTGGTTTCCTTGGATTTCTTGTATCAGATTTCAGCTTCCTCCTGCATCTTACTGAGTTTCCTTGTCATCCAGACTCTGAATTCTATGTCTATCATTTCAGCCTTTTCAATCTGGTTAAAAACCATGGCTGGGGAGCCAGTGTGATCGTTCAGAGGTAAGGAAACACTCTGACTTTTTGAATTGTTACAATTATTTCACTAATTCTCTCTCATCTGATAGAGCTGATGGTCCTTTATCTTTTAGAATTTGCTGTCATTTTGATGGGGCGCTATGTTTTTATATTCTTTATTTCTCTTGAGGGTTTGACTATAGGGTAAGTTGAGTACAGTCAATTGACTTATTCTGGGTGTTTACTGAAGGCCAAGGCTCTATACAGGATCCTTATTTGTGGCTAGATTCCTGCACTAGGTTTCACAGGTTGTGTATGCCTGCAATTTTTTTTTTTTTTTTTTTTTTTTGGTGGTGTAATTCAGGTTACAATCCAGTAGATAGCACTTAAGAGTAAAGTAAAGGCAGGCAGCTAGGCTACTCACCTGCATGCCTCTTTTGTATTTCAGTGTGTTCACAGCAGTGCATTGTGGCAAGGGAGACAGGAAGGGAGTAGAGATGACCCCTTTGCCAGATCCGTTCCTGGGCCTTAAGGGAGCCCGATCACTGGCACTGCACCTGCATTTCCTTAGCCCCAAGGGTGGGGTGGCCTGAATCGATGGTTAGGTTGCCAGGAGACCTGCAGCTCCCCAGTGGCCCACTGGTTCTCTGTGTTTGGCAGAGTCAGAATGGGCTGTGGGAAATGTCCGCGGGTGATCTGTTGAGGCAGTAGGTCAAGGACAGGGTATCTTGAGGCAGGATGTTGTTGCTGTAGGTGTGGAGCTGATGTGGCACCTGTGGCTTGGGTTTTTTTTGCCCAACACACAGCTGTGGGGACCACCCAGCTCACTTTCCCTCAACTGGGTCTCCTTCTGGTGTCTGTCCCAGTATCTGGCCCAATTTGCTAGTTTTGTCCCAAGCCTTCTACACCCAGATCACTGGGTTATTAGATGCTCCAGGCCATGGGGGTTCCCTCAGGATGAGTCTGTGGCTTGCAGCCATGCCACACCCTTCGCAGCCCTGAGGAGGGAGACACACCCAGCTCCTGCACCAGCCTAAGAACCTGCACCCACTCTTGACAGTGTACTGAGAGTGAGGGTTCTTCCCATGCTGAAGCTCCAGCCACAGATCTCAGCTCTGCACTCCTGAGCTGTGTGCTGTAACTGTAGGGGTGGGAACTGGACCTTCAGCTTTGTTCTCTGGCCCCTTGAGTCTAGCACCAATTATCCTGGGCGTGCTGAGCTGCTCCCAGGCTGCCAACAAAGCATTCCAGAGAGGTTGACTGACAGAGCACTCAAATGAGGCAGTGGAGGTGGTGCTGCCTGCCTGCTCCTGTGAGAGGGCCAGGCAGGGATCCCTGGAGGGGCCGGTAGAATCAGCGGCTGCAGATCTGATGTGCCCTGGCCTCTGGGAACGACAGCCAGCCGTGTTCTCTCCCAGCCTGGCAGTCAGCAAAGGCTAGAGCCACTCAGAGGAATATGGGGAGCCATGGGGGATGGGCGCTTATGGCCATGTCTTCTTCAATTGTCCAACCCCCTGGGTTCCACACAGGGTTGAGCTCTGTCTCTGGTTACTCCCAGGGCAGTTCCCTCTGCCAGTTCCACTGTTCATGCAGGTATTGAGTGGGATCTCTTGTAGCTAGGATCCTAGAAGTCCATGGTGAGAGTGGATTGCCTCATGGTTACTGTACTCACTACTTCCTTAGGAGCCATTCAGGCCCAGAAACAAGTCCTGGCAATCAACAATCCCATGCAGGTTCCCAGCTTCCTCCCTCTTTCACCTCCTTAGGTCTGTTTCACTTCTCTACCAACTCTCAGTGTTTTCCTTGAAAGACCTGCTTAAAATGTGCTGCTTTACTCAATATTTTGGTCTCACTTGGTGGAACAGGCTCTTCCTAGTTGGCCAACCTGTACCCCTTCCTCAATATAATTATTGTTGATATAGTTGGATTTACCTGTTTTATTATTTAGTTTCTGTTGTATTTACTCTCTTATTTTTCATTTCCCCGTTTCCAACTGTCTTTTGAAATTTTAGCATTTCATTTTAAATTACATATTGGCTTTTGGCTATCTTTCTTTACATATGTAAATAATTCTTATTTCTATATATATAATATTTAATTTTAAAATAAATTAATGTTAATTTTTAAAGTTTAAATTTAAACACGTTTAATTTTAACCACATATACACATTTGAGTAAGATAATGACCTCAGTAAATTATTTCACCACTTTTTGTTCTTTTTATGAGATCTTAAATCATTTTACAAGCAGATAAGACATAGAAATAAAGCACAAATGTAAACTGTATATGTGAAATTATGTATTCATGTTTATTTTAATTTTTATCCAAGAACTTATAATAAAGTTCATGGTCTATAAATTTAGATAAACCTTGTTAGTATGATTTTAATGAAAATCCTTAAATTACCAGAAAGTTTCATTTTCACATTGTGTTTAGATAGCACACCATATGATTATTAAATAGAGAAATTATGGATATAAATAGGTTTTGAGGTTTCTCTAAATTTTTTTTAATTCCTTTTACCAACCAGAACTACAGATGTAATTTCCATATATATATACATTTTAGTGTCTGGCTTTAAACTTTTAAATATTTAAATGTCTAGAGAAATATATAATTTTTTTTTAGTTCAAAGTGTTCAAAATAAAAGTACCACAAATATTATTTGAGATTTTAAAGGAACTACTTTGTACAACCTATTAATTATTGAGATTATTTTATGTAGTTGCAGATCCATATTTAGGTGATATTACATGCCTTTAAATATCATTCAGTTATGATAAATACTTTGACAACAAAGCAAATATAAGAAATTTAGAAAACTTTCTTTCATTTACTCTTTTTTACAAATATCTAAAAGCTTATAAAAATTAAAGTGCCATACTTTCTATTTAATCTTATGAAAATTCCCATTAGAGATTTAGGACCTTATTTAGGGTCTGAGGGATTTGGCCATGGTGAGATTGATCCTGCCAATTCTCCATTGAAATCTAAATCACAGCAAAAGTTTGTGGGGAGTATAAATAAGATTTTGCATTATAACTATTGCTAGAAAGTGTCAGAAACTCTTTAATTTATCATTTTCTTAGTCTTTTGCAAAAGTGAGATAGATAATGGAAGACAGGCAACACAAAAAAATTCTTCTGGCTTTCTCTGACATTTTGGGGAACAAAGAATGTAAAGGGAAAACTTACATACATAATGTCATTCTCACAGTGAAATTATGGTCATGTACTTGATTAACTAACACTATTTCCTAAAATAAGAATTGTGCTCTCCCCAAGAAATTCTCTTAATAATGGAGGTTAGAGGCTACATTGAAGATATAGCTGTTGTAGTAAAATTTGACACAAATGTTCTTGGAAAGATATCACAAATGACAAAAGCCTGCTTCATGAAATATAGAGCAGGGTATGGTTAAATTTAGTCTTATTAGGACCTTAGCTTTAGCCTGATAAATCAACAAGCCAAGTTTTAATTTCATGTCAGTGCCCTTATCAAGGAAAGAAGGTCTTTCCAGCATACAATTTGTGTGAATAAAGTATCTTTTGGTCTAGAGAGATTGTTTCCTATTTGGGAAATAGTTGTCTTTGTTGAAAAACTGGAGACCTATATAGGCATGCAAATACATATTTTTATGTTTTTATGACTTTTACTCTTCACAAGATTATAAAATATTTTGACATACCAAAAAAGTCAGAGCAGTATTGATGGGGTTCAGGATGTGCTACCCTAAAATATGGCACCATGGCATTTGAGAAAACAGCAGAAGCAGGAAGGTCACACTGACTTTCCCCTTTTCTCCCAGAAAGCAGGTCATAAAACCTAGGAAGGTCACTGTTTGCCCTTCTACTGCCCATCTCCCCCTAAGTGGGTCATAAGATCCTTAACTAAAAGGTGCTACCTCTATACCTAGAGGAAAGGAGCAAAAGACACAGAGATGCCAAGGAAAAACTGAACAAATAGGCCTTGCTGAGTCTTCCTGGAGTTTATTATCATTAGATCATATTCTTTTTTCCTCCAATTGTATTTCTCCATGCCTGTCTACTTTTCACTAAACTAAGCACAAAACACACAAGTTTACAAGTTTCTCTGAGTCTTCATTTTCTTAAATTTTAATATTTAATTTTTGTGAGTACAGAGTAGGTATATATATATTTAGGGGTACATGATATATTTTGATATAGGCATGCAATGTGTAAATGTGTATATTGGAAACATTTTTTAAATTATGAACTATAAATGAGAAATCCATCACCTCAAGCATTTATCCTTTGTGTTACAAAAATCCAGCTATACTCTTATTTTTAAATGCATAATTAAATTATTATTGACTACTATGCTATCAAATACTAGAACTTATTCATTCTATTTTGTGTGTGTGTGTGTGGAGTCTTTATTTTCTTGTGAAGACTTCTGTATCATGTAAAACTTCTATTAAAAATTGTATGGTCCTTTTCTTTTGTTAATATGTCTTTTGTTGTAGGTGTCTTAGTCATGAACATAGAGATTTATGTAGAGATAAATCTTTTTTTCCCTACACCATACTAACAGAACAAAGAACCCCCATGTGCCCTCCACCCAGCTGAAGGTCTAAAATATTATCAAAATAGTAAAGAGATTTTGTAATTCTCTCTTATCCCATCTATCTTCCTCCTCCACAAAAGTGACTACTATTTGATATTCATCATTCCCCAAAATGTCTTTATACTATTTTGAGAGATGAATGCATGAATAGCTCCAATTAAAACTTCATGTTGGAGTCTTTCTCTTTGTGGTATAAATTTCTGGCATGTTTGCCTGGGTTCCCCCTACCTCTGGAGTTTTTTTTTTTTTCATGTTTTTTCTTTAAAATCTTTAGTTGGTAAATAAATATATATCTTCTTGCTATAACTCAACTCTAATATCCTTCAATTTTATTCTATCTTTTACTGGCATTATTTAATTTTGCTGCTTAAATTCCATTGACTTTCTCTTCCTATTTGGACCAGTTACTTCATATTTGGACAATTATTTTCTCATATAAATTTTTGTTTAGTTATAGTTTTACAAAAGGGATTTTGACATTTGCCAGGTATCCACTAAAATTCACCTTAGTTATTTGGTATTCTTTGTGCCCCACAAGGTGTATCTGTAACTCATAGTTAGGAATTTCCTTTCTTTCTCCGTCCCTCCCTTTGTCCCTCCCTCCCATTTTCCTTCCTTCCTCCCTCCCTCTCTCCTTCCTCCCTCCCTCCCTCTTTCCTTCCTCCCTCCCTTCTGCCCTCCCTCTCCTTCCCTCCCTCTCTCTCCTTCCCTTCCTTCCTCCCTCCCTCCCTCCCTTCTTTCCTTCCTTCTCTGTATTTTAAAGGTAGATCAAGAGGAGGAGATAAAAGCATACGCTCATTTGCAGTCTTGATCCGGAGGCGTCTTTAAGGTTTTCTGAAATAATTTCAGACTTACAGAAAAGATGTGAAAATAGTACAAAGAATTCTCAAATATCCTCCATCCAGATTCTCCAAATTAACTTCAATATTTTTACATTTATATTACTTTTTTCTGAAATGTTCGAAAGTTGTAGACAAGATATTCCTTTTTCTCTAAAGACTTCAGTCTACGCTGCCTATAAATAAAGGCATTTTTTAAATTAACACAGAACAATTATTAAAATCAGGAAATTAATTTTGATACAGTGCTTTAAACTATAGGTAGTTAAAATTGATCAATTGCCCAACCAATGTCTTTCTATTACAGAGGAAAACTTGTTTTCTTGTCTGAGGTCTAATTTATGATTGTATATTGCATTTGGCTGGTTGTCATGTCTCTGGTTTACTTCGAAATGCTCCTTAGATTTTTTTTTATAACCTTGATATATTGTTAATATAAGAGGTCAATTATTTGTAAAATACCCCTCAGTTTGGGTTTATGCAGTCTTTTTTCATTATTAGATTCAGGTTACCCATTTTTGGCAGGGATACATCAGAAATTCTGTTGTGGTCATATCAGGGAAACATTAAAATTCACATGGTGTCATTTGTCTCCTTACTGGTGCTAACTTTGATCACATGGTTAAGATGAGGTCGAGGTTTCTTAAAATTTATAAGGGGTTTTACAGAAAGGGTAATGAGTAGAGAAGTGACAGTTAGGGATGCAGAGCTGTAGCAAGTACTATGGGAATAAGGAGCTGAGGAAGTGAAGCCTGGAAAGATGGAGTCACAGGTTTAGACAGAGAGCGCTCGTCAACGCTCCTAAAGCACAGGCATGGGTGGAGAGCTCCATGGACCTATCAAGAAATTCCAGATGCCAAGCATATCCAGTCACCAAAGGAGGAACATGAGGAAGGAACTTGGGATGAGCTCTATAAGATCTTGTGTCCACAGCTTATTGTCTGTGGATCCACAGAAAGGTTCTTGTAGTAGGTCTGAGGTTGCTACTGTTCAGCAGAATGGGAACTATGTGGAAATAGGGAAAACTTTTTTTTTTTTGGTTTTAGGCTTCCTTTAAACATTAATTGACAACTATACTACTTATAATTGAATTAAAAGATGACATTCCTAGGGATAAATATAACAAAATGTGTGCAAAAATTATATACTGACAACTATAAATTATTGCTATGATATATTAAAGGAGACCTAAATAAACAGAGGGATATACCATAGTAATAAACTGAGAGACTCAATATTGTTGAGATGTCAATTATTTCAAAATTGATCTATAGTCAAATGCAATTCAAATAAGAATCCTAGAAGTCTTTTTTTTCTGTAGAAATTGACAAGCTCTTTCAAGTTCACAGAATAACCAAAATAATTTTCAAAAAAGAAAGCAAACTTATAGGAGTCAACTGTCACATTCCAAGACTTTATTTGTTGTTGTTAATGCTACATTAATTAATACAGGATGGGTTTTCTGTAAGCAGTGTAAGGAAGAAAAAGTAGTATTTTTTCCTCATCTGTCACAAGGTTCATGGCTGATACCTCTATAGCAAATGACAGATAAACAAGAGAAAAGCATAACAAATTTATTTCGATAAGGTTTTACAGGACATGAAAGTCTTCAGAAATGAAGACTCAAAGAAATGGGGAAAACTATGTATTTTGAATATGAATCAATGATACACATCTATGTATCTGAGTATGAGAAAAATCAACAGTCTTTTAGTATTTTGGGAAAGGTCAATTAATCTAATTGAATATCTATAAATGACATCTTTTGCTTTCAACAACGGGTCTTTAAGGTCAGCTAATTTATAGAGTGGTAATATATGCTTAGGTTTGATAAAGAGTGGATAGTCTCAGCTTTCTACATATGGCTAGCCAGTTTTCTCAGCACCATTTATTAAATAGGGAATCCTTTCCCCATTGCTTGTTTTTCTCAGGTTTGTCAAAGATCAGATAGTTGTAGATATGCGGCGTTATTTCTGAGGGCTCTGTTCTGTTCTATTGATCTATATCTCTGTTTTGGTACCAGTACCATGCTGTTTTGGTTACTGTAGCCTTGCAGCATAGTTTGAAGTCAGGGAGTTTGATGCCTCCAGCTTTGTTCTTTTGGCTTAGGATTGACTTGGTGATGCGGGCTCTTTTTTGGTTCCATATGAACTTTAAAGTAGTTTTTTCCAATTCTGGGAAGAAAACCATTGGTAGCTCGATGGGGATGGCATTGAATCTATAAATTACCTTAGGCAGTATGGCCATTTTCACGATATTGATTCTTCCTACCCATGAGCATGGAATGTTCTTCCATTTGTTTGTATCCTCTTTTATTTCATTGAGCAGTGGTTTGTAGTTCTCCTTGAAGAGGTCCTTCACGTCCCTTGTAAGTTGGATTCCTAAGTATTTTATTCTCTTTGAAGCAATTGTGAATGGGAGTTCACTCATGATTTGGCTCTCTGTTTGTCTGTTATTGGTGTATAAGAATGCTTGTGATTTTTGTACATTGATTTTGTATCCTGAGACTTTGCTGAAGTTGCTTATCAGCATAAGGAGATTTTGGGCTGAGACAATGGGGTTTTCTAGATATACAATCATGTCATCTGCAAACAGGGACAATTTGACTTCCTCTTTTCCTAATTGAATACTCTTTATTTCCTTCTCCTGCCTGATTGCCCTGGCCAGAACTTCCAACACTGTGTTGAATAGGAGTGGTGAGAGAGGGCATCCCTGTCTTGTGCCAGTTTTCAAAGGGAATGCTTCCAGTTTTTGCCCATCCAGTATGATATTGGCTGTGGGTCTGTCATAGATAGCTCTTATTATTTTGAGATATGTCCCATCAATACCTAATTTACTGAGAGTTTTTAGCATGAAGGGTTGTTGAATTTTGTCAAAGGCCTTTTCTGCATCTATTGAGATAATCATGTGGTTTTTGTCTTTGGTTCTGGATCCCTTCCTTACACCTTATACAAAAATCAATTCAAGATGGATTAAAGACTTAAACGTTAGACCTAAAACCATAAAAACCCTAGAAGAAAACCTAGACATTACCATTCAGGACATAGGCATGGGCAAGGACTTCATGTCTAAAACACCAAAAGCAATGGCAACAAAAGCCAAAGTTGACAAATGGGATCTAATTAAACTAAAGAGCTTCTGCACAGCAAAAGAAACTACCATCAGAGTGAACAGGCAACCTATAAAATGGGAGAAAATTTTTGCAACCTACTCATCTGACAAAGGGCTAATATCCAGAATCTACAATGAACTCAAACAAATTTACAAGAAAAAAACAAACAACACCATCAAAAAGTGGGTGAAGGATATGAACAGACACTTCTCAAAAGAAGACATTTATGCAGCCAAAAAACACATGAAAAAATGCTCACCATCACTGGCCATCAGAGAAATGCAAATCAAAACCACAATGAGGTACCATCTCATACCAGTTAGAATGGCGATCATTAAAAAGTCAGGAAACAACAGGTACTGGAGAGGATGTGGAGAAATAGGAACACTTTTACACTGTTGGTGGGACTGTAAACTAGTTCAACCATTGTGGAAGTCAGTGTGGCGATTCCTCAGGGATCTAGAACTAGAAATACCATTTGACCCAGCCATCCAATTACTGGGTATATACCCAAAGGATTATAAATCATGCTGCTATAAAGACACATGCACACGTATGTATATTGCGGCATTATTCTCAATAGCAAAGACTTGGAACCAACCCAAATGTCCAACAATGATAGACTGGATTAAGAAAATGTGTCACATATACACCATGGAATACTATGCAGCCATAAAAAAGGATGAGTTCATGTCCTTTGTAGGGACATGGATGAAATTGTAAATCATCATTCTCAGTAAACTATGGCAAGAACAAAAAACCAAACACCGCATATTCTCACTCATAGGTGGGAATTGAACAATGAGAACACATGGACACAGGAAGGGGAACATCACACTCTGGGGACTGTTGTGGGGTGGGGGGGGGGGATAGCATTGGGAGATATACCTAATGCTAGATGACGAGTTAGTGGGTGCAGCGCACCAGCATGGCACATGTATACATATGTAACTAACCTGCACATTGTGCCCATGTACCCTAAAACTTAAAGTATAAAAAAAAAAAAAGAGTGGATAGTCATGTAAAAGTGATTGGACAAAAGGGGGTATGGTGTAATGATAATTATCTGGGGAGAATTTAGCAAGACCTGTCTGTTCAGATTTTTCTTGGTGTTTTTGTGTTTTCATTCCTTTTCCCCAGTATAGGGTAAGATCTGTCACATAAGAGTTTCTAACCTACTTTCAAGGGAGGTAGATCAGATAATTTTTTAGGACCAGGTCTCACACAGAAAGTTGGGAGAAAGAGAGTGACTTTTCTGCTTCTCCTGCTTTCTAAATTTCCAAGGTGCTATATTTTGGAGTAGTGATTCCTGTACCCTCTCAACATAGACATACAGATCAGTGGAAGAAAACAGAAATTCCAAATATATATATATGGCGCCAATTGCCTTCAGCAAAGGTGTCCAGGCAAGTCAATGAGGAAACAAAATCAATTTTTTCTACACAAGATGCTGGAACAATTATATTTATGCAACAGTATAAACCCTACTGTTACTTTACATCATATATACAAGTTAACTGAAAATGAATCAAAGCCCTAATTATGACAGCAAAAATTATGAAATTTCTAGAAAAAACCATAGAAAAAAATCTTGATGGACTCGCAATAGGTAAAAACTTTTAAGTAGGATGTAAAAAACATGAATTTTTTAAATGATGAATTTATTTAACCAAAAGGGGATGATAATTCTATAGTACATTATTTTTATACCCCAAAAGTTTGAAGATTGTTCTATGAATTTCTGTCACCCAATTCCAAGGAGGAAAAAGTGAATCAATCCCATAAATTTTCCCTTATTTGTTGTTTAAATGCTAAATTATTTATAATAGGGTAAGTATTCTTAATAGAAAATTATTTTGTGAGCTTTACCATATTTGAGAAAAATAGTAATATCTCTAGTATCTGCATAATTTGGAAAGCTGGGATACAAGATTCCACTTACCCTTAAAATTTATTTTTTCCCAACATGTGACAAAGATTATAGTATTCAATCAGTTTGTTGCATAATTGAATTAATAACTTAAAAAATTAGGAGAACTTATGGGGGCAAATAATTAAAAAAATAGAATACATGTTATTTAAGTGAATAATACACAGAGAAATACATTTAAAAAAATCTGTTAGCAGATAATAAGAAAAATTATTTTTGCATATTTATAAAAGCTGCATGTTATCTTTTGTCTCTTTATGGTAAATGTGCATATTGGAAACATTTTTTAAATTATGAACTATAAAATATATTATAATTTATATTTCTCATTAGGTTTAATTAGAATACAATAATTTATATTTCTCATTAGGTTTAATTAGAATACAATAATTATGAAATAAAGTGAATAGAAGTATAGGCATATCTAAAATATAAAGAAGCGAATTTAATAAAGATATTTAAAAATAACATAATGTCATGTGTTTAAAACTATGCCAAATTACTTTCTGGGATTTTAATCACAGAACAAATTGATATAAAGACAGCGCTTGCCCTTCAAGAATTATAAATAGCATATGTTTTCATACTATTTTTAATTTTTTACGTTTGGCATTTACTTTAGTCTGACATTTAAGAAATCTGAATATGAGAAAAACAACAGTCTTAGTATTTTGGAAAAGGTCAATTAATCTAATTTAATATCTATAAATTGCATCTTTTGCTTTCAAAAATGGGTCTTTAAAGTCAGCTAGTTTATTGAGTGGTAAATGATGAACCTATCCTAAAAAATACCATCTTTATAGAAAATTCTACGATTGTTTTAATTCTCTTCGAATGCACAAAATAAGAAGTAGATAATGTCCATGAGCCTGTTAAGTCCCACTTTTGTTGTGACATGTTAGGGTCAATTTTAGTGGAAAATATACAAAAGGTTAGATTAATTCTGTTTTACAGTGACCTTCTTGAAATGAGAGCCCAAGGAGAGCTGTGCATATTACTCCACTGACCAAGTGTAAAAGATTGCGTTGAAAGACTGTATTTACAAAAATTACCCATACGCGGTGGCACGGGACTTGTAATCCCAGCTACTTGGGAGGCTGAGGCTGGAGAATTGCTTGAACTCAGGAGGCAGAGGTTGCAATGAGCTGAGATCGTGCCAGTGCACCCCAGCCTGGGTGACAGAGCAAGACTCTGCCTCAAAAAAAAAAAAAAAAAAAAAGAAAGGACAATATTTAGTAGGCTAAATTAAAAAAAAAATCTGTACAGGACCCCTGCTTAGTTCTAGAATACATTACCTAAAGGTTTGTGCTCAGCTAGCTTATAACCTAGCAGAATGACAGACATACTAATTTAATTGTAATTTAATATGACAAAGAATATAATAAATTTAGCCAGATACTTGCTTGAGATGCAGAAGCTAGTAGTCACCAAGTTTTAGAACCAAAATGCAAGTGAGATTGCTCTACGTCTATAAATTACTTTCTTTCAGACATGGCCTTTATGTAAACAGAATTATAGGCAAAGTAAACATAGCCAAAAGAAATCTTTTACCCACTTCCTCTCAATCAATGATTTCTCCTCCTACTTAGAATAAAATTCAAAGTTATTGCCATGCCTTTTGAGGGAAACATAATCTGGCCCTGGCTATGGGTCCAGCTTCCCCTTCCTCCACTCTCGTTATGCTGTGTTCTGGCCACACTGGCCTCCGGCTGTTTCTCAGATAAGCCAACACTTTGTTATGACAGGCATTTTCATGTGCTGCTCCCCCTGCCTAGAATATTCCTCACCCAGCTGTGTGCATCACTTATTTCTTCACTTCAGCTGCTTCTTGCTCAAAGTCACCTCCTCAGAATGCCTTCCAGAAGCATCCTCCAGAATAGCAACCTTCCCTTGCATTTCCCATTAGTCCTCTTTCCATGCTACAATTTTCTTTACACTTATAATTTGTTTTTGATTAAAACAATTCTATTTATTATTATTACATCATTAATACAGAGATGTTAATAGAAAAATGGAAATGATCAAATGTACACTTAGATACACTTGATATACTATCTGTTTATATGCCTGTTTATTAATGATCTCCTCATTCAAATGCCAGTTCCTGTGTGCAAGAGCTTTTCACATTTTATTCAATGTTTATTAATTAATATGGTTGCATTTAATACTTTATTTAAAATAGGGTCTGGACTTATTAGAAATGTAATAAATATATAATTAAGTAATGATTGAGACGCATCACCTTGTCATCTGTCCTCATGGTAAATCATTAGGGGTTATCTTAGACCTAGTGCCTCAAAAGAGTCAGAAAGACTTGTGTATATATCCCTCTTCTATGTCCCAGATATCTACTATAATTTAATACTTCTACTGGGATACTGATTCGTTGTCAGCAGCCTTAGATATGTGAAGCTCTAAGTCTTGTTAGCACTGACATCATCTGGAATTACCAACTAATTTGGCTTTGTTTTGACATCATTTCTGGTAACGTATTCCATTTCATTCTCATATAAAGTATTATTCACTGTCTCCATGTCAAATCTTCCTACAAATTTAGGCCAAAAAAAGAAACTCTTAAATGCTAATTAAGAGATAAATTGACATAGTGAAGCAACATGTGGAAAATGTGAATGCTCAAGCCCAAGAATGTAACTTACGACAGTTAAGGACAAAAAGGAGGGAAAAAAAGGAGCACCTGAAGAGAACTGCCCAGTTCAGGATTAACTAGAAATGAACAGTGCACAAATCAACAATGTACAATTTTCCCTGTACTGAGAAAGGAAGTTAAATTGCGTCCACAGTAATAGGCTGAAGAAAAGATCTGGAACTGACCTTTAAAAGCAGACTACAAAATATTTCAATTAGTTTCTAATGTCACCAAAGCAACAAACATTTTGCACTGAATTATGTAAGATGACAACTCATTAACAGTTGACTGCTTGAATCAATGGCAATAATTTCCACTCTATTTTTGTATAAACTAATTGTGAGTGATTATAAAATCTATAATGAGTTTGAGAGTAAGGTTGGCTAAAAGTTATTTCTCATTATGTTTAAAGTGATGTGGGAGAGTTGATCAGCAAAGCTGGTTCCATTATATAGGGGACATTTGTAAACTCACATTTATTAATCCTAATAGGCTGATCATAATATTTTTTAAATCATTCAGCTTCAAAATTAGGAATCTGCTTAGAGCACGGCATATATATAGATACATAGATATTATATATGTGTCATATATATAAATATGTCTATAAATCTCTCATATGTATAGGAGATACATATATAGGAGATATATATATGTAGGCTGTGCTCTAAGCAGATATCTAAGCAGATACATATATATATGAGATATATATGCAGGAAATATATATATAGCTATATATAGGATATATATATAGGATATATATAGCTATATATATAAGATATATATGTAGGATAGCTATATATATATAGGATAGCTATATGTAGGATATATATATAGCTATATATATATAGGATATATATATAGAGATATATATATAGGATATATATAGAGATATGTATAGGATATATAGAGAGATATATATAGGATATATATAGAGAGATATATATAGGATATATATAGAGAGATATATATATATAGGATATATATAGAGAGATATATATATAGGATATATATATAGAGAGAGATATATATATAGGATATATATATAGAGAGAGATATATATATAGGATATATATATAGAGAGAGATATATAGGATATATATATAGAGAGATATATATAGGATATATATAGAGAGAGATATATATAGGATACATATAGAGAGAGATATATATAGGATATATATATAGAGAGATATATATAGGATATATATAGAGAGATATATATATATCTGGATATACATAGATATATATATATCTCTATGTATATCCAGATATATATATATTGGATATATATCCTATATATATATCCGGATAGATATATATCCGATATATATATAGATATATGTTTATCGGATATATATAGAGATATATATATATATATCCGATATATATATATATCTCCTACCTTTATAGATGTAGTACAATGATTCTATCAAGTCAAATTGAAAAGTTGATGAAGAAAAATAAACTCAAAATTACTGGCAAGTTGTGTGATATCTAAAAAACTAAAAAGCTTTTTTTGCAGTAATATAAAACAATATTTACAAAGAGTTTCAATTGTCAATGTACTAGGGTGTTAACATATGTTAACACCATAGAAGCAGTATGGTGTAACAAATATAATTTACATTTTATCTGGGATCAAATTAAGAAATCTTCTGTCTGGCATTTACTGTCTCTGGCAAGTTCAAATGCTTTTGGAAACTTAGTTTGCTTATATGTAAAACAGGGGTGTGTGTGTGTGTGTGTGTGTGTGTGTGTGTGTGTGTATGAGATATACATATATCATATTTTTGTGTATATATGGGTATCTATCTACTATGATATATTTTTCGAGAATAGGATGTGGAAAGTACTGGGCAATGAGTAGACCCTGAATTAAAGAAAGCTAATATCACCACAGTACTAATAGTTCAAGTATTCTAAATGAAAGCAAAAAGATACTGGAGTATCCATCAAACTAGTTAGTTCCTGTGTTTCCCCTTTTTTTTTTTTTAAAGAAACAAAAGTGTAAATCTTTCTCCTTAAAAGAGATATCTTTATTATTTTAAAGGTATTTTTAAAAATAAAATTTACTGAGATACAGTTCCATCCAAAATATGCATTCATTTTGAATGTACTTTTTGATATGTTTTAACAAATTTATATACATTTATGTAGACAACTACCACAATCAAAATACAGAATATATGCATGACATAAAAATGTTCTCTTGTACCCCCTCCAATCAATCTTTCTTCTATTTCCCCATCTCCCAGAACAGGTAACCACTGATCTACTATTATCTAGTATATATTAAATTCTTATTTTCTGGAATTTCACATAAATGAAATCATATAATATATACTCTTATGACTGGCTTCTTTCACTTAACATATTTTTGAGATTACTCATAGTTCTTTTTCTTACCTTATTCCACTGGTTACAACCTCCAGCGAGGTGCTTAGTTGAAGTGGAAGAACCTGCCTTCGCTTATTTGCAATATTAGGAGTAAAGAACCCTGTCTTTAATCATTAAGTGATATTAAACGTAGATTTTCGATAGATACCTGTTTTCAAGTTGAGGAAGTTCCCTTCATTTTCTCATTTATGGGCAGAATTTATTATAAGTGTGTTTTGAATTTTGTCAAGTTTTTTTTCAGCATCTATTAAGATAGTGAAATTGATTTTCCTTTTAGTTTGTTAATATGATGCAACACTGATTTTAATTCTTGGGAAACTCACAAGTAATGAATTAATGTTCTATCTTTATCAGTTTTTTAGAAAAATAACTTCAGCTATTTTAGTGTGTGTGTTTGTGTGTGTGTGCATCTATGTACATGGTGTGTTTGTGTGTTTAGAGGTATCTCACTGTGATTTTAATTTACTTGTTTCTCGTTTGCTTAAAAAATAAGCAATTTTTTTGAGGAGTATACTGGCCATTCCTATACCTTCCTTTACGAGGTGCCTGTTGAGTCTTTACCATTTAAAAAATTGGGTTGCCTTTTTATTGTAGTTGTAGGAGTTAATTACATATCCTGAATGCTAGTCTGCTGTTGAATACATATGTTACAAATACATTCTTCCAGTTCATGGCTTTTCTGTTAATGTTGTTTTTCTTTTTTCTTTTAAAGAGGCTTATTCTGAGTGACCAAGGGCTGGTGAACAGCCTCAGGAGGTCCTGAGTAAGTAGTCCTGAAGTAGTCGGGTTAGTTTGGTTTTATACATTTTAGGGAGACAAGAGTTAAAGCAAAGACATAAATCAATACATTGAAGGTGTACATTGGTTCAGCCCAAAAAGGTGGGGCATCTTGAAGTGAAGGTGGGTTATATAAGTCATAGGTGGATTTTAGGGATTCTTTACTTGATAATTGGTTGAGAAAGTTTGTTTAAAGATGTGAAGTCAAAAAGCAGAAACGCTTGAGTCAAGATAAGGGGGCTGTGGGGGCCAAGGCCCTTATTACCTGTGGATGAAGCCTCATCTGCAGGTGAGCAGGCAGCAGCCCTCAGAGGGAACAAATGGCAAATCTCTCTTCAGATCTTAAAGGTGTCAGACTCTCAGTTAATCTCTCACAGATCTGGGTAAGGCCTAGAAAAGAAAAGCACGGCTACATTAATAGAGGTTCTCTACAGATGCAAATTTCTCCTGCAAAAGACAGTTTTGCAGGGCCATTTCAAAATATGTCAAAGAAATACATGAATATTTTGGGGTAAAATATGTTGGTTTCCTTCAGGGTCTACTATCTGTCATGTGATGCTATAGCAGAGTCAGGTCAGAAAGTAGACCATATTATACTGCATTCATTAAAAAACCCATTTCAGGAGATTTTACAGTTTGCAGGGAATGACTTAACCCTTTCCTTGCATGGCCTTAGGTCTTGTTTATAATTTGATGTCCTATAGCCACAAAGAGTCTGTTTTGTCAGTCTTAGGATCTCTACTTTAACCTAATGCTGGTCAGTGATGCCTGTACTCCAAAAGGGAGAGGGTATAACTAGGCATATCTTCTTCCCTTCTGTCCTGGAGAGGAACTCTGTTTTTCAGGTTTCTCTAGGTTCCCTGTGGCCAAGAGGGGGTCTGTTCAGTCAGCTGGGGAGGATAGGTTTAGGATTTTATTTTTGGTTTGCAACAGCCAGAACTTCAGAAATAGTTTAGAACATTTACACTATCTTCAGCATTTTACTTTTACTATATGCCAAGGAAAAACATAACTTGAGATTTAATTTACCAAAAAGAGTGGTCCAGGTGGTAAACTAGGTATTAAAGACAGTTTTGCAGCAAACTCTTTTATAGGATTGTCAGCTTCAAATTACAGAGCTTCAGATGAGTCAATAAACAGGAGAGGAAGTCATTGAGAGAATTATAATAGTGGAACCTGGAGACCACCACACTGCAAAGGGCATAATGGAGCCAGCGTGCTCAGGGACGGTTGGGATGACTCCCAGTGTGCTTCGCCATTGTAGAAACCGTACTTGTGCAGGGGTCCGTAGTACTGGGCCACCACGTTGTAGGACCTGGTCCCACAGACATCGGTCAGCACCAGGGAATGGACATAATCCTTCAGGTCAGAGGCTGTGCATATGCCCCCAGGGAAGCACAGCTGGGGCAAAGCAAGGAGTTCCATGCCTCCTGGGACAGTGACATCTTCAGGATCTGGCACTCTGGGGACACTGGGAAGGCCATCTTCTGCTCTGGTTTTGGGCTTCTCTTTTTTCTTTCTGAAGGAGTGGCTTCTTGATTTTACCAAGAGTGGTGCCATTTGCACTGGCATTTGACTGTGTGTGTGTTTTTATTTCTTCAGTTTTTGAGACAGGGTCTTTCTCTGTTCCCCAGGCTGGAGTGCAGTGGCACAATCTCAGTTCACTGCTGCAGCCTCCACCTCTTGGGGTCAAGCAATCCTCCCGTCTCAGACGCTCAGCTAATTTTTAAATTTTTTGTAGAAACAGGGTCTTGCCAGATTACTGAGGCTCGTTTCAAACTCTTGAGTTCAAGCAATCCTTTCGCCTTGGCATCTCAAAATGTTGGGATCACCGATGTGAGCCACAGCACCTGACCCTGTCCTCTTTACTGATAAAAGGGGCCACAAAAACAGACAGGACCTCTGGATCAAGGGGAGAAATAGTTTTGACTCTTTTTCTGAGAAACCTGCTGGAGGCCTTGGAGGCTGTTCCCAGGGTGTCCAGCAGCATCCAGCGCTCCAGCAGCCCCCAGGATAGCAATAGGTGCTGGGGTACAGTCTCTTCCTCAGCTGCCCCATGGCCTACTGGGGTACCACCCTTGGGTGCCTCGGGCCATGGCTCCAACTATTATTATTTTTTTGAGATGGAGTCTCGCTCTGCCACCCAAGCTGGAGTACAGTAGAGTGATCTTGGCTCACTGCAACCTCCTCCTCCCCGGTTCAAGCAATTCTCCTGCCTCAGCTTCCCTAAGTAGTTGGGATTACAGGCGTGGCCATCACAACTGGCTAATTTTTGTATTCTTAGTAGAAATGGGGTTTCACCATGTTGGCTAGGTTGGTCTTGAACTCCTGACCTCAAGTGATCCACCCACCTTGGCCTCCCAAAGTGCTGGGATTACAGATGTGAGCCACTGCATCTGGCCACATTATAGTAAGTCTTTGAATCAGGTAAGTCCTCTGATTTCGTTATTTTTCAAGATTGTTTTATCTATTGTAGGTCCTTTCATTTTCATATACAGTTTAGAATCATCTTGTTAGTTTCTAAAAAAACGGCTTATTCAAATTATGATTGGGATTACATTCAATCCCAAATTTGGAGAGAATTCATATCTTAATATTTTGACTCTTCCAATCCTTGCACATGTTATTCCCATTTTAAAAGTTTCATTTCTATTATTTCAACAATGTTTGTAATTTTCAGTGTAAAGACCATACACATTTATTCCTAAGAATTATTTGTGTCCAATTGCAAACTTCTAAAATTGTATTTTATTGTGAATTGATGGTACATTGGAATATAATTAATTTTATTTATGAACTTTGAATCTTACAACACTGGGATTATTGACATAATTTCTATATTTGTTTTGTAGATTCCTTAAGGGTTTTGCACATACATATTATGTCATCTGCAAATAAATATTGTTTTATTTCTTTGTCTAATCTTTATGTCTATATTTTTTTTCTTACTGAATCACCTGGGCTAGATTTTCTAATGCAGAGATGAATAGAAATGATGATGACTGAAATCCTTGCCTTGCTCATGATTGTAGTAGGAAAGTGTTTATTATTTCATTATTGGGTATATTGTTAGGTACTGTGGGGCATTGGGATTTGTTAACCTGCAGGATAGAAGTAAGTTGTAGAAAATGTTTTAAAAATAACAATGCTGAATTAAAGTTACTTAGAGATTTTATTATCATAATACGAAAGAGATTCTAAACCAGGACAGTGTGATGGGCTGAACTGTGTCCCTCTGAAAAAAATACATTGAATCTCTAACTTCAACTTCCATGGAATATGACCATATTTGGATATAGGGCCTTTAAAGAGATGATTAAGTTAAAACAATGCCATTAGAGTGGACTGTAACCCAATGTGCCTGGTGTTCCTATAAAGGAGGAAATTTGGATGCAAACAGAGACACCAGGGGTGCACATGCACCTAGAAAAGGCCATTGTGGACACAAGCCAAGAATATGGCCTCAGAAGAATCAAATCTGCCTACACATTGATCTTGAACTTTAGCTTCCAGAGCTGTGAGAAAATAAATTCCTGTTGTTTAAGCTATCTAGTCTGTGGTTGTTTGTAAAGGAAGCCCTTGCAAACATATACAGCCTGTGATAAAATTCTCTTTTTAGAATGAAAGTTTTTTGCTGGTTTAGTTGCTAAAGAATTTCTGTGGTTAAACAGTCAAATTAGCACATTTCTATTACTTATCCTTTAATAAACAGTCTAGCAAACTGTTAATTTAACAAACTCCTAGTTATAGAGGAGGTCCCTAACGAACTAGACTCGGCTACATAGATTCATTTCAGTAATGAGCTTTAATGTTCAAGATTGTTTGAATTCACTTCAGCTATAATTAGTGTTTCCAAAGCCTGTGAGGTTACATATTTCTGGACTTAAACGGGGATTCAAAACAATGACAGCACAATTGTCGCAAAGTCAAACAAAATTTGAGTCACTTAAATGCCCTTATGTGACCTTTTATTTTATTTTTTCATGTTTAACCTTTTATTCGGACATTGAAAAAAAATTATTCATTCTCTATAGTCTCACCTTATCGTGGAAAATGCTGCAGAATTATGTTTATATAAAGTGAAAAGATTTTCCAGGTAAGATAGGGTGATCATTATATCATTATAGAGTAACTCCCTCATGAATATTAATATAACCATGCTTTAAAATCATTAATAGTTTTTATTTTTATTTTGAAAGGACATTTTTGTTGGTTATACAATTCTAGGTTGACAGTTTCACCCTTCAGTACTATAAAGAAATTGTTCTTTTTTTTTTCAGGCCTCCATAATTTCTATTGACTTCAATAATCATTTTTATCTGTTTTATGACATGCAACATTTTTTGTTCTCTGATTTTGAGATTTAATCTTTATTCTTGGATATCAGCAGTTTGACTACAATGTTTCTGACTGATTTGTTTATTCTGCTTAGTGTTTTACTGAATTTTAATATGTGGTTTGATATATTTTATCAATCTTGAAAAATTATTGGCCATTATCTCCTTGTGTGTTTCCTTTGCCTCATTTTCTATCTCCTCTCTTTCTGAGTCTGATTATACATAAGGTAGTTTATTTGATATTGTTCCACAGATACAGCATGTTTTGTTTTTCTACCGTTTCTTCTCCTTGTATTTCAGTTTAGATAATTTCTATTGACCCAATAAAAATTATCTGCTTTTTTTCCGTAATGTGCCAGACTACTGATAAGCCTCTTGAAAGATTTTCTCATCTCTAAAATCCCATTTTCATTTCTATCATTTCCAGTGGATTCTATTATACAGTTTCCATTTCTCTACTGAAATTCTCCATGTATTCATGCATATTGTCCACATTCACAATATATCCTTTAACATATTTATCATAACTCTAAAGACTGAGTCTGGTTCTATAATTTATTTCATCTCCTTTTGATTGGCCATATTGTTTTGATTCTTTTCATGACTTATTTTTAATTGTATAATGCATTATGCATTAAAAATCAGAAAAGACTTAAGTAAATGATTATGCCCAGAAATATACATAAATGAGCCCTTTTTGTTGGAGTGCTTGTGTGGAAAGTGGAATCCATCTAATTTGTAGCTAAGATGGGTTTAAGTTTTCTTGGTGTTTTAAGTAGATTTGTACACGGTTGTCTTTAAATAATATGAAGACATGCTGAAGACCTCTTCAGCAGAGTTTGAGATGAGAAAGCCTGGTGGTTCTATCCCAGTCTTATTTCCCTACCCTCAAAACTTCTACAGATGTAGTGTCTATGCCTTGGAAGGGGTCTCTTAGCTCTCCTGCCAGACACATGTATCTTCTATTATTCAATGGAGTTGCTTCTAAGCTTTTCCATCATATTTTCTCTGTCCTCCATCTTTAGTAAATATAAGTAAATTTTAGAAATGTGTTTGTATTCTAAGCAATTCAATGAGTTTAAAATATGATCTCATAGGCCAGACACAGTGACTCACACCCGTAATGCCAGCACTATGGGAGGCCAAGGTGGGTGGATCACGAGGTCAGGAGTTCAAGACCAGCCTGGCTAACATGGTGAAACTCCACAGCTGGGCATGATGGCAGATGCCTGTACTCCCAGCTACTCAGGAGGCTGAAGCTGGAGAATTGCTTGAACCTGGGAGGCGGAGGTTGCAGTGAGCTGAGATCACACCATTGCACTCCAGCCTGGGTGACAGAGAGAGACTCTGTCTCAAAAAAAAAAAAAATATATATATATATGTGTGTGTGTGTGTGTGTGTGTGTTACTTGCTAGATCTGGCTCTGTCTCTCTCTCTCTCTCTCTCTCTCTCTCTCTCTCTCTATATATATATATATATATATATATATATATGAATTTACAGTTATCAAGCCTGTTCTTAATGTTAGCCTAGGGACAAGTTTCTTTTGTGGCTTTCTGTGTTCTAAGTGGATATGAAAGTCTCAGTATAATTTTTTTTCATGAAAATAAATCCTTGATTTTAAACAGATTCATTTATCTTTATTTATCTTTTTAAATAACTACTTTATGATTAGTGTTTTGTGTTATGTTTAATAAATCTTTGTTTTGAGTACACAAAAATATTCATGTCTCTTTTTTCGTAAGAGCTTATTTACTAACAACAACTTTACTCAAATCTGAATTGCAGATGACCCTTGAACAATGTGGGGGTTAGGGGAACTGACTCCCCCATGCAGTAAAAATTGGTGTAATTTTTGACTCCCCAAAAACTTAACCACTAATAGCTTACTGTTGACTAGAAGGCTTCTCAATAACATGAACTGTTGATTAACACATAATTTATATGTTACATGTATTATGTGCTGTATTCTTGAACTAGAGAAAATATAATTAAAAATCATAAAAAATACATTTGTTACTTATTAAGTGGAAGTGGATCATCACAAATGTTTCATTTGCATTGTCTTCATGTTGAGTAGGCTGAGGAGGAGGGAGCAAAGGAGACAGCATTGAGGAGGGAGTAAAGGGAGCAAAGGAGACAGCATTGTTTCGCTGTCTCAGGGATGGCAGAGGCGGAAGAAAACGTGCATATAAGTGGATCCATGCAGTTGAAACCCATGTTGCTCAAGGGTCAACTATATACTTAAAATTTGAGAAGAAATGTGTCAGTTTGATGGTTTAGATATTTTGTGTTTAATGGAGGATGGAGCATCTTCCCCATGTATATATTTGTTGCTTTCATTGGATTTGTGGAAAGGAACAAACAATGCTTTTACTTTGCTTCTTTTAATCAGGATCTCTTTTATTGCTAAATATTTTTAAATTGTAATAATTCTTTAATAACTTTAGAATTATATATGACTATCAGTATTAATGAAGATATTAGCATCACTATTCTACTTTTCAGCAGCAAAAGAATTTAAAATAGAATATTGCACCCCAGTATAAATGTAGTCAGAAAGGAATAAAGTTTGAAAACTTAATACAACTATATGGCTCAAGGGACTTTATTGATTTTCCCTCTCGAATCAGTCAAATTCCAATTACACAGCTCATTCTGAAGTCATATAAAGCAATCCATCTGACTTTGGTGTTACTTGCCAGATCTGGCTATTAAAAGAAAAAATAAGTCATTAGGCTATTCAGAATATTAGTCCCAGTTAAAGACCAATTTCTGTTGGTGTATAGGCCTATGTAAAGCTATGTTTATAGGAGATTAATATTTTAGAGGGAAAATCTCTGTGGTAATTCATTTTAATCTTTTCCAGCATTTGGGAGATACAGTAAGTGACATGCACTAGATGTGATTTTTTTATGCTGTTTAAAGGTGATTGGTTTAAATATTATTTTCGGTAAATACACACGCGGGAGTGAAGAAAAAATATAAAGAACTAAATCCTTATAATCATAAAATAACTTAAAAATTTTTAGAAGTAATTTCTCCTTTGCTTCCTTGTTCTTATAATTAAATACAGTGACTTTTAGCTAAAGTCACATAATCTTTTAAAAGAAAACATTATATTGTGTCACAAAGGAAGAGAATATAGGGCAGTTTGTTTCTGCACTAATAAAATTAAATGTAGCATTTTTATACACAAAGACATGTTTTTATCTTTGACATTTGAATATCTCTCATGAGATTATATTAAAATTCTATCATCTAAATTGTTTATCAGTGAGAAATAATATTTACTCTTTCAACTAGCATTTATATAATGTGCTATTAGTACTAAGCTTTCCCAGAGAGACAGAACACATGACAAGGTATAATATAGTTGAAAATAAAACACACATGCACACACACACACAATTTTATATTGTATCAAAAACTTTAAATCAAGCTACTAATGCTTTCAGAATTCTAAGAGTACAAGACTAGTCAAAATTGAAAATTAGAAATTAATCTTTAATTTTCTAACTATTATCATAAAGGTTTATAGCAACTGAGTAGTCAGAGTGGTTTGAAAGTGACATGTTATGGTAGGCAGCTTCCAAAAGTGATCCTCAATGGTCACCTCTGGTATTCCCATCCCATTTTCTTGAGCGTGAGCCGGACCTACTGCTTTGCTTTTAAGAAGCAGAATAAGATAAAAATTATAAAATGTCACTACCATAATTCGTTTACAAAGAACTGATTTGATCTGGTTGGCATTCTCTATTTCTTCTCAGTTTGCACACTTTGACTAAAAAAAAAGAAGCATGCTCATGGTACCAAGGCACTGACAGTGGCATCTGGCCAAAAGCCAGTGTGCAATTAATGCTTTCACATCAACAGTTCATGAGGGACTGAATCCTATGAACAACCATGTGAGTGAGCCTGGAAGTAGAATCTTCTTCATCTGAGCCTTCAGCTAAGACTACAACCCTGGCAACATCTTGATTGTAGCACTATGAGAGACCCTGAGGCAGAGTATTCACTTAAACCATGCCCAAATTCTGGACCAACAGAAACTGAGGTAATAAGTGTTTGTTTTTCAAAGTCTTGGGTTATTAATTCATTGTGCAACACTTGATCACTAATACAGATGAAAAGAGCTGGAATTTAGACAAATGAGATAATGGGAATGCGCAGGATGAAGAACATTTTAGATCATGGAACAGTATGAACAAAGGCAAGGAAATAGAATAATCATTAGGCTAAAATGAGAGAGTGTGCCATGGAATACTGAGGAAGACAAACACAGATATAACAGAATTTTGCAAGCCAAGACTATGAGGACATATTAGGAATAATATAAATAGCAATAATAGATGACTTAGCTGATTGATATTATGTACTAATTTGTTAAGCATTTCATGAGCATTTCCTTATTTGATCCTTACACTACCTCTATGAGAAAAAGATATTTATTATTTTACTTATAGATGAGAAAACGGGGGCTCAGCTCATTTATTATGAGCAGTTTTCATCTGGAAAGATCATGAACACGGTGCTTTTTCTAGTACTGGCACAAATATCTTGGTTTTAATATCTGTTCAACTGTTTGAAAAACATTTTGATTATCTTAATACAGTTTTGTGATCATGTAAAGACCTCTTCCGTAAAATACTAGCTACTTATAATTATTAATGCTTTAATAATTAAGACACAAGCATTTAAGAGATTTTAAACTGACTCAGTTAGGTTGAATCAATAGGAATTAAGTAGTTGCTCACATTAATTTTCCATTAAGATGCTCTTTCTACTTCTATATATTTATCTCTAGGAAGCAGACATAATTTTTAAAAAGATAATATGTGGGGGGCATCTTATCAATTGGTTGTTTATCCATGAGTTTTCACCTTTCATTTGTCATAGTGACTCACTGACTGCCAAACAAAATTAATATTTTTTAATATGATAGAAACAAATGTTAAGAAGCAAATGTGTATGAAGGTTTATAAGAAAGCAGAGAGGAATAGTGTCTCTAGGCTTCCAATTTAGGAATTCCATGTCACGATGAGGGCAAAATTTAGGTTTTGAACTGTGAGAGAATTACAGACAGAAGAAACTTTTCTTTGCAAAATGTAAATTCAGAGTTTTGAGATTAGGGAAATAGAACTCTTCTAAGTGATAGAGTAAACAAATTGAGTTTATGGGTAGCTTAAACATAGGTAGATAAAAATAACTAATTGATTTGAACTGTAAGTTTAGGAATTAAGGTGTTTAAAATTTTATTTTTATTTTTTAAAAGCTGATAATAAAGTTGCTTTAAATTAAGGCTAAACGTGAATGTAGAGGAAGATTTTTTAAAAACTCAAATGCCAACAAGGGCATTCTCTGTCGAATTCATAAAACAAATCCTTACTATCATCTTCTTATCAATGCATATATAATGGTAACTTGACTCAAGAGAGTTGCTCAGAGTTTCAGAAATATAGAAGACATCTTATTACTGTAGAAGCTAGTTAGGATTAGCTTATGCATTATTCATGAAATGACAGGGACATTAAAAGGTAAGTTAAGTTGGATTATTTATCTTAGAGGTATTGGAAGGTAATCTTTTAAGACTATGAAATACTCAGCAATATCTTATCATTTTACTATGAACTGTTGCAAATACATTTTGTCTTCGTTATGGAGATAGACTTGCATGAGAAAAAAGAAGCTATGGAAAAAAAGAATGTTAAGTTTTCAAAGTAAAATGTCAACATTTTATTCAATCTTTTCATTATGAATATTGCACTTGTTTCCCAACGGTCACTCATTACTTTTCCATTCATGTAACTAATCAGTCAGTGTGAGAAATTGAAGAGATACATTTAAACTTTTCTTCACATGTGAAGAGAGCTGACAGTAGCAGTAATATTAAATAAAATCATGGGATTTAGAATAAATGTTTCATTGCTTTAAAGATGGCAGAGAGGTCCTGATTGTGCTCTGCCAAGTGAAAAATACAAGTAAAATTTCTACTCTTGAGAGCAGATTTATCTTGTGCAAGGCCTATACAAATCTGGAGGAATTTTATTTTTGCCTATTTCTGATAAGCTCAGTGCTGCAGTTTTGAAATTTGGTGACTGAGTTTTATTAGTGAAGATGTGTTGCACTGGCATCCTGTGAGAATTTTCTGTATACATACATATGCAGCACAGCATGATAAGGTTTATCCTGTACACAGGGGATGGCTCTTTTAGATTGGGACACTGGGTGTATCCTCCCGATGACTACAATCTTACTCTGGTAGTCAGCATTTAATACCAGGTGGTTTCCTAAGACACCTTTGGAAGAATCGCTAACTCTTTGCAAAATGGGGAGTGAGAATTGTTGAGTTGAGATTGTTTTCTCCAGGAATCTAAACTCCCATCTACCATGCCTAGCCCCTTAGGCAGGATAAAGCTTGTATTATAAAATGATTTTTTGTAAACTATGAGTTGGACACTGTACCATCCCAAGGTAGCATTTGGGGATTCCTTTCCCTATAGCCTTCTCAAGGGGTGGCTGTTTTCCCACTCACAATCCTCCCCGAACTGTTCCTAAAGGTAGGACAGGTACCATACTGCTTTTCCTTGCCACTTCCAGGCCACTCTTTCCCTCCTCTCCCAAACTCCCAGCACTGAGTATCTTGTCATTAGATTTTGCAATCTACTGTCCTAATTATGACTGCCATCTACTGATCCCAGGTTATTTTGCATTATTTTATACACTTTTAATTTCTGGATCATTGTCATTCTTTCCAGTACAACTTCAGGCTTAATTCTGGGTGACTTTGAAATACATGTAGAAGATTTTTCCAACCACCTTGCTGGTCAGTCTTTTCAATGCCTCTTCTCCAACTGTCCTTGTCTTGTCTTCTTCAGTCATGCATTCCTATGATCATATAGTAGACCTATGTCATTACTAATAACTGCAATCTGTTCACGGTCTAAATTTTATCCCTCCTCCTAAGTTTTCAATTTATTCCCTCTGTTATTCTGATCCTGATAATATTTTTACTCCAGTAAGACCTCTAATTCATTGGTTCTACAAGTTTTCTATTGTTCTTCAGCCCCTTCATGTTCTCTCTTCTTACTGAGCATACATCCCATGGGTAATAAATCTAACCACTCCCTTGCATTCTCCCGCAAGCCCATCGTCTTGTCTTACTCAACTGGCAAAACCACAGTCCTTGGCTACTCTGTGGCATCACTCATGTTGCTGATGGTGGCTGAAGAAAAACATGCAGATAAGTTGGGTATTCCCACTGTGAGACCCAAATGAGCTATGAATGCTGCCTGGCAGTCATAAGCCATTTCCCTAGGTTGTTGTTTTCTTTCCTAGATTGATATTTTCTACCTTCTGCCCTGACTTCAGACTCGAGTTCTCCTTCCTTTTATTTTCTCTCAACTGATTACTTTCTTCACATTTTCACTGAGAAAATTAAAGCAATGAGAAAAGAACTTACACAGATTGCCACCATCACACCTATTACTTCATAGCACCTGCAACCAGACGATCTGCTTCCATGCCTGGGATTGAAATGAATGGTTCCTATTGCCATCTAACACGGACTTTTCCAACTGTGGCAGTTTTTCTTTCTCTCTTTACTCACTTCTGTTGTTGTGCAAATATCGCCTTTGAAATAATACCTACAGAAATGGTGCTCTTTAAAACTCCAAATTGCCTCCCCATGCTGGCAACTGATCTTATTGGCTCTATTTTCATAGTATTTGTCACCTTCTAACACACTATGTAACTCACTCATTTATTATAATTATTTTTATAAAATATGTTCTCTTGCTAGAAAGCAAGCTCTCTTGAAGGCAGGGTATTTTATGTTTTATTCATTATTACATCTCAAATGTCTAGAACTGTGCCTGCAGGAGGTAGGCAGTAAATACTTTCCACTGAGTCAATAAAGTATGGTTCAAAATGATGTGAGCCATTCAAGATGGGAATCATTGTAATATAAGAACATATTGGTCATGTTGCTGATTTTTAAAAAAATCCTTCCTATCTTGCAGTTTTTCACCTAGTTTGGAAAATTTTTTAAAGTTATATTTTTATCTTTTGGGGGGTTATAAACAGGGTCTTGCTATATTTCTGGCTGTATATATTCTATGTAGTAGGCCTGCCTTGAACTCCTGGCCTCAGGTGATACTCCTGCCGTTGCCTCCCAAAGTGCTGAGATTACAAGTGTAAGCCAAGACTATTTCCAGCCAAAATTGGATTTCTTATGCATCCACTTTATATATAAAACACATAATCTACACTTATAAAAATTATTTGGTCAGAGACCTCTCCTATGACACACTTAAAGCATCCTTCAACAACCACCTAAGAGCAAACCACTTAAGAGCACCTGCATCCTTTGCTCCTGTACTTGACTCCCTCCATATTTTCTTTTCTTTTAGAATGTACTGTGTTTTAGAATAGTCTCACTATGTACTGGTCAGCATTTTATCCTTATCTATGTTATTCCAGGTTATTTGATGCAGAAATTGATGAGATATTCTAGGCTGACATGAGATTGTGTTTTATATACACCTAGATGATATACTAGACTGCTTACTCCAGTACTCCAGTACTTGGACACTAGAAAAACTGCTAGACTTCCCAAAGCTGTGATGTCCCCTTCACTCATTCAAAATTTATGATTCAACATCACTGAGGCTAGTGATGCTTTTTTCTTCTTGAACTATGTGACTAAATTTAGGGGAAATTTTATCCTTCTCACCATTTCCTTGAGTTTATAAAAACCAAAAATATTTTAAAAACCACATCATTATCTTGCCTGACACAGAAAAGCCTTTGATAAAATTTAACAATGCTTCATGTTAAAAACTCTCAATAAACTAGGTAATGATGGAACATACCTCAATATAATAAGAGCAATTTATGACAAATCCACAGCCAATATCATACTGAATGGGCAAAAGCTGGAAGAATTCCCTTTGAAAACCAGCACAAGACAAGGATTCCCTCTGTCACCACTCCTATTCAACACAGTATTGGAAGTTCTGGCCAGAGCAATCAGGCAAGAAAAAGATATAAAAGGTATTCAAATAGGAAGAGAGGAAGTCAAGTTGTCTCTGTTTGCCAATGACATGATTCTATATCTAGAAAACCCCACTACATCAGCCCAACAGCTTCTTAAGCTGATAAGCAACTTCAGCAAAGTCTCAGGATACAAAACCAATGTGAAAAAAATCACAAGCATTCCTATTCACCAACAATAGACAAGCAGAGAGCTAAATCATCAATGAACTCCCATTCACAATTGCTACAAAGAAAATAAAATACCTAGGGATACAGCTAAGAAGAGAAGTGAAGGACCTCTTTAAGGAGAACTACAAACCACATCTCAAGGAAATCAGAGGACACAAACAAATGGAAAAACATTTCATGCTCATGGATAGGAAGAATCAACATTGTGAAAATGGCCATACTGCCCAAAGTAATTAATGGATTCAATGGTATTCCCATTAAACTATCATTTATATCCTTCACAGAATTAGAAAAAAAAAACTACTTTAAAATTCATATGGAAGCAAGAAAGAGCCCGTAAAGCCAAGACAATCCTAAGCAAAAAAGAACAAAGCTGGAGGTATCATGCTACCTGACTTTAAACTATACTACAAGGCTACAATAGGCAAAATAGCATGGTACTGGTACAAAAACAGACACACAGAGCAATGGAGCAGAACAGAGACCTCAGAAAAAAGACCACACATCTACAACCATCTGATCTTCAACCAATCTGACAAAAACAATCAATGGGGAAAGGATTATCTATTTAATAAATGGTGCTGGGAGAACTGGCTAGCCATATTCAGAAAATTGAAACTAGACCATTTCTTTACACCTTGTACAAAAATTACCTCAAGATGAATTAAAGACTTAAATGTAAAATCCAAAACTATAAAAAGCCTAGAAGAAAATCTAGGCAATGCCATTCAGGACATAGGCATGGGGCAAAGATTTCATGACAGAAACATTAAAAACAATTGCAACAAAAGCAAAAATTGACAAATGGTATCTAATTAAAATAAAGAGCTTCTGCACAGCAAAATAAACTGTCATCAGAGTGAACAAACTACAGAATGTGAGAAAATTTTTTTTGCAATCTAGACATCTGATAAATGTCTAATATCCACAATCTACAAGGAACTTCAACAAATTTACAAGAAAAAAAAGAACCCCATTAAAAAGTGGGCAAAGGACATGAACAGACACTTCTGAAAAGAAGACATTTATGTGGCCAACAAACATATGAAAAAAAGCTCAACATCACTAATCATTAGATAAATGCAAATCAAAACCATAATGAGATACCATCTAATGCCAGTCAGAATGATTATTAAAAAGCTAAGAAACAACAGATGCTGGTGAGGCTGTGGAGAAATAGAATGCTCTTACACTGTTGGTGAGAGTGTAAATTAGTTCAACCATTGTGGAAGATGATGAGGCAATTCCTCAAAGACTTAGAATCAGAAATGACATTTGACCCAGCAATCCCATCACTGGGTACATACCCAAAGGAATATAAATCATTCTTTTATAAAGATACCTGCATGTGTATGTTCATTGCAGCATTATTGAGCAAAGACATGGAATTAACCCAAATGCCCATCAATGATAGACTGAATAAAGAAAATGTGGTACATACACACCATGGAATACTATGCATCCATAAAGGGGGATGAGATCATGTCCTTTGCAGGGACATGGATGGAGCTGGAAGCTATTATCCTCAGCAAACTAATGCAGAAACGGAAAACCAAACACTGCATGTTCTCACTTATAAGTGGGAGCTGAACAATGAGAACACATGGACACAGGGAGGGGAACAACACACACTGGGGCCTGTCAGAGGGTAGGGTTGGGGGAGCTATCAGGAAGAATAGCTAATGGATGCTGGGCTTAATACCTAGGTGATGTGTTGGTAGGTACAGCAAAGCGCCATGGCGCATGTTTACCTATGTAACAAAACCATCCTTCATTATCCCAGAACTTAAAAATAAGTGTCTTAATAAAATAGAATAGGTCTGATAATTAAAAATATTTTTAAGTGTTGCCATCACTATCTTTTTAACTTTTAAGATTCAGGAAGTACATTTGCAGGTTTGTTATATGAATATATAGCATGACACTCAGATTTGGGGTATGATTGATCTCATCACCTAGGAAGTGGTGATAGCACCCAATAGGTAACTTCAACACTTGTTCCCCTCCCTTTCTCCTCTTGTATTCTCCAGGGTCTGTTGTTCCATCATTATGTCCATGTGTGCCCAGTGTTTAGCTCTCACTTATAAGTAAAACATGTGGTACTTGGGTCTCCATTTCTGTTAGTTTGCTTAGGATAATGGCCTCCAACTGATTCCATGTTGCTGCAGATGACATGATTTCATTCTTTTTTATAGCTGCATAGTATTATTCCATGGTGTCTACATACCACATTTTTTTTTTAGTCTACCCACCATTGATGGGCATTTGGGTTGATTCCATCTTTTTGTTATTGTGAATAGTCCCTTCACATTTTCTTTTAGGAGAAAAGAGTTGATCTTAAAAGGCAGATTTATTCTTTCATAGATAAAAATTGTGTGCTGTTAGCCATATTCTTTAGATGAGCAATAACTTGTAGAATATATATTTTAAAATGTGTAGATGTTCTTGTTTTTAAACAAAGATTTGTTGATATACTTTAATTTCAGTCACTAAGTCCACGTTTTAGTTTAACCATAATTTTAAAAGGGCTATTTTATACTGCCATTTACAACACTTGCATATAACTTCTCTTATTCTTTCCTCATTCTCAGCTATGTAAAATGTTTTGCAGTTTTAAAAAGAGTGTCTTTAATAATATCCAGTATTACCTAATAAACACTTTATTATAATAATCAGAAAGATCATCTCTTAAAAAATATTCCTTAAGTCTATCATTTCATTCACTCAAATCAGTTCAAACTGTTGCCCCCCCACCATGGGTACATTTACTACCTAATAGTGTTTTCCAAAGTACTATTAATATTTTCTGATTATGCAGCAGAAATCTACAATGTCCCTGGAGTCACCAAACCTGCCTTAATTGATGTGTGCGCAAGGTAAGCTAAAATCAGACACGCATTTATCACAGCTGAAGTATTTTCTTCTATTTTAGGCTGAAGTGTGCGGGAGAGGACAAGTGCCGCTCCAACTCCCTCACATTTGCAGGCAGTCTGCATGCGTGGGAGTCTCCATCACTCACAAGGTCACGGAATCAGGAGAAAAAGGGACCAGAGCCGTGTGTGCCCGCTCCAGCTTCCCTACCCTCGCTTCTCGTCAGTGTTCTTTCCTCTCTTCTGGTCACAGAGTGCCACCAACTGTCCCCCTGATGGCTTCCTGGATTTCTGTGAACTGATCTAAGCCTCACTTTCACTTTGTTCTACGGAGGGCTTTTTCAGTCGATCTCCTCTGATTCTTCCCTGCTCACCTCCTCACCAGAAAAAAACATAAGTGACGGGTGAGAGAATGGTAATAAAATATTCTTTTCTGTCTTTTTCAAAGGCAAGGTAGTAGATTCACAAGGTCAGAGTTCTGCATTTTTTTCCTAAAGGACTTCGATTAAGTTCCTTGAGGTATCTGCAGTGAAATAAGTATCAACTGAAAGCTTTATGGTTTTTGAAACTTTACATTACTTTTTCTCCTACAGCAGCTTCATTAAGCCCGCTTGCTATTTACCTCTGACTTGCCACCCTGTAGGGCTGTGGAAAGGAATTAAATTAGACCTAATTAGATACTGGAAGCTGCTTCATATTCCATTAATAAAAGGCTTCCTACTTGGAGAAAATGGGATTTAAAATGTGTGAAATAAGCATATTATAGAGCTGTTCACTCACTGGCTCAATGCCACATCAGCTTTTTAGTGCTACTGTTTCTAGATAGGAAATAGGGAACTGCACAAAAGTACAGGCAACTGCCTATATTGGTATAGTATGAAACATGTTCCAAACTTCTTTGTCTATAAATCTCTTTCCCAAGGACTCTAAAATTCTCTCCTTTCTTGATTTGCATGATTGAGACAGTGAAGTCAACTCTTAGACAATGATATTTGGGCACATTTAAAATACATAGGATCAGTCATTTAGCTTAAATGTGCTGATGAGAATAACCGGCCTCGAGGGAAAAAGACAAAATACTATAAATTTTATGAGATTAGACCAAGCATGGAATCAGAAAGTGTTAGTTTTGAAGAGACTCTGGAAAAGGGTAGCCTGGTAACAAAGAAGCTGACGACCTTGAATGTTTTTGAGAAGAGAATATTCAACATGAGTTGGAGAGGAAGCAGCTGCTACCGCTACATATTCCACTGGGCAGTTATTCAATCTAGTCATTTTCATGTGCATTTAAAAAGTATCTTTATGGTCAATTTTGTCTGAGTTTTTTTTGTTACCAATAATGGGGGTGAATTTGACACTGCTTCCAAAATTTGGTAAGTTACCAGGAGAGGAAACTGGAAGTTGTTTGAGGTCAGAAAAAGATCAAGAAGGAAGAATAGAAACATTGATTAGCATCAGGCATTCAATGAAGGCTTGTTGAGGAAAAGACAGATGAAAGGCAGAAAAAGGAATGAAGGGAAGAAGGAAGGAAGAGAGGAAGGAAGGAAGGAAAGGAAGAAAAAAAGAAGGAAAGAAAGAAGAGAGAGAAGAGAAAAGAGGAGAAGAAAAGAGAAGAGAGAAGAAAGAAGAGAGAAGAGAAGGGAAATAATTCAAACTCAAAGGGCAGTGTTAGTGGCCACAGCAGAAATGGAAATGAAGGTGAATTCAGCGAGAGTTAGAGGCCAGATCCTGTAAACCTAGTATAAAAAAGGCAAAGTAAGCCTTTTCTTTCCCAAATACAATCTGGCAGTAAACCGTCCAAAGTGAGGCTCAGCTGGTGGAGGCTGAGGGGCTGTGTGGGGGACCTGGAACTATGACTTACTGCGTTCTCCTTGACAGCTCCCTGAAGCAGAACTCCGAAATCCCAGAGCTCTGTGAGACTCCATTAAAACTCACTGAATAAGTTTTTTTTCCCTAAGATTATTTGAGACCAGTCTTGCTTTCCTTTAGGATTCAGTAAACACTTGTTTCTATGGCAAAGAGTGCTGTGTCTCAAGTTCATAAACATATTTCTATCACTATTTTAAAGGGTTAGATTCCTAAAAGAGGGATTGTGACGGCATATAATTAACATTAGTTTATCCATAACTGTTAGCTTATATTTAGACAACTAAAATCCCAAAGCCTTTTTATATACTGTACTGCCAAATCAGCTCTCCCTCAGTTGGTGTTTGCATAATGAATACTTTGATCATAAATGGAAGTTTTGCTACCAATGGAGCAACTGGACAATGTGGCTTGAGTATTTGAAAACAATAACCCTTCTAATAGTTTCCTCCAAAATCAGGCATAGTGTTACCCCAAATCAGGTAATGTGGAAAACTACATGACTTTCTGGTTAGGGTGGCCCCACATCACTCCCTGCAGAGAGCAGAGGTGTATACTTGTTCTCTGCAGGCACAGAAATCCTGAATGAAGAGCAACAAGATAAGAAGGGTCAGGGCTATAGATGCCTCATTCTTCCGTCAATTCCACCTGTCAGGTAAATCACTTCCTTTCCTTTCAGAACTGACTTAAGTGGAAAAGAGAGGCTGGAGTAGAATTCTGATGGGGTCTTTCCACATAGAGACATAATGCCATGATAAAGGAAGTTCTCCCTGCTAGATTGATCTTGAATAGGAGCTCAGACATGAGGCTGGTGGTAGGGAGTGGAAGTGGAGTCAGCCCAGAGAAGGAGGCATTTTGTTACCTAAGGGGAGGAGAGACAGCACACTGACAAATATGAGGGTCTTTATTTAGGATTGTGTCACTCACGTACATCTCCAGAATAATATTCTACTAGCTGTAGTCTTACGTTAGGTCCCCATAGTTGCCCAACTGTGTCCTTATCTGGGCCTGGCTTTCTAGGTATTGCCAGTCCTGTAGTTATCCAATCTTGAGCATAATGGATCTATTTATTTTGAAATACCCCCAAGGTTACGTACAATAACGTATTCCTGAGTGCTTCTAGGGATGCAGACTTCACAAATCTTTATTTTTGGAAGTTATCATACATGTTTTTTCCCTTGAAATTTTGACATTTCTGTTTTCCACTGTTGTTTCAGAGGCTGCTAAAGTATCACTTTCTTACTCCATACCCTAAATGAAGTTGATATAGAATGGAACACTTAAATGCTTTTAAGGCTTAACTTCCATAACATTAATTGACTTTAATCTATATGGGCAATATTTACCTGTAATTACTTTAAATCAAAATAATGTGAGCACTTGACAAAATATCCACTACTATATCATGAATGGCTTTTGATAAAAGGACCACTCTCCTGCTTTATACCTCCTAATCTTCCCACTCCCCAGAAGCAACAACTTTTTATCATTTATGTTTTCAGCTTCTTTGTGGCTGCCTCCATAACTCTAGATAATGTTTACACCACTGTTTCTGAACTTAATCTCTTTAAACAGAATCCCATGCCTTAATGCCTTCCTACCTTGAAAGATGAAAATTTAGCTCATCTCTTCTTGGCCCACATTCTTCTCCATGTTCTTGCTACTTTTACTGTTGCTTTCGTTTCTAGTTTACTTATGTAACTGTAACTAGCTGTATTTCTTGTTCCCATCATTTTAATCAACAAGTGATGCCATTTTATAGGAGATGATGACTTCCTTCCCTATTGCCTATTTCCTATTACTTTTTACATTGTTAGGGATGTTAACACTTTCTATAAATCTGTAATTCTTTGTATTATGAGTTGACTATGAATGTTAAAAATCAATAGCTTTTATGTGATTTTTGCCTACACAAGATAATATCGTTCATATTTTCAATATCTTTGGCTTTTGTTTTATAATCATAGGTTTTTGTAAAGTTTTTCTTCTAGTTCATTTCATAAGCATATTTTTAACCTTTTAGTGTTTGTTCCCTGTTCTCTGCCTATTCCTTTTGATAGCATTTGATTCTTATTTTATGAATTAATACATTCTTACATGTCTTGTGTACACTGATTAGATTTTTTTTTTTTTGCTTTTTTTTTTTTTTGAGACGGAGTATCGCTCTGTCACCCAGGCTGAAGTGCAGTAGTGCGATCTCGGCTCACTGCAACCTCCACCTCACGAGTTCAAGCGATTCTCCTGCCTCAGCCTCCCAAGTAGCTAGGACTACAGGGGCGCACCACCACACCCAGCTAATTTTTGTTTTTTTTAGTAGAGATGGGGTTTCACCATGTTGGCCAGGATGGTCTCGATCTCTTGACCTCGTGATCCGTCCGCCTCGGCCTCCCAAAGTGCTGGGATTACAGGCATGAGCCACCGCACCCGGCCCACTGATTAGATTTTTAAGCTTTTTCTTGAATTATCTCTACTTTCTCAGAAATTTTTAAAAAATGATTACTTATCTAGTTATTTCTTCTTCATGGTTTTTGTTCCATTTGTGTTCATCCTTGGTTATTCACACATTTTGAAGAATGAAGGCTTGTGTAAACCACATACATTTGTTTACGTATCTCCTTGAGTATAATCCTTTATTAGCTAGGTCAGTTGGCTGTAAGAATTAATAGGTTGCTGGCTTCTAAAATGTAAGGATCAGTAGGATTTTGTCCCATTATTCCACCCGCCTCACAAGAAATCTTAGATCTTCTCAGCTTATTTGTTCCGTTCCTTAGAGATGAGTCCTCCATGTCTTGCCTGTAGTTAAACCTCGCTGCTTGCATTTGAATTGGGAATAAGAAAGAGCAATGAAGTGTTCACATACAAATCTTCTATTACGTCTCCTGTTTTAAGCTTTCCCTTTCCCTCCCAGCCTCCAGCATGCTCACTGAGTCTCAGCCCAGAGCTTCTCTGTAATCAAGGGGTGGGCTGCTCCTGCCTGGTCTGCTGCTCTCTCAACCTATGTGCCGTTCTGTGACTTCCTCAGGCCTGTTTCTTTTGGTCAGAGTTATCCCACCACATTCCTAGCTCTCAGCAATTTGTGAAACAGGCTTAACACTGATGGTGGGGACTTTGCCTCTCTCCTCTCTTTCATTCTTATTCCAAATTTATATTTTTTCCATCATCTCAATCACATTTGGGAAGGGGAAGAAGGGGGAAAATATGTGCTCATTCTGCCCTCTTGAAATGACTGTTAATTTGTTCTAAATGTTATAGGAAGCTTGGAAGCACAATCATTTTAAATGTGTGTGTGTGTGTTTAAATTCTCATTTTATTGTGGGTAAGTCTAGACATGTCTATTTCTGATATGGACAGTGGGAATTATTATTTATAGCTTGTTTTACTGACAACGTGTGCATTTGGAAGGTGGGAGGCAGGAGAAGTGTTTTTATCACAAATTACACTGTGGTTAAGCTTCTCTTATGGGGAGAACTTGCTTAAACCTCTTGGTTTACCAACTTGTCTGTACATCTCGTTCTCTAACCAGAGATGTTAGAAATATTATTTTCCCAGAGGTTAGTCATACCAGCCAAATTGAATCCTGGTTTAAATTAAACACAAGAAAGATCACCATTTTTATATTAAACCCAATAAAGATCACCATTTAAAAAAAACCTGGAACCAGTAACAAATTGCTCTCAGTTGTAGCAAGCTGTTAATGTGAGTCTGAGGGGTGCAAGGTGCATACCTATATCCATATGGGTATATTTCATATATATTCATATTTCAGCCTGCCTGAAAGGGTACAGCTGATCTTCAAACATGAGAAGGTCCTAGTAGTGTTCATATTCCTGGTTCTAGTGGTTCTAGTTGTCTGTGAGGTTGATCTTCACCCACAGTATTCTTTCTATACTTTAGCTTCCTAGCCAAGAACATCTCCTCACTAAAGTAGTGATATGTTTCTGTCACATGTATCCAAAAGTTTTCTAATTTTAACTCACAGCCCCAACCACCATCTCAGTCTCTCAGAAACATGCAAACTGACTCAGATTATTTATTTATAAAGAATTTCAACTCTGCCTTACGTATCCACTCATTTAAGTCCTGGGTATAGAGGAAATTTCACGAAATCACTGAGTGGTCGTAGTCTTATGAGTTACATACAGGCATGGGAATATATGGCTCTTCTTTATTTTATTTTATTTTGTTTTTTGGAGACAGAGTCTCACTCTGTCATCCAGGCTGAAGTGCAGTGGGGCTATCTTGGCTCACTACAATCTCCACCTCCCAGGTTCAAGCGATTCTACTGCCTCAGTCCCCTGAGTAGCTGAGATTACAGCCATGTGCCACCATGCCTGGCTAATTTTTATATTTTTAGTAGAGACAGGGTTTTGCCATATTGGCCAGGCTAGTCTCAAACACCTGGCTTCAGGTGATCCGCCTGCCTTGGCCTCCCAAAGTGCTGGGATTACAGGCATGAGTCACTGCTCCCAGCTGTTTCTTCTCCTAAATTTTCTTTTTATTAAGGTGATAACAATTTTCAAGTTATTCAGAATAGTTGGGATGTAGTTACTAAAGATGGTATATTGGTCTGTTCTCACGCTGCTAATAATGACATACCTGAGACTGGGTAATTTATAAAGAGAAAGAGGTTTAATGGACTCACAGTTCCACATGGCTGAGGAGGCCTCACAATCATGGCGGAAGACAAATGAGGAGCAAAGAGACTTCTCACACGGCAGCAAGGAAAAGAGAGAAGACTTATGCAGGGGAACTCCTCTTTATAAACCTATCAGATCTCATGAGACTTATTCACTATCACGAGAACAGCACCAGAAAGACCTGCCCCCTTGAACCAATTACCTCCCACCAGGTTTCTCCCACAACAGGTGAGAATTGTGGGAGCTACAATTGAAGGTGAGATTTGGGTAAGGATACAGCCGAATCATATCAGATGGTAATTAGATAATAATTACAAAAAAAACCCCTATTCTTGCACATAGTTAATAGACTAGTATTTTCTGTGATTTTTCTGGACTTTTAATGGAGAAGGTAGTTGCAATTGTTTGCACTTTTCTTCAAAACTGAGCTACTCTGTTACATCTCGTCTAAAATAATGGAATCAATTATCTGGGTTGTTGAGCAGGTGTTTAGCCTGTATTCTCTAAAAATAAATTATGTCAGGCTAATCTAAATTTTTTGATGAAGTAACTAATTTATGAAAAGGCATAATTTATCTTGATTTTTGCAATGCTTTTGATAAAGCGTCTTTCAAAAAGCTTGTGAATAAGTCCCAATATATTGGCATTAGCATAAGATTGCTAAAATAGATGAGTAACTGGCAAACTAGAGAAGGTAATAATACACAGACAATAATTCTTTAGGGCAGAGTTGACAAGCAGGGTTCCCAGGGGCTCAGAATTCAGGAATAGTTTAAATAAGATTTATATCACTAATTTAGCAATAGGCTTACAGTTCAGCAATCTGCTGCTGACTTCTAGATAGTAGTTTGAGATTCAGAGAAACATGGGGAAACAGCCATGAGTAAACAAGAAGGTCCTCAAAACAAAATCATAATCTGAATTTGGAGTTTCAGGCTAAAGGAGCAGCTCAGTGGTAATGATAGAACTGAGTCAGAGGCAGGTGGACTTTATGTAGTGTTTGATTAGCATTTATGTCTCTGTTGTTTAATGGGTTGTGCTCTGCAACTGAAAACCCGAAGCCTGGGGATTTTTTCAGATGTTCTAATATTGGTTTGAGTACTCCTCATCCCATGACAAATTTTTGGACTTCCAACCCTATCAGGCATTTGCTAGAAAATTCTTATCTCCTCTTATTAAGCCCTCTAATAAAAAACTAGCATTCCCCAGTCTACTTTGAGATACACAGAAATAAACTCTTTGTGCTTGAAGGTAAGATAACATATGATAGGAAGAAGTCAATATTTCTGACAAATTAGGCCTCCTCAAACAATACCCTATGTGCTCTTCCTAGTAACTGATCTTTTTGGTGGCTTCCCATATATGATTCTGCAAAGCTTCCCCTATCAAGGGATATTCTCAGTAGCAGTGGCAGCTTTTCTGTTGGCAGTGGCTTTGAAGATTATTTTTCTTTTTATTTTATTTTATTTTATTTTATTATATGTTAAGTTCTAGGGTACATGTGCACAACGTGCAGGTTTGTTACATATGTATACATGTGCCATGTTGTTGTGCTGCACCCAGTAACTCGTCATTTACATTAGGTATATCTCCTAATACTATCTCTCCCCGCTCCTCCCACCCCATGACAGGCCCCCGTGTGTGATGTTCCCCACCCTGTGTCCAAGTGTTCTCATTGTTCAATTCCCACCTATGAGTGAGAACATGCGGTGTTTGGTTTTCTGTCCTTGCGAAAGTTTGCTGAGAATGATGATTTCCAGCTTCATCCATGTCCCTAAAAAGGACATGAACTCATCCTTTTTTATGGCTGCATAGTATTCCATGGTGTATATGTGCCACATTTTATTTATCCAGTCTGTCATTGATGGACATTTGGGTTGGTTCCAAGTCTTTGCTATTGTGAATAGTGCCACAATAAATATACGTGTGCATGTGTCTTTATAGTAGTATGATTTATATTCCTTTGGGTGTATACCCAGTAGTAGGATGGCTGGGTCAAATGGTATTTCTAGTTCTAGATCCTTGAGGAATTGCCACACTGTCTTCCACAATGGTTGAACTAGTTTACAGTCCCACCAACAGTGTACAAGTGTTCCTATTTCTCCACATCCTCTCCAGCACCTGTTGTTTCCTGATTTTTTAATGATCGCCATTCTAACTGGTGTGAGATGGTATCTCATTGTGGTTTTGATGTGCATTTCTCTGATGGCCAGTGATGATGAACATTTTTTCATGTGTCTGTTGGCTGAATAAATGTCTTCTTTTGGGAAGCGTCTGTTCATATCCTTTGTCCACTTTTTGATGGGGTTGTTTGATTTTTTCTTGTAAATTTGTTTAAGTTATTTGTAGACTCTGGATATTAGCCCTTTGTCAGATGGGTAGATTGTAAAAATGTTCTCCCATTCTGTACGTTTACTGTTCATTTTGATGGTAGTTTCTTTTGCTGTGCAGAAGCTCTTCAGTTTAATTAGATCCCATTTGTCAATTTTGGCTTTTGTTGCCATTGCTTTTAGTGTTTTAGACATGAAGTCCTTGCGCATGCATATGTCCTGAATGGTATTGCCTAGGTTTTCTTCTAGGGTTTTTATGGTTTTAGGTCTAACATTTAAGTCTTTAATCCATCTTGAATTGATTTTTGTATAAGGTGTAAGGAAGGGATCCAGTTTCAGCTTTCTACATATGGCTAGCCAGTTTTCCCAGCACCATTTATTAAATAGGGAATCCTTTCCCCATTTCTTGTTTTTGTCACGTTTGTCAAAGATCAGATGGTTGTAGATGTGTGGTATTATTTCTGCAGACTCTGTTCTGTTCCATTTATCTATATCTCTGTTTTGGTACCAGTACCATGCTGTTTTGATTACTGTAGCCTTGTAGTATAGTTTGAAGTCAGGTAGCGTGATGCCTCCAGCTTTGTTCTTTTGGCTTAGGATTGTCTTGGCAATGCAGGCTCTTTTTTGGTTCCAGGTGAACTTTAAAGTAGTTTTTTCCAATTCTGTGAAGAAAGTCATTGGTAGCTTGATGGGGATGGCATTGCATCTATAAATTACCTGGCAGTATGGCCATTTTCATGATATTGATTCTTCCTATCCATGATCATGGAATGTTCTTCCATTTGTTTGTGTCTTCTTTTATTTCATTGAGCAGTGGTTTGTAGTTGTCCTTGAAGAGGTCCTTCACTTCCCTTGTAAGTTGGATTCCTAGGTATTTTATTCTCTTTGAAGCAATTCTGAATGGGAGTTCACTCATTATTTGACTCTCTGTTTGTCTGTTATTTGTGTATAAGAATGCTTGTGATTTTTCCACATTGATTTTGTATCCTGAGACTTTGCTGAAGTTGCTTATCAGCTTAAGGAGATTTTGGGCTGAGGTGATGGGGTTTTTTACATGTACGGTAATGTCATCTGCAAACAGGGACAATTTGACTTCTTCTTTTCCTAATTGAATACGCTTTATTTCTTTCTTCTGCCTGATTGCCCTGGCAGAACTTCCAACACTATGTTGAATAGGAGTGGTGAGAGAGGGCATCCCTGTCTTGTGCCAGTTTTCAAAAGGAATGCTTCCGGTGTTTGCCCATTCAGTGTGATATTGTCTGTGGGTTTGTCATCAATAGCTCTTTTTATTTTGAGTTACGTCCCGTCAATACCCAGTTTATTGAGAGTTTTTAGCATGAAGGGCTGTTGAATTTTGTTGATGGCCTTTTCTGCATCTATTGAGATAATCATGTGGTTTTTGTCTTTGGTTCTGTTTATATGATGGATTACATTAATTGATTTGCATATGTTGAACCAGCCATGCATCCCAGGGATGAAGACCACTTGATCATGGTGGATAAGCTTTTTGATGTGCTGCTGGATTTGGTTTGCCAGTATTTTATTGAGTATTTTTGCATCGATGTTCATCAGGGATATTGGTCTAAAATTCTCTTTTTTTGTTGTGTCTCTGCCAGGCTTTGGTATCAGGATGATGCTGGCCTCATAAAATGAATTAGGGAGTATTCCTTCTTTTTCTATTGATTGGAATAGTTTCAGAAGGAATGGTACCAGCTCCTCCTTGTACATCTTGTAGAATTCGGCTATGAATCCATCTGGTCCTGGACTTTTTTTGGTTAGTAGGCTATTAATTATTGCCTCAATTTCAGAACCTGTTATTGCTCTATTCAGGGATTCAACTTCTTCCTGGTTTAGTCTTGGGAGGGTGTATGTGTCCAGAAATTTATCCATTTCTTCTAGATTTTCTAGTTTATTTGTGTAGAGGTGTTTACAGTATTCTCTGATGGTAGTTTGTGTTTCTGTGGGATCGGTGGTGATATCCCCTTGGTCATTTTTTGTTGTGTCTATTTGATTCTTCTCTCTTTTCTTCTTTATTATTCTTGCTAGCAGTCTATCAATTTTGTTGACCTTTTCAAAAAACCAGCTCCTGGATTCATTGATTTTTTTTGAAGGGTTTTTTGTGTCTCTATCTCCTTCAGTTCTCCTCTGATCTTAGTTATTTCTCCTGTGATCTTAGTTATTTCTTGCCTTCTGCTAGCTTTTGAGTGTGTTTGCTCTTGCTTCTCTAGTTCTTTTTGTTGTGATGTTAGGGTGTCAATTTTAGATCTTTCCTGCTTTCTCTTGTGTGCATTTAGTGCTATAAATTTCCCTCCACACACTGCTTTAAATGTGTCCCAGGGATTCTGGTATGTTGTGTCTTTGTTCTCATTGGTTTCAAAGAACATGTTTATTTCTGCCTTCATTTTGTTATTTACCCAGCAATCATTCAGGAGCAAGTTGTTCGGTTTCCATGTAGTTGAGTGGTTTTGAGTGAGTTTCTTAATTCTGAGTTCTAGTTTGCTTGCACTGTGGTATAAGAGACAGTTTGTTATAATTTCTGTTGTTTTATATTTGCTGAGGAGTGCTTTACTTCCAACTATGTGGTCAGTTTTGGAAGAAGTGTGATGTGGTGCTGGAAAAATTTATATTCTGTTGATTTGGGATGGAGAGTTCTGTAGATGTCTATTAGGTCTGCTTGGTGGAGAGCTGAGTTCAATTCCTGGATATCCTTGTTAACTTTCTGTCTCGTTGATCTGTCTAATGTTGACAGTGGGGTGTTAAAGTCTCCCATTATTATTGTGTGGGAGTCTAAGTCTCTTTCTAGGTCTCTAACGACTTGCTTTATGAATCTGGGTGCTCCTGTATTGGGTGCATATATATTTAGAATAGTTAGCTCTTCTTGTTGAATTGATCCCTTTACCATTATGTAATGGCCTTCTTTGTCTCTTTTGATCTTTGTTGGTTTAAAGTCTGTTTTATCAGAGACTAGGATTGCAACCCCTGTTTTTTTTCTTTTCCATTTGCTTGGTAGATCTTCCTCCATCCCTTTATTTTGAGCCTATGTGTGTCTCTGCATGTGAGATGGGTTTCCTGAATACAGCACACTGATGGGTCTTGACTTTATCCAATTTAGCAGTCTGTGTCTTTTAATTAGAGCATTTAGCCCATTTACATTTAATCTTAATACTGTTATGCATGAATTTGATCCTGTCATTATGGTGTTAACTGGTTATTTTGCCCATTAGTTGATGCAGTTTCTTCCTAGCATTGATGGTCTTTACAATTTGGCATATTTTTGCAGTGGCTGGTACTGGTTGTTCCTTCCCATGTTTAGTGCTTCCTTCAGGAGCTCTTGTAAGGCAGGCCACGTGATGACAAAATCTCTCAGCATTTGCTTGTCTGTAAAGGATTTTATTTCTCCTTCACTTATGAAGCTTGGTTTGGCTGGATATGAAATTCTGGGTTGAAAATTCTTTTCTTTAAGAATGTTGAATATGGGCCCCCACTCTCTTCTGGCTTGTAGAGTTTCTGCCAAGAGATCTGCTGTTAGTCTGATGGGCTTCCCTTTGTGGGTAACATGACATTTCTCTCTGGGTACCCTTAACATTTTTTCCTTTACTTCAACTTTGGTGAATCTGACATTATGTGTCTTGGAGTTGCTCTTCTCGAGGAGTATCTTTGTGGCATTCTCTGTATTTCCTGAATTTGAATGTTGGCCTTCCTTTCTAGGTTGGGGAAATTCTCCTGTATAATATCCTGCAGAGTGTTTTCCAACTTGGTTCCATTCTCCCCGTCACTTTCAGGTACACCAATCAGACGTAGATTTGGTCTTTTCACATAGTCCCATATTTCTTGGAGACTTTGTTCATTTCTTTTTACTCTTTTTTTTCTCTAAACTTCTCTTCTCACTTCATTTCATTCACTTGTTCTTTAATCACTGATACCCTTTCTTCTACTGATCAAATCGGCTACTGAAGCTTGTGCCTGTGTCACGTAGTTCTTGTGCCATGGTTTTCAGCTCCATCAGGTCATTTAAGGTCTTCTCTACACTGCTTATTCTAGTTAGCCATTCGTCTAATCTTTTTTCAGGGTTTTTAGCTTCTTTGCAATGGGTTCGAACATCCTCCTTTAGCTCGGAGGAGTTTGTTATTACTGATTGTCTGAAGCCTTCTTCTCTCAACTTGTCAAAGTCATTCTCCACCCAGCTTTGTTCCATTGCTGGTGAGGAGCTGCATTCCTTTGGAGGAGAAGAGGCACTCTGATTTTTAGAATTTTCAGCTTTTCTGCTCTGGTTTGTCCCTATCTTTGTGGTTTTATCTACCTTTGGTCTTTAATGATGGTGACGTACAGAGGGGTTTTGGTGTGGATGTCCTTTCTGTTTGTTAGTTTTCCTTCTAACAGTCAGGACCCTCAGCTGCAGGTCTGTTGCAGTTTACTGGAGGTCCACTTCAGACCCTGTTTGCCGGGGTATCACCAGCAGAGGCTGCAGAACAGCAAATATTGCAGAATGGTAAATGTTGCTGCCTGATCCTTTCTCTGGAAACTTCATCTCAGGGGGGCACCTGGCTGTATGTGATGTCAGTCAGTCCCTACTGGGAGGTATCTCCCAGTTAGGCTACTTGGGGGTAGGGACCCACTTGAGGAGGCATTCTGTCCATTCTCAGATCTCAAACTGCATGCTGGGAGAACCATCACTCCCTTCAAAGCTGTCAGATAGGGACATTTAAGTCTGCAGAAGTTTCTGCTGCCTTTTGTTCAGCTATGCCCTGCCCCCAGAGGTGGAGTCTACAGAGGCAGGCAGGTCTCCTTGGGCTGTGGTCTGCTCCACCTGTTTTGAGCTTCCAGGCCACTTTGTTTACCTACTCAAGTCTCAGCAATGGCGGACACCCCTCCCCCAGCTTTGCTGTTGCCTTGCTGTTCGATCTCAGACTGCTGTGCCAGCAGTGAGCGAGGCTCCCCGGGTGTAGGACCCTCCAAGCCATGCGTGGGATATAATCTCCTGGTGTGTTGTTTGCTAAGACTGTTGGAAAAGTGTAGTATTAGGGTGGGAGTGTCCCAATTTTCCAGGCACCATCTGTTACGGCTTCCCTTGGCTAGGAAAGGGAATTCCCCGACCCCTTGCACTTCCTGGGTGAGGTGATGCCCTGCCTGCTCTGTAGGCTGCACCCACTGTCCGGCAAGCCCCAGTGAGACGAACCTGGTACCTCAGTTGGAAATGCAGAAATCACCCGTCTTCTGCGTCGCTCACGCTGGGAGCTGTACCTGTTTGGCCATCTTGGAACCTTGAAGATTATTTTTCAGTGGTGATTATTCTGTAACAAAAACCCAGTCAATTTTTTTCAATATCTCATTAGCATAATCTCTCATTGATTACATCAGATCTGAAAGGTTACTCACAACCCTTTATGGTCCAAGATCCTTCGGCTGTTAAATTGCTCAACATCAATTTTTCCATTGACTCATCTCCAAAGGTAACTTACAGTAACATCTGAAATTTACCTTCTAGATTCCATTTCATGAGATTTCACAGCTTTTTGAAAGAACTTAAGATTGTTCACAACGAGTCTTTTGTACTTTGTTACTCAGAGTGTGGCTTCAGACCAGCAGCACTGGTACCATTTACCACTTGAAAGTTTGCTAAAATACAGAATACTGGTTTCCGTGGTCATTGAAATAGAATATGGATCCAACATGATTTCCAGATGATTTTATTTTTATTTTTATTTTTATTTTTATTTTTTATTTTTTATTATTATTTTTTGAGATGGAATCTCGCTCTGTCACCCAGGCTGGAGTGCAGTGTCATGATCTTGGCTCCCTGCAAGCTTCACCTCCTGGGTTCACGCCATTCTCATGCCTCAGCCTCCCGAGTAGCTGGGACTACAGGTGCCTGCCACCATGCCCAGCTACAAAAGTTCTGGGATGATAGGCGTGAACCACCATGCCCAGTCATGATTTCTATCTAAGCACACTAAAGTTTGAGAAGACAGGCATAGCAATGATCTAGAAACAGGCTTAGAGAGAAAACAGAACTTTGGTGGCACATAGTTAGGAATTGACAGAGCTTGTATGAGTTTTGTTACAACTATTTTCCTCTACATGATATTCTAAGGACATATGTACAATGAAACTCTAGGATGTTTCAGATGACTATGTTCTCTGAGTCTTAAAAATGCCTCCCCAAGTGGCATATCTAACAACAGAAGGATGTGATTTTGCAGCCTAAGAAATACCCAGTAGGGAAGGGGAAACCTCTAGAAATCACAGCAGAGCAGTGTGGAAAGTCTTGCAGAATTGTCACGATACCTGAGGGACACACCTAAGGTGATACAGTTTTGTATTAACAAAGATGAGGTTACTTGTCTATGTGAGTGTCATGAACTGCCCAACCCTCATTGCTACGGTAATTGAATACATGCTGGCTGAACAAAATGTTCTTGTTTTTTAATGGTTGTTTTGTTTCCTTATGGTCACAGCCTGGAGATTTGGAAGGGCAAAAATTTATAGAATGAAATCAAGGTATTTCTTCATGAACTTTGTTCTGAATCAAGGAAAATCATGCATCTGTTTTACAAATCTTCATAAGCAATACTGTATTTGGTTCTAAATATTGAGTGTAATTAAGGTGTTACAAATTGGTGAATGATGCTGAAAATGACTGTAAAATTTATTCAAAAATCAGAATAACTATTTTTGTAAGGAAGGATTCAAAAATGAATACATTTATGTCTATAAAATGCATTTTAAACAGGCTAAAGAGATATGACTGCACCTAACAATTATAAAAGGATAGTAAATAAAAACTGAATATAAAGAGGAAGGAAGAGCTATTGCGAAAACCTGAGCTGAGGAAAAGTACCAATTTCAACTGTTTAATTGTGTGGCTGGAGTAAAGCTGAGGTAAACATGGTCAGGTCCAAAATATAAACACGTAAATTACATATGTAACTAACCTGCACAATGTGCACATGTACCCTAAAACTTAAAGTATAATAAAAAAAAAAAAGAAAAGTAGAAAAACCTTTAAAAAGTAATATGAGTCTCTCATCCTAAAAGGAAGAAGCTGAAGCATAAAATATGATTTAAAGAGTTTATCTGAGCCAAACTGAGGAGAGCTGCTCAGAAGACTCAGCCTAAGTCCCCTTGGATATGAGCTTTCTTTGACCTTTGTTACAGAGAGGTTTTTAAAGGCAAAAAAATGGGGCAAAGGGAATGGGCTGATACAAAGATTTTTGTCAGGGATTCTCACTGGTTCATAGAAATAACATTGATTACTAATTGGCTATACATTATTAAGCTACATTGTGTGGTTATGGTTTCAGTGCAGCATTATTTGGTTAATTATACCGACTTGTGACAATAGCCTGTAGTTTCAAAAGATGAAAACAGCTCAAAAAGGGGGAGGTATGCGGTGATTGCTGTCTTATTTTAATGACTTTCTGGGCCTGATAATTTGAAAGAGCTCATATTTCTCAGATAAAAGTTGTTTTCTTTCCTCAAGACCATACATAAATTCCTTAAGGAGCTGTCAATGTGAAAATTGCATCATTGGGTATTTCAAATTGTCCTAAATTTGCTATTGATCCATTCATAGTTTTCTTTACCCACCTATTTTTGTCTAGAGGTTTTCTCCTAAGGTAACTGCTCCACCAGAATTCTAGGATCTCTTTTTGCCTACCTCCTGTTAAAAATCTTTAATTTTCATTGTGTGGCATAACTCTTTTTCCCACTTACCTGTCCACTTTGAAAAAGTTCTCTAGTGTGTAAATTAATGTAGTAATTGGGTTCAGGACATGCTACCCTGATTTATAACTGCAGGAGACTAGAATATGCCACCTCAAAATATGTCTCTGTAACCAAAATGTAGGTTCAGTCATTCACCACTTACAGAGTCCAATTAACGAGAGCAAAGTCTGGTATGAAGAAAATGACTTTGATTCCAAAGTTAGCTTAGGGGAAGGATTATGGGCTCCTGCCTTAAGGGTACTGCTTTAGTTTTGGAGCAGAAAGTAGGCACTTTAAAAAGGACACTCGGCATGAATGGCACACAGGGAGAAAAATTCAGGTGGGAGTCTGTGTGACACACTTCAGTGCTTTATCTCCTGGGCGGTAAAGGTGGCACCAATGTGGGCAGAACTATGTTATACTTTTGGTTGTAAACTGATTATCATCTCTTGAGGCAATCTCCTGGTAGGAGAGCATTCTGCTCTGGAGCTTTTAAGTAAGCACACAGTTAGATAAGCTTGCCTTGTAGGGAGTGTCTCGTGAAGGGAAGGTAAAATGTTATAACTACATGTCTAAAGAGCTAATTAGGAAGTGGGGATCTGAGAAAGAGAAGATAAAAGAGAAAAAGGCTAAACTATTGCTTGGAAAATGGGGGTACTCGGTTATAATTCCCCACTGTCAGGTTTTATGCCATTTCTACGAGATTTGGGTACCATATTTATTCTGGCTACTTCCTGCTGAAAGGGGCATAGTTATTGGATATCAGTATGAAACTGATCTATTTGGAGTTGGAAATATTCATAAGTATGAGGACTTAAAAATGATATTTGTTGGACAATGATGGTATGAGGTCTGGAAAGTTTCTGGGAAAGCCTGTTTTGCATTCCCATATAGAGGGTGCAACAGCAGTAAAATCTACAGCAGAGAAATATGCCTGTTCTTGCAACCAGAGCCAAAGTTACAAGTAGCATTCACCACCAGGATGATCCTGACCCAAACCAGGATTCTAATCATTGATCTAGTGACAATATGGGGTGAAGACAAAGCTTTGATTTGTTGGCATATGTCTCACAGGGGTATCAAGACATTTCCCAAATTACCTAGGAAGTATACATTGCAGTTAGTCTTAATTATCATGCAGGTTCCCCAATGCCAGTTGTAACTGGACCTCCTATGAAGATTTGATGACAGGTTGATTAAATATGTATTTAGTAGGTTACAGGAGGAGCTATGAATGTTCATGAAGGTGGTCATAACCTCTGTCCAGTTCTTGAGTATGAATCAATAGCTGTTTCCAATCTAGGAGGTTGTGTTACAGACGGGGTGGGCCTCTGTATGTGATAAACATAAACAGATTTTTAATAAGACGTATTTTTATGGAAATAGAAGAAAAACAAAGGTTAATGTTTGGCACAATTTATCCAAATGTTGGACTCAAAGCATCATTAGTGCTTTGAGGGAGGCAGTGGTAGTCTGACATGTTTTTCTCACCTGTATTACAAGAAATAAGGTAGTAGTAATTTCATTGATTCCAAATTAGAAAAATGGAAGAAAGATTCAAATGCATTAGAGACTTGTAGCAAAGAAAGAATTAAAGATTTAGTCCAAATTGCAGAAAATAATAAAAATTTAAGTACAATGAACAAGACTAGAATCTAACAACAGGTATACTGTAGTATTTTTCAGAAACATAGGTTTTCTTTCTGTAGCCTGTTTTTACTAAAAACAACTCATAGTAGGACAAATTTATTTGCAAAATAAGTTTTAGTCTTATGATGCTTGGCCTGATTATTTTCATGAAGTGCAGAAAAAAATAGTTGTCTACCATATAGGATCCCTTTAAAATTGGCTTTGCTGGAATTCTTATTTATGAGGAATTATGGATTAGACTTTTTAAAGCCTCAAGCCCAGCCATGAATTTATTTATGCCTACCAATACCTGTATGGATTAAGTGAATTCCTCTCCTCTCAAGGTCCCAAGATAACTTGTGGCTCCTAGGTTTGTTGGAAAGTGACATTCTTTACTTACTACAGGCCATGAACCCTGTATAGGGACTGTGTAGATAAGATATGAAGCCAGTTTTTCCAAGGGGCTTTTATTGACTCTAAAAGTTCATCTTGATCCCTTAGAGTAGTCTGTTTGTATCTGAAAGCATGCTATTCCAGTCAAAGCATTGGTAAAAAAAAATCCAGTGTTTCTAATTATGTCCTGTTATGAAAGAGAACAGATTAAATTAAGTATATTTACAAATAGCTTTCAAATTTTTGAGAAATCAGGTAGAAAGAAAGTAATATGCTTAAAATTTTGCTCACAGAAGTGTACTTTAGCCAACTGTTAAAAGCTGTAAATAGGTCAAAACAGAAAAGGTTTCTGGACTCTGAAAAACAAAAAAATTAGCAATGCTAATTATAAAATGGTCTGATTGGCTTTGGGTTGCCCACCAGCCTCAGGAGAATGTCCTTGCAGTAAAATACATGGTAAAAACATTATACTCTCTGGTCCCATGGTCTTCACCTCTTTTGAGAGGTGTAAATATGGGATCCTTAATTTGGGGAATCTGTTTCGCCTTTCAGCTATACCTGCTTATTAGGCCCTAGAAACTGCATGCTTTCCTAGTTTTTTTCCTTAAAATTCTCCACCAGTAATTTAATGCCAGTAATTTAATTAACTTACATCTTTAAGACAATCTACCTGTGTAAGAGTGTCTGCTTTTTCTGGCCATCTTAACTGAAATGTTATTCACACTATTTTTGCTTGGTTTGGGTAAAATATGAATTCTCTATCTTGTTTCACCTAAGAGTTGGCCTTTTAGTAATAAAAATTTAGAGCTCCCTAGCTGACAATCAGGACAGAGAACAGGTAATTAAAAGACTGATAATCGAAAATGAGAAAGAGAAACTTAAAAACTGACACATGAAAAATCTTAAAACTACCAAATCTGCTTTTGTTTGTATATATGTGTGTGTGTGTGTGTGTGTGTGTGTGTGTATATATGTATATATATATACATATATATATATAGTGCATGAGGTTTATATAAAAGAGCTCTAATTATTTGGCTTAAAAATAACAAGCATTTAAATCAAACATATTATCAGATAATTAGAAACTTTAAAGCCTTTAGCTCATGTGACACCAATAATCTTTGAAAAATAAAGGCAGTTAAAGATTATCAGTAAAGTAAAATGAAAATACCATCTCCAAAATTCAGACATTTGGTCTAAATTAGGCAGGACTGATACTGTTTGCTAGATGCTTTAAGGTCATAAACTGCCTTTATGACTTATAATAATTATGTGACTTGTCTGTTTTACAGTCATTAGATTCTAGGTAAGTCCTAGTGACATATGAAGTTAGCCAGGTCCCCTGGGTAGGCTGGGAAGAGTCAGATATTGGTCTGCAGTTCTGTCTTTGTCCTGTGCTCTACAATCAGATACAGGTTAAAATTGCTTACTTACCAAGTTTTTCACCAAAAATAAAAGTTGCTGAGAGTTAACCTTGTAAATGTGTAATTGCTGAAAGATAACATTGTAAATGTATAATTATAAATGTGTAACATATGAAATATGTAATTTAGTTAACATTGTAAATGTGTAATTGGTGTATAAGGAAAGTTGAGTGTGTTTTTGGTAAAAGGTTACGAGAAGATATGAAAATATCGTTTTTATTAAAGGCAATGCAATTTTGTCTAGTTCAGAGGTTTTTAAGGATTGTGATAAGCTAAAAGAATAATAAGACAAAATTAGCAGCATGCTTCCAAATTAGCAGCATGCTTCCAGTCAAGGGGCTGGGTGGAGTCCTGAATCCCCTGCCCCAGTTTCAAATGGCTCCATATACAGCTGAGTCTGAGCTGAGCAAAGCTCCTATAGTGCCACACATACAAAAAATACAAATGCATAAAATGCTCAAATAGAGTTACTAGAGGCCAAGTCTAAATAGAGCAGGGCCCCAGTGACACCTGAAAAGAGGCATAGGGTGGTCAGATGCACTCCAACCTGTTTGTTCAGTACCAAAGCTTGCTGGCTTCTTCAGAGTTCACTTTATTTTTACCAGTGAAATGCTGGAGGTAGCAGACATTGTGCCAGGAGGGGAAAAGGAGGTTCCCCAAAACAAAAGTGTTTTTGGAAGCTGCTTGGGAGTTCTCTAATGTTCATTTTATGGGTTCCACTAGCCACTAGCAGCTGGTGCTCAGAGGTGACCCCATGACTCACCCAAAGTGAAAATTGGCTGTCAGGCTTGGATTCACCCAGAGTGGCCACCAAAACTGTGACCATAATGCAGGTTCAGTTGCTCATCACTTGAAGAGTTCAACTAACAAGAGTGAGGTCTGGTCTAAAGAAAGTGATGTTTTATGTCAAAGTTAGCTTAGGGGAAGAAATATAGGCTCCTGCTTTAAGGGTATCTCTTTGCTTTTGGAGAGAAAGCAGGTGCTTTAAAAGAGGACTTGGCATGAATGGCATGCAGGGGAGGGAAACACAGGTGGGAGTCCCTGTGACTTGCTTTGGTGCCTTATTTACCAGGTGGTTGAGTTGGCACCATTGCAGGCAGAACTAAGTTGTACTTTTGGTTGGACATTGACTATTGTCTCTTGAGGCAATCTCCTGAGAGAGAGTTCTGCTCTGAGGCTGTCAAGTAAGCACTTGGTTAGATAAGCTTGCCCTGTAGGGAGTGTCTAGTGAAGGGAAGGTAAAATGTTATAATTATATTTCTAAAAAGCTAAGCAGAAAGTGGGGAACAGGGAAAAAGGCAGAAAAAACAAGAGTGAAAAAAATATATCTTACAAAAATGGGGGTACTCAGTTACATCTTTTTGGCATAAGGATTATTTTGAGCTATTTTGAGAGACTGCAATCCCAGGAGAAGTTTGAGAAGAACAACAGTAGAAGTTACCATTTGGTAAGGGAAATTTACATCTATAAAGGAAATCACCACTTGTAAATGTCTCTCTCTCTCTCTTTCTGTACCAGGAAGAAAATAAGATTCTAAATCACTGGAACATCTTATTAATGGAGAAGGCACAGACTTAAATCTGCATAACAAACCTTACCTTTGTTTGTCCTTTTTCTGGTCATCTCAACATCCTTTTTTTCTTTGCTTCAGTTGAAGATGGTATTTAGGCCTGAATTCAAAGCCATTACTTTCAGATTTATTCATTTTCCAATTATCTCCCATACATATATATGATATATGTGTTATTAAACTTGTTTTCTTTAATTTTGTTAATCTGTCTTTTGTTTCAAAGGCCTGTTCCAACTAAGAACTATAAAGGGTAGAGAGAAAATTATTTTTCCTCCCCTACAGTTTCTTCTCTCAGTCTAGTTTCAACTTTTCTCTTTCCTTACTGTTCTGATCACCTGCTGCTAGGCAGACCTAGAAAATTCATAAATTTTCTTAAAGCAAGATAAGAAGGGTCGGGGTGGAATAATAAAATAAACTGGGCACGGTGGCTCATGCCTTTAATCCCAGCATTTTGGGGTGCCAAAGTGGGCAGATTGCCTGAGGTCAGGAGTTCAAGACCAGTCTGGCCAACATGGTGAAACCTTGTCTCTACTAAAAATACAAAAAAATAAAATAAAATTAGCCGGGTGTGGTGGTGTGCACCTGTAATCCCAGCTACTCAGGAGGCCGAGGCAGGGGAATTGCTTGAACCAGGGAGGTGAGGATGCAGTGAGCCAAGATCATGTCACTGCACTTCTGCCTGGGCGACCGAATGAGACTCCATCTCAAAAAAAAAAAATAAATAACACTTTTGGATCTTGTTGCAATGGTACTTTAATATAGTTATTTGTTTGTACTTCAGGTTTCCTTACTGGGCTCTTATTTCCTCAATAAGTTGGGTGGAATTCTGATTTCTATTTTCTCCACAGTCTAGCAGGGTATACAGATCATGGAAAGTGATTTTAATATTCTATTGAATGTATATATTTGGAGAAGAGGCTAGCATGTGATAATATAAAATTAAGGCCATGTTTAATATTGGCTGTCAGTCTTAGCAAAAGATATAAAAATGCTGTAGACTACAGCTTTCCAACCAGAAGCAAGGCTCAGGGACCAGCAGTTTCCATATCACCAAGCTCATTAGATGTGCAATCTCTGTCCTACCATAGACTGAACTAGAATCTAAATTTCAATAGAGAGCACATGGAATTGGTAAGCACATTAAACTTTGAAAAGCATTGTTCTAAACTGATCAAACATAATTTCTCCTTTAGTCAACAACATAATTCTCAATGGGCCCATCATTTCACCAGTTCATATTTTCTTACAGCACTTTTATTACTGCTCCTTAAGATTCTGTTGTACAAAATCTGCTGTAACATAGAACAAATGCCAATTGGACAATGAAAAAAATGAAAATTTGAGGATAAGTGGGAAAAATTTGAGGTACATAGATAGACTCATTAAGGATGAGAACTATATTTCCAATGAATCTCCAGTGCCTAGCAGTGAACTTGAAATCTGGAATGCAATTGGAACTCAGTAAACATTTATTTGTTAACTGAATGAATGGAGAAAGTCCATTGACTCATTATGGTGCTTTTCCTAAAAGAAGTGTGCAATTTTTTTTAAGTTATTGCTTCCCAAATATTATTTATCTGTCATAATGGAGCTTCACTAATGATGGATAGTTGAGTGTCTTCTTTATATCCATTATATTTTGATGGTTTCCTCAATTACATTTATTAACATGCAGCAAATTGCTCTTGCTTCTTGACTAGAACTTAATGAATTATGTAGGTTCATATGATATTTACCTATTCACTATTCAATAGCAGTGATCTTTTAGACAGAAGTGTACTTGCTTCTATAAACCAAAAATCATAAAGCTTTAGCTTTGTGTTCTAAATTTGGAAAAAACATTCTTTTTCAGGTTATCTGAGTTTGCCCTGCTACTTTCACTTGAGAATTTTGCCTTTGATACTAGAATGGGGTCTGATAATTGTGGACCCAAAATGGTAGGTGAAATATGAGGTAGAGCTAGGATGGGAGTGGTTAGTATAATACAGGAGGAGAGCTAGCAGGGACTCTCATTGCATTAATTACTATTCTGCTTGTTTGGAGGGGAAATTGTCTACAAGCAGGGGTTGGACATGCACAAATATGTGTTGCAGGCTGATTTTTAACTTTTAACTAGTTTAGTTTTTGCATACTCAGATCACTTATTGAAATGTCCTCATCATGTACCCGTCCTCCGATTTCTTCGTTTCAACACATGATTTATTTCTTCATATGGGTGTTGCCCAAACTAGCTTCAAGCTTAGAAAGTGTCTGATAGAGCTATTCATAATTCCACGCTAGGAGCTGTAAAGGCTTAACTGAAGCAAATAATTACCAGAAATGTTTACATTTTAATTGAGATAAGTTCTTAATAATCCAAAGTCAAATATTCTTAATGAAGAAATTTGAATGTAGGGTCAGGGATGAGAGGAAATAAGATTTCTCTTAGAATTCAAAATGATCCCAGATGATGGACATCTGGTTGGAAGATGTAATGTGAATATGCTAATTAAACTATGTTTTAAACTTAATTCCTCAGTCCAAATATTAAAGAGTAACATTGGTTCAACGGAACTTACCTCTAAATGACTGCTTACTTATAAAACACCATCTAGACAAATATTTCAAATATTAAGTTTTAAAATGAAAACGTAAGTTACGAAGTTTTGAAAGTTATGGGAGAGAAAGAAAACTCTAAAACATAATGATGCTTTCAACCTATAATGCTATCTTTCTTTGTGCCTTTAGTGTCCTCTCTCATTTTCTTTTTTACACTAAAACTTATACAAGTGGGATAGTTTATGGTATTAATATTATCTTCTTTCTTCAATTTGTAATAATAGCTCAATGCCATTCAAACACTTTGACTGTTAGCCTACGAATTTTGTGTTCTCAGATGGTGACTTTTTATTGATCTACAATAAGCCATTTATAACTTTATTAAGGCAAACTTGGATCATGTAGGAAGCTTCCTTTATAAAATGGTAGCCTCAAAGTACATCAACAGGCAAGCTACCAGTGAGAACGCAAAACAGGAAGTTCATATATAACATATATAGCCTGTGAGATCACAAAACAAGTTTATATATAACGTTGCTTGAATCACATAGTTTATTAAATATTAAAATTTCTTCAACTGATGATTAATTTTGTGTGTCAACTTGAGTGGGCCATAGGTGCCCAGATTAAGTGTTGCTTCTGGGTGTGTCTGTGAGGGTGTTTTGGAATAAGATTGGCAATTGAATCAATGGACTAAGTGAAGCAAATTGCCCATTCCAATGTGGTTGGCATCATCCAATCGGTTGAGGATCTTAAGAGAATAAAAGGTCTGAAGAAAGGAGAACTTCAGCGTCACTTCCCTTCATTTTCTACTTCAGTATTGAATTGAGACATTTTATCTCATCTTCTTTTGCCCTTGGTCTAGGATTTACATCATCAGCATCCTTGGTTCTCAGGCCTTTCAACTTGGACTAAATTACATCACTGGCTTTCCTGAGTCTCCAGTGTCCAGACAGCAATTTATGGGACTTCTCAGCATATATATACACACATATATATACACACATACATAGAACCAATAGAAAATTATATATATACATATATACGTATATATGTGTGTGTATATATGTATATATATAATTTTCTATTGGTTCCGTTTCTTTGGAGAACTGTGACAGAACATAAACTTTTATACTATTTTAGTGCTTTTGTAACAAGAATGGAAATCATACAAAACGCTGAAAAAATAAAAGCAAGGAAAAAGAATTGGATAATATAATACATATAGAATAGAGTGCAAGCTCGTAGAAAGCTGAATACTGGAGTATGCAATATTCACGTATCTCTGCTCCATCAGCCTTCCTTGCTGATGGTGTGGTTAGAAGAACTAGTGTAGACGTTGGAGCAAGTGAGTCCACATATGAAAAATGCCTTGGGCCAATGACCCACATTTGCTTATCAGAGAAAAGCAGAGGCATGAATGCTTGGCACAGCTTGGCCTGCCAATTAGCCTGCTGAACAGCCATGAGTTTTATTTATGGGTCTAGAGTAGGGCACACATACAACTGGAATGTGTCCCTGTTCAGAATAACTAATGTGTGCCTGTTTTAGAAGAAATTGTCCTCAGCCTAGAGGTCACGTGATCATAGCTCGGTCTTACCATTTCTTCCTGTATGTTAACATTCTTCTTTGTTCCATTCTATCTTCTACTTATTCATCCTACCTTTAACATGTTTTATAGGTTACTAACTTACCATGCACATTTAACATATATGTTGAATTTTGCCAGCTACTTTGTTACTCATTCTTTATATTTGACATATCCTATGAGCTTTATTTCTATTTAATAAGCTTCTAGCTTATTTACTATTTTTACTATTTCTTATGAATTTTGTTTATCCCATTTCCTTTAATTCCTTAGCAGAAATACATTTTCTTTAAAAATCCAGCAAAGGAAACAATACAATTTGAATATGGCATTTCATCATTAATAAACTATTTTTTTTAATCTTTGGAGGATATTTATTTAAGAAGACACTGCACAAACTTTTCTACAAAATTAATTATGTTAGTAAATAGTGTTAATATTAACACAATGCTAGTGTTAATGGTATCAGTATTAACATAATATCAGTATTAATGTGAATGAAAACACCAAGAGAGTTAGGATTGAGAGTGCAAATGCTGTACTGGAATCCCAGTCATTGTTGGATGTGTGCTGAAGAGCAGGAGAAACCATGAAAATCAACTCACACATGTTTCTCTTTTCACTATGATAGTTTGTTTTAAAAACTTTTCTGTGATTACCAGGTTTTGTTTGTTACAAAAAATACCAAAACTTTAACAGGATAGTTAAAGGAATTTCAAGAAACAACCATCTCGAGCATGTCAGTTGGGAAAACATTTTGGTGTCAAATACTTCCTTCATGCTGCCTGCTAAAATGCCTTCCTGAAACTGTATGTCTGTTCACAGAAACATTCACCATGCAAAAATTGGTTCACAAGTTTTCAACTCATCAAGCTAAAGATTGGTGATTAGGTCTACAACCCATACTCAGTGTAGTGTAGTGCTTGTGACTGAAGATGCTGGAGTCAAACATCGTCACTTCAAACCTCAGCTCTTCCTCTCACTGGTTGAGTCTACTTAATTCCTTCCTGGCTCAATTTCCTCACCACAATGTCTTTCCAAGTAAGAATATAGGTTACATAGAGCAAGATTCAAAAGGGAATTATGAGGGCTAAATCAAATAATGCCTATCTTCATATAAATGTATTTAATTGCTGAGGCTTCAGTAAACGACCCCTGCTGAAACCAAGGACTTTAAGACTTCATGTTGACATTTTCTTGGTCAGTATATATTATTTTATATATGTTAGAGGTAGAAATGAGAAGATAAGTTTTTTCTTTTCCTTAATCATTGAAAAATTCACTGAACATTTACATTTTCAGAACACCTCAGCTCCTAATACTTTCATTTTCTTGATTTATGTAGCTAAATGAGGAAATAGAAGGATTTTGAGTCTATATTTTCTAGAATAATGAAAGACCCTTTTCAGGTCATTTTAAACTTTTTTACTTCATTTTAATTTTGTACTCTTGATATTAAAGTGTCCTTGTGACCATTCATTTAAATAATATTTCAGTCTTCTCTAATCAGTGTAATTATATCCTAATGTTTTATATTACATTTTCCTAAGTATCATTTTTATGTTGCTATTAAAATTTTATTGGTATACTATGTCACTATATTTTTCATTTTCAACCTTATCTAACCAGGTATCATAAAGAAATATTTTAAAACTATACTAATATTTAATTTTTTAACTGTGTAATATTTTTAAACTCTATCATTTGCTTACAGTAAACATTGCTAAAAGCAAGTTGATCAACTTACTGATCGCAATAAAACTTAATCATCTTTCTAAGTAAACAGCTCTCATCTACTGTTAGTTTATCTGATAAAGGGAGATATACCTAATGTAAATGACGACGAGTTAATGGGTGCAGCACACCAACATGGCACATGTATACATATGTAACAAACTTGCACGTTGTGCATATGTACCCTAGAACTTAAAGTATAATAAAAAAAAAAGTAAAAAAATAAATTAGGAGTCAGGTTAAAAAAAAAAGAAAACTTTCTCCGCAGTATCAGGAATATTTCATAACATGATCTTGTGTATAGAATACTTTAAGGAATATGTAAAATTACTGTTAGAACTAATAAACAATTCAGCAAGTTTGCAGGATGCAAGATCAAGACACGAAAGTCGATCGCATATTAATGCACAAATTCTTATTTCAATACATTAGGAAAAAATTGAAATTTGAATTAAAATATTCCATTTGTAATAGCATTAAAAAAGAACAAAATGAGCTGGGCATGGTGGCTCATGCCTGTAATCCCAGCACTTTGGAAGGTCGAGGTAGGCAGATCACGATGTCAAGAAATCGAGACCATCCTGGCCAACATGGTGAAACCCCATCTCTACTAAAAATACAAAAATTAGCTGGGCACAGTGGCACGTGCCTGCAGTCTCAGCTACTTGGGAGGCTGAGGCAGGGGAATCACTTAAACCCAGGAGGCAGAGGTTGCAGTGAGCCGAGATCGTGCCACTGCACTCCAGCCTGGCGACAGAGCAAGATCTGTCTCAAAAAAAAAAAAAAAGAAAAAAGAAAAAGAAAAAAAAGAAGAAAATGCTTTGGAACAAATTTAACAAAAAAAGTATAAGACTTGTGTGCTGAAAACTGTGAAACATGTGGAAAAAAATTAAGGACCAAAACAAATGAAAAGACATTCGGTGTTCTTGGAATGGAAGACTTAAGTACATTAATATGACAGTACTCCTCAAAATGACCTATAGATTGAGCACGATCCCTTCCAAGTTACACCTCATTTTTAAATTTTTTTTTGTGGATATTGACAAGCTGAGTCTATAATTCTATAACTCATATAGAAGTGCAAGGAATCTAAAATAGTCAAAACAATTTAAAAAGAAGAACAATGTTGGAAGCTCCACACTTCCTGATTTCAAGGAAAAGGTAAAGTAATCAAAACAGTGTGGTACTGGCATAAGGATAGACATATATATCAATGTAATAGACTTGAGAGTCAAAAAATAATCCCGTATATTTATGGCCAATTGATTTTCAACGGGGGTGCCAAGACCATTCAATTGCATGAGAAGAGTATCTTCAACAAATAGCACTGGGACTAATTTATATTTACATGAAAAAGAAGGAAGTCAGACCCTTACCTCATACCATATGCACACAAAAAACCTCAAAATCAACAAAAGCCTGAGTGTAAGAGTTAAAACCGTAAAATTCTTAGAAAGAAACACAGGAATATATCTTCATGACCTTAGCTTAGGCAGTGATTTCTTAGTTATATCAAAAGCAAAAACAATGAAAGAAGAAATAGATAAATTGGACTCATTCAAAATTAAGACATTTGTGCTTCAAAGGAAACTATCAAAAAGTTGAAAGACAAACCACAGAAGAGTAGAAAATATTTGTAAGTCTTATAATTAATGTGACTTATATTCGGAGTATGGAAAGGACCCTTAAAACTCAACAGTATACAGATGAATAAGCCACTTTAAAGATGTGTGAGGATTTGGATAGATATTTGTTCAAAAATATACAAATGACTATATTAGGAAATTGCAAATTAAACCCACAGTGAGATAACACTTCATACCTGTTAGGATTGCTATTCAGTAAAATACAGATAGTAACAGTTGTTGGCAAGGATATTGAGAAATTGGAGGCCTCATGCAATGCTTGTGAGAATGTAAATTGGTGCAGCTACTTCGAAAAACAGTCTGGAAATTCCTCTAATGATTAAATATAGGGCTGCCACATGACCCAATAATTCCACCCTTAGTTATATCCCCAATAGAACTAAAAGGATAAGTCAACACAAGCACTTGTACATGAATGTTCATAGCCGAATTATTCATAATAGTCAAAAAGTGGAAACAACCCAAATGTCTATCAAGTGATGGATGAGTAAAGAAATGTGGTATATTTATACAATGAGACATTATCCAGTTATGAAAATACTGAAGTACTGTAACATGCTATAATATTGATGAACTTGAAAACATTATGCTAAATAAAATTCCATTTATATAAAATATCCAGCCAAGAAAATCCAGACAGAATGTAGGTTAGGGGTTGCCATGAGCTGGGAGGAGGGGGAAGGGCATGACTAATAATAGATAAGCAGTTTATTTGGGGTTATAAAAATATTCTGGAATTTGATAGTGGTGATAGTTATACAACATTCTGAATATAATAAAGCCCGCTGAATTGTACACTTTAAAATAGTGTAATATGAACCTATCATATGATGCAACCAGTCATAGTACCCAAGAGAAGTTAAGGCACACATTGATACAAAGCTGTTTTGTGCAAATGTTCATAAGAGCTCTAATTGTGATAGCTAAATATCAGTAACAACCTAAATATCTATTCCTTTGCCTGTGGTCAATATCCAGTTGCTTAGCCTCTAAAGTGATGGAAGAGATTCAGTAGTTTTCTGGAGACAAGGGTGGAGGAACAAGAGGGAGGATCACAAAGCAGCAAGAGCAAACATTTGGGGTGATTAATATGTTCTTTATCTTGATAATGCTGATAGTTTTATGGGTATGCACATATGGTGAAACTTATTAAATTGTATACTTTAAATATGTTTGGTGTATTGTATGCCAATTAAACTCATTGCAGTGTTTTTAAAGAGAAAATAAAGTGAAAGAACAAAGAAATCTGAGCTCTTAGCTCTCAAATAAGAATATCACATGCTTGTTTTGAATTTAAATATTCTAACTTGAAATCTTGCTTGATATAAAACCTTAGCTTGAGGCCCACCGAGATGTGTTTTCATTGACTGGCATTGAAACTCCTCCGTGTTTCATCCTTATAGCTACTCAAGTATCCATTGCTGGATGAATAATTCTACTCAGCCTTTCATCCACCTGTAATTTTTCACTCGTGGTAATTGGATGCAAATTGGCTAGTGTTAATCATCAGATGTCTCTAATTAAAAACAGAAACTGGAAATGTTGTTATGAATATTGGAAGAAATGAATAAAGCAGATCAGGAAATACTTCTCTATAGGGCCTCATGACTTACTCCTGAGTGTCATTAAACTGTAGCAGGTGAAGGTGCCCTGCTTGTATTGATGGCAGAAAAGAGACAGAAATAACCTAGAAGTCACATATGAAGTCAGTGTTTTCTAAAAATTGGGAAAGTATTCCTATAACTCAAGCACTTTTTTAAATTGAATAAATTAAGAACTTTGAAAAAGAAATTTAATTAGTCAAAAATTGGATTGGTATAATGAAATGCAGGTCAAATGGACAGTTAAAGCCTTTTAAAAAACTTGATTTCTAAAATAAAATGAAAACATGATGGATTAAAAATTTAATGGATATTTTCTGGAACCAAAGTCTCAAATTTCACAGCTTTTGGGATATAATAGAAAGTACTTGGTAGATTGAATACGATTTCATGCTCTAGGAGGATAATTAATCATAAATATCTTTCTGATTTAATTAAAATTTTTACTTTTTAGGTTGCCCTGTGATTGCTGTCATTGATTTGGGCTTCTTTATAAAGGCTTTTTATAAATAGTCTTTAAAAGAAAGGAAAGCAGTTCTTTTATTACTAATCCAAATAAATAGCTATGTTATTAATGTGATTGATTGATGATACATTTATTTGTTATCAGCTAATCACTTTTAATTAAGATTATAATCTCTCAATATTTGAAAGTTATTTGACATAAGTACTTCATTTTTACTTGTACATTGTCTGCATTTAATGTTTCTATATGGAATATTTTGTGTTAGGATTAATATTTTTAAAGGTTTAAAGATAGTGGCTGGTTTATGTATGAACCGTTCTATAATGAGCAACAGCTTCATAAGAGCCTTTCTAGCCAGCATCCTGCAGCAACATCTTCCTTCTTCCTTGCTACATAGGACCTGCTACATAGGAGCAATATTTGGTTCCCACTATGCACTTTGGTCCAAGATTTGTCTTGGGTAATATCTAAGTGAGAATGGGACATTCAAAGCAAAACTAGAGTCTTCTCGGTTGCTTTCTTCTTGTCTGCTATGCCTATCTTCCTTATGTTGCCTCTCTTTGCGCCCTATTCTCTTCTATCTAACTTCCTAGTGAACTAACTTCTATCTATCTTCCTGGCTCTGTGGATCCCAGACTCATTTCCCACTTCTGTGAAGAGTTGTTCAGGGTATCTCGGGAGCTAGGGGGCTAAGTTCCTGAGTTAGCTTCCCTGGATACCCCGGTTCTGTTTCTTGGGAAAACCTCCCTCTCCATTACGTTCCCATGGCCTCTGATTATGCTCTCTGGAAGTTTCTTCCTTGTGACTTTCTCACCATGGAAATACCTGGAATGGACATGAGAGGACTTCTTCAGTCTACTTTCTCCCTGAGAAGGTTTAGGGTCTGAGGAATTGTTTTGAAGTTTGAATAAACACAGGTTTTTGAAAATCACACTTGAGATGGTTTTGTCTGTACAATTTCTTCAAAAAAAACGTAGTGCCTTTCTGGTCTATTTATTTTGGGCACTTCCATATATGATAACATGGCCAAATTATTGGGAAAATGATTTTTAAACCTTAGGACTGGTCTCTTGATTATTGGTCGGTTCTCTTGTTATCCAGAGACTGAAACAATGGACTTCTATAGGAAGGCAACATACTTAAGAAAGTGCAAGCAACTATCACAGATGCTCCAGTGATTTTGAGATTTCCCTACTTGCTTATTTTTAGTCCACACTACTTGTTTTGTAGCTTGAAATGGGTGAAAGCACTTGAGTGAGAAAATGAGGCTGACTTTTAAACAAAGCTTACTTAAATAGATATGACTACTTAAATGTCTCCACAAATTTGCCAAGAGTGTTTTTGCAGCCTTATGAATTATTGTAATGTACTAAAATTTAATGAAATTACCCATTAGATATTAATTAATATGGTAAGCATATTCCTCAACTCAATATTTGGTTAATCATCTAAGAATGTTTTTGTTTTTGCCACTTCTGAGTTATAATCATGCTAGGAAAATAACTTTGGGTGCTAAAATGTTGTATTTTGGAAAGTTTGGATAGTCTGTGAGGGCAATCAAAGTACTGTCAACACATCTCAGCATATGTGGTATTTTTCCTATAATATATTATGCAACTAATACTAATGTTTTAAAAGCTAGTCATTGTTATAGAAATATTTTTTCTATCCTATGCAAAATAGCTTCCCTTATTGTCTTGGTGAATCATCTGCACATTTGACAGCAAATATTACTCAGGGCAGTAGGAAGAATGTAAATATGATATGGCTGTCTAATAACCTATGTTAAACATACTAGAAATTATGTTAGGGGTCAAAATCACTAGTATGTTCTAAGAAAATAAGTTACTGATAAGCAGATCAGAGAACATGCACAACAGAATCTTTTATTGATGATATGAATGCTAATAAAGCGAAAGTGAAATGGGAGCTAATGTCTTAATTTGTAGACTATCTGTGAGATGTCACACTGAGCTGAGTTTTATTCTAATGAAGCATTGACCCTTGGAATGTGTCTAGTACTGACAGTTGAATCATTCTATTAACAAGGAAACGGAATACAGGAGAACTGATAGTCATCCACTTCCTCATAAATAACTTAAAAATGCCTGAGCAGCGGGGAGTCTGCTTTAATTTGTTTTCACTTCTATCTTATAAAACTGGTATCTCATCACATTTGTATATTAAGTTAGTGCTGCAAATTCTAGGCCAGAAGGGTACTTACTGAATGCAATGCAATGATGATATTTGTGTACTCATTAATGCTGGGGAGCAGTTAGAGCAGCTAGCTGCAGATTTGTGATCAAAACTGTAACAACAGCAGCAGGAGAGTACCCAGGTCATTACTGAATAATAGTTGTTTCTATTCTACAAGGGATCGTGAAGAAGACAGGTCCATTAGGACCTGATTTATTTTTTCTTATTATTTGTCAAGCGTACAAATCAAATAATTTCCATGTTATTGATGAAGGAATTTTTAACCAAACAATTCTGTGGTCTTCATAATTATCAGAGATACTAATAACAATCCCACATTTTTCTCCTGTGTGTCTGAATGGCCTAGAGAATCCTGATCTGCTTCATTCATTTCTTCCAATATTCATAACATCATTTACAGTTTCTGTTTTTAATTAGAGACATCTAATGATTAACACTAGCCAATTTGCCTCCAATTACCACCAGTGAAAAATTACAGGTGGATGAAAGGCTGAGTAGAATTACTCACTCAGCAATGGATACCTGAGTAACTATAAGGATGAAACATTGAGTAGCCTCCAGAATCCAAGATAGTTTCTCTTTTTGCCAAAATGAGAGCTTTGTCTTGGAAAATGGCAAAGGATATATTATTTAAATAAAGTATCCCAAATTTCCTAGGTTGTTAATGATCTGATTTGGTTTTCCTGTTTTAGAAATGAATTTTTTCTGTTGTAATTGAATGTTACTTGAACTGTTTAGCCTCACAGTGCATCAGATTGTTGAATTTCTCAGGACTGTCTCCCAGTTGAAGAAAGCCAACTATTATTAGATTTCACCTTGTTTACATTTCAAGAAAGATCAGGGGTATATGGCTATTATTAATGACTTTTAAGTTTTCTTAGAGTGGTTTGATATTTTCAGTACTATTTACTTTACACCATAGTTACTAGCAATGAAAGTGTGTAGGAAAAAGACCACATGAGATGCTAGGGAACATGGTATAAAGGAAGGATTTAAACTATTCTGTAGTAACTCTGGAATGAGAGAATCTTGGATTTTAGTATAGTTCTGAAAGCAAAGAAGGGAAGTGGAAAGGTTTGAAGTCCTTGGAAGAAAAACAAAAGATATGAGTTAAGAAACAGTTTTCTGTTCTAGAACTGATGGTAGGATATAAGGACCTACAGAAAGCCTTCACTGATTCTCAATCATAATTTGCTCTGAGGTTTTTTCCTCTTATATTTCCTCTTTCAATTTTTTCTTCCATAGGAATGATGCAAGATAGCACTAGTTATTTTACAGGGAAGATTTTTTGAACAGCTTGAGTATTCTGGTAGATATTGTTTAGATATTCTTAGAAATTCAGCCATGAAAGTTATTGCTCTATATTTTACCTTTCTCTGTGTTACATAGGAGCATATATATAAAAGAAGGATTCAATACTATATAGAAAGGTTCCCCATATTCCTGTCTGGAGCTATAGAATAGCGCATCTTTAGGATTCTCTGTGCAAACCAGCTAGTTAAAAAACAAAACAAAGCAAAACACAATGCTCCTAAATATAGCCACAAATTTATGACCCGCTCTGTGCCAGACACAATACTATTTGATCCTTACAATAATACTATGAGGGAAGATATTATCCCTATCTTGAGGATGAAGATAAGATATCAGAAATTCAGAGATATGTGTCAAAACTGTAACTGTTGGATCTACCTCTCAAGCATGTTCTTTTTCTATCACTTTGTACCACCTCTTACAAAATTCTCCCTCAGCATAGAAAAAAGAACGTATCTCGATCTTCTCTATGTTTTCTCACTGATGCTGTCTGTATGGTCACTGAATAATATTGGAGTAAATGTAGCTCTTTATCAAGTTCAAAGATTTACCATCATATCATATGAAGTATATGTTTTTGAGCTGCCTGCAACTTGAGACAATAATTTTTTTTCCTGGCACACAGCTACAACACCTTCTTCTTTTCTTAACAACAATGGGTTTGGCTTTAATTGCCTCTTAAATACAAAGTTTAATTATAGTTGCAAAACTATTTTAAGCCATCAAACTTTCTACTACATTATAGCAAAATTATCTTAAAAGAAGAAAAAAAATTTAACTTTAGGGAAACTTTGATAGTGATAGTAATATGATAGCATCTGAAACATATACATTATATATAAACATATATATATTACATTTAATATATGGTGATAACTGGCATTTAATAAAATATTTTAGGTATATCAAAAGATTGAACTACAGGACTAAAATCTATGATTAAAAACAAACAACAGAGATACCCTAAAGATTAACCAGATACTAAAATTGACAAATACTTTAAAATTTATATGGTAAATTGGATTGTTCGTAACACAAAGGATAAATACTTGAGGTGATGGATATCCCACTTACCCTGATATGATGATTATACATTGTATACCTGTACCAAAATATTTCATATACCTAATAAATATATATACCTACCATGTACCCATAAACATTAAAAATTAAAACAATAAAATGTTTATGCCAAGTATATTCAAAAATAGAGAAAAATATAGAAATATAGAAAATAGGTAAAAAACTTTTCACAAGAAAATTGGAAACTATAAAAAGTAGTAAACAGAAGTTCTAAATAAGAAAAACATAATAACTGAAATAACCATTTGAAAGCTGTACAGATGCAGCAGAAGAGGAGATCAGTGAATTGGAAAACAGGTCAATAGAAAAACTCCAAACAGAATTTCAGAGAGAACAACTTTGAAAACAGAGAAAATACAAAAGAGATTTGTGAGGCACATTCAAAATGTTCAACATGTTTGCAATGGAAGTCAGGAAGGGAAGAGAGAATATGAAAGAAGCAATAATTGAAATAATAATGGCTGATAATTTTCTAAAACTGAGAAAATACAACAACTCACAAGATTCAAGAAGCTATGTGAACCCCAATCAAGGTAAGCAGAAAGAGAATAATACCTAGACAGATCATAATAAAAGCACTGGAAATTCAGGACAAAAAACTCTTGAAAGAAGCAAGGACTGGGGCTGGGAGAGGTTGGGTGGACATCATATCTTCAAAGGAGTAACAGTAAAGAAAAAAGACTGACAATGGACCTTTCAATAAATATAATAAAAACTAGGTGGCAATGGAATGATGTATTTGAAGTGCTAGAAAGCATAGAGTTGCCAAAGTTGAATGCTATACCTAATGAGAACTTTCTTCAAAAATAGAAGGTGAAATGGAGGCATTTTCAGAAAAAAAATTAAAGAATATGTCACCAACTTACATGAATTGAAATAAAAATTAAAAGGTATAAGGAAAATGATTCCAGATGCAAAAAATTAGAAAATGCAGAAACAATGAAGGACAATAGAAATAATAAATATATAGTTAAATATCAATGAGCAGTGATTGCTCAGAACAACAATAATAATATTTGTGAGATTTAAATGTGAGATTTAAATGTATTTGAATGTATTACAAATGTAATTAAATGTGTTACATATGTATTACAATCCACAAAAGATGTGATTGGGGCTAATAAAGTTAAAATCTTCTAAAGCTGAAGAAATATTAGCAGTGTGTTTAAGATAATAATTTGCTGTTGGCTGGGTGTGGTGGTTCATACCTATAATCCCAGCACTTTGGGCAACCAAGGCTGTAGGGTTGCTTGAGGCCAGGAGCATCAGACCATCCTGGGCAACTTAATGAGACCCTGCCTCTACAAAATTTAGCCAGGCATGGTGGTGCATACCTGTAGTTCCAGCTACTTGGTGGGGACGCTGAGGTGGAAGGATCACTTAAGCCTGGGATTTCAATGCTGCAGTAAGCTGTTATTGTGCCACTGCACTCCAGCCTGGGTAACAAAGTGAGACCCTGTCTCAAAAAAGATAATAATGTGCTGTCTACTATAATAAACCAAGGATGTATGTTGTTATATCTTGGATAAAGTAATAGTAAACAAATGAATAACAAATAATTTAAGAGTGCTAATTGGATTAACAAAAAATACATGACAAATCCAACATAAGTTTAGAAAGAAAATAAAAGAAATATAAATAGGTATATCAAATTGAAAACAAATAACAATATAGTATATGTTACCAGAAATATATCAGTGATTATATAAAATGCAAATGCTGTAAAATCCACATGTAAAAGTCCAAAATTTCCAGACTGAATACAACACCAAAATCCTACTTTATGCTGCTTAAGAGAGACATGATTTAAATAGTAATGGGATGGTCAAGGTAAGCCTCCTTGAGAAATTATATTTGAGCAAATACTGATTGGATTGAGCAAGTGGATCTCAGGAGGAAGAATGTTTGGGCAGAAGTAACAACCAGAGCCATGACCCTAAGGAGAGAGTATGGCTGGAATGGATAAGGAACAGGAAAGAAGCCAGTGGAGAAGGAGAGTAGAGTGAAAGAGCCAAAGACCAGTTGCAGAGGCAATCAGAACAGTAAGAAGAGTCAGATGAGAAAGAGCCTGGTTGGCTAATGCAGAATTTTGGATTCTAAGTAAATTGGAGAATGGTTGTGGGATTTTGAGTAGGCAAGTGATACAATCCGAGTTAAAATTTACAAGCATCATTCTGACTGCTGTGGTGAGAAGTGGAAGCACGAAGATGTTTTTGGAAATTATTGCCACAACCCGGTAAGAGTTAAGGGTGGCTTGAACCAGGATGGTAGCAATGAAGGTATTGAGAAGTGATTGGATTTTGGATATAGTTGAATCCCCAGTAAACTGGAAGCAGAGAGGTGCAACTACCTGTCATTAACTGCAGATAGAAAACGTGTATGAACAGCCAACCTGATTTAGAAGACCTTCAAACAGAGACAAGATAGAACATTTAAGAAGTGAAATTTAGCTCATAGCTGACTGAATGGTTATGTTAGTGGACATAAAAAGATCAGATGTGGAAAGTGAAGTGTCGGAGAGTCAAGGATAAACCAGTAAGACAGGAAGCAAAATGTCCACAAATGAGTAATGGTTGCACTTCTATTGCATTTGTTGAGCATCCTTCCTTTTGAAGCTAGGTTTTTAGTTGAAAGTCCTGCTGCAAGAAGCTAACATTTCAAGGGTGAACACATTATAAGTGAAATACATTTAAAAAAATAAGAAAAATAAAGAATGTTCTCTTTTCCCAAACTAATAGATTTGTAAATAAATATTAGTTCCCTCCCTCTCTGCTATACATCTTAGCAGCATATTGAGTGACTGTGTAAACATATTTTTAAAAATTATATGTATAATCAGTATCATCAATGATAAATTGGAAAAGAGCACTTAAAAACACATAAATTACTCTTTTTTCCCCAGGTACATCTGTAACCGAAGATAATTCCTTGTATAATACATAACAGGCTTTCTATTTTTTGGACAGCAATGATTTATACTTATTTTTTCCTTGTAAAGGGGAGTATCCGATTCTTGGGGACATCAATTAGTGAATCTGATGAGGAGGATTCAATGATACTATAAAGATTAATGGTCCTGTGATTTCTGAGACAAGATGTATTTTAAAGTCTTATTGAGTGAATTGCTCTCAGCATCTTGTCAAGTGATGCAAATATCTACTGTAGGGTATTCTGCACTGGCAAAGGACTAGGATTATGCTTTTTCATTAGTAGATGATCATATACTCTCAGGGTACCCTAAGTAGTTTGCTTTATAAAAATTAATGCTCAATTATAAAATATTGACTTTTGCAAATTTTAGAATCATATTTTATTTTAGGAATCTCAGATAAAACCATGAAGGAATGACAGGGCTAGCCAGTCTTCTTCATCTTGATATCCAGGAGGCTTGTACATTGACAGGCTTATTAGTTGATGCTAATATCTCTTCATTGAATTCAAAATACAGAGTACTTGTCACCTTGTTAAAATGCAGAAAGCTTTTTCTTTCTTCTTGCATTTGTTTACGGAATATTATGAAATATGAGTTTAGAAACAAAAGCACTTCCAGATAGAAAGCTCCTGGTCCTTTCCAGTATAACCATGAAGATGGATATTTTATAAAACTAGTAAGTTTGGAGCAATAGTTGTAAAACTCCTCATGTTATTGAGATTAAAGAGAAATTCACAGAGATCAAAACTTTGCATAAAACATTTGGAAAATAAATTAAGTAAAAATAATAGGCAATTTATAAATAATGAGAATTTTGAGAGAAGAAAGTAAAACTCTTTTTGTATAGTAAGACTCTGATATTTAATGAAGCAAATCATACTGTTCTAAAAATGAGAGGATTTTTACTTGCCTAACTCCTTCCTAACAATTATGATTTTTAAAATAGTTTAAAGGCAGTTTCTTTCTTTATAAAACAAATCTAAAATAAAGAAACTTATAAAAATTGCTTTTGTTAATTAATATCAAGTACATCATGCTGAGAAAACTTGTTCTAAAATCATAGGTCATGAAAAACTTTGGTGTTTGAAATAAGATTTGGGAGAATGCAACATATCATTCTTGTCTGAAGGATCTGAGCCATGCGGGTCACTTTGACATAAAAAAGCAGCATCAATTTTCAATCCAGCTAAGCTTCAGATAAAGGTTTTTGGACACAATATTCCACATAAATCGTAGCTTTGCCTTTTTCAAAGGTAATAAGACCCTGAGTACTCTTCTAGCCTGGGTGATAGATTATGATGTTCTTAATATGGTCTAAAAAGAAAAATCCTCAGAGCCCATGGCCCAAGTCATGTAAACAATGTTTTCCACATTGTTGAATTGACTTACAATTCGGATTACCATTTTCTTATCAACGATTTCTCAAGTTCCACTTTATTCTTTCTGTCTCCTGAAAAAAATTGCTGATGTACCCAGTTTTTAAATGATGGCCACATCCTGAGCTGGTCCCCTATTTCCCCTAGTCACTCCTTATGCTTCAGCACCATCCATCCCCTTCAGCCTCCAAACTCCCTATTTCAGAAACATTCCAGGGTTCCTTTTGTGCCCACTCTCCCTTGCTGCAGCAAGTTAATAAACCATAAACATGGCTTGGTTTGACTATAATGTGTTCCTGGCATTTCTTTTCTTACGCTGTTTTATGACAACTTTCACTGTCGCATCAAACTGAAAGACAGCAAAAATCATATTCTTCTCTGAGAAATAAACTCAAGAACAGCAATCCTTTTAACTTTAGATATTTATATAAAAATATCATTGCAATCCTTGAAAAAAAAAGCTAGATAGTTCTGATGGGTCATTAATTCATCAGATTAATTGGTATTGTAATTTTCAAGGTAATATTTAGAACACACACTTATAGAACATCTAGGGTACATTTTTTTAGAAGCAATGGAGAGTGTAGAATAGGCCAGAAATGTGGATATGGGTTAATAATTAGATTTTCAGAGAAGAGAAAATAGGCTTGTTCTCAGAAGGAAATCTGGGGAAGTTGATGTTGATTATCATGTGTGTGTGAAGATCATGAGTCGATAGATTTCTGAACATCTACAAGAAAAGCTAAGCAGGTTCTCAAAAGACTACACTAGAGAGTAGGATAAATGAATAAACCAGTAAGTTGGTTACTAGAAGTCCACAGAGCAGAACAAGGGGACAGACTCAATCCTGTTGTAGAAGTGTTTGTATTAGTGCAGCATGCCAGGGTTTTGCTAGGGCTCCTGGCTCCTCTCTCATGACCAGCAGCCACGTGGAGAAGGGATGAGGCTGATCTCCAGGCACGGCACGGAAGGAGGAGATCTCTTCAGTGGTGGACATCCTCTGCTTACGTTCTGTGGGTGATAGAGCTGATCTTGAGACTCGTGTCTTCAGATATTAATGAAAATAAACAAGAAAAATTCCTAACCGTATAAAAGACTTAAAATCTTGATACATAATAAAGGCAAAATTATTCAAGTCACAGACATTCACCTTTATTGGATACAAGATGAACAAGTAAGGAAGACAAGATACAACTTTTAGTAGACGATAGTTTTTTGGGGGATATTTATTTCTCAACATAAATGTGCCCCAATTTCTTGCTACATTTTACTTGAGTGTTTTCATGCATGTGTGTACTTCAACGAGTTCTTTTATAAAGGGAAATTTAGAGCCCAGAGCTAGCTTCTCTGATGACCCTATGCAGTATTGAGTATAAGAATTAAATGGGAAGAAACAAAAAATTTAGACTGAAGTAAACATTTAAAGTGCCTTTTTGAGTCTTTTGACCTTGGTTTTTATAATTTAGCCAAGAGTGTGCTTGCATGAGTCAAACTAACTCCCATCAGTCCCCTGTCTTTCTGTAACTAAAGTTCTTTTCATCTTTATTTTCTTTGCAGTCATTCATTTTCTTCTCTTCCATAGTTTTCTTTTTAAGTAATATTTGGTATTTTAAGATTAAATTCCCAGACACCTTTCCTCCAGGCGGAAAACACTGTGAAAGGGAATGCAAATTATTTCCAATAAAAATGGTGTAAGTGTGAAAACTTACAGAGAATGACATTTTCTACCTTTCATCAGGGGGAGTTTTAACTACATTTGATATTAAGGTGTTAAAAAACACATTTCCCCAGATTCTGTGACTTATCAAACCAAATGGCCTTGTTCTGGCCTAGTAGTAGGCAGCTTGCAGTCCCCACAGAAAAACTTGGTTGAGAGCAGGAAATGCAAACAAGTGAACAAACAAAACAAACCAAAGCCAAGAACAGCCATGCTCATTTATTCAGCAAATATTCTTTTATATACTTACTGTGTGACAGACACTTTCCTACATTCTGGAGATTAAAAGAAAAAAAAGCTCAGCCCTGGCCCATGGACTCAGTTTACAGACATTGGGAGGATAGATATTATAAACATGTTTTTTTTTTCTATGCTATTGTAGGCACACATGGTTGTATCACAGTGAGTTTTTATCTGAGTAGAAATGTGGGTCAAGGCTGCTTTCTGAGGTAAATTACATTTAGGATGAGAGGATCTAGAGATGAAGCAAACACCTTTTGAGTCCTTAGTAAATGACCAACATTGTGCTAAGTACTTTAGAGATATCATATAATTGAATTATATCAAAATCTAAAGTGGGAAACAGCACAATCATCCCCTTTTTTCAGTGAGAAAATTGAGCCTTGCAGAAATTAAGTGACTTACCCAAGATCACAGAGCCCATTCAGGGCCAACTTGGGTTTGAGTTCATGTCGATTTCGGTGAGGTGCCCAAAGCCACCTTCTTTTACCTTCTCACACATTGTAGGCAGTATGCTGAATAAGTCTTAAAAAATACAGTTAATTTTTTTTCCTTCATGGCAGTTCTGGTGGATATGTTGATATAAATATCCTCTTATCTATAAAACTCTGAGGCTTATGTTCACAATGTGAATTTAATATTTAATTTAATATTTAAAAAGGCAAAATGTGAATCTTTGATACAGCAGGATAAATGCCTCTCCCAAGTTACTCTTTATCTTAACATGTCTCAATACGCATAGATTAAAAAGTACTTTAAACTGAAAATTAAAGTTCTGAGTCTGTCCCACTCTATACATGGACAATGGGGATATTCTGATTGTCCCAAATTAATTCCTGCAATGATATCCACCCACCATCAAAGCATCTGGCACTTTAGTCAGCAACAACATTAAAGATTAATGTTATAAGAAAGAATAAGGCCATTTACGGATAATCACATATGCAAACCAACTAGCTTTATTGACTAGGCAACTATCATTCAAATGAGTCTTTTTGATATTTTCAGCCTGGCGTCTTATGTCTTGTGCAGACTTCACACAGTCTTCCAGTACATTGGATTATCTGTTCTGACTTACACAATTTATTTACTTTGATTTTGTTATCTTGCTTCAGGTTTCACTCCTTTTTATTGCTTTAACTATTAGTATACCATGAAAGTTCTACTTGAGGCATTTGGCAAGAATGTCTGTACTTGAAGACAGCCTATCATTTAGGATGCTTTCGACTTTAGGAAACAAGCAAACAAACAAAATCAACTCCAAATGGCACAGATAACAAGTAACATAATCTACAAACAGAAAGTTTTAAAGTAGAATAGATGAAGGCATCATTAATTCATTGGCTAAATAATATTATTAAGGATATGGGTTCCCCAGCCCACTTCTGTGCTATCTTCTGTGTCTTCACTAGCTTTCCAATGGTGCCAAGTTGTGTGTAGACTTTCTAGGCTCCATAGGCAGAATAACAGTGCTCCACAGAAGAAGAAGCCATCTCTTTCTGTGTGCCTCTTTTTTTTTTTGACAAAGAAAATATGTTGTAGAAGCTTCCTGGTAGACTTTCTTTCAGACTTTCGTTGGCCAGAAGAAGGTCACACATGTCAACTCCAGGCTTACTTGCTCTCAGATTGATTCCTTAATTCTCCCTGACTCAACTCTACATTCCAGGAGGCCTCAGTTTCTGAAGGCTGTTTCTCTGACTCCTGGAACAACTGGTTTCTGGGTGAATTTGGTCACAGGGTGGCACTGCTGGGAGATTAAAGGATAGGTAAGAGAGAGAAGCCAGGGTATTTCTTCTTCTTCCTCTCCCTCGGCTGCTACACCTCCAGCAGCTTCTGTCTTTTCTGTTTTCTAACATCTGCCAAGCTAGTGGACAGTGGGTCCAGATTCTGCAGATAATCCGGGGTTATGGTCTAAATGTGTGTGCTTCTCACAAATGTATGTGTTGAAATCCTAACTCCCAAAGTGACGGTTTAGAAGGTGGAGCCTTGGGGAAGTGATCAGGTCATGGTGGGTGGAAGCCTTCATGATGGGATTAGTGTCTTTATAAAGGAGGCCTGGAGCGACCCCTTCACCCTTTCTGTCATGTGAGGATGGAATGAAAAGATGGCCATCGATGCAGTGGGCCCTCACCAGATATCCAACCTATCAGGGCCTTGATCTTTGACTTCTCAGCTTCCAGAACTGTAAACAACAAATTTCTATTGTCTGTAAGTTCCCCAGTCTATGGTATGTTGTTATAACAGCACTAGTGGATCAAGACACCAGGCCAGTGGGCTTTGGTTCGACTTCCTGTTCGCTTTGCCTTTCCAGCTTATGAATGGTTGTGGCTTGGTATCCTTCCTCAACTATTTTATTGCTGTGTAAAAAAATTCCTTGCATTGAGTTCTCCTTGCTTCAAACACTTGTAGTGATTATGTTTTCCTGATGAAATCCCAAATGAGGTGTATGCCCACCAGTAAACCAGTTACTAGCAAGGAGAATGGGGTCTCCAGATTTTGTTTCTGTTGCAAGGTTGAAGGTAGGCAGTTTGTGTTATACAGATAATGGAGTCAGTCTTCTATTTTTCTCTTTAAGATTCTTTGTATGTAACGGAGGAAAAGAATACCTTACATATGCCTGGCAGCAGATTGGTGTAAAGATACACGAGGGGTAATTATTGCAAAGTAAGAGGTGATTTAAAAAGGAATTAAAAAGTATATATTTGGCCTCTGTATTATTTTTTCTTGGGCTGCTGTAATACAACACCACAGACCAGGTGGTTTAAAACACAGAAATTTATGTTCTAACAGTTTGGGAGGATGACAGTCCAAGATCAAGGTTCTAACTAACCTGGTTCCAGTGAGGGCTCTGTTCCTGGCTTGCATCTGGCTGCTGTCTCCCTACATCCTCACATGACCTTTCCTCAGTGTGTGTGTGGAGAATGAGAAGGAGAGTGGAAGTCAGCACTCTGGTGTCTCTTCTTATAAAGACACTAATCTTACTGGATTGTGGCCCCACCTTTATGAATTCATTAACCTTCATTACCCTGTTTTAGGCCTTATTTCAAAATACAATCACATTGGGATTTAAGGTCTCTACATGTTATTTTTGTTGGGGGAATACTATTCTGTCTATAGCATTCCCAGTTGGTTTTGCCATATATGATGATACCTGGTAATTTTCTTTAATCACATTGCATGCCAGCTTTCTGTTCTCTGAAGTAGGGTTGTTGACACATCGGCATTGGGATGAAAGGGGCTGTGTAAGTGAAGAATTGTGTACCATTAGGCTTTACTGATATGGCTGATTAGATCTTATATACCTCGACTCTAGGAAAAAGGCATTTTCTTTTATTTTGTCTGGTTCTGTGTTTTGAAGGATGTGTTACCTATGTGAACATGCCTCCCATCTTGCTTTTGTTGTCTTCATTGTATTTGTTGCTTTGCAAAGACATAGTGAGGGTGAGTTTAAGATTTAAAATACAGGTGATTAAATAATACTTAATCTCTGGGATAAGGTTAGGGGAGGAGGGACACTACTTTTTCCTTTGTGACTAAATCAAAACATGAATTTGATGTAAAACCCAAAACTATAAAAACTCTGAACATAGACATGGACAAAGATTTCATGATGAAGACATTAAAAGCAATTGCCACAAAAGCAAACATTGACAAATGGGATCTAATTAAACTAAAGGGTTTCTGCACAAGAAAAGAAACTATTAACAGAATAAACAGACAACCTACAGAACGGGGGGGGAAATTTTACAAACTATGCATCCTACAAAGGTCTACTATCCAGCATCTATAAGGAACTTAAATTTACAAGAAAAAAACAAACAACTCCACTAAAAAGTGGGCAAAGGACATAAAAGGACACTTTTCAAGAGAAGACATACATGTGGCCAACAATAATTTGAACAAAAGTTCATCACTTCTCATTAGAGAAATGCAGATCAAAACCACAGTGAGATACTATCTCACATCAGTCAGATACTATCTCATATCAGTCAGAATCGCTATTACTAAAAAGTAAAAAAAAAAAAAATAGATGCTGGCAATGTTGCTGAGAAAAAGGAATGCTTATACACTGTTGGTGAGAGTGTAAATTAGTTCAACCGTTGTGGAAGACAGTGTGGCAGTTCCTCAAAGAACTAAAGACAGAAATACCATTTGACCCAGCAATCCCATCACTGGGTATATACCCAAAGGAATATAAATCCTTCTGTTATAAAGACACATGAATGCAAATGTTCATTGCAGCACTACTCACAGTAGCAAAGACATGGAATCAACCAAAATGCTCATCAATGATAGATTGGATAAAGAAAATGTGGTACATGTACACCATGGAATACTATATAGCCATAAAAAATAACAAGATATTGTTCTTTCCAGGGACATGGACAGAGCTGGAGGCCATTATCATTAGCAAACTAATGCAGGAACAGAAAACAAAACACTACATATTCTCACTTATAACTCACTTATGGTGAAAACACATGAACACAGACTGGGGTCTGCTGGGGGGTAGAGGGTGGGAGGAGGGAGAGGAGCAGGAAAAATAACTAATGGGTACTAGACTTAATACCTGGGTGACTAAGTACTCTGTACAACAAACCCCAACAAAAGTTGACCTATGTAACAAACCTACACATATATCCCTCAACTTAAAATAAAAGTTAAAAAAAAGAACTGTAAAAAAGGTGGATTTGAGAGATTTAAAAATCAAATTAATTAGTAAGAATAATTAACCCCTTTTTCCCACATGTGAATAATATTCTAATTCCTTAGTCCATGCTCCAGACCAAAAGTATCAGATGGAAAAGAGAGGTATATAAATACTGTCTATTTTTATTTTTTGATGTAAGTTAACGTTTATTAATAAAACAACTAGAGATATGAACATACAGACTCAATAAGAAGTAAAAGCAAGATGCAGAAATAAAAGTTAAATGTTCAGAAAGCAGCAGAATTTGATTGAGGGACCAGCATATGCGGGGGCAGTTGGAAATTAGAGTGTGTTCGTTAGAAGGTGTTGCTGAGAATTTTCCAGGAAGACAGAAAGAGATTTTAAAAGATGGAAAATCTTCAAGTTTCAGAAGATACGAAGAAAAAATTATGCTCAGCTTCATGTTCCAGGGATAATGTGTGTGAAGATGTGTGTGCCGGAACAAGATACATTTAAGAAAGTTCCTGAGGGGAGGTGTAGTGAAAGAGCCCTATCAGGGGATTAAAGGCACATGCGTTGCTGTGATCTAGAAACAAGACTTTGTATCTGGAACTAAGCCAAAGAATGAGAATTGTCTCTAAGGAGAAAGCTAAGGGATTATGAATGGAGTTCACGAATGGAACACAAGAAACTATAAAAACACACAACATTGATAAGAGCAAATGTAACTAAGTTAATAGTGTTTGTATTTAATTATAATATCTTTTACTAAAATAACATATTTTTTGCTAGAGTTTTGACCTAGAATATACAGCAGAGGGGGACTCTTGACTTTCCTATCCTCTAAAAGACAACAAAAACTCTGGGGTAGATATAGTCTTTTTTTTAAAGATGAGAAAATTACCAGGTAATTTATAGGACTCACTCAAAATCACATGATGTGAACTATGTAAGACTAGAATTGAATTCTGCATTTTGGGGGCCTCCCCTCTTCCTTTTCCTAGTGGCAAAGGAACATCACAAGCAGTACATTGAGCCCCTGCAGTTAGACGCAAACAATGCTGATGCATACATACCACACATTGCTGTTGTTTCAGCCCACTGATAATGGGACAATTCCTTTCTTTGCCAATAAAATAAAAATGCGGAAAAGAGAAATCCCTTTCAGTGGTTTACTGTATATAGAAACATCTCTATGTAGAAAATGTCTCAATGTAGAAAGACTGGGACAGCGTAAACATTTTTATTTTGTAGTAGGTTCATATTTCTCAATCCATAAATCTTCAATATAGAAACAAAACCTAATTTCTTTGTTTTTTATGTCATCACAAACTCTCATTTAGTCAGACGCCAGAAAACTTAGGGAAGCCATGAGGAAGAGGGGCTCTCCTTTAGTCTTCTCACAGGCTCTAGCAGGTATTCTATCCCATTTGGTCCTTGGGCATGGACATTCTCCACGGGCTTTAACTGGGGCTTCTGTCTTTCCCTCTGTACTGTGGCCTCTTGGACCATGCTACTTTTCCCAGTGGCAGGGCCATTAGACACACTCTGAATTCTCTATCCTTTCTCTTTCTCTCTTTCCCTAATCTTTCTTGATGGACAGGGATGGTTTGGCTGCCACGACATACTTCTCTGGGCTGTGAGAACACTTGATGTGGCAACCACGGGTTCTCTCTTTGTCAGTTAGCATTTATTTCCTACTGTCCCCTCCAAGCTCTGATGATGTGGGACATTTTCAAGTATTTCAGTGAAATCAGCACCAACTACCTTCTACTTTTGTTTTTCAAATGTAACTGGGGGCCTTTTCTTACTGCCAACCATAGAATTAGTCTTGAGCAGTGAAGACTCAAGACTTCACCAGGATGTATGGTGCTTTCAGGGGATTTTTATCTAGTCTGAAGCACAGGGAAGTTGGTACAGGGCAAGATAATTATGTCTATTCATTTCTTAAAATTCCAGAATTTGATGCTTTTGTTCTCAGGATGCAGAATAGCTTCTCCCTTTAGGACAAGACCAGTATCATATATAGCACCCAAATATAGGAGAATCACAGAGATAAAAAGAGTTTAATCTCACTGCAATTATTTTTATTTCATTTTAAACAAAAACTTTACTTTTTCTCTATATTTCACAACACAGAGCTCTTCTGAGCTACACATTTTTGGGTAAATTTGTATAACATAGGGCAATGAGTGGCTGACCTTTATTTCATATCTTTGGGAATTTTTTTCCCCAATGTTGTCAATGACCACCTGCAATAAAAAATCATCTGGGATAGTTGTTTAAAATTAAAATGCAGGCCTAACCCAGATTTATTAAATAATGCCCTCTGGGGCTGAGCCTAGGTATCCACATGTTAACAGTTACACCTGAGGTATTCTTATGCTAATCAATTTTGAGAAACTCTGATGCAGGATTAGATTAGGTTGAATTATTTCACTTGCTAGGACAGTTCAAACAGGAATATGTATAATTGGAGACGTTTCTTTAACAAAATAAGAAAAGATATCTAATATGTAATCATCTGATTAGAATGTCTTAATTGTGTGTCCTACATATTCCTAAAGAAAACTGTATTACTCCTAATGGTGATTTAATTTAAATGGAGAGTCCCCTAGACTTATATCACTTGAATCATGCTTAAGGGGATGAAATTTTGATTTGTGATAGTAACTACACAACAAAGTTGAGCATATTTTGGAAAAATTGTTGCTCATCTACGCTTGTGGAAGGACCATTTAAAATGCACACATACATGCATGTGCACACCCATAAATATACACACACCCCACATACGCACACCCCACACCACATGCACAACCTAAAATACTCATCTACTTTCTGTCAAGAAGAAGATTAGTATGAGGGTCAAAACCTTTATTTTGTGCCTTGATTTTATGACTCCAAAGTGAAATATACTTTATTACTTTCCTAGGGCTGCCATGACGAATGACCACAAAGTCGGCGACTTAAAATACAGAAATTTACTATCTCAGGGCTCTGGAGGCCAGAGATCCAATCATGGTGCTCACAAGGCTGCACTCTGAAAACTTTAGGAGAGCCATGGTCCTTGTCTCTTCTAGTTTCTGGTGGCTCCAGGCATGACGTGGCTTGTGGCTACATGATGCTCATCTCTGCTCCCATCTAACATCTCCTTCTCCGGTTCCTTTTCTGTCTGTGTCTCCTCCTTTGCTGTCTCTTATAAGGACATTCATCATTAGACTTAAGGCTCACACAGATAATCCAGGGTATCCACCATGATCAAGTGGGCTTCATCCCTGGGATGCAAGGCTGGTTCAATATACGCAAATCAATAAATGTAATCCAGCATATAAACAGAACCAAAGACAAAAACCACATGATCATCTCAATAGATGCAGAAAAGGCCTTTGACACAATTCAACAACCCTTCATGCTAAAAACTCTCAATAAATTAGGTATTGATGGGACGTATCTGAAAATAATAAGAGCTATACATGACAAACCCACAGCCAATATCATACTGAATGGGCAAAAACTGGAAGCATTCCCTTTGAAAACTGGCACAAGACAGGGATGCCCTCTCTCACCACTCCTATTCAACATAGTGTTGGAAGTTCTGGCCAGGGCAATTAGGCAGGAGAAGGAAATAAAGGGTATTCAATTAGGAAAAGAGGAAGTCAAATTGTCCCTGTTTGCAGATGACATGATTGGATATCTAGAAAACCCCATCATCTCAGCCTAAAATCTCCTTAAGCTGATAAGCAACTTCAGCAAAGTCTCAGGATACAAAATCAATGTACAAAAATCACAAGCATTCTTATACACCAATAACAGACAAACAGAGAGCCAAATCAGGAGTGAACTCCCATTCACAATTGCTTCAAAGAGAATAAAATACCTAGGAATCCAACTTACAAGGGATGTGAAGGACTTCTTCAAGGAGAACTACAAACCACTGCTCAATGAAATGAAAGAGGATACAAACAAATGGAAGAACATTCCATGCTCATGGGTAGGAAGAATCAATATTGTGAAAATGGCCATACTGCCCAAGGTAATTTATAGATTCAATGCCATCCTTATCAAGCTACCAATGACTTTCTTCACAGAATTGGAAAAAACTACTTTAAAGTTCACATGGAACCATAAAAGAGCACTCATTGCCAAGTCAATCCTAAGCCAAAAGAACAAAGCCGGAGGCATCACGCTACCTGACTTCAAACTATATTACAAGGCTACAGTAACCAAAACAGCATGGTACTGGTATCAAAACAGAGATATAGATCAATGGAACAGAACAGAGCCCTCAGAAATAACGCCACATATCTACAACTATCTGATCTTTGACAAACCTGAGAAAAACAAGCAATGGGGAAAGGATTCCCTATTTAATAAATGGTGCTGGGAAACCTGGCTAGCCATATGTAGAAAGCTGAAACTGGATCCCTTCCTTACACCTTATACAAAAATTAATTCAAGATGGACTAAAAACTTAAACGTTAGACCTAAAACCATAAAAACCCTAGAAGAAAACCTAGGCATTATCATTCAGGACATAGGCATGGGCAAGGACTTCATGTCTAAAACACCAAAAGCAATGGCAACAAAAGCCAAAATTGACAAATGGGATCTAATTAAACTAAAGAGCTTCTGCACAGCAAAAGAAACTACCATCAGAGTGAATAGGCAACCTACAAAATGGGAGAAAATTTTCACAACCTACTCATCTGACAAAGGGCTAATATCCAGAATCTACAATGAACTCAAACAAATTTACAAGAAAAAAACAAACAACCCCATCAAAAAGTGGGCAAAGGACACGAACAGACACTTCTCAAAAGAAGACATTTATACAGCCAAAAAACACATGAAAAAATGCTCACCATTACTGGCCATCAGAGAAATGCAAATCAAAACCACAATGAGATACCATCTCACACCAGTTAGAATGGCAATCATTAAAAAGTCAGGAAACAACAGGTGCTGGAGAGGATGTGGAGAAATAGGAACACTTTTACACTGTTGGTGGGACTGTAAACTAGTTCAACCATTGTGGAAGTCAGTGTGGCGATTCCTCAGGGATCTAGAACTAGAAATACCATTTGACCCAGCCATCCCATTACTGGGTATATACCGAAAGGATTATAAATCATGCTGCTATAAAGACACATGCACACGTATGTTTATTGCGGCACTATTCACAATAGCAAAGACTTGGAACCAAGCCAAATGTCCAACAATGATAGACTGGATTAAGAAAATGTGGCACATATACACCATGGAATACTATGCAGCCATAAAAAATGATGAGTTCATGTCCTTTGTAGGGACATGGATGAATTTGGAAATCATCATTCTCAGTAAACTATCGCAAGAACAAAAAACCAAACACCGCATGTTCTCATTCATAGGTGGGAATTGAACAATGAGAACACATGGACACAGGAAGGGGAACATCACACTCTGGGGACTGTTGTGGGGTTGGGGGAGGGGGGAGGGATAGCCTTCGGAGATATACCTAATGCTAAATGAGGAGTTAATGGGTGCAGCACACCAGCATGGCACATGTATACATATGTAACTAACCTGCACATTGTGCACATGTACCCTAAAACTTAAAGTATAATAATAAAATAAGAAAAAAAAAGATAATCCAGGGTTAGCTTATTTTGAGACCCTTAATTTATATGTCTGAAAAGACAATCTTTCCAAATAAGTTCTGATGCACGGGAGCCTGGGGTTAGGATGTGAACATGTCTTTTAGGAGCAGCCACCATTGAACCCACTACAAACATTGTGGCCATACTTCAATTTTTATATTTGTAAATTTCTTCAGAATGGTGGTGGATACCACTTTTATGCCTCCTCTCCTGGCTTGAGGCAGAATGCCTAATGAGGAACTAATGGCCCAAAAAAGAGAGCAAGTGGCAGAAGAAGGAGGAATTAGATAATCCTGTCTACAACCATAAGGGCTGCCTTTCATCTTTTTCCTAAACCTCTTTCAAAACTTGGCATCTGGGGAATGAAAATCTATTTCTTTAACTTAGAATGTGGAGTAAACTTAGCTTGAGCCTAGGGGAATAAATTTTGTTCAGTTTGTGGAAATCCGCCTTATGATTTTAAATGAATTTTTTGCCTTCTTGCTTAATGAAGGCATCATGAGTGAATAACCATTCATATGCCAGCCTGTAGGAGCCATTGCAATGTTGCATCTGTAGACTGCCTGTCACATCATTAACTTTAATCTTTTCTTAGTATTTAAAGGAGAAAGATGAAAGGGAAAGAAAAACTAATTAGTTTAAAAGATAGATGGTACATTCTTTTGAGTAGAATTTAATTTAAAATAAAAGTGTGAAATAGCTTTTATGAAAAAGGCCAGCACAGGAGGAAAAGAAAAAGAAATGTGGAAGAAACGTAGATGAAGATCTTGAATGCTGGCTGGTGGTATTGGACATATTTTCCATACTTGAGCATCAGTTGTTAGTATGGGCTAAAGATTGATTAAAATGGTTTAATAACACACACATTCTAAAAAATCTGCCAGAAACATATTGTTCACCCTAAGAGTGTAATGACAAGAATTTTAGGTCTTAAACTCTTAAATGATTTCTAAAGGGTCGTGTTGATTATTATGTCATAGGGTCCACAGTGAATATGTGTGGAAAAAACAGACTGAGCAATCTAGAAAGCTAAATCTATAAGATCATGAGGCATGGCAAAGGACTTAACTTGCCTTGCTTTCAAGAAAAAACACACCACAACAGAGAGGAAGTAAATCATGCATTTTTTCACTCTCTCTAGGTTTGAATATTCTTACTTTAATAGCTTTTGAACTCTAAAATTTGAGCTTTGATGTCTAACATTAGTGACCATGGTTAAAAAATTCATTGAAAGCTGCCTTATTAGTCTGGCCAGAGAAATGTAAAATTGCATACAACAGGTTAGATATTGAGAAAGACATATCTGGGATGTTTTGATATCATTTTTAAGGGGTGTAGTCAAACCTCAATTTAGAAAAGTTTTGGTCTTTACATAAAAACATGATGCTAGAACAGTTTTTAAAGAGCTTCAATATCAAAGAAAAGGAAATCTGTACATGAGCTTTATACTTTAGAACAACACCTTAGAAGAATTATCTTGTGAAATATGGTATTACTTTTTAGGTGCAATATTGAGATATTTTTAATCTCTAAGTATTAATTACAAATCTCTAAAATAGCTCCTGTATCTCCAAAATGCTTCCATTAGAATGAAGTGGCATTGTTAGAATTAGCACAACCTACAACTTGGCCCAAATTTTCTTTGTGTAGTTGTTTTCTATAGAAAGATGGAACCAAAAGCATCCTACCTCATTAGTTTGCATACAATTCTGAATTCTACCCTGTAATTCGTATGAAAAGATTATGAAATTGAATTGAGTGACCTAAGAGGACAGTATCAACTTTATATCATTTATTATCTTTGTAGTTTCTGACTGAACAAAAGTGCCATTTATAATTATCTCCTTCTAATTGTTATAGTTCAAAAACCAAAAATGGAAAATCTATATATGACAAATGAAAACTATCCTATAGGCATGAGTGTATCTAATAATTTATGTGTTCATTTTTCAATCATCTTTGCTGCCTCTTTACAAAAAAAATTCATACCTCCATAATGAATATTTCATCTTGAATATTTATCATGGAATGTGTTCTTTTAAGTTTTTAACATTACACTTTTTATTGGAGCTCTTAAATGTAGACGTAGTGTATCAAGTACTCCAGCAAAGCAATGTATTGTTTTCTGTCCTTAATTTTCATACATTATTACCTGAAAGACTGAATTATTTCATTAGTTTTGAATAATTTGAAAAAAATAGTTCATAGACTTCTAAAATTTAAACTTTTTAATTTTTCATAAATAGTTTTCTCCAGGCAAGCATGTCTGATCAGAAACCTTAATCTGTAGGAAACCTGAGGAATGTTTCTTCCTCAAGAGAAGCATCATATCTTTTGGTCATCAAAATATAACAGTTTTGCAAAGAAATTTATGTAGGGGCAACAGAAAGAGAGCAAAACCCCATTTTGATAAGCGTATAGTATGAAAACTATCATCAATATTCTAAATACCTCAGATTTGATGATAATATTGGTTAGATATTTTGAAATTGGTTTATTAGTTGAGATAGTATTGAACAACTCTCTCAAGATATTCTTTCCTGTTTTCAGATCTCTTTAGCTCATGTGTTTTAAATGATTCTTTTTCTTTTTAACTCATGGTTAAAGTGACAACATCTGCAAAAAGAAAAAGAGAAAATTAGAATATGGAAAAAAAGCCATAAGTTCAAGGCAAAAAGATGGAGATGGTTCATTGAAGAAAAATGAATACTGTGAAGTTCCTTATTTCTTTCTTCATCTCCTGTGCTTTGTTTTTGCAAACCAATGCCAGTAATTCCAAATCAACAAATCGAGGTATGGTTCCTTACGGATGCAAACTGTCATATTTCACTTATCATTCTTAGATTTCACTTTGTCCCCAAACTCTTTCAGAGTAAGAGGCTGGGCATAGTGGCTTATACACTTTAGTAGGCTGAAGTGGGAGGATCACTTGAGGCCAGGAGTTTGAGACAACCCTTAGCAACATAACAAGACCCCATCTCTACTAAAAATTTAAACATTACCCGGGCATGGTGGCTTATGCTTGTGGTTCCAGCAACTCAGGAGGCTGAGACAGGAGAGTCGCTTGAGCTCAGGAAGTCAAGGCTGCAGGGAACCCTGACTGTGCCACCACACTTCAGCCTAGGTGACAGAACAAGACCTGGTCTCTAAAAATAAATAAATAAACTATAAAAGCTATAATAGATTGGGAAGGGTTGGTATTTTTGTTGGTATTTATAAACAATGTATTCTATATTCTTATGCATCTGGTCACAGATTGGATTGTCTGGTATAGAAGCTATTTGGGTTTTTATTCACCAGTAGACTCCATTGAAACAATAAAAACGTCCATTGTTTCTTAACTACAGTTATTTTATTTACCTGTCTAAGATCATTAGTACAACGTACAGACAGGCTATTTTACCTAAATCCCAATCTCCACAAATTATCTTGTGAATGATATCTCACTATTATTAGTACTCAAAGTCTCAGACTTAAACACTATTTCTTACCTTATCTAAGAGTCAACTTGCACTGGTGATAAGTTTAGAAATACAATTACTTTATCCAGGAGATTGCCTACAATTAAAATGTCCCAAAGCATCTCTGACAGTGACCCATAGAACCTGGTGCCAAAGTGATTATGCACAGTACTGAAATAAGCTAATGACCCTGGCTGTGGCTATGAAACTCTCTGTAGAAGAAATTAGCCCAACATGTTATGTAGATATATTAAGACAAGGAGAGCAACAGAGGCTTAAAACTTTGATCCTTCTGGGCAGATTGAAATTTTTGGCTGATGCGTTTAACCAAATGATTTGGGAAAGAGAAGGAGATGACAAGTCGTTAAGGCAGTACAATCACACGTCTTAAATGTTGGCTTCGTGGAGCATCTAATTCTCATTTCATTAACATACCAAGTAAGTTCCAGAGACACTAAAACTCCAAATACGTTACATGTAAGTATGTGTACCGCAGAGTCATAAATGGGAGATTTTATCTGAAGGACTGAGATTTAATTGATATCATCGACTAAGGAGAGCTATGGTCTTTCATTGTAATCATGAAAAGCTAGTTATATTATCCTTAAGTCCCTTACCCATGTAAGAAAGATGGGTTGAGTCGATTGTAGAAATTAGTTCTGGAAGGGATTTTAGAGAGTGCAATGTTATATCTCTTATACAGGGGAGGAGAATGGAGGTATCTACCCTTTCTTCAAGCATAAGAGAAAGAAGCTTCAATAGTATCATTTTTAAAGTTTGATGTGTATTACTTGAAGCTGAAGCAAACACAACAAACTTGTGTTTCATTCCTGCCTGAGAACCATGGAGCATAAGAGAAAAAGCCAGTTAGCTTCCTCTTGTAATGAGTGTGAAATGAAAGTTCCTGCTTTGGGACCATTGTGTATTTCCAGATTGGTCAGAACAAAGGATGCAGTGGTGTTTCTCATGCATGAGATATAGGCCACATATGTGGTACATTATAGGGCTCAAAATAAGTTATCTTTAACAGAGCCAGTAAGATGGCCCACAAAACCACAGCAGGTAAAAAATGGAAGTACGATTAAATCTCTTGGATCTAAAGTACCATTAGTTCTCATACAGAATTTAGGTGAACCTACTGGATGTTCTTGCCCTACTTAGGGAAACAACAACAATACAACAACAACAACAAAAAAAACAAACAAAACACTCCCAGTAACTGGGCAGAGCTTCAAAGAATTTATGAAAATATTCACAAGAGATCTGCCAGCCCCAAAAGCATTAAGCTGTGTTATAACAATGATGCAGGGTGTTTTCTTGACCCCTTCACGGGACTCGTGACCAGGGTGCCTCATTTACTCAGACTGCCCCACTCAACCCCTTGCAGGAGGGAGCATACTAGCAAATGAGTGCAGGTGCTGGCTGCCCTGGTGCTGGCAGGAGTGAATTCTGTGCGTGTCCCTCAGCACCGTCCAGTTGGGGGTACCTGCCACCCCCAAGGCCCCGGAGGGCATGTTACAATGCTGTCTTATTTCTGCCGTCTGCAGACAGCAGTGTGTTATCAGCTCAGTGGGCACTTCACCTCATTGTGTGGGGCAGCTGCCCTCTGCCAGTGAGGGCAAAGGGTCAGTTTGACACTCTTTTTGGGCACCCACAGCTGGTGCAGCCCAAATTCTTGTCTGGTGCCCAAGAGGAATGAGGTCACACAAAAGAATTGAAGGATGGTGAATATGGATAATTTTACTGAATGATGAAAGTGGCTCTCAGCAGAGAGGGGAGCTGGAAAGGGGATGGGAAGGGCAGGTTACTGTCCCTTGAAGTCAAGCCACCTCTCTGCCTTGTCCAGCCATGTCTCTGAAGACAAGCTTCCCCTCTCCAACATCTAGGTGCTTCTTCCCGACATCCAGCCACTTCTTCTCTCTTACGGCTGAGTCTGGGGTCTTTATAAGCACAGGATATGGGTTGAGGTGGGCCATAGGTAGCTCTGGAAAAGGCAACATTTGATTGGTAAAAAGACATTATTCAGAAAGAACCAATCTGGAGAGAGCGGGCACATAGGAATGGAAGTTCTCACTTTGGGCCATGGTTTCAGGCTTTTTGGCTCGAAGGTGGGGTTTTGCCAGGGACCTGCCCCTGTCTGCCTAGAATTTCTCTGCCTCTTGTCACTATCAACAACTCCACTTGACTAGAAGCTTTCTTGCTCCCCATCTTCTATTTCTCTGCTCCAACACTGAAGGGTTCAAAAAGAATAGATGGCAAGTGTGAGAAAGTGAAAAAGAAAGAGCCAACTACATCCCTCTTTCAACATAGTAAGCATTCTGGTAAACACATGCTTTCTCAGGAGAAGAGAAGCAATTATACCTGATTTAGGTTGAAAGCTTTATTACCTGAGACTACATGCTAATTTCTGAGTCTGTGTTTAGTGATTTTGAAAAGAATACTGAGCTAAGAGTTATCCAAAATGTCTAAGAACAACTGCCCATGTTTTCATCTAGTGACAGGGAAAGTTCTCTACCTAATGAACACATTTGAAGTAAGCGCTGGGCAAAGAATTAAGCTATTTTCTTATTACATCTCATAAAATACATGAGGTTTTTTTTTCTCTTTTAACTTTTTTTATTTGGGCATAATTTTATAGAGAGTTGAAAGAATAAGACAAATAAATTCCATATATTCTTCATCCAGATTCCCAAATGGTAACAGTTTACTACCTTAGCTTTACCAAATAGCCTCCCCCAACCCCTGAAAACTACACACATGCACACACACACACACACACAGACACGCAGAAATAATACTGTTTTATTCTTCTATGTGCATTTTCTAAAATGAGGACATTGTTTCATAGAACCTCAATACACCTACAAAATAAGGAAATTAACATTGAAAACGGAGTATTTTCTAACCTATAGAGCTTATTTAGATTTTGCCAATTGTTCCAGTAACGCCTTTCACAGAAGAAGAAAATCCCAGATCATATGTTGCATTTAGTGGTGTCATCCTTTTAACCCCTTTTTGTATGAAAAAATTGCTTAGACTTTCTTTGTATTTAATGATGTTTGTATCTTTCAAGAAAATAGGCAGGATGTTTTGTAGAATTCACTCAATTTTTATTTTCCTGATATTATGTTACAATTAAATTTGGATTATAAACTTAGAACAAAAATACCACCCAGGAAATGTTGTGTTCTTCCCAGTGCATACGATCAGGGAATACAAGATGTCTTGCCCTATTTTTGGTGGCAACTTTGTCATATGGTTAAGGTGGTTTTCAAATTTCTTCATTATCATTTTACATTTTTCCCTTTATAGTTAATAACGTTTTCTGGAGAGATAATTTGAAACCGTAAAAATATCTTAACTACTCCCTGAATTTTTGCTCACTAACTTTAGCATCCACTGAGGATTCTTTTCTGAATCAATTTTATTATAATTTTTTATTTTCTTATTCCTTGTATGTTTATCAGGTGGCTGTATACTATAAAGAATCACTTTCTCCTATCATTAATTAATTAATTAATTAATTAGTATGTCTAGACTGACAGATTCTTATTTTATTCATGGAATTGCCCATATTTGGTTACTAGGAGCCTCAAGTCCAGATGACTCTTGATTTCTTTTGATACTTTTATGCTGTAATAAGATGTTTGAGATTTATCTTATACTTTCCTTAATTCAGCCCTGGAATTAGGCCTTTCTCCAATGATATTTAGTGGAGAATGCTATTTAGAAACCAGGATAGGCTACTAGAGTGTCATTGCTTCTAGGCCTTCTCAGCCTTCAAAAATAGGATATGTTTATGTACATCCATGCACATTTATACATATTTCTGGATCTACTCATCTGTATTTAAAAGACATGAATTTATACTGATACTGTTTATTTCACATCAACACCACACAGTTTCCTTCTCTATATCCATATTTGCAACTTCTCCAATACTGAGAAACTACCTCCCATTATGCAGTATATATTTACTTAATTTTCCAAAACTGAAATACACAAAACATAGAAGAATGGAGTGTTAATTTTCAAATTGCCTTCATAGAAGAATGGACTAGTAATTTGAAAATCCACTAGTCATTCTTTTATGAAAAATTAGCCTTCTAACTTGAGTTTAAAATTTCTTTAGAATTATATTGCTTTCCTATCTTGAGGATACATAGCTTAAATACTATGTTCAAAAGATGTCAGAAATACTTCTCTCTCTTCCCCTGTGTACTGCTCTTTAGCGTGGTCAGATTAGGAATTTGAAATACAGTTCCAGTTTATTTTTATTTTAGAATCTCCCCCTTTAAATTGTACTCATTGTCTTTGAAGCATCTGGAGCATTTACATGATTTTGAAAGTAATAACTGTACAAAAAGCTGTAGTTGGAGATATGTTAATCCCCACAGATTCCATCTATACTCTACCCTATCCCCATCTACTCTGGAAGGTAATCAATGTCACTAGTTTCTGATTTGTTCTCTTTTGTGTCCAAATGAGCAGATACATAAATTTTCTGATTTTTCTACTTTTCTTTTTCTTTTTTCTTTTTTTTTTTGAGACAGGGTTTTGCTCTGTCACCCAGGCTGATATGCAGTGGCACAATCACAGCTCATTGCAGCCTCAACTTCCCAGGGTCAAGTGATCCTCCCACCTCAGCCTCCTGTATAGCTGGGACTATAGGCGTGTGACACCATGCCCAACTAATTTTTGTATTTTTGGTGGAGACAGTGTTTCTCCATGTTGCCCAGGCTGGTCTCGAACTCCTGTGCCTAGGTGATCTATCTGCCTCAGCCTCTCAAAGTGCTGGGATTTCAGGTACGAGTCACTTTGGCCTGATTTTTGTATTTTGCTTACACGAAAAATGACATATGATAGGATCAAAGGCTAGTGATTAATATATCAACTTTACTGACATTAAAGCTGAGTTGAATAATAGCTCAGATTAAGCTTGTGATATAGCTTGGATCTGTGTCCCCACCCAAATTTCATGTTGAAATGTAATCCCTAATGTTGGAGGTAGGACCCAGCGGGAGGTGACTGGATCGTGGGGCTGATCCTTTAAGAATAGTTTAGCACTGTCCCTTTGGTGCTGTTCTTGTGATACTGAGTGAGTTCTGGGGAGATCTGATGGTTTAAAAGTGTGTAGCACCTCTCGGCTCTCTATCTTGCTCCTGGCTCCTACCATGTAAGACGACTGCTCCTTCTTTGCCTTCCACCATGATTGGAAACTCACTGAGGCCCCCCCAAAGCAGAAGTCACTATGCTTCCTGTACAGCCTGTGGAACTCTGAGCTAACTAAACTTCTTTTTAAATAAATTACCCAGTCTCAGGTATTTCTTCATAGCAATGCGAGAATTGCCTAATACAGTTTGTGACTATAATTATGTTTCTTAGCGCCGTCTCAGTTCAGAATTTGGAACAACCCACCTGAGTGAGTGTTAGAGACCAAAGAGAGAAAAAACCCCACGCAGAATCATTGTCTTGCACATACTGAAGGTAAAGTTAATATGTATCCTTAAATTTGTTTGAATTGTGAAATATTTTATTCTTAAATATTTAAAGCTTCCAAAAAAATGTGAGAAAGATGAATTTTAAAATACTTGGAAAATATCTTTATTTGTAGACATTTACTTGATATGCAAGTTTTTGAAGCACTGAAACAGAAATATCCTGTGTATGTACTTTAACAACTAATCTGTTGCCTATGTAAATAGTGTGCTTTCAATATTGCTGATTGAATTTAGGATTAGATACATGGTTATAGAATTAAAAACAAATTGATACATAAATTTATAGAGAAAAGTAGAAATTAAGTAAAAATTGTCTGCCATTAAAAATACTGTCACTGGCCTACAATATTCACTAGACTCTATCTGTATTTTAGGACATACATTAAATCAATATGTATTTTTTATTCCTGACCCAACCTTTGTTTAGCCAAGCAAATGTGCAAGGAAAAAGTTACAAGATAAATTATATGTCTTTGCTTTGTTACAGGCTATTTGTCACTATAACACATTGAAATTAAAAGAGCCATCTTTGATATCATTCTTCAACAATGTATTCCCTTTTGTCACTACTCTGTACATTTTATTTCTTTTTAGAAACAAACACACTTTATTGATTTCTATTTTTGAAACATTTAAAATGGTCTTTCATGGCATTTGGTTATATGTTAGGTAGAGCTTCTTAAGTTCAAAAATAATAGTTGAATAGATTTCTTTGGCAAAAGAGATTGTGGTTTTTCCCCTCCTTATAAATCTCTTTTTAAGAAGCAAATTTCTTGCACACGTGCAATAATTTGAATCCATGTAATTTTGGGGACAGAGACGTAAAAAACATAAATGATTCAGAAATTTCTAGTTGTTATATTTTTAATGTACAGCTGACTGTCATGATGACATAATTCAGATATTTGTCCCCCAAATCTTATGTTGAAATATAATCCCCAATGATAGATGTGAGGCCTGATGGGAGACTATGGGATCATGGGGACAGAATTTCTCCTTAATGGTTTAGCACTATCCCCGTGGTCCCGTCCCCGTGGTCTCGTCCTCATGACAGTGAGTGAGTTCTTATGAGAGTTCATTGTTTAAACATGAGTGGCATCTTCCCACTTCTCTCTCTTGCTCCTGCTTTCACCATGTGACCTGCCTGCTCCTGCTTCTCCTCCCAAGAGTAAAAGCCCCCTGAGGCCTCCCCAGAAGCCATGCAGATGCCGGCACCATGTTTGTACAGCCTGCAGAAACATGAGCCAATTTCAATTTCTTTTCTGTATGAATTATCCAGTCTCAAGTATTCCTTTATAACAATGCAAGAGTGGGCTAACACACAAGGTGAAAATATATATTTAGTAGCATGTAATATTTGCCCATGGCAAACAGATTTATTGTAGGTAAGCAAAGATAATAAACACTTGGCTTCACTTGGAAGGTTCCCTATAATCTGCCAGCTGAGGTGGGTGATGCCTGGCATAGGAGACCAGGTGGCCATAGTGAAATAGGTAGGGTTGTCTGAAGGCTGCATTCACAAATTAAATGTATCCCACCACACATGTGATGATGTCTTAGCAAAATCCAGCAAATGTAGTCACTGAAGAGTTTTCTCCATTACTTCTGAGAGTTTACTAACAAAAAGAGTAACTCCTAAAGACTGAAGAAGAGCAAATGCAGAATCCTCTTGAGGAAAAAGGAGGCTGGACTAAAGGAAAAGTAGCCTTTTAAACTTGGCAACATATTACATATTACAGTAATAATTCATCCAAGCTGACAAATTCAGTCAACTTCAACTGGCTTTCTTTCATAGGAGAGTGATTGCTCTAGAAGATAAGGAACAAAGTATAAAAAGTAATGTGATTCCACCTTATTGAGGCTAAAGGTTTTATCTCACAGAATGTTTATCTGAACATTGCAGAAATATGATTTCGCTCAAAGAGCTCTTCGGTTAAGGCAGAAGTGAGTGACAGGAAAACTAAATACAAAAGATTTTCTAAATAATGTAAGTAATAAGGGAGTAACTAAATTTAGTATGTGTGTTTGGTGGTGGCATTGTGAGAGAGTATATATGATGTTCATTAAATGGAAGAATACTACAAGTTGGTGACTAATTTAATGAAATAGAGTTATAAACATAATGCAGATGCTACCATAGGAGAATCTACTCGAGGATAAAACAAGTGGGGCAAATATAAGGTGAGTAAAACTAGATTTCTAGAAGTGGGGCAGAAAATGATGGAATAGCAAATATAGATGAGATAATGAAAATTATTAATCACAATCTAAAAAATGTAGAAACTCTTTGTTCTCAGCATGGATCAAACAACTCCCTCTCCTACCAGCAAGCCTTCCGAAAATTACATATCAGAAAGAACTCTAATTAGAAAAAAAAGAAACCCAACAGAAGACATTTTGCAAGAGGCAGAATGTATTCATTTTACTAGGTATTCCAATTTAGCTTGGGGATTTACTGGAAGTGTGAAAAACTTGAAAAGGGCTCCCCTAGAAGTACAAATAAATAGAAAATGGGTCAATAGGGAAAGGGGATTTTATCTGGAACAAAATATAAAATAGAATGAAATCAGTGAATAAATGAATAAATAAATGAATATATAAAGTGATACAGCACTAACATTTTTAGCAACTCTTCTTGGTCTCTAAAAGAGACCAGTGAGATTTTCAAAGTGGAACAAATGGCTGTGGGATTGTTTGGGATGGATGGTTTCTAAATTGCCAGAATGAAATCTAGGGCCTCCAGTATGAAGCATATCCCAACTTGGTGTTCTTGGTTATTTTTTCAAAATACGTGGCTGCTTCAGGACAGATAATGAAGTTACTCCATGTTTCTTGGAGACTGAACTGGAAAGCCAGTGATCCAGATTCTTTTCTACATCCTTCTCCCTCTTTTCTACTTTTCTTGGCTTGTCTCTGGTTTATCTGTTTCTTTCTCTCCCACTTCTTATAGGCTTCCTCAGTTTTCTTTTCTCATAGCCTATGTGGATGGCTCCTCTCTGGCCCTGCTTTCTGCATCCTTACATTTTGGGTGTAGGGTCCTCCACTCTGATAATACCTTCTATGTCTCCTGATTAAATTTCTTAAGGCATAGAATCTCCTTAGTGTTTGACTCAAATTGGCTGGCCCTGGGTCAGTTTCCTTCCTGGTTTCAATCAGTAGTTGCCAGAGTTGGAAGGTGGAATTGGATGCCAGAACTGTCTTTTTCAGGTACTGCAGTCAGCAAACCCTGGTTAAAAGGCAAAAGATCAATCTAGAAGTACAAAGAAATGAACAATGCAGTAGTGGGTGCTCATTTATTTATTAAAAGCAGTTCAGGCCATGCACGGTGGCTGCCTGTAATCCCAGCACTTTGGGAGGCTGAAGCGAGGGGATTGCTTGAGCTCAGGAGTTTGAGACCACTCTCGGCAATACGGCCAAACATTGTCCCCACAAAAATACAAAAATTAGCAGGGCATGGTGGCATGTGTTTGAAGTCCCACCTACTTGGAAGGCTGAGGTAGGAGGATCACTTGAGCCTGGGAGGATGAACCTCAAGTAAGTCATGTTTGTGCTACTGCACTCCAGCTTAAATGACAGGTGAGACCCTGTCTCAAACAAAACAAAACAAAAAACCAAAGAAAGACAAAAAAAGACAAACAGCTCAGGAGTTTGAGACCAGCCTGGGTAACATAGTGAGACCCTGTGTCCCTAAAAAATGAAAAATGAAATGGGTGGATTGGTGCTCCCCTGCAGTTTCAGCTAGACTGAGGCGGAAGAGTTGCTTGAGCCCGGGAGGTGAAGGCTGCAGTGAGCTGAGATGGTGCCACTGCATTCCATCCTGGGTGACAGAGTGAGACTCTGCTTCAAAAATCAAACAAACAAACAAAAACCCTGATACTGAACTCAGATAATATTCAGACATTGAATTGAACGTTGGGAATAAAGTGGTGGACAAGAAAGATATTCTCTGTGCAATGAAACCGAGTCATTCAGAGTTTTACAGGGGAAGACTCATCCTATAGGGCTACTGCTGACATTTTAGAATAGTCCTTTAGAAATTATGAGAGACTAAGAATGTTGTCAATAATTTTATTATAATAATGTGTCAATTACAGAACTCATGTCATAGAATTTTCTTTCTCTTAATATATTAATTTTAATAGATTGTGCTCTGCATGCTTAAAAGAGAAGTGTTTTTTTCACCTGGAGTTTTAAATAGAAAGGTAAGCCAAGAGGAGTGTGATAAGATTCTTGGAAGATAACATGGGCATTTGAATTGCAGCTATCATTGATTTAAAAGGTACAATTACATGTCTGGAAAAATTTTCAGAAGTTGTAACTGAAACTTGGACACTGAATGTATCAAACTGTATTGTATCAAATTACAGAAGCTCAAATCAAAGTTTGGCTCATTAGATACATGAGTTTGCGAAAGCAGTCTTTTTCATTTATAGAAACCTAGTTGCAATAATAACAATAATATCATGGTAATGATAATGGCAATAAATCACATGACATTTATTGGCTTTTAGGATATACCAAAGACTTTTGTGGACGGACACTGACATGGATCAGTTACTTTAATTTTCACAACAGCTCTTATGTGTATTATGATCATTTCATAATTTACAATTAAAGAACTGAAGAAGAGAGATTAAGTAAACTGCCAAACCTCATTCAACTATTACATGGTGGAGCCAGGGTTTCAGCCCAGCAGTCTGACTATAGATCCATCAAGATTTTTTAGTTTTACATGAACACACATAATCAGACATTATCAAGTAACTTTCAACACAGTACTACAAGTAATACTTTGCATTTCCAGATATTGATGGTCTTGGTAATAACCCATGGAATGCGATACTCACGAAGAATAAAATGTAGCATTTTCCACTAATATTGTGCAATGAAGACAGTACTTTCTGTGGACATAATTTACTGAATAATCTTTGTAAGAAGTGCCTTTAAAATTGTCTATAAGCATTTTACATTCGTGCTGTGTTATACAGCATTGTTTTTACCTGCAAATTTATTATATAAATGGTTTATCTGAGAGTACAGACTTGATATTTAAACATGATGACAAATAAAACATTCTAAAAATTGAGTGATTATATTTGAGTTTCAGAATACTCTTTAGTTTCTTTTTTTTGCCAAAATGAGACTGTTAGACATTGCGTCTTTAAAACTTCCATGATTTGATAAACGCAATACTCAGCAGTCAGAACTTGTTTTTAGAAAACCTACCTGCCTTTTTCAATATGCTCTTGCTATAAAATCCTTATTTGAAATAAATTCTTCTCCAATTCAGCCATAATATTAATTACTCAGTTGCTCAGATATCAACATAAATTGAGAATGAAAACTACAGAAGGAAACACATCAGATTATTAATGATTATTTTCATAGATATGAAAAAGAAGAGGTCAAGATTGAGGATGATGAGCAGAGATGACCGCAGTATTATACGTATTTTTTACAGAAGAATGTATTCAAGTATTACATGTGCATTTAAAAGATAATTCAAAAAACACACAATATCTTCATTTCATTCAGAGGGTCATGACTGGAAGAGAGACAGCTATTTTGTCCTAAAAATATAGTACTATATAAAACTAGTCAATTTCAGGTCCCTGAATTTGAATATGTAGTCAATATCTACTAAAGGGATAATTTAGTGCTGTGTAATTTTTAAAAAAAAATTTTTAGGCTAGATCTTTGGAAATTATTATTATTATTATTTTATTCTGCACCTGTGTGATTTTATCAATTAGCTTAGGCATGTGACTTAGGTTCTACCAATAAGAAGATAAGTTCATTTGGAGAAATGAGAGGAGGGAACCAAGCTTGGGAGAACTGATCTTCTGACAAGTGGAATGGCACACCAACTTGTTTGTTGAGAATGACAGAGGTGGAAGTTCTTGTGGTTGGGACTGAACCTGGCAGGCACTGGACAGCAGAGGCAGGTGAGGGTTCAGCAGCACAGCTCTCTTGGAGTGGTTTTGCATTGTCGCAACTGCAGAGCACTCGTGCCTGGATCACTGGCACTATGAACCAAGTGACTTCATTTAGTAAATTTTTCTTCTGTATCAACTCAAGAGACTAGATTTTGTCTTTTACAACTAAGAATCCTGAGTGATATAATAGCATTTTTTTTCTAGTTTATCCACCTACATCGTACTCTTCTCATTGGAAGAAGCTATTGTGGTTCTTTGTCCCCATATCATCCTTTCCGTAGAAGTATATATTGAAAATTAACTCATAGATGAAATAGATTAAATAGAATATGTGAGAAACAAGTCTTCATTTTTGTAAAGCGAGCGTAATACAGGTTTTATAGGTGGGATTTGGGAGGGTCTATCAAGTTTATCTTGATAGTCTTTGGGCAAAAAGCAAAGGCCAGACATTTGCAAATTATTTCCAAAATGAGAATGTAGAAAGGAAAAAAAATTGAGAACAAATGTTCCTAAATTCATAAACTCTTTTATTTTATAAATAAAAAAGTTAAGGCCAAAGTAAGCAGTGTTTGTTACATTGTTAAGGACTGTCAAAGATGAATCTGAAAACTTCTAGAGCTGTTATTCCATGCTCTTTCCATTTCACCATGTTTTGCCCTTCATGAAAATACTTATGTTCTTATCTGCATTACTGTTGCTGTGTCCTTTAAGAGCAAATTTGGGAAAATTCAGCTTCAGGCTTTTTATATTTTCTCTTACTGCCTCTATCACAGCTCCTGAAACCCAGACTTGTGAATTAATTAGTCCATTTCCCTTTGTCTCTCCTAGTTCCACTCTCAGGAGAAAGATAACCGCAACAATTTGCCTAATGGAGTTGTACGGTATTTCAAGGTATGTCCACCTATGATATTGATTAATTTTAACATCTGTCATAATTTATTCTCCTTCATTCTGGTCATTACCACCCACAGTCCTTCTCTTGAGTGAGATGTTTGTTATTCTGCCGTTCGTTGGCCTTTGGCCCAACCTCTCCTAATTACTGAGGAAACAGGACTTTTCTGCTTGATTTTCCAGTTCTGTGTCCATTTGAAAGCAGAATGTCCTTTCTGCATTGGCTTATTCATTCAACAAATAGTCACTGAAAGTGCCTAAGAAGAGCCTGACAGTGTTCTAGGCTCTAAAGATACATCCCATAAACAAAGTGGACAAATTTCCTGTAATTGAGGAGTTCATATTCTACTAGGGAAGACAAACAATACACCTACTAAGTAAGCCCATTAATATGATGAGTCAGAAGGAGACTAGTGCCAGAGAAATACTGAGCAAGGCAAAGGGGCTTGGGTAGAAGCAATAACGTCCATTAGCATTAGAGAATCGTCACTGGGAAATTGACATTTGATCAAAGATCTGAAGAAGCGCGAAGATGGAGAGGAGGTATTGAAGATTTTCAGAGAGAGAGAGGAGGCTGCAAAATTGTTATCTGATTGAATGAGAGTGAAGGGACTTGGGAAGTGTATTAAGAAATGTAATAGGATTCCTACTTAGGGCCTGCTTAAAATTTGTGGGCATTAATTTAAAGCGAGACAAGTCTGAATACTTATGGTGTGGGTGTGTGTTTGTGTGCATTCATCCACATTCAGTTACACAGGTGCAGACGTGCAAGGAGAAGGCAGGAAGCTGGATTTAACAAGAATTGTGGGTATGAAGAGACAAGAGAGGGTCAAAATATTGAGAATATGACACTATTGATTAACCAGGAAATTTATATTGAAGATAGAGGGAAGCAAGGCATATTATGGAGATGACAGTTAGAAGGTGGAAGAAACAACTAATCGTATGTCCTGGTAGCATCAAAAGATTCTTGAAATTTTATCAGTAATATTGACAACCACACTAACATTTATTAAACACTTACTGGCCGGGTGCGGTGGCTCACGCCTGTAATCCCAGCACTTTGGGAGGCCGAGGCAGGCGGATCACGAGGTCAGGAGATCGACACCATCCTGGCTAACACGGTGAAACCCCATCTCTACTAAAAATACAAAATATTAGCCGGGCGTGGTGGTGGGCGCCTTGCCTGTAGTCCCAGCTACTCGGGAGGCTGAGGCAGGAGAATGGTGTGAACCCGGGGGGCGGAGCTTGCAGTGAGCCGAGATGGCTCCACTGCAGTCCAGCATGGGCGAAAGAGCGAGACTCAGTCTCAAAACAAAACAAAACAAAACAAAAAAAACACTTACCATATTCTGGACATGATGCCAGGTGTTCTAGACGGACTTTGTTAAGCTTCGTGATAGCCATATGGGGTCAATACCATATTATAATCAACCTCATTTTGCAGAGGAATTTGAAAGTGAAGTTAAATTGGGGGTAATAATAATGCTGGCCCTCTCTACCTCACTGGATCAATTACATTGAGATAAAGGGTTTTTTACAACTTTGAAACCTGTAAACTGCCATACAAATATAACTACTATTCAATGGATAGGAGACTTGAACGTATACAGCATGTAATCTAATTAAATGGCTAAAGATAGCAACAGTGACAAGTCTCCAGTATCTTCAAACGTAAAGCTAAAAATATCCTGTGGGTTCAGGAATATGTTTTTATTTCTGTGTTCAGTAATTTGACTTTTATGTACATTAAAGGAAGCACAGTATGAGAATCTAAGGAAAATTAATCTATTAAGATAGGATGTTTTAATTTCTAGTGGCTTACTATTTTTCTTTAAGATAATGGACTTCCGTTTTTTATTTATTGGACTTCAAGACACAAACCAGCCTTTAACTAAAATTTTACTATATTTGTGTTCAATTCCAGAAATAAGCATGGTCCCTTCCATAAAAATGTCAAATGGTGGGATATGTATTTAATAGTGGATACAGAAAGCCTAATACAATTATCAAAGGCTTATATGAATCAAGCAGTTTTTCTAGATAAGACTCCGAAAAGAGGAAATTAAAGCTCATCAAATGGGCTCATAAAATTAAACTGTAAGCTGATAAAGAGCTACCTGCACCTAGGATGTCCTTTCTATCATTTGTAATCTCTCTGTTCAACTTAAGAAAAATGACTCAGCACCCCATGTGCAATGCATCTTGCTGAGAAGAAGCCATTACCAGAGGATAAATAATTTAAGTGTTCCCTCTGGGATTCAAAGCCCCTGGGCCCCAGATATCCCAGTTGTCACTGCAGGGAATAAAATAACCAGAGCTGCACTTTCTTGATAATTATTTTCTTGCATCCTCTCTCCTTTAAGTTAGCGGACATTGTATAGCCACTAGTTTAGGTAACTTCTCTAACTTACCCATGTAATTGGTGGCTTTAAAAAGGAGTTTATAAAATAACTGGATATGGCACCAAACTAACCTCCATCCATGAGTATTTTTTTTTGAAATGGAGTCTCACTCTGTCACTCAGGCTGGAGTACAGTGGCGTGATCTCGGTTCACTGCATCCTCCACCTCCCGGGTTCAATCGATTTTCCTGCCTCAGCCTTCCGAGTAGCTGGGACTACAGGCACCTGCCATCACGCCCATCTAATTTTTTGTATTTTTAGTAGAGACGGGGTTTCACCGTGTTAGCCAGGATGGTCTCGATTTCCTGACCTTGTGATCCGCCTGCCTTGGCCTTCCAAAGTGCTGGGATTACAGGTGTGAGCCACCATGCCTGGCCTATCCATGAGTATTTAAAAGATGACAGTGGGGAAGAAAGAATAGTTTTATTCAGCTATCATGTGTGCCACATTAAATCAGGGCAAAAAAGCAGAAAGCATCATCTGAGGTATCTAATTCATTCCCATAGTAACGGAGGGCCATCAGTTGTACTCTATTTCTCAGTGCTTCTTCCAATAGAGGCTGCCACTTTTAATCGATGTAAGTGATGGAGGCTTCCTGAATTCTGCTAGGAAGTTAGTTCTGGGCTAATATACTTCATAGCTTTTCTCTCAACCTCATTTCATCCCAAATATGCTTAGAAAACACAGCAACTTTATCTTTATGTCTTTCTTTCCCTTCCTTAATATATCTCTCCAGAGTCTCTATGCAACAACACAGAGCATTTGACTTTAAGCTATTCATGGTTTTCTCTCAGTGAAGAGAAACAATGTATTGATACATGAAGGACTACTACCTCTGAACACTCTATAGCATATAAGCCATGGAATTCTTAGAAATACCCTGGCTTTATCCTATCCCTCTTTTCATTTTTCTGTACGCAAGTTGCTTTGTCTTGCTTCCAAACTTCACCAAACAACAAACAGGAACCACAGTGAAAAAATGGGTAGATGACATGAACATGTAATTTTCAGAAAAAGAATCTTAAAAGTTAATTAGTAATCAAACAATGCAGATTAAAATGACTGTGAGATACCAAGTGACTGCTTTTTAGACAGCTTGGATGATGTCAAGTGTTAGAAGGTATGTGCTGATACAGAGTTTTCATCCACTACTAGTGGAAATGGAGAAATGATATGGTTTGGATTTGTGTCCCCACCCAAATCTCATATTGAATTGGAGGAGGGGCCTGTTGGGAGGTAACTGAATCATGGGAGTGGATTTCCACCTTGTTCTCGTGATAGTGAGTTCTCATGAGATCTGATTGTTTAAAAGTATGTGGCACTTCCCCCTCGCTCTCTCTCTCCTGCCACCACATGAATAAACTGCTTGCTTCCCCTTCACCTTCCACCATGATTGTAAGTTTCCTGAGACCTCTCAGTCATGCTTCCTGCTAATCCTGCAGAACTGTAAGTCAATTAAACCTTTTTTCTTCATAAATTACTCAGTCTCAGGTAATTCTTTGTAGCAGTGTGAGCACAGACTAATACAAGAAGATTCCACCTATCCTAGAGATCAATCTGGTAGAACTTAACTAAATTAACTATGTGTGCTCTGTAAGATTCAGCAAGTTTTCTCCTGGACATATATCCCGGATAAATTATTTTACAGGTTCATAGAGAAATGTACAAGAGGCTAATCATCAAAGAAGATTTGTGATGGCAGTACTAAAGGCAGGCAGGGTGTCCATCAGTGGGCAAACTGGTTAGAGTAAATGTGGTGGGCTCCCACCACAGACTACTCTGCAGAAGTTAGAAGGAATCAACTAGATAAGCCCACAGCAACATGAAATGATCCTAAAAATAAGTTTTTGAATGAAAAAAGTAAGAGTAAAGTAGATAACACTATTTGAATAAATTGAATCTACGCTCATATAAAATAAAATTATACATTTTGCAAGAACACATAAAAAGAAAAACATAGACATTGAGCACTTCAGCATGGTAGCATATGTCAATGGAGAGGAATGTGTATGGAGAAAGGCGATAACAGGGAAAATGATGTAGAGATAAACAAATAAATGAAACAATAGGATTGTTTTATGTGTAGTTTTGCCTACTCTAGTTTAGACCCCTCAAAATAAAATAAACTTTCCTTGTCAACCTACCCAGCTCTTCTCAGCCACTTCTCTTTGCATGGACACTGAATTTTCTTTCCTGCTATATCAGCTAAAATATTGTTTATTCATTTTTTAACATTTTATTTTAGACCCTGATATCTAGGCATTCTTTGGGTTTCAAAAATCTTCCCATGTTAGTGTCATAATTAGGCTTGGGATTTCACCTGAGATATTCCCTTTTTGATTGAGGAAATGGACCATTTGATTTTCCTGTCCAAAACCTTTACCCTCTATTTTCAAGATCAAAAAAAAAAAAGAAAGAGATGTCCTTGAGGTTGGGCAAGAAGGTGCAGCGGCCTTTACAGAGGCATTTTGATACCATGGAGTGGATTGCCTCAAGAGGGCCTCTGTTCTCCTTAATGCTTCATTTGAGCCGTTTCTAAGATAGTGGTGCTCCAATGTCACACCTTGGGAATGAAGGACCCTGACCCTAAGCCCAGGCTGTACTTCCATCCCTATCTTTGTCCAAATGCATTCGTATTACATTTTTTTCTTCTTGACCCTTTGCTTCCTCCGTCCTCTTTCTATTTTTAGCCCAGCCCCTTAATGCCTGGGCTTATTTCTCATTCCTCTCAGTATTTCTCTCAATCAGCACCTCAGAATCATTATTCAGCTCTTTTGAGAGTCTTTTTCAAATTCTTCCCTAGAACATGGGCTGGATTCTACCAGTGCTTCCTGACTTGGAGTTTCTCGGTAATAAAGGTCAATATATTCTTAGCTGAATTTCAATAAGAACTTACAGGCTATCTGAAATATTTATGCACTTTCAAGATATGTATTGGATTTGTTTAATTCACAATAGTGGGTTGAAATTCATGCCTACCCAGAACCTCAGAATGTGATCTTATTTGGAAATAGATGTAATTATGATCAAAATGAGATTACACTGGATTAGGGCAGGCCCCAAACTCAGTGAAAGTATCCTTATAAGACACAGGCAAGGACCCACACACACAGAGATATGAAGGCAGATATTGGAGAGATGCTGCCACAAGGGAGATAATAAATACTTTGTTGTTTTAAGCTACCAAGTTGGGGGCATTTTGTTTTGGCAGCCCTAAGTAACTAATAATATTTAATATGATGCACAGCTAGTTATTTCATGACAATCAGAGTCTCAGATAGGTTATACATATATATCATTTATTAATAAAAAATAAAATAGTTCCTATGCTACTGTGATTATATATGATGCTTAGTAACTTGTCGTCCAATAGGACTGAGGAGTACAATATCTCACAGTAGTTAAGAGCCCAGAGGCTATAGCCAGACTGTGCGGATTCAAAATACAATTCTTAATCCTGGGCAATTTGTTTTAACACCTCTGTGCCTCAGTTCTCTTACCTGCTAATGGACGATAATAGTACTTACCTTGTAGGTTGTTGTAAAGGTATGGTTAAAATATGGTAAGCACTTAGAACTGTACCTAGCATATAGTAAATGTTTGATACTATTATAATTTCATGAAGATATTAATCTTCAATGCTTCCTTATTATTAGATTTATTATATATTACTCAACATGTAAATTGGGTAATAGCTATTGTGTGTAAAGTGCACAGATAACATGGGTTGGTGAGCAGGGACCTGCCTACCTCAGGTAATTTTGTTTTACTGTAATACACAATAAACTAAGAGATTAAAATTTTCATTGAATATATAGATTGTTAATAACCTAATATTATTAATATTGAGCCTAAAATAATATTATTTGCATTATTCTACCATTTATAGATTAAATAGCACTGTTAAATTTTCCATGATATTCTAGAATGGCAGATTCAGGTAATCAAACAAAATGTTTCCAATTCATTTTGTATTTCACTGCGCTGTACAATGGGATTTATTTTGGAAAAAGTATAATTTTGAGGGTAAGAAGAAAATCTTCTCCTTAAGATCATATAAGACTGTTCTGAAATATTATACTTATATATGTAATAACCTTGTAGCTTTGTGGGTTTTTTGTCTTAACTGGTACATTTAGTATTCTTCTCTACTGTGATATTGATGCCTAATATTCAATCTCACTTCAGTCTAGTTCACTTTTGAGTTTTCTAAATATATTTTTCCTTTCCTTCTATTTAGTTGTGATTCATTTCACTCACATAATTAAGCTTCTGTGCGATCTTTACTACCCAGAAACCCATTAGATAGTAATATTAGTGAGCCTGTACTTCAAATATTTCAGTGCTTGGAAACTACACACAATATTTGATAATCTGCTGAACACTTACCATATTTAAACCATTTATGCCAGAAATCGCAATTTTTTGTGGAAAATCAGACCTTGTTGATGACCTTGTACAGTAGGATATAAATAACTCCCTTAAGCTTAACGTTCCAATAATGGAACACTAGGCATAAGTGGGTTTTAAGCACATTACTAGTTTCTTTATACAGTTGATCTTTAAACAACATGGGTTTGAACTGCTTGGGTTCACTTATATGCAGATTTCTTTCAACCAAACTTTGTAAATAGTGTTCACAGGATGTGAACATATAGATGTCTGGCTTTTTACCTAGGCAGATTCCACAGGGCCAACTGCCGGATTTGAATATGTACAGATTTGGGCATATGTAGGGCATCTTGGAACCGATTCCCCACATATACTGATTGATGACTGTGTGTGTGTGTATTTTCTTGTTTGTTTGTTTGTTTGTATTTGTGATGGCTAGTTTTATGTGTCAACCTGACTGGGCCACGGGTGCCAGGCATTTGTTTAACCATTATTCTGGGTGTTTCTGTAAGAGTGTTTATGGAGGAGATTAATGTTTGAATCAGTAGACGGAGCAAGGCAGATTGCCCTCACAGATGTGGGTGGGCCTTATCCAATCAATTAAAGACCTCAACAGAACAAAAAGGCTGAGTAAACTTGGCCTGACTGACTGTTGAGCAAGGACATCAGTCTTCTCTTCCCTCAGACTTGAACTGGAATGATATCATTGGCTCTTCTGGGTCTCCAGCTGGCCAACTGCAGATGTTGGGACTTCTCAGCCTCTATAATTGCATGAGCCAATTCCTTATAACATCTCTGTGTGTATATGTGTGTGTATATATAGATGTACATAAATGTGCATATGTGTACATATACGTATATGTACATACATGTACAGAAATGTATATATACATGTGTGTATATGTACATATGCACACATATGTGTACATATGTATGTATACACATATATACATAGACATACATATATGTACATATATACACATACATAAGTATATATATATACATATATACGTACGTGTGTGTGTGTGTGTGTGTATATATAAAATGCATGTGTGTGTGTTCTCTTTCTGTAGAGAACCCTGATTAATACAGCAATGCAATGCTTTTGCATGTTTGGCATGTGTGTTGGTCCATTTTCATACTGCTATAAAGAACTACACAAGACCAGGTAATTTATACAGAAAAGATGTTTAATTTACTCAGTTCAGCATGACTGGGAGGCCTCAGGAAACTTACAATCACGGGAGAGGGTGAAAGAGAAGCAAGGTATGTCTTACATGGTGGCAGGAGTAGAGAGAGCGAAGGGGGAACTGCCAAACACTTTTAAACCATCAGATCTCATGAGAGCTCACTATCATAAGGACAGCTTGGGGAGACTGACCTCATGATCCAATCACCTCCCACCAGGTCTCTCCGTCAATATCTCCACAATTTGTAATTGGGGAATACAATTCAAAATGAGATTTCGGTGGGGACACAGACCCAAACCTTATCAGCATGGTAATCTTTATTTTACAGACTAGAAAATTGAAGCTTCTTCAGAAAAGTTGTAATCCTAAATTCACATAACAAATAGATAGTGGGTCTGGAGTTTCAACCTAGGTCTGCATGATTCCAAAGCCCCTACAGTCTCCACCTCAGCAACAACACCTCAGGTGTTGAATTCACAACACCTGCTCAAGTGAGCGAGCACTTGGAGCTAGTCTTGAATTTACTCCAAAACATATTAGCTCATGAAACATTTCCCCACAGAAGACTAATTGTCTTTGAGAAGTCACACATCTTTCTACACTCATATTACACAGCTCCTTAATTCCATTCTTAGTTCATGTGGCCTGCATTCTCTGGAAGTGTACTGCAGTTCAAGGATGAAGGGACAAAGTCAATTTATCATTCACTGTGTTTTATTCATGCAGTCTGCTTTCACCCCCAGAAATAGATAAAAATTGGTACTATTTATTATTCTTAAAAATTCCATATATTCTCCTTGAATCTACAGTATTCAAATTCATAAATAATTCCACTGCTTGATCTGAACAATGGTGAGGGGACTTTCAATGACAACTTTTTATGAAAAATAATTAATCAAGATCACCACACATAAACAGAACTAAAGACAAAAACCACATGATTATCTCAATAGACACAGAAAAGCCCTTTGATAAATTCATCATCCCTTCATGTTAAAAACACTCAATAAACTAGGTATTGATGGAACATACCTCAAAATAATAAAAGCAATTTATGACAAACTCATAGCCAATTTCATACTGAATGGGCAAAAGCTGGAAGCATTCCCTTTGAAAACCAGCACAAGACATGATGCCCTCTCTAACCACTCCTATTCAGTATAGTAATGGAAGTTCTGGCCAGGGCTATCAGGCAAGATAAATTAGTAAAGGGCATTAAATTAGAAAGAGAGGAAGTCAAACTGTCTCTGTTTGCAGATTAAATGATCCTGTATCTAGAAAACCCCATCATTTCAGCCCAAAGGCTTCTCAAGCTGAGAAGCAACTTCAGCAAAGCCTCAGGATACAAAATCAGTGTGCAAAAATCACAAGCACTCCTATACACCAACAATAGACAAGCAGAGAATCAAATCAAGAATGAACTCCCATTCACAATTGCTACAAAGTAAATGAAATACCTAGTAATACAGCTAACAAGGGAAGTGAAGGACCTCTTCAAGGAGAACTACAAACCAGTGCTCAAGGAAATCAGAGAGAACATAAACAAATAGAAAAACATTCCATACTCATGGATAGGACGAATCAATATCATGAAAATGGCCATACTGTGCAATGTAATTGATAGATTCAATGCTATTCCCATCGAACTACCATTGGCATTCTTTATGGAATTAGAAAAACAACTACTTTAAAATTCATATGGAACCAAAAAAGAGCCTTTGTATTCAAGACAATCTTAAGCAAAAAAAAAAAAACAAAGCTGGAGGCATCACACTACCTGATTCAAACTACACTACAAGGCTATAGTAACCAAAACAGGATGGTACTGGTACAAGAACCAGACACATAGACTGATGGAAGAGAATAGAGAACTCACAAATAAGACTGCACATCTACAACCATCTGATCTTTGACAAACCTGACAAAAACAAGCAATGGGGAATAGATTTCCTTTTTTTCCTTACATCTTATGCAAAAATAAACTCAAGATGGATTAAAGACTTAAATGTAAAACCCCAAACTATAAAAAACTTAGAAGAAAATCTAGGCCATACTATTCAGGACATAGGCATGGGCAAAGATTTCATGACAAAAACACGAAAAGCCATTGCAACAAAAGCAAAAATTGACAAATGGCATCTAATTAAACTAAAGTGCTTCTGCGCAGCAAAATAAACTACCATCAGCATGAACAGACAATCTACAGAATGAGAGAAAATTTTTGCAATCTATGCATCTGACAAAGGTCTAATATCCAGAATCTATAAGGAACTTCAACAAATTTCCATGAAAAGAACAGACATCCCTATTAAAAAGTGAGAAAAAGGCATGCACAGACACTTCTCAAAAGAAGACACTTATGTGGCCAACAAACATATGAAAAGAAGCTCAACATCACTGGTCATTAGATAAATGCAGATCAAAACCACAATGAGATACCATCTCACTCCAGTCAGAAAGGTGATTATTAAAAAGTGAAGAAGCAACAGATGCTGGCAAGACTGTGGAGAAATGGGAATGCTTTTACACTGTTTGTGAAAATGCAAATTAGTTCAACCATTGTAGAAGACAGTGTGGTGATTCTCCAAAGACCTCAAGACAGAAATATCATTTGATCCAGCAATCCTATTACTGAGTAAATACCCAAAGAAATGTAGATCATTATATTACAAAGATACATGCATGTGTATGTTCATTGTGGCACTATTCACAATAGCAAAGAGATGTAGTCAACCCAAATGCCCATCAATGATAGACTGGATAAAGAAAATGTGGTATATATACACCATTGAATATTGTGCAGCCATAAAAAGGAATGAGATCATGTCTTTTACAGGGACATGGATGGAGCTGGAAGCCACTGTCCTCAGCAAACTAATGCCGGAGCAGAAAACCAAACACCACATTTTCTCACTTATAAGTGGGAGCTGAACAATAAGAACACATGGACACAGGGAGAGGAACAACACACATTAGGGCCTCTCAGTGTGGTGGAGGGAGGGAGAGCATCAGAAAAAAATAGCTAAAGCATGTTGGGCTTCATACATAGGTGATGGATTGATAGGTGCAGCAAACCACTATCACACACATTTACCTATGTAACAAACCTATACATCCTGCACATATATCCCAGAATTTAAAATGAAATAAAAAAGATCACCTCACTTGCAACTTACTTATAGTATACAGGACGCTTGTGAGTCTAAATATTATTTCAAGATCTATGAATCTTCTTTGTGCTTCTGTTCTTACAATTCCAAAATCGACTCATTTCTTTGTTTCTTTTAGTTAATAGAACGTGTATTTTTTCATGAAGATGAAATTATTGCTACTTGTTTTCTATCTGTTTTGCCAGTCATTTAACATCTTAAACAGTTTTGATGCCCTTCCATGTTGTATCTTTTATTATTCAGTTTTCATTTCCAATGGACTAGGTTTGAGCTCTGCCTTGAAATAATCTTGCAATTGTTATTGACTCCCTTTTGCAAAATTAATCTAATCTGTTTTTGGCCGACTTCCAGGGCAGCTATTTAAGCAGCTATTGGCCAGGTTTTATTGCCTCCTGGCTTTAATTCATTTTCATACAGGTGTACTCCATTTCTGTTTAAAAGGGATCAAGAATATCTTCAAACTAAGAGCTCCCCTCCTTTGGAATCCTGTCACTGACTATTATATATATGGCACCCTTTCATCTTCAAAAGTAAAAATAACCCAAAAAGCCACCTTAAAATGCTTCTTTTTTGTCAGCAAAAACTCACTCCAAGAACTATTTCGGTTCTATAAAGCTCTTATTGTCTTCAATTACTGCTTTTTCTTCTTCTTATTCTTCTTTTTTATCTTTTGGTGTACTCTCTTGCTGTGTCCTGATCCCACTCTTAGGGATATTCTGTGAGGTCACCTGCTTTCCAGTCTCACTCTTTCAATCCTTTATGAGCTAGCAGGGCTTAACAAAAGAAAACCATTTAATAGTTTTGCTACCTAATCTTAACACCTTATTTTTCAAAGGGGTTTCTTACAAATGCTTCTACTTCTTATCAGATCTGAAGGAAAGAGTATCTCAAAGAGCAGCCCTTAAGCACTTGCCAATTAAATCTGGGCTATCTCCTATAATGTTTTTGAGCTCTTTTTGAAGAAAGATTTCTCAATGCCTCAGATCTGTTAAATTGCACTCTTTATATTACCATTAATGCCACAAGGGGTTTGTGACCTCTGAATAAGTTTTTTGAGATGAATTTTCATAGCATATATGACTTCAATTTTAAATTCGTCAGTCTTTTTTCCTGTACAAGAAAATGGGAAGAAAGAGTATTCCATTTTCTGAAACAAAAGCCTATATATAACATATACTTTAGTTTTACAACCACTCAAAGCTTATGGAAAATACAGGAAACCTCATGTAACATTTTTGCAAAGGATCTCAGAATAGCAAAAGAATATGCAGAAGGTGTCACTGAAAACAGCACTTACATCCTAAAATTATTAGTCCATTTTCATACTGCTATGAAGAAATACATGAGACGGTGTAATTTATAAAGAAGAAGAGGTTTAGTGGACTCAAAGTTTCACATGGCTGGGGAAGCCTCACAATCATGGTGGAAGGTGAAGGAAGAGCAAAGGCATATCTTACATGGCAGCAGGCAAGAGAGCATGTGCAGTGGAACTTCCCTTTATAAAGCCATCACATCTCGTGAGACTTATTCATTATCATGAGAACAGCATGGGAAAAACCCATCCTCATGATTCAATTACCCTCCATTGGGCCCCTCCCACAACACGTGGTGATTATGAGAGCTAAAATTCAAGATGAATATGGGGTGGGGACACAGCTAAACCATATCAGACCCCTAAACCACAGAGCATGTCATATAATGTCTGTTTAACATACTGTATTATAAGTGCTCACGCTTTGTTAGCTGAATAAAGAAGTGATATGGATTCAAAATTTTAAATCCAAGAACAGTATGTGATTATTCCCCACTCTTATGAGCAAGAGGCATCTATCTGTTTTAACACAGTAATCTTAGTGAAATAAATACTAAAAGACAATCAAGAGAAGACCTCTACTTCTGGAAAGATAAAGTAGATACATATTTTTCTTTATTCCACCTGCTAAATACACCTAAAAATTTTCAATAGTGTACATAAAAACAAACATAAGAAGATTGAGAGGTAGAGCAAATGAAACAAACCATTCAGGGACCATAGGACCTAAGGAAGGACTCGTTTTCTTTTTGCCTCATGTATCCTAGAGAGCCGGTGTATTAGTCTGTTTTCATCCTGCTATAAAGAATTGACTGAGACTGGATAATTTATAAAGAAAGCAGGTTTAATTGACTCACAGTTCCACATGGCTCAGGAGGCCTCAGGAAATTTATAATCATGGTGGAAGAAGAAGCAGTCACGTCTTACATGGCGGCAGGTGAGGGAGAACATGGAAGAGCAGGGAAAACTGCCTTATAAACCATCAGATCTCATGAGAATTCACTCGCTATCATGAGAACAGCATGAAGGAAACTGCCTCCATGATTCAGTCACCTCCCACTAGGTCTTTCCCTCAACACCAGGCAATTATGATTCAATGTAAGATTTGGGCGGGGACACAAAACCTAACCATATCAGCTGGCAACCTGGGAAAGCCTCAGCATAAACCTGCTCCCTCTAGCCAAAGGACTAGAAAAAGGGCAGTCTTGCAAGACAAAAGTCTTTTAGACAATAATGACTCTACTCCAGCTAAACATTACAGAAAAAACTGTGACCCTACCCTGACCCATGCCAGAAAAGGCTGAATGGATATCCTAGAGAGCCATCCATCCCAGGCTGTAATGAAGTGCCCCAACTCACCTGCTGATATGGTGACAGAGAAGGTTGAGCAGGGAGTGGAGACTTTCTTCTTCATAGAGCAGTGACAGGCACATTCTTCCTCACAGGAGAGTAACAGCCCCCATCCCACAGGAGTCAGGAGAGATCATCTGTGGAACCTGGACCTCCCCCAACACTTTCTTTCTCCTCCTCTCTGGGGTGTTGTCATAAGAGGTGTAGTGGAAAGTCAGGGCTTCCACTACCAACCGGAAATAATGAAGCAACTTCCTTATCCCTTGTGTTATCAATGAAGGTTGTTTGGAGAGGTAGTAAGACACTCCTAACCCTCCCAGCCAGGGAGGTCTCAGTGGAGGTCTAGTGAGTAACTAAAATTTCCACTTCTGGCTAGGAGCAAAGAGGGAGAGCCCCCTGTCTTAATTATCAATGAAGGCCAAGTTGAGAACCTGAGCTTTTACCTTTGCCTGGAAGTAATGTAGTAAGATCCCCTTTCCACCTGTCAGAGTGGTATCAGAGAAAGCCAGCTAAACTAGAAGGTTTAAATAAGATCCAGAATTGATAATATGGTACCCAGAATGTCTAGGATTAATTTAAAAATCGCTCATTATTCAAAGAATCAGAAAGATCTCAAACGAATGGAAAATAAAGATAATAAATAGATGCAACATTGAGAAGACAGAGATGCTAGAGTTATTTGATAAATGTTTTAAGGCAGTTATTACTTTTTGACTCTCCCTTCTCCTCCCTAAAGTAGTTATTTTAAAAGACCTTCAAGGAGTAATTATGAACATACTTAAAACAAATGAAAAAATAGAGTCACAGCAAAGCAATTGAAAGTATCAGCAAATGAGTAGGAGATATAAAGAAGAACCAAAGAGAAATTTTAGAACTAAAAAATACATTGAAAAAACTGAAAAGATTAGCAGAATAGAGAAAACAGATGAAGGAATTATGGAACTATAAGATAGAACAATATAAATTACCCAATTTGAACAACAGAGAGAAAGACTGAAAAAAAATGGATAGAGTTTCAGGCACTTTGGAATTGTAACAAAAGGTCTAACTTTTGTGTCATAGGAATCCCAGAAGGAGAAGCAAGAGAGGGCAGGGCTGAAAGAACACTTGAGTATAAAATAATGGTTTAACGGTTCCCAAATTTGGCAAGAGTTATAAACCTAAAGTTTTAAGAAGTAGAGCAATCCCCAAACAGTGTAAACCCAAGCCGATCCACACTAAGATATCTAGCAAAACTTCTGAAAACTAAAGATTAAAAAACATGAGTGAGAGAGAAAAAAACACCTTATCTGCAACGGGAAAACATTTTGAGTAACAAGGGATTTCTTATTAGAAACCATAAAGACTGGAAGGAAGTGGCACAACATTTTTTATGCCCAGTGAAAATATCTGTCAGGAATCAAGGGGGAAGTTAAGACATTAGAGATTGGAAAAAAAATAACTAAGAGAACTTGTGGTCAGGAGAACTAATCTAAAGTAGTGACTAAAGATGTTCTCTGAACAGAAAAGAAATGATTCAGGCAGAATCATTGGAAAATCAGGAAAAGAGATAAAACATGGTAAACAAAATATGAGCAAAAACAACTGATTTTCTTTGTGTTTTTTAGTTTTTGAAAATGAGGATTGATGCAAAATTTATGACACTATTTGATGTGGTTCTAAGACTGTATTAGAAAAAAACACAATGATTTTATAAGTGGAAGAATTTAATGATTTTATAAATGGAAGAACACAAAGGAAGGCAAGTTTTTTACACCTCACTTGGGCTGATAAAATGATGACACCAGTAGATTGAGATAAGTTATGTATATATAATGCAGTACCTATGGCAACCACCGCAAAGGTTTACAAAGAGGTGCATTAAAAAATAAGTTAAAATGAAATTCTAAAAAATGTTGAAGTAATCCACAGGCAAGAAAAGGAAAACAGAAAAATATAAAACAGAGAACAAACATTAAACAACAACAAAAAACATATGTAAGCCCTAAAATATTAATTATTACATTAAGTGTGAATGGTCTAAATCAGCAGTCCCCGACATTTTTGGCACCAGGGACCACTTTTTTTTTTTTTTTTTTTTTTTTTTTTTGAGAAGGAGTCTTACTCCGTCCCCCAGGCTGGAGTGAAGTGGCACCATCTCAACTCACTGCAACCTCTGCCTCCTGGGTTCAAACGATTCTCTTGCCTCAGCCTCCTGAGTAGCTGGGCTTACAGGCATGTGCCACCACGCCAGGCAAATTTTTGTATTTTTAGTAGAGATGGGGTTTTGCCATGTTGGCCAGGCTGGTCTTGAACCCCTGACCTCAGGTGATCTGCCTGCCTTGGCTTCCCAAAGTGCTAGGATTACAGGCGTGAGTCAGGGCGCCCAGCCCAGTTTTGTGGAAGACAATTTTTCCACAGAAGGGGCCAGGGGTAGGGGGCAGGGAATGGGTTTGGGATGAAGCTGTTCCACCTCAGATAATCAGGCATTAGTTAGATTCTCATAAGGAGCAGGCAACTTGGATCCCTCACGTGCACAGTTCACAGTAGGTTCCACAATAGGCTCGTGCTCCTGTGACAATCTAATCCTGGCGGCTGATCTGACAGGAGGCGGAGCTCAGGCAGAAATGCTGGCTCATTTCCTCCTGTGCCTTCCAGTTTCGAAGAGGCTACAGACCAGTATCAGTCTATGGCCCAGGGGTTGGGGACTCCTGGTAAATTCACCAATTAAAGACAAAGATTAGCAGCATGAATTAAAAAACATGACCCAACTCTACGCTTTCTGTAAGAAACTGACTTCGTTTATAATGGCATAGGTTGAAAGTAAAATGTTGGAAAGAGATCTGTCATGCTAGAACAACTAAGCAGAAAATCAGCAGGCTATAAAAGAACTCAAAAACATCGTCAACTAACAGAATCAAATTGACATTTAAAGAGCGCTTTATCCAATATCGGAAGAACACACATTAAAGTAGCTACCTCCCCTTATCTGCCATTTCATTTTTCACAGTTTCAGTTACCTGCAGTCAACCGCATAGTCTGAAAATATTAAATGGAAAATTACAGAAATAAACAGTTTGTAAGTTTTAAATTGTGTACCATTCTGAGCAATGCGATGAGACCTCATGCTGTCCTATTCATCATACCTGGGACATGAATCAGCCCTTGGACCAGCGTAGCCATGCTACCTATTTGTTATGTTACCTGTTTGTTAGTCGCTGATTAGGTGTCTCCTGTATCAGATCAACTGTAGCACTGTTGCAGTGCTTGTGTTCAAGTAACCCCTATTTTTACTTAATCATGGCCCCAAAGCTCGAGTGGTAGTGTTGGCAATTCAGATATGCCAAAGAGAAGCTGTAAAGTGCTCCCTTTAAATAAAAAGGTCTGTAAAGTAAAAACTGACTTAAGTCAATTTGACTGTAAGTAAAAATTGACTTAATAAGGAAAAAAAAATATATGCCGAGGTTGCTGAGATCCACGGTAAAAACAAATCTTCTATTCATGAAATTGTAAAGAAAGAAAAACAGTTTGTGCTAGTTTAGCTGTTGCATTTAAACCGCAAAAGTTACAGCCAAAGTGATAATAAGTGCATGATAAGTGCTTAGTTAAGATGGAATAGCCGTTAAATTTGTGAATGGAAGACATGAACACAAACATGTTCTAATTGAAGGCAATCAGGGTCAGTACTATCTGCAGTTTCAGTCATCAACTGGGGGTCTTGGAACGTATTCCTCATAGATAAGAGGGGACTACTGTATTTTCAAGTCCTGCAGAATATATATCAAGATATACCATATCCTGGGTTATAAACCAAAACTCAGAAAATTGGAAAAACTGGATATCATACAAATTGTGTTCAATCGATAAAATTATACTAGAAATCAGCAACAGTAAAATCTTTTTCCAAACACTTGGAAATAAAACAACACACTTTTAAATAATCCATAGGTAAAAGAGAAAGTGTCAAGTAAAGAAAATAAAAATACAACATATAAACATTTGTGGGGCACATTTAAAGCAGTATGAAGAAGGAAATTTATAGCACTAAATGTATACACTAGAGAAGAAAGTCTTAATACTTTAGGCTCCCACCTCAAAAAACATACAAAAAGAAGAGCAAAATGTACCCATACCAAAATAAAGGAGGAATTCATAATGATAATAGCAAAACCCAATAAAATTGAAAACAAAAAATAGGAAAAGTTAATTAAAAAGCTTGGTTTCTGACATCAATAAAATTAATAAATCTCAAATAAGACTGACAAAGAAAAAGAAAAAAATCCAAATTACAAATATCAGGAATAAAACAGGATATCACCACAAGCCCTGAATACATTAAAAGGATAATAAGGGAATGCTAGAGACCACTGTACACACAAAAATCTGACAACTTTGGTGAAATTATAAACTGATTCTTCAGAAAACAGAACTACCACTACTCACCCAATATAAAAATGATAATTTGTATAAGCCTATAACTGTTAATATTAAAGAAACTAAGTTTATAATTTAAAATTTCCCCAAAAAAGAAATATTCAGGCTCAGATGGTTTCATTGAAGAATTCTCTTATACCAAATGTTTTAAGAATTAACAATTTTACATAAGCTGTCTTGGGATAAGTAGCTTTGTGATCTAAGAAAAGGAGAAGGTTACTAGATGATCCCTAAGGATTCTTCCTAAAGGTAGTCTATCTTGAAGGAAGAAAAACCCTCTGAAACCTATGTTAAATGCATTACTAAATATATGTCAGTGGAGATGGTTGCAAACAAGCTATATTGGCCGAGGTTCTGGGCTTTATCCACAGTATGGAATAATGGAGGGGCAGAGAAAATTCTTATGTTAATCAAAATTGCTTCAAATTCTCACAAATTATGATGTTTTATTATAACAGCTTCTGTATTAAATACACTCTCATTATATGAATGTTTTACTAAAATTAAGCTGACGATATAAACACAATATAAATAAATAGAACTTGTGATTTTTCAATAACTTATCTTCCTGAATACATTCCTAACTCATCTTTTTTCAGGGTAAGGTGATTCCAAACTGGAATTTCCCAAAGGACATGCATAACGTGTGTTAAATGAGTTTTCTTATGTTTTCACCCAGCAATGGATAATCGTTTAAATTACTTTGTCTATATCATCATGAGCCAATGTTTTTAAGAGCCTTGGTTCTTTCAGAACTTTAAGTTATTGACATAAAGTTATTGACATATTAATACCACATTTTTTTTTGCAATGATAGTCACACTTCTTATTACCCTCATGACTAAGACTGCTATTTTCTAATTGAGAATAACCTTGAAGGGTAGATCATCAGTTGTGTTTAATTTGCTTTTGTATATACAATTTTTGTATTCATCCTCAGAAGTACCCAGAATTGTTATTTAAATTTTAGCTTCCTGAGTACTGAGCAAATGGTGTCCATTCTGGGGCATGTGTATCAAAGAATTTAATTACAATTTTTAAATTACAGTTTTTAATTCAGCTGATCACATTGGTTTAATATGTGAGAGATAAGCTTCAAAATTTAAACTGTGATACCCTATAGTCTACAGACTATATGGTTTTTGGCAAAATGTATCCTTTATGTACTGGTGGGACTCTGTTTGGAGCAACGCGTAGCATTTTATTAGTTTAAAGGCTCTGAAGGGGCATTGTGAATAACACTACTTCCTCATTTAACTTACTCAATATATTTCGATGAAGTACACCAGTGGGACAAAATGTTGAAGAAACACAAACTTTTAAAGTTGCCAGTGATTTAATTTAACACAAGTTTCTTTGGTATTTGCATACACAGATTGTATTATTTATAATTAACTTCCCTAGTCATGTATTTTCAGCTTTCCAAATCCCTCAGTAAGTATCCTTCTGCCTTGTTGAAAAGTTCAGTTACATATGACAGCACCAATCTGGCATTTAAATGTGACACTCATTTTAATGTGACACTCATTCTTCAAATAATACACACAAAGTGACATACAAGAAGACCATCTACTTTGTGTCCCCTGTCACCTCTGCCTGTGGCTCCCATAGATTAGCGACTCGAGGGCTGAACTTGCCACTCTATCACAGTGAGAACACGTTCTTTTTTCCAATTAATTTTCATGTAAAAAATGAGATAAATGATCTCTTTTTAAATGTTTTTTTTTATTGTTGCTGTTCCTAGAAGACAATTTACTGTTTGTTTTGATTATATTCAATGAACCTGTATGGGATTGAAATTTGCTCCAAAAGCTACTTTGAAAACAAAAGAAAAAAAGGAGATTTCAATACCTCAACACAGAGTAGATTTTAGTGGATACTGTCTCAGTGTATTGCGACTCTCCATTCCATCATAAAGCTATTAATTTGCTCTGTTAAAAAAAACTGTTAAAACACAAAATATAGCCAGTTTCTCTTTCTCCTTAATTACATGCCTACACATAGTTCCAACATCATGTCGAATCAAGCTGGAAATTTTCAGTTTCTTTTTTTTACTATATTGATGAGAACATATGGTCACTATTTTTATCTCCTGTCTTATTTCAGTGCATTTCTGTTATTACTGCTCTTCATTTCAGCAACCACTGTAGATTCTAAGAGTCACCTATGTCAATACATTTTATATTTCCAAACATATTGTTCCCAAGTCGTTTGAGAAGATATGAAAATATGCTTCTTTAGCTTGTTCCATGATAAGATATCTTCCTGTTGTCAACTACTAAGACAGAAATCCAGGCCAAATTGAAAATTTGTCTGACAAGAGGTAAATGTATTAACCACATTCTCTTAAAACTTGTTTGATGCAGAGGAATGATTTTGAAGTACTCCAACTATTTCAATGACTATTAGTAAATATTAGAAAAGAAAATGTGAGTAATTCAAGTAATCTGGCTGAAACTTTGTTCCAAACTGGAATTTGAGCAAATTACAGTCTCAAAGGATAAGTAGTGTTAATTTTTCATGTTTACCCTGGAAGTTCCCAATTAAATAAATAGACCATTACAATAAAGACAATAGAAGAGTCTTAATTAAACATAAAGGACAATTGACCCTTATAGGTTACATATGACAATATTTTAGTAATCAATGTCCCAGTTTGTCTGGGACTTTTCCAATTTTAGCAGTGATAGTCACAATTCTGAGAAACTACTCAGACCTAAGCAGATTGGAATGCTTGGTAGTTCTGTAATGAGGTCATTAAATTTAATTAAAGCTATCTAGTCTATTATATTTGAAAAGATGCAATTATGTTTTAAGATAAGTAAGAATATTAAATGCATATTAATTTAAAAATATTGACTGCACAGTCAATCAAGTTTACTTCAAATCATCTCTTTTAAGAAGTAATTTTGGCCAGGCACGGTGGCTCACACCTGTAATCCGAGCACTTTGGGAGGCCAAAGTGGGCGGATCATGAGGTCAGCAGATCGAGACCATCCTGGCCAACATGGTGAAACCCTGTCTCTACTAAAATACAAAAAAAAAAGTTAGCTGGGCATGGTGGCGGGTGCCTGTAGTCCTAGCTACTCAGGAGGCTGAGGCAGGGGAATCACTTGAACCCAGGAGGTGGAGGTTGCAGTGAGCTGAGATCGCGCCACTGCACTCCAGCCTGGTGAGAGAGTGAGACTCTATCTCAAAAATAAAAAACAAAAACAAAAAGTAATTTTGTTAATGAAAAACTTTGCTTTGGGTATTAAACAAATAAATCTGAAGTTGTAACTAAAATAGATTTGAAAACACTTATGTAGTAAAATAACAAACATTAATTGATTCGACTGTGTTCTAAACCCTTTGTTAGGCTCTAAAATAGTAAAGTAAATAAAAATGTAATTCTTTTTCTCTAGGAGATTATAGCTCCAAGTTTCTATGGAAACAATTTTCAATGTTAATATTCAGAGTACATAATTAATTTTATACTTACTTATGTGTACATAATGTCCATAACTAGTTATAGTCAGCAAAGATTGATGGTTTTCTTTTTGTTAGAAATATAGTGAAACTATATATTTTCATCGTCTACATTTTAGACAAAATAAGCTTATTCTTTTGGAAGCAAGAGTTATTTGGGCCAATTGAATATCATCGTACCAATTAAATACCAATTTTCAGAAAGTAATACATAATTGTATGCTTGTGTGCCTGAATCAGAAACATCCCCTTAAAGTAAAAAAGTAAAAAAAATACAAGGAATATGCAAATATCTGAGAAATAGCCTAAGGAATTAGCAGGTGCACCTGTAAGATGGTTATTTTCCTAGTCTTTTTATAAGATATTTGATATTTGGATGGCACTTTGTCTTGCAATAATGCTAAAAACCTTTGTTTGATTTCTAGATCAACCAAAGAAACCAATTTCACACATAACACAGACAAAAATTATACATTGGCAGTCAAGAGAACATATTTTGTAATTCTAGTGGTAAAGAAGGACGCATTAATGAAAACGTGTTTAGGGTTTCTCTACTTGCAATCAGTGTGATATTTTGACAATGTAGATTTGATCATGTCACTTCTCTACACATACACGTCACACATATACATACTCTCACACATGTTCACAGTTGAAACTCATTATTGGATTCTCATTGCTTTAAAGATTAAGACCAAAATCTTCCCCATATCCTAAATGCTCCTGAATAGTGTGCCATGAGCTTTATCCCATGAGATTCTCGATAGCATCTTCTAACTTCAGCCACATTGGCTTTCTTCCTCCATGTTACACATTCTTTTCACTCTTTCTAGAAAGTTCAGAGCCCTCTCTTTCCTGGATTATAGTTAGTTATCCCTCAGGTCTGAATTTAAGCTTTGCTTACCTGAGCCCCAAATGCAGGTCAGATTTATTTGCTTATATTGTTTCCTAGAACCCTGCTTCATGACATTATAGCATGTGCCTCAGATTGTTTTTGTGCATTCATTAGTAAGAGTATTTGATTAATATCTCTTTTCTGCACTGGTCAGTATGCTCCATGAGGTCAGGGGCCATGTCTAGTTTTGTTCACCACTGTATACCCCTAGCCTAGCACAGTGCCTTCATTATTTGATAAATAAATATTTAAATTAAAGATTTGTTTTATATACTGGCATTTGAGACAAAGTGTATTAATTATTAAAGGATGGCAAAGAAGATGAAAATAACTTTAAAAAGAACAACAGGAGAGTGTTAGGGTTTTAAAAGTTAATATAATTTGCTTCTTGTTACATATGATTTTGCTTCAAAACTCATGACTTTCCTTTTTATTGCTACAGGTAGGTACCCACCACCCCACTAAAATTTGTGAGTCATAATTGAGATGATTATTTTTCTCAAAAATGTCTAATGAGAGGGAGGTGAGAAACATTTTCAAGTAATTGGATAATAATCAGAAGTGGGAGGAGTCGATTTAGCAGGATGTGTATTTGTATCTCATAAGAATTTGGGTAAAGCAATATTTGCTAATCTGAGAGTGGTTGGAGATCAAAGAAAGTTGCATGGAGGTGGAGGTGAGAAGAGTGACATAAAGTCAGGTGATTCCCTGAGTCAGTTAACACACAACTTCATAATACTCCCCTGAGCTGGAAGGAGCAAATTGTGAGTTAGGATGGGAAGCAGTGAATAGGTTGCCCCTCATTTGTACAGATCTTAGGGAAATCAACTAGGATTAAAGGTTGTTTTGATAATCAGGTGTGTGTGTGTGTGTGTATGTCTATATATATACATGTATATAATAAATCTGCATGTTTTATAAGTTGATTAAATTAACAATGATTGACCAAATGAATTGCTATGTGTTTTTTCATAAAAACATGACACCATGTTTCATGGAAATCCTTAGCACATAAACTGCACTAACACTAAATTTAAAAATTAATACATTTCTGTATTAAAATTGATTAAGTAACTTAGAATTCAGTATGCCTACTTGAACTCCACATAGTGTAGTTTGACTTAATACACAAATAAATGAATAAAATAGAAAGATACTTAAGTGACGGCCCTGTTCCCCAAGATAAATGGATGTCGATGATACTTGTAATGATCATCACAGATGGAAATTAATAGCTTCCCATAGAATATCATTTCAGCGTTAAATTATGGTGTAATCAAAAATTATTTTGGGCTTATCTAAACTCTCTTGGGGGCATTTTAAGCTCCTATAACTTTATTGGTCATTGGTAAGGATGAAATATAATTGTTATGTGCTCTGATTATGGTTAATTCTATGTATATTTGGAAGAGGCTTTTGCAATCTTTGGTTTCATATTTTACAGTCCAGGTAAGCTTATGTGTCCAATTTATATTCATGAAATAGCTTCCCTTCTCTTGAATACTTTTGTCACCTTTTTTACAACTCCATTAAGTGTCCACAGAGCCCTTTTAAAATGTGAAAGAAACATAATGCTCATCAGCTTAGACTGGCCTTAAGATTATAATAATTAAAGCTAGGTAATGAGTATGTGCTTCCTCATTTTACTACTTTTATTTTTGTATATGTATGAAATTTTCCATGGTAAATGTTTGAAAATTTATCAGCGGAGCCTATTAGGTAAAGGCCAAGCGTGAATGCATGTACATGTGTGAGGTGGTCGTGGGAGCGGGTGAGTAGCTGGTTCTTCAGGTTTTGGATTCAGAGTTAGTGACTGCTTCTTGGAACTCCCATAACTCTGTGCTTCATTGATTCTGGATGGTGTTAGTGAAAGTGAATTTTGCCCAACTAAGTTTTGCTCCAGAAGAACGTGTTGCTTAAAATCTCCTGGTCTCATTATTTTTTATCTGTAACTATTTATTTGATTCCAGTAAGTACCTGAAGAGGGCAGCTTATCACCTAACAATTTTTCTAGGCATTTGCTAGTCATATGCCTAGTAATACTACCTGCATACACTATGTCATCCACCAGGGCACAACATTAGTCAACCCTCTTTTGCACACTCTTTCTCTAGCCAAGATTGTACAGACATGCTCCACATGATATTTTGATCAACAATGGGTCACTTAGATGCCAATGGTTCCATAAGATTATAAGGAAACTGACAAATTCCTATTGCTTAGTGACACTAGCCATTGTAATGTTGTCGCTGAATTACTTTTTTAAAAAATAAATGTAGTATAGTTTTAGTGTACAGTATTTGTAAAGTCTATAGTAGTGTACAGTAATGTCCTAGGCCTGCACGTTCATTTATCCCTCACTCACAGGCTCACCCAGAGCAACTTCCAGTCCTGCAAGCTCCATTCATGGTAAGTGTACTATATAGGTATATCATTTAAAAAATCTTTTATAGCATATTTTTATTGTTTCTGTTCTGTTTAGATATGTTTAGATACACAAATACTTGCTATTGTATTACAGTTGTCTACATTAGGAGTAATAGGTTGTACTGTATAGCCTAGGCATGTAGCATGGTGTACTATCTAGGCTTGTGTTATGTACACTCTATGATGTTTGCACAGTGGCAAAATCACCTAACAAAGCATTTCCCAGAGCATGTCCTCATCATAATATGATGCATAAACTGTAGTTTAATGGAGAAAACATTCACTAGGAGTCAGGAAAGCTGGGTTTTTAAGATTTTGTTGGCCAGGCACTGTGGCTCACACCTGTAATCCCAACACTTTGGGAGGCCAAGGCAGGTGGATCACGAGGTCAGGAGCTCAAGACCAGCCTGACCAAGATGGTGAAGCCCCGTCTCTATTAAAAATACAAACAAAATTAGCCGGGCATAGGTGGCGGACACCTGTAATCTTCAGGAGGCTGAGGCAGAGAATTGCTCAAACCCAGGAGGCGGAGGTTGCAGTGAGTCGAGATCACGCCACTGTACTCCAACCTGGGAGACAGAGTGAGACTCTATCTCAAAAATATATATATATAAATAAATAAAAATAAATAAAAAAAATAAAATTATTTGTTAGCCCCAGATGATTGAGAAAAATTCACATACCCATGTTTCTTGGCTCACTAAAAATTCATGAGGCCTAAACTCATATCTACAGGTCACACCTCTTGTTTATTTCTTATTAACCCTTTCCCATCCCTAGACGTTCTCACGCTTCAGACCTCCTTTTATTTGGGCTGTCACCAATACAGACATTCTTCTTTAATGAGAACACCAGGTCCTGGATTGCAAATTCTTTCAATTGTCATTGTCTTCCTCTTTATGAATCAATGTCTTCAGTGTGTCTGCATCATTCTCCTTTCCCTTTTTCCCCACTTATTTGTGACTTTGCTCACATTTTCTCTGCCTGAATTTCTCTACCACAATTTGGTTACTTGGCAGAATCCTGGTTTTTACTTTAGTCACAAGCAGAGGTCAGTGGTTACAAAACATTTTCATCTGTTCCTGCGGATGGAATCAATGACTCGGCCATCTCTGTTCCCACAGCACTAGCTTCAGAGCTCTATCGGAGTGGAGTTTTGTAAAGTGATTGTCTTCATTTGCTTCATTGATTAGGCTGCTCCTCCTGCTAAATGATGGGTTCCTTGAGGGAAGCACATCTTTTCTAATTTGTATCCCTAATTCCAGTGCACAGAACGTGGGCCATTGTAATAGGCACTTAGTAAATTTTAACCAGAATTGAAATATTTTTCACCTCTGCCTGAGGAAAAACTAAAAACATAGTGCCTCTTATCCAAAATAATAATAACAATAATCTGTGTTCTTGATTCCATTTCTTTCCACATTTTAAAACACATTGCTTTCCTAGATTATCTTTTATTTTGTTTGCATTTTCTCTTTTCCACTGGCTTTTGTTTTCTTGTTCAAGAAATCCTCACATCCTGCCATTCAGGGGCTTCTCACTTCCCAAACCTGAAACCTCTGGTCCCAGTTGTGCGTTGGCTCACTGATGTTTTTTCTCTCCCTTCTGCCATTCTCCATAGGTTCTCATAATGCTTCCTGACAAATGCCTGAGTGCTGGGCCAGCAGAGGCATGTCTGGGAAGAGGAAAGGAGGGGGAAACAGGCAATTTCCACCATTCACTCCTCCAAACACCTCCCAGATTTCTGAGATTCTCTTTCTCAATTTTTTCAAGCACGGTGTTTTTGTCTTTTTCTGAATGCTCTTCTCCTTATTATAAAAAGAGTTTTTTTCAGAAAATAAAAAAATCCCAAACACTTTGTCTTCAGCTGTCCTCTCTCTTTAATTTTTTTACACCAAAAAAAGTTTTGCTGATATTACCTGCTCTGAAGATGTTTTTGAGTCCATTTGGATCATTCCAAAATCTAGCTTTCTAACCACTGTCTATTTTGTATGTCCTCTATCTGCTTTTCCAACCTCTTATTATATAAATGGATCTCCACTTGAATGAATAAACTACATTGTCAATACATCAGACTTAAGGCCAAGAATTAAACAAGTCATCTTTTCTCCCCAAACTGTTTTTTTCCTGCTATTGGTGTTATCTACTTCTGTTAAAGACTCTACCTTTTCTTTTGACTCTTTCTACTCTCTTAATCCTAAATTCAGTATGTTGCTAAATGTAATCAACTCTACTGTGTCTTTATCTTTTGTTTCTAGCCTCTTCTTTCCATGGTGGTTGTCAAATGCTAAAGTATGCCCTATGTTACCGCAAAATAAAATCATCTACCCAGTTCTAGTTTCTCCGTGATACAAAACATTCCTCATAGCTTTTACAGATCATTCTTCCCAAACCACATTTTATAGAAAGCAATTCTCCTGAGAAAGAGCCAGCAGTGTCCCCTCAACTTGCTGAATTAAGTTTAAACTCCTCTAGCTGGTGTTCATGGCCAGCCACAGGACAATCTGAGTCTCTTTACAGATTCTTATCGAGTTTTTGCCATTTCTGTACTCAATGCACTAATCTCATTGGAAAGCTCTGTAGACCCTGAAATTGCCCTAAAAGTTCTCCTCCTATCTTTGCTGCTTTTAATTCTTCTACCTGGAAAGATAACCATTTCTTTCAGCCCAGCATAGGGAAAGCCAATCCAGTATTCAAAGCTCATCTACAAGCTTATTTTTTTTTGAAAATCCTTTGCTATTTTGCATCTAAGCAGAAGCGATCTCTTTTCTGATCCATCAAAACATCTTGTTTGCTCCTTTTTTTGTGACAATCTATGTCATGTTTTCTATTGTTTACTGATACTTGTGTTTCATCCTCTCCTATTATTATAAACTACTTAGAAGCAGAACTTATGCCTTACTTATGTTTTATTTCTTGCACATAGTAAATGTTCAGTGAACATCATTGGATTGACGTAAAGTAGCTGTAGGACAAGGGCTTAACCTCTGAGATGCACTTTCCTCATCTGTAAAACCAGGAGGTCTCACTCTAAAGTCTCTTTTAGCTGTTTAATCACTCCAAGGGTTTTTTGGAATTCTGGACTGTAGGTTAGAAGGGAGAATTTTCACAGACATTATAAACTTTTTAACGAATTTCTCCTCCTGAAGTTATTACTTTAAGAGCGGTTGAAAATGGAGAGGGCTAGTGCTTAATGACATGACACTTGATCGACACTTCTTACCCAGTTTTTGGGTATGAAGACTTCTGGAACATTCTTGGAATAATAAGATTATAAAGTCCTAGAGCTATTGGAGCTGAACTTTGTATCTGTTTTTTAATTGCTGAAATGGTTAATAACAATATAGCAATATTTATTGAGTATTTACTACATTGCCAGACAGTGTGTGGTAAATTATTCACAATTATCTTATTATTTCTTACAACAAAGCGTACAGTAGGTACTATTATCCTCGTTTCATAAAGAAATTTCAGAAGAGAGTTTAGTATTTTATAAGCATCTAGTAAATTCTGTGACTACGTTCCTTATATGTAGTTTGATCTTATTCTCATAAAGCTTGCTGAACATTGTTTTTATTGCTTGCCTTTTCCTTACTGTTTTTTAACTTAATCTTACTAATTTTAAAATTTTTACTTATATTTCATATGAAAAAATAATGCAAATTTATTTACTTTGAAAGCCTGTAAATTTTGACAAGTGAAAATTTGGACCTTAATTAACCTGAAGTCATATATTGCTCTACAAAAGCATTCAAATGTCAATATGTGATCCGTGGCCCACTGGTAGGTCTTGGTGAGGTGGAAAATATCTCGAACTGACTGGAACTTATCAAGTCTTTCAGCTTCTGTCAAACAATGGCAGGAGGCCACTGATGCTTTTGCACCAACCACTTCTAGGCAAATTTCAGTTATCTATCCATCTGGCAAACTCATTGAACTTCTCCTAGGATGGGAACAAAATAACATTTTCCTAAGTGTCCAAGTCATGCTGTTGCTAATGGCATGTAGGTGACTAAAACTAGGGAGATAGCTCTCAGAGTTGTGTTCTTCAGATCAAAAGCAAGCACATATCATATTCTATATTTAATACCTATTGTATGCCAAACTTTAATCTAGGTACTAGGGATACAATAATGAAGAAAACTCTGCTTTCAGAGAGCATATTATTTTTCCTTTCTTTCTTCTTTTTGGGACAGAGCCTCACTCTATTGCCAGGTTGGAGAGCAGTGGTGATCTTGGCTCACTGCAGCCTTGACCTCCAGGGTTCAAGCAATCCTCCCACCTCAGCCTCCCTAGTACCTGGGACTACAGGCATGCACCACCACACCTGGCTATTTTTGTATTTTTTGTAGAGATGAGGTTTCACCATGTTGCCCTAGGTTAAAACTTCTCAGATGAAGTAATCCACCTACCTCAGCCTCCCAAATTGCTGAGATTACAAGTGTGGGCCACCATGCCTGGCTGTAACCTCTTATCAGGAAGAGGCAAACAACAGCCAAGTCAAGATTAATTTCAGATAGTGATAATGCTCTAAAGAGAATAGAAGAGCTTGATATCATCAGGGAAGATGCTCAGCAATTATGTAACAGGACAGCCATACCTGTTTGTATAGCCTGTGTCCCTTCTGATTGATGCTTCTGCTTTACAGATTATTAAACGGTTTTTAATACCCCTTCTGCATGTGACAGTGAGTGACCAGGGGTGTGGTCATATCGATTGAGAAGACAGATCTCACTGAGGAGAGACTTTTAATTGACATCTGGCTAACAAGAAGGAAGTGACTGAGGGAAACAGGACAGCTGCCTCTATTCATGTGAAGATAGTGGGACAAGTTCATGAAAGGTCTCTTTGGAAAGCAAAAGCTAGGCCTTTCTGGGCAAGAGAAAGAAGATCCGACTGGAACATCTTGTGTAGAAGACAGTGGAAGGAGCTAAAATCAGGTAAGTATTAAAAGTGTACATTATGGAAGAACAATTACCTGTGCTTGTGGTCAATATTTTGCTGAAGTAGTAAGGAATGTTCTGATGTGAATCTATTGTTAATGTATCAGCAGTCGGCATATGGGGAAGTATGCAAAAATGTTTTAAAAAACATTGTTCTAGTCCTCTTATGAATAAGTTGGTGTTTTTTTTTTAAAATCTATGATTGGACAAAGATGTTTGGGATCAATAACAAGTAGCAATCATTCTATTTGTCACAAGTAGTATTTTGATGTGCAAATAAAAAGGATGCATGTAAATATCACACAAATACTGTTTTCATAAGTCAATAGTTGGCAATATGCCCAATCTTGATTTAATGTTCAATAAATAGAAAACATTGTGAATGTGGGTATTCATGACGATTAAATATCTGACTTTTCAGATTGCTATGCAAAGATATGTTAGAATTGAAGATAAGACTCAATTTTTTCCCTCAGAACTACAGTAGTTGTCAAGGGGAAATTACTTCTGGGAGCTTTACAAATGAGGGCTAAGATTGATTTTTAATTAAAGATTCACAGCACCAATAAAAGATTAAGGTCTATTGGTCTCATTTCAGGCACTTTTGCTCTGTAACATATCTCAGAAATACTTTCAATAAGATTAAGGTTTATTGCTCTGATTTTGGTCACTTTTGCTTTAAGACACATCTTAGAGATACATTTAATAACTCGATGTGATGGTTAATACTGAGTGTAAACTTGATTGACTTGAAGGATGCAAAATATTGATCCTGGGTGTGTCTGCGAGGGTGTTGCCAAAGGAGATTAACATTTGAGTGAGTGGACTGGGAATGGCAGACCCACCCTTAATCTGGGTGGGCACCATCTAATCAGCTACCAGTGCAGCTAGAATATAAAGCAGGCAGAAAAATGTGAAAAGATTAGACTGGCCTAGCCTCCCAGCTTACATCTTTCTCCCATGCTGGATGTTTCCTGCCCTTGAACATCAGACTCTTAAGTTCTTCAGTTTTGGGACTCAGACTGGCTTTCCTTGCTTCTCAGCTTGCAGAGAGCCGGTTGTGAGACCTTGTGATCATGTGAGTTAATACTTAATAAATTTCCCTTTATATTCTTATACCTATCCCTATCCTATTATTTCTGTCCCTCTAGAGAAACCTGACTAATATACTTGAATAGTCTACACACATTATTTTAGTGATAACATGATGTTAATATTGATGACAAGACAAGAAGATTTCTTAAGAAGTCTAAATTAGTTCATACAGCTCGATTTCCAAGAATGTGATTTTTTTCAGCTTTCAAATTTCTTCTTTGCTTGTCAGATAAATAAATGAATGATATAATCTTTGATAGATTATAAAAGCCATATTTAAATGCTGTAATAAACATGAAGAAATACACACAAAAAAACAACAAGAAATATACTTCCTACCATGTTCCTACATCACCATACCATTGCTTTTAAATGTGCTTTTAAATGTGCTGCACTAATCAGTTGAGCATCTTTTAGCACACAGGACATTGTATTCAATATGAAATCTCCCAATTATTTCTAGGTCTATGTTTAATCCAAATATCAAGAACTGTAAGGCAGAGGCATGAAACATTAAAACTGTTTGCTAGTTAAGAACTTCTCATTTGGTAGTAATAAAGAAGGCTACAGTAACCAAAACAGCATGGTACTGGTACCAAAAGAGAGATATAGACCAATGGAACAGAACAGAGCCCTCAGAAATAATGCCACATATCTACAACTGACTGATCTTTGACAAACCTGACAAAAACAAGAAATGGGGAAAGGATTCCCTATTTAATAAATGGTGCTGGGAAAACTGGCTAGCCATATGTAGAAAGCTGAAACTGGATCCCTTCCTTACACCTTATACAAAAATTAATTCAAGATGGATTAAAGACTTACATGTTAGACCTAAAACCATAAAAACCCTAGAAGAAAACCTAGGCAATACCATTCAGGACATAGGCATGGGCAAGGACTTCATGTCTAAAACACCAAAAGCAATGGCAACAAAAGCCAAAATTGACAAATGGGATCTAATTCAACTAAAGAGCTTCTGCACAGCAAAAGAAACTACCATCAGAGTGAACAGGCAGCCTACAGAATGGGAGAAAATTTTTGCAATCTACTCATCTGACAAAGGGCTAATATCCAGAATCTACAATGAACTCCAACAAATTTACAAGAAAAAAACAAACAACCCTATCAACAAGTGGGCGAAGGATATGAACAGACACTTCTCAAAAGAAGACATTTATGCAGCCAAGAGACACATGAAAAAATGCTCATCATCACTGGCCATCAGAGAAATGCAAATCAAAACCACAATGAGATACCATCTCACACCAGTTAGAACGGCGATCATTAAAAAGTCAGGAAACAACAGGTGCTGGAGAGGATGTGAAGAAATAGGAACACTTTTACACTGTTGGTGGGACTGTAAACTAGTTCAACCATTGTGGAAGTCAGTGTGACGATTCCTCAGGGATCTAGAACTAGAAATACCATTTGACCCAGCCATCCAATTACTGGGTATATACCCAAAGGATTATAAATCATGCTGCTATAAAGACACATGCACACGTATGTTTATTGCGGCACTATTCACAATATCGAAGACTTGGAACCAACCCAAATGTCCAACAACGATAGACTGGATTAAGAAAATGTGGCACATATACACACCATGGAATACTATGCAGCCATACAAAATGATGAGTTCATGTCCTTTGTAGGGACATGGATGAAGCTGGAAACCATCATTCTCAGCAAACTATCGCAAGGACAAAAAACCAAACACTGCAGGTTCTCACTCATACGTGGGAACTGAACAAGAGAACACTTGGACACAGGAAGGGGAACATCACACACCAGGGCCTGTTGTGGGGTGGGGGGAGGGGAGAGGGATAACATTAGGAGATATATCTAATGTAAATGACTATTTAATGGGTGCAGCACATCAACATGGCACATGTATACATATGTAACAAACCTGCACGTTGTGTACATGTACCCTAAAACTTAAAGTATAATAAAAAAAAAGAGTAAATGAAGTAGTCAGCTGGATATGGGACCTGTCCATAACTCACAATATTTATCATCAGTCCTCTGATAAATAAGTTAATGAAAATTTTCAAACTCTCTCACTGATATAAAATTTTATTATTTAAAAACTTGTGGTAATACTGTTTCTCAATTTATTTAAAATGGGTATCCCATTTATGCAGTAAAGACACATTAATTTGTCCACAAATCAGAAACTCTGCCCTATAAAATACGATGTTTTTGCTGCAAATGAGATTTTTCTGAGTGCACAGAGAAGACTGACTTAAAGTTTAGAAATGATAGTTAATTGGAAAAGAGTTTATTAACTTAAAAATAATGAGTTAAGAGTCCATTAATTTTTAAGTCTTTTCTATAATTAGATTTAGATTTATGGTGAAGCAATTATTATTGCATCAAATCGATGGTTTGAGCCTTACTATTGTCAACTGAATGAATGTTTTTAAAAGTAAACTTTTTTATCTTTTTTAATATTAATTGAGTTTTCACGTGTACTCTGCAGGTTGATGCTGCCATACAAAAGCACTGCTTTCTGCATATAGACACTATTACATGAAGATTAGAAGTTAATATTTGAATACTTCCAAAAATATAAAATGCAGTTAAAGAAAAAAAATGATCAACACTCCAAGGAAGCAATCAGTGAAATCTGTCATGTAAGGCATTCTATAGGGCAAATGACCTTGTTTTTTCAATAAATCAATGATATTAAATGAATAAATAAATAAATAGATAGATAAAGAAGGCTGCTAAAAAACAAAGAAGACTTAAAAGAATTCATGATCAAATGCAATGTGTAGACCTTATTTAGATCCTGGTTCAAAGAAAACAACTATAATAATGATTGTTGACAGAATCAAGAACAGTTGGGCATATAATGACGATATTAAAAAATTAGTACTACTTTTATTTGGTATGAAAATAGTAGCATGATGGTTATGTTAAAAATTTGCTTTTATTTTCTAAAGTAGAATGTAGATGTATTCACAGGTAAAATGACAAGATATATGGGCTTTATTTTAAAATCTCCAGGAAAAGAATTAGAGGAGAGTGAGTAAGCCTAGACATGAAAAATATTGATAGATGTTGCACCTGAGTGAGTGGTACATGAGCTTTTGTTATATTATTATCTTAATAGGCTTGGGCTAGTATAACAAAATTCCATAGATTAGGTGGCTTATACGCAACAGACATTATCGTTCACAATTATGAAGTCTGGGAACTCCAAGATCAAGCCCTTCACCTTGTTTCTTTTGTACACATTATTTTTTTTTTGAGATTCACTCACATATTTATCTGTAATTCAATCATTTTTATAGTTATATAACGTAAATTTTGTTGCTATAGACATTCTTGTGCATGTGACTTGGAACATACAGGCCCAATTTTCTGAAGGTTTTATACCCTATAATACAATAGCTACATTATTGAATATGCTGTTCTTTAACGTAGACGCTTAGTTCACTTTTATTTGTCTTTCTACTTTTAAAACATATGCATTAAAACATTGTCTTAGCTTCAGCCCACTTATTTTGTAAATGCAACTTTTATTATTTTTGAGTTCAAAATGTTTCTAATTTTTATTACTATTCATTCTTTGTCCTGATTTTGAAAAGCATTTCTTTAAAAAATTGAAATCTAACACATTAACACATGTACACAAAAAAGTGCACAAATCATAAGTATTATAGCAAAAATGAAGAGCCTTATAAATTGATCACTTTGAAGTTCCTCTCATCTCCCTTCCAAGGCCAAGATTAGGGTAGGGCAGAAAGGTGCGTAAGGCATTAATTTTAAGAACACAGTTACTCACAGGGTTGTGCATGTGCCAAACTGGCACTTGCAGGGACTTGTATGAATGTGAGAGTGAGTATCTCCTTACATCTTGCCTCCTGGCTATCGCACTCTCCTGACCCCAGTTCAGGATATGGAAGCCATAAGCAAGACGTAGATGAATGAGCATTGCTGTGTTCCAATAAAGCTTTACTTGCAAAACCAAGCAGTGGGCCAGATTTTTGACTGCAGACTCTAGATCGCTGATGTCTGACCTGAATTCCTTTACCGACCTACATAACAGTTTATTAATTCTCTCTTCAGCTTCATCTAATCTGTTGTGAATCCCATTGGTTTAAATAGTATATTTTTAATTTCTAGATGTCTATTTGCTATTTTTTTCAAATCTGTTGTCATTTTTTTTACAATTTCTATTTTCTAAAGTTTTTTTAAACTTGTCTTTAATTTCTTTAACTGTAGTGGTTAAAATCAGCATAATGGTTTTATCATCTGTGACTGATGATTCCAGTATCTGAAATCGTTGCAGCTCTGTGTTTGACATTTTTGCTCATGATACCTGTGTTCTTGTGTGCTTGTTTTTCCTTTATCATATGATCCTCAATATCCTTGCAATTTTTTTTTCTTGGGGAAATAACTTAGGATAAAGATATGGTCATTAACAGCCATGGTTCTCAAAGTGTGGTCCCTGGACCAGCAACATCAGCATCACCTGAGAATTTGTTAGAAATATAAATTCTTAGGACTCATCCTAGACAAAATAATTAGAAAGTCTGGGGTTGAGGTCCAGCAATCTGTTTTAATAAACGCTCCACATGAGTCTGATTTATGTTCCAGTTTGAGAATTGCTGCTTTAAAGAAGATGTTCAAAGTTTATTAAGTGTCTAGAGTATCTGGGACGTGGTTAAATTCACGTCTTGAGTTTTTTGGGCCTCTCAGATGATGTTAATGTGGGTGGAAAATCTTGACTTGTATGGCAAACTTGTCTTGAGGGTGCAGCCACTATGGCCTCAGATTAATGTGGGGAGAATGTCCTATCAGATGCCTGTATCTTGAGTGGACTCTGAAATTTGATTGCTCCTCCTCTCATTTCATATGCCCCCTCTAACCGAAGTTCGAAGTTCAAAGAGTGACAAGAACTTCAAATAAAAAGAGCTTTTGTGCCACTTTTTCCTCTGCCTTCAAACTTGCCCTTCAGTTCTGGTAATTCAGTTCTTCCCTTCTGACTAGTAATACCTTATTTTTTTAGCTTCTTAATGTCTTTGAGGTGATTTTTTAAATTTTATCCAACAATTTCAGTTTGCTTTCAAAGAGTTAGTTCCAATTTCCTAGCTTGCCATTATAGAAGATGATCTCATGCAGGCATTTCTAGGATTAGTTTGTTTTCTTCTAAAACACGATAGAAAACAAAAAAATTTACCTTAGTGGGGACATGGCACTGATTTGAAACATTCTTAAAATGCTTACCTTCTGACTTACGCCTCACCTAAGTACAGATTTACTTTCCAATAAAGCCTGTTGGCCTTGTTGAAACTGCTCTCTGTGGATGTTGAAAGTTATTTTGCTTCACACATTTATCATACGTGTTTGAATGTGATGCAGCAATTGCCTGAGACTTAAAATTAATCTTTGAGAGTTCATTCATATACTTATTATAATAAATATTCATATTGGCAGAAAGTGGATCATTCTGAGGTGGAATGTTGCTTTAAGGAAGTGAATTTATTGACTGTTGGATGAAAATAACATATTTATGCAAAACGATTCTGTAAAGCAACATATGCTATTTGCTTTAAGAGATGTATTCACACAAGAGTGTAGACAGAGAAATAAGTTAAGTTAATTTAAGATTCCAAACCTTCTCACCAGGACTTTTTTAATGATAATGTGAAAATATTGTTTTTTGCATGGACAGATATTGAAATTGCATAAAGCCACCACAATCTGCAGCTGACCTGATGGATTCTGGTGAGGTGCATGTAGATTCTAGTGAAAGGAAACCAAATATAATTCTCTGGAGAAATTTGGATTAAAATGAAATATTCTCTGCTTCTCTGTGTTTTTTAAAAGACTGTTTTGTACTTTGAACATACTGCATTCAGACAACTAAAATAAATGCAAAGGAGCCTGGAAAACTCACTAGCAGTTACACTAGAAGCAGAATGTGGCAATTATACTACAGGAGGAGAGAATTTAAAATATTACCTCAGAAAATGTACCAGGATATTGTGATTAGCAATCAAACTGTGACTTCTTTTTTTAATCTAATTATAGTCTGCATCTACAAGATATTGTTTTATTAGTTATTACAGTGCAGGTAAGCATGGGCAAAAGACTGATCTTGTCTGCAACATATCTGTGGTAATTTCTATAAAATGAATCTGAGAGTGAATTTGTTTATAACCTCAGGTGATATGATTTCCAGGTCTTCCAAAATTGTTTCCTCAGTTTTTTCTTAATTCCATAGTCAGATGTGGATATCTGTGATATGAGTTGTAAGACAACTCAAGAGCCTAAAATTCCCATAAGTTTCTACTGGTTTAGTGAGCAACATATCTGAGAGAAATTGGCTCTCTTAAAAAGCTCAAAAACGTGTATGCTCAACTACAACAGCATTACAAAATTCTTTATATTAGAACATATTTTAAGACCTCAACATGTCATTGGGCCCCTTGAGATATTTATGTGCTCTTGTGCTATTCACTGAAAATATACAAGTTGATCTATAGGATAAATTGTTCAAAAGCTTGCAGCTACATTTACTGCTTAATATCACCCCACAGAACTGCCTTTTTTTCATTTCTTATATCCCAAAGTAAATGTGGGTAAAGTAGAAAACAGGGAATAAAATCATTTTTTCCCTGTTGAATCTACGTACCTAGACTGTTTTTGGCTAGTTGCTTCCTTATCTCCTTCTGCTTTGAATGTCTTACCTTGTTGTTCCCTTCAAAAATCACCTACTATGTATCTAATACTATGCAAAAAATCTAAAGACCCTCATTCTTCCTTCAAGGAGCTCAATCTAATAGCTACTTAGAAGATAAATGAGTATGTAGTATTGCTTCACAATAGAAATATGGGCAATGATTTGTAGGAATTTATATAATTGGAGTGAGGATTCATACTATACAAGGGTGCAATGTTTAATGTGAAGAATATTGTTTTCTTATAAATACAGGAGCCCGTCAATAGGATTTATAATGTATATATAATGAAATTAAGGTAAAAGTAGACATAGAATCACACAGCAGATTAACTGGGGACCTGGAAAAAAATTTGATGAGCAATACATCAATATAACTCCCAGTCTACCAACCAATGTTCCCAGGTGAGCCCTGAAGCTCTTGGTATGATGGGGCCTGTGGATAAGCAGCTAATTGAGCAAGGCCAAATCTTCCCTCTTCTTGTATCATGATATCTGCCTGTGTTTGTCCCAGTACTGGCCATCACAGAATGAAAGTATGGTGAACATGAAGTGATATTTTTAATAGAATTATAATAACAATTGTCATAACCCAATATGTTATAAAGGTATTTAAAAACCTAGATATTGGAAGGCACTTTCAGAATATGAGTACTGAAAACCTCCTTAACAATTATTCCACCATTCTTAAACTTATACCTTTGTTTACATGAGAGCCTTGAAGAGCAAAAATGGTCCTGAGAAGGCTGGAAAATAATATTTTGTGCAAACTTGAGTTATTTGTCAATGACTTTTATAAGCAATTATATGAAATCAGCCCTGTTTTTACTATATGTCTAAATTTCAGTTGCACATTTATGTATGAGTTTTGTTTCGTTGTTGGAATAAATCTGCTATGTTATTTAACTTTTCAAAGAAAAATTTGAAGCTGAAATGTATGTAAGGGAAGATTAGAGTTTGAATCTACAGGCTTATTATGCCTAACTGAATGTATTTAGGCATTTGTACTCTGTGGGCACTATTTTTGAGGAATATACTTGTATGCCTAGAAAATCTGAAGCAAGTGTGTGAAAAATTAACAGTCACAAAAATGTGAGTAACTCAGTTGAAAATTATTTAAAAATCAATAGCTTTCCTATCTGCCAGCAATAACCCCTTAGAAAATGTATTAAAAAAGATTCTTAGTAATAAACATAGAAAATAGTTTAAACAACCTATAAATACCTTAACAAGAAATGTACAGGACTTGTATGAGGAAAGCTATATGCTATCACTAAGATACATAAAAGAAATTTAGTAAGGAGAAGTATTTTTTCCTAAAAGGCAAACTGAATATAATAAAAATTTTATTCCTTCTAAAACTAAGTATAAATATAAATACAATACAATTGCAATAAAAATTCCAGCTGAACTACTCCAAAATCGGCTGCTAGAAATAATAGGTAAAAATAGCTAAGACATTTTTAAAAGAAGAAACATGATATGAGATTTGCATTAACAGATAATAAAATACCTTACTGGTAATATTCAATCAAACTATATGTGGGTAAAATTCATTAAAGGTAAAGACAATTTTCTAATAATAATAGATTATTCAGTGTACTCTGTTGGAATGACTGGTTGTATATAAGAAAAAATAAAATTGAAATGGAATGCAAAAATGACTTCACATTAGTTTCTGATAGAGGCAATTCACTTTATTAAGAAAATAAGGAGCAGTCCTGTCAATAAGATGTCAGTCTCCACTTCTGAAAAGACAACTTTAAGATTCATTTCTAGTTTTCCTTATTCTGGTGCAGTAGTCCTTGAGAGAAACCATCTCATCACCAGAGGCAGATGTGTAGTACCTTAACAGCTCTGAAAGCTTCTTCTGATTTTGAGAGTCTTCATGTATTCCAAGCTTTATGTTTTCAGAGAACTGCTCATAGAACTTCTTGTAGTTCTCTTTATCTTCTGCCAGTTCAGTAAAGAGTTCTAAGCATTTTTTGACCAAATTCTTCCTGATAACTTTCAAAATTTTGCTTTGTTGTAACATCTTATGGGAAATATTTAGAGGGAGATCCTCCGAGTCTACCAGCACTCTAATGAAGTTCAGGTATTCAGGGATTAGCTCCTCACAGTTATCCGTGATGAAAACTCTGCATACATACAATTTGATATTGTTCTTTTTCTTTCTGTTTTCAAACAGGTCAAAAGGAGCACATCATGGGAAAATAGAAGGGCTCTGTATTCCAACTGTCCTTCAACTGAAAAATGCTTCACTGACAAGTGATCTTCCCAGTCATTAGTCAAGCTCTTGTAGAATTCTCTGTACTCCTCATTAGTAATATCATCTGGATTTCTGGTCCAGATGGGCTTTGTTTTGTTGAGTTCTTCTTGATCAATGTACTTTTCCTAATCTTCTTCTTCTTCTGCTTGTCACCATCCTTCTTTTCTTCTTCTTCCTCAGCAGAACCAACATCTTCAATTTCAGGTTTGTCTTCGGATTCTTTCTCTTTTTTTGATGTTTAGAAAATTATTTGTTACATCTTGTAGGACCTACTTTTTGAACTTTTCATCCCCTGTAGTTGCCAATTCTGCATGTACTAGTCCTCTAGAAATAGGTTAAACTGAAGCAACTTGATGGAAGGAATTCTCCACAGGGCTTGTTTTCCAAAGAAAAGTATTATTTGGAGGAGAAAAGTTATAAGCCTACCTAAGCATATCATAAAGCTGTTCAAAAATAACTCAGACCCAGTCTTGTGGATGGAAATGTAGTGCTTGAGTCACATTCTGCTTAAAGTTGTAACAGATACAGATGAGTTAAAAGAAAAAAAAATCCATTTCTGATATAGTGACCTTGGAGAAGATGAAATGCCTCAGTGTGTTTGTTATTAACAAAAATAACAAAGATGAACAAGGACCCAAACTTCTAATAGGGCATTGGGCTTGTCAAAAAGCATGGCCTGAATTTCAGCCTCCACACTCTTCTGTCCCCCAAGACCCTTTTTAGCCAGGGAAATACGTGTAGTGCATGTGAGCCCTGAGAGGAGTGTAGCATATAAGCAAACTATTATTAATAGGATGTTGGCATACCTAAGAAATATTGCAGGTTTGGTTCTAAACCACTACAGTAAAGTGACCATTGCATTAAAGCAAGTCACACACACATTTTTTTTTTTGTTTTCCCAGTGCATATAAAAGTTATGTCATACTATATTGTAGTTTATTAAGACATAATGCTATTATGTCTAAAAAACAATGTACATACCTTAATTAAAAATATATTTTTCCTAAAGAATGCTAACAATTGTCTGAGCCTTCAGGGAGTCATAATCTTTTTGCTGGTGGAGGATCTTGCCTTGATGTTGATGGCTGCTTACAAATCTGGTTGGTGACTGCTGAAGATTGGGGTGGCTGTGGCAATTTCTTAAAATAAGACAACAATGAAGCTTGACACATTGACTCCTCCTTTTGCAAAAGATTTTTCTGTAGCATGCAGTGCTCTTTGATGCATTTTATGCACGGTAAAACCTCTCTCAAAATTGGAGTCAGTTCTCTCAAAACTTGCTGTTGCTTTGTCAACTAAATTTATGTAATATTCTAAACCTTTGGTGTCATTTTAATGATATTCACGGCATCTTCACCAAAAGTGGATTCCATCTCAAAAAACCACTTTCTTTGCTCATCCATAAGAAGCAGCTCCTCATCTATTCACGTTCAATCATGAGATTGCAATGATTCAGTCACATCCTCAGTCTCTCCTAATTCTAGTTCTCTTGATATTTCCATCACATCTGCAGTTACTTCTTCTACTAAAGTCTTGAACCTGTCAAGGTCATCAATGAGGGTTGGAATCAATTTCTTCAGTTAATATTTATGTTTTGACCTGCTCCTATGAATCTCAAATATTCTTTATGGCATCTAGAATCGTAAATCCTTTCCAGAAGATTTTCAATTTACTTTACCCAGGTCCATCAGAGGAATCACTATCTTTGGGAGCAACAGCCATATGAATTGTATTTATTATATAATAAGACTTGAAACTCAAAATGATGCCTTGATCCATGGGCTACAGAATAGATGTTGTGTTAGTAGGCATAAAAACAACATTCACCTACTTGTACATCTTCATCAGAGCTCTTGGTGACCAGGTGCATTATCAATGAACAGTAATATTTTGAAGGGAATCAAATTTTTCCTTCTGAGTAGTAGATCTCAACAATGGGTATAAAATATTCAGTGAACCATTCTGTTAATAGATGTGCTATCATCCAGGCTTTATTGTTCAATTTATAGAGCACAGGCAGAGTAGATTTAGTATAATTTTTAACCTTAGGATCTTTGAAATAGAAAGGGGAATTGTTTCACCTTAAAGTTACCAATTGCATCAGCCTCCAACGAAAGAGTCAGACTATTCTTTGAAGCTTTGAAGCCAGGCATTGACTCCTCCTCTCTAGCTATGAAAGTCCTCGGTGGTATCTTTATTTTTTTTTTAACTTTTATTTTAAGTTCAGGGATACATGTGCAGGTTTGTTATATAGGTAAACTTGTGTCATGAAAGTTTGTGGTACAGATTATTTCATCACCCAAGTATTGAGCTAGTACCTATCAGTTATTTTTCTGGATCCTCTGCCTCCTCCCACCCTCCATGCTCAGGTAGGTCCAAGTGTTTGTTGTTCCACTCTATGTGTCCATGTGTTCTCATCATTTAGCTCCCACTTATAAGTGAGAACAGGCAGTATTTGATTTTCTGATGCTACATTAGTATGCTAAGGATAATGGCCTCTAGCTCCATCCATATTCCTGTAAAGACATGATCTTGTTCTTTTTTATGGCTGCATAGTATTCCATGGAGTACCACATTCTTTCAATAAAGGGTATTTCATCTATATTGAAAATCTGTTGTTTAGTGTGGCCACCTTCATCAATGATCTTAGCTAGATCTTCTGGATCACTTGCTGCAGCTTCTCTATCAGCACTTGGTGCTTTACCTTACACTTTTTTGTTATGGAGTCAGCTTCTTTTCTTAAATCTCATGCACTGATCTCTGCTAACTCTCAACTTTTCCTTTTCAGCTTCTTCACCTCTCTCGGCCTTCATAGAATGGAATAGAGTTAGGGCCTTACTCTGGATTAGGTTTTGGCTTAAGGGAATACTGCTGTTGTTTTGATCTTTTATCCAGACTACTAAAACTTTCTCCAACTCAGCAAAAAGGCTATTTCACTTTCTTATCATTTCTGTATTCACTTCAGTAGCACTTTTAATTTTCTTCAAGAACTTTTCCTTTACATTCATAACTTGGCTAAGTATTTGCTGCAAGAGCTTAGCTTTCGGCCTATTTTGCTTTTGAAATATCTTCCTCATTTAACTTAATCATTTCTAGCTTTTGATTTCAAGTGAGAGATCTGTAACTCTTCCTTTTATTTGAAAACCTAGAAGCCACTGTAGGGTTATTAACTGGCCTGCTTACGATATTGTTGTATCTCAGGGAATAGGGAGGATCAAGGAGAAAGAAAGAGATGGGGAAACGGGCAGTTGGTAGAGCAGTCAGAACACACACAACATTTATCGATTAGTTCGCTGTCTTATATGAGTGTCGTTCGTAGTGCACCAAAACAGTTATGTTAGTAACATCACAGATCACCATTCTAGATAAAACATAATGAAAAAGTTTGAAATATTGTGAGAATTACCAAAATGTGACTCAGAAACACAAAATGAGCACATGCTGTTGGAAAAGTGGTGCCAATAATCTTGCTTGATACAGGATTGCCACAAAACTCTAATATGTAAAAAATATAGTATCTGCAAAGTGCAATAAATCAAAGTGCAATAAAATAAGGTATGACTGCATGTACACATATAAAATAACTAATCAAAATTCTTTTTAAAAGTTTAGCTAATGTGATAGGCTAAAAAACAGCATGTTTTTGGAATTATAATTTACATTTCTTGTACAAGCAATATTTAGCATTTATCTCTCAATGTTTATTGGCAGTTTGTACTTCTCTGATTTAACTATTTATGTCCTTAGAACTTTATTTGTTCAGTTTTGTCATTTACTACATGTTTAAAATTTTTATACTGGGGACATTTTATACTCAGAGAAAAGGCACCTTTTTTTAAGTCTACAAAGACTAAAAAACAGTCATGAGATTGGTTTATTTTTGGAGATTTTCTCTATAATTAAACAATAAAAGTCAAGGCTAGAGATGTTAATTAAGAATAAGTTTGCAATGTGCCTTAAATCCCAAGCAGAGTAAATTGTACTTTTATCACAGGGGCAATAGAGAGCAATTGAAAATTTTGAGTAGGAATGTAGTGAGATGAACACAGTGTTTATTATTATTTATTTGATAAAGGAAAAATATGTAGAAAAGGTTTATAACTATCCTCTGCCATTTGTTACCATATGGTGACCTGCTGTTTTCTCCCAAATTGCTCTATTACATTTATGTTTCCCTGGTGTTAAAAAGACTTCCGGGTATAGTAAAGAGTAATGGCCTAACACCAAGAAAATGGAAATTTGAGCTCCAGATTATAAATTTTGCTGCAGGTAAGGGCATGAAAATGAGAAACAATTTTTAAAAAGTGATGAGATGAGGTGCTTGAATAATTTAAAATGAGATGGGTCAAATCCTGCTACAAATAAAGTTTGCAGAATAATTGGGATGAGCAGCTGAAATTAGATTTTTCAAAATTTTTCTATGTCTGTAATTTGTGATTAAACTGCCATTAAAAAAGAACTATATACTTTCTTTTAAAAAATAATATAAATTTGAAATAACCATAAATAGCTTTTAGTCTCTGCTCTTGATTTTTTTGATCCAAAAATAAATAGAGCATAAAATAAAGCTTTTATAGGCTATTGTCCACTTTGTTTTTTCTACTTGCATCCTGAAAGTTGGAGGTGTAAGACATTTCAGGTCACTTCATTAGCCAACTCTTCCAGGAGGGTACTGTCTGGGCTGCTGCAATTTCTGGTCTCATTTCTCAGATCATGACTGCCTATGTGTATTCCTGACAGTCTAGCCACCTCTGGGACAGTAACTGTAAATCGCCAAAGACACACCATTAAGGGGTATGTAGTACCAGCTTGAGAAAGGGGAACACATTGAAAAACGATGAAAGAAATAAATCCATTAATGCCCAGAAAATTTTTGGAGAAAGTAGTTCATTTTTTTTTCTCTTCCTCAAGTACAAAGGGTTTCAAAGTTTGGAGGACGGGACTATTTGGAATAGAAACGTACAAACTCTAAAACCAAGGATGCTAAGGAATCATGACCTTAGTCTTGGGGAAAGGTTACCTTCTGGAGTTTTGGATGATGGAGGCTTTCTTGACTTTGAGATAGGTGTGAAGAAGCTTTGTGTAAGAAACACTTTTATTACTGATGCAAAAAATGTGGGGAACTCACTGCTTTAGACTTGCTCTAGAAGGAAAGTTAAGGGGCCTATGATCTCATTTGAATTCTTTTGGTCTGGTAATGGGCATAGAAAAAGCATTTGGATTCTACGGGCAGCTTCTTGGTGATCCCTGATGAAAACTAGTGGCTGGCTGTGTTTTTGGCCCTTGGGGACAGCAGACAGTGGAAAGAGGGAAACGGACTCTTATATGTTTTAAAAAATTTGTCTTTTCTGGATTCAAATGCCTTGCTTCATGAGGTAATACACTATTACTAAGAAATTACTCAGACAATAATGAACACATTTAAATTATCATTATTATTAAATATGACACAGCAAACTTTCTAAAGGCTCCAGAAATACTTTCTTCTTGAGTAATATTTATTTCTAGACCAAAAATATGATTGAGTACTCATAAATTCCCAAGTGTGTCAAAGTAAAAACAAAACTGCTCAAACAAGATAACATGACTCCAGCAGAAAGCAAATTAAAAATGCATTTATTGAGCTTTGCTTATATGACTACATTTAAAAAATTTACTGCTGACAATAATTCTGTCAGTAAAGGACTAATATTCTCATTTTATAAATAAAAACCAGGAGACTCGCAGAGGTCAAGTGGCATCTAGGATACTGTTGGATGTGGGATTTCAACTTCTGACAATGATCCAGTGGTGTTTCCACTGTACTAGAAACTTATGTGTGGAAATACACAAAGAATCTACAATATAGTCCACTGATTTTCATCTCAAACCTAAATTTTGGTGGGGTCAGAAGAATCAAAAGATCCTTTAATGCTAGTTCATAGCTGGGTGAGCAACTCCATTTTCATATATTTAACTTTAAATTTGTAACATTTTGTCAAAATATTTTAATTTTTATATCTAAAAATAATATTTGTACTTGTGGTCATTAATTGAACATCAGTAATTATATTTCAAAGTTGAGTTTTAACTAAGAATTTTGATTTGTTTACTTTGGGTAGATGGCATACTTGTATATGAATTGCATTTTTTTCAATCACCATCTAACATGATAATTTTCAGTAGGGCCAATGATGCTCACTTTCCCTGTAACAACACTCTAAGGCAGATTTGATTATTATAATTTCACAAAATAAGAAATGAAGCACAAAATAGTTAAATGACTAGATTCATGCTACTAGTGACACAGTTCAACCTGAAAGATGGTTTTATCGTAAATCAGATATTACCCACCTGGATGTCTTCAAGCTTATCCTGAATTCCCAGGCTACATTTTGCTTTAATAACTAAACAGAATGGCTTGAATCCTATCTCATCTATTATGAGGAAGCTATATTCTTCTCAAATAATCCAGGTATTCTTTGGGTGTTTATGATTCTATGGTTACATCTTGCTTTGAACTCCTGATGACTCCAAATTCTTATCTCAATTGCCAGCTTCTGTCTAGCACAGGCATTATTGAATATGAGGCATTAGTGTCTCACTGTGATGTGTTGTGATGAACTATACTGGGTGTAGTTCTCCACCATACCCATCACAGAGAATATACTACTGGGCACCTTTTGCTTCAGAGGCATGGCATCTATCTTAAACTTCTCTGTCCTGAGAACCTTTTCCTACATCCAACCTTTCCTTTTCTCTCTGTCCCAAAACCTGTCTCCCACACGGAGAAAATAAATAATTACTCTTCTTATTCATCATGTAAATAAATTCTTTGAGTGGTCTCCTATTTAGTCTATATATACAATTATTTATTTTAAGTAAAGGTATTAGATTGTTTTTTCCTAAACCTACAGGAGGTTCTCCCCTTATGAGGGATTCTGCCTACACAGTAGACATAGATTCAAATTTTATCTTTTTGTCATGTTGATATTGTATTTGGGCAGCTAGAGATTCCCTGATGGTCTTCTGGCTTGATTACACTCTTCGTGGCTTACAAGTTTTGTTTCCCAACCAATGTTTATCCTTTTTGTCCTTAATAACAGAACTGTGATTTTGTGGAGGGGTAGAGGGTGAAGGGCTAGTAATACACTCTGTTGAAATATTGTTCTACTTGTGTGTCTTTAGCTGGTGGTAGGCATGTGGAATACTGCTGGTCAAAATGCTCTCAGATCCAAGCATAGGGACCTCTGCTCTGGGTTCCACATTTCAGAGAGCCCCATGTATCACAAACAGATAAAAAATAAATGTGTTGAAGAGCACAAGTGCCTCTGTCACTCAGGATCTGTCATTGAGCATGGACACATCCTAGGCACCTGTTGTCATGACCGATAACTCTTCAGGCCTCAGGAAGTGTGGTATCCTTGTCCACATCTCATAGCATCTGTAGACAAAATAAAAACCAATTGTACTCAAATACTGGGAAGTATTGTGGGTTATGCTGCTGCTGACTTTGGAGATGAACTTTGTGGTGAAGCCAGGGAGTTAGAACAGCAGGAGTGCTTAGATAAGAAAAAAAATGAATTTCAGTTAAATTGATAAATCCTTCTCATATGGCATAAGTGAAATCAATTCTTCCATGATAAAGTTTTGTTGAGTTTCTACTGTCTTGCTTCTTATTGTTCCTCTTGTTGTGATTCCAGAAGTAATTACTAATTAGTTCAGTATTTACAAGAGTTGCAGTTTTATGTATTAAAGAATGGACACTAAATTTATAGTTGAATATCTAGATCTAGTAGTAATGTGTGAAGCATAATAACAATTAATAGCACCACTGTGTTAAAATTCCTTTTGTCAGTAACTTTCATGATAACAAATTTGCAAAATGTTTGCATTTAAAAAATTTGAACGATTAGCAGCATCCCACACAAATAAACCCTCCTTTCTTCTTGAAACATTTATTTTTCTCTTTTGGATTTCCTCTCAGTTTTCTTCCTATCTCATTTATTTTCAGTGTTATTTTTCTTCTATTACTAATTTCTGAATTTTGGCTACTGTTAGAGTTATTTTATGTTATATATATAATCTGATTCTGTTGATTTTATCTAGTCTCATTACTTTAAGAATAATTGAGATAATACAGAGATCAGATTGTAAAATCAGGCTTAAAAGAATCAAATACCTTACTAACTATCAAAATTTACTAATAATTTCATAGATACATGTCATTCCAGTTTAGTTTGCCCTAAGAAATCCAAGAATGAATATATTGTGATAAAAGCATTTTTTAGATAAGCACTTTCTTACTAGCAACTTTGTACATTTATCAGAAGTGCAATTGTACATGTGTACAAGGAGATTTCCCCGGTAATGCCTTCTTTCTTTTCCCAAGGGGTGTGCTCTGATGAAAGGAAAGAATGGATTGCAAACCTGCTGCTAACCCCTCTCTCCCAAACTAATGTTTGTATGTTTATATTGATGTCGGTATATTGATGTTAATTCCTCCCACATTAAATTTAGCTCTTTATGGTCAATGCCATATTTATTTGGTCTAGGATATGGTAGGCACTATCCTAGGTGCTGGATTGTGAAAGTAGATTAAGACACAGTCTAAATCCTCATTTCTTCCTCATGAAGATGGTGTCTGAAAGATGGCAGTAGAAAACAAGGCATTAAGCCACAATCCTAAATATGCATATTTAATTAACACTGGTGGTGCTTTGGGTTGAGGGGCATAGAAGCCACTCAATCTGTGGCACAAAATTACTTTGTATAAAAGACCAAATGGATTTACACTTTATATTTATCCTTGACTCATATTTAAATTAGGTAAATGATTTTGCAGTCTGTATTTTTGTGACTGATTTATCTCATTATTTTAAAGTTAATAAACTTGAATGTTTCTTCATAGTTAATTATTTCATAGTTCATTGCATCTAGAACCAGGTGGTACAAAAGAAATTCAATAGATTTATCATAAAGTCCAGAGTCTAATCTAGTTTAGATATGGGAGAGACTCAAGGCACGATTCATCCTAAAGCAAATCCCTCCTTAGCTACGAGCCTGTGAAATCAAACAAGAATCTACTTCCAAAAACTAATTGTGGCACAGCCATAGGATAGACATTCGTATGCCAAATGAAAGAAATAGGCAAGAACAAAGGAGTAACTGGTCCCAAATGTGTCCAAAAGCCAGCAGGACAAATGACATTAAATCTTAAGACTTCAGAATAATCTTTTACTCTATGCCCTGCCCTCTGGCCATACTAGGGCAGGGGTTGTGCCCCACAAAGCTTCAGGAAGCCCTGCCCTCAAGGCTTTGGTGGGCTCATTTCATGCATCAGCTCTCATGGGTTGGAGTCTCATGCATGCAGCTCTCACAGGGTGGTGCTGCATGTGAGTAGCTCTATGGTTCTGGGTTTTCAAGGGCAGCATCACCCCTGTGACTCCACTAGGCATTGCCCTAATGGAGATTCTCTTAGGTAGTTTTCCCCTGTGCAGATTTCTTCCTGGGCTCTCAGGCTATCAGATATAACCTTCAAAATATAGGTAGAGGTACCATGCCTTCACAGCTCATGAACTCTATGCACTTGTAAAATTAGCACCATGTGGATACCACCAAATCTTACTTCTTGTGACCTCTAGTGCAGTGGACTGAGTTACACCTGGACCTGCTTGATACATGACTGGGGCAGGGAGCTGAGGGGTCCTGTGCTGGGATGCAAGGAATAAAGACTTGAAGTGGCCCTGGGCAACAAGCCTTCCAGTACTAATTTTTGTTATAGTGCATTTTGTGCTGCTATAACATAATACCACAGACTGGGTAACTTATAATAAAAAGAAATTTATTGGCCCACAGTTATGGAAGCTGGGGTGCTGGTATCTGGCAAGAGCCTTCTTGCTGTGTCATAAAAGGCAGAAGAGCAAATAGGGAGGGGGAAAGAGAAAGAAAAAGGGAGAGAGAGAGTAAAAAGAAACCAAACTTCCCCTTTTATAAGAATCTCACTCTGTGACAATGGCATTAATCCATTCATAAGAACAGCCCTGATGGCCTAAATACCTCTTATTAGGCCACACCTGCCAAAACTGTTGCATTGGGGATTAAGTTTCCAACACATGTTTTTTGGTGGGACCCATTTAAACCATAGCAATCATGTTTTCATTTTCTTTATTTTATAATACTTTGACTTAGTGGAACCATGCAGACTTAAGAAGAAAATGCTCCTTCCAGGGCTAGGTAATTTCTAGAGATAGCAAATAACTTCCCTGCAAGCCCACCTTTCATATACAAACCAAGCAATTCAAAGTCCACGTTTCCAAACTCTTTTTTTTTTTTGTCAAACTTTCACACATCAATAGTCCCCCCACCCTAAATCACCCCAGGACCAGGTATTGGGCAACAAGAGAACATTTCTGCAGCTCACAGCCCACAAAAAGTCTTCAAACTATCCAATCTTAACCTTACTCAATATCTCTACCCTGCTTTGCCTGCTCCTCATGAAAGCTCCACTAAAGGCTCTGGTCTATGTTCCACTGATACTTGTTCTGTATCCTGACTGACCTTGCTAGCTGCCCATGTGGCCCTGTGTAATGTAGTGTGCCCTCTTCTCTTGGGACCTGTGAGTAATGAAACTTCCTTCAATTTAAACTCTCTATGTTCTCACTCAATCACCTTTAGAAATAAACCTCAAGCATAATCACAACAGACTCTCACACATATCCCTCTATTAAAACAATTTTTAAAAGATAACTAGACATCATCTTGTAAGTGTTTCCAATAAAAAATGTTCAGCTCTCATATATCATTGTGTTTCTTCAAAGGCCACTTTAGAAATATGGATTCTGGACCACAGCCTCACATACTCTCTTGATCTTCCTCTAGGCCACTTGTACCCATCCCCTTTCCTGGTTCTTATTGAGCACCTTGACCTCTAAACTTTAAAATTTGAAAATTTGAAGTTTTCAGCACTTGGCTTTCTTATCTTTTCCACTTACACTCTTTCTAGTTGATATTTATACTTTCAAGGCTTTAAAGTTCATCTCTACACTGATAAATTTATATCTCCAGGTCAGATCCCTCTCCTGAACGTCAGGCTTGTATATCAAATACTGTAGTCAGCATCACTTTGTAGTCTAAAAGACATTTCAAAGTAATATGTCCCAAAGTTAGCTTCTTAGAATTAATCATGTAATTATCTTAGATTATTTTCCCCTGCCTCACTTTCACACCATCCATTAGTGAATTCTGGCTCTTCTTAACAGAATAGCTAGAGTGATCACTTTAATACTGAAATCATGTCACTCCTCACCCTCGGATATTTCCATGATTTCCCATTATACTCAGGGCAAAAACACAGTTCTCTGCCATAATTTTGTAAGGCCTCCCAGGACTGTTCTGATCATATTCTTCCAGTTTCCTCTCTTCCTCCTATCCATTGCTCTGGCCTTTTCGCAGTTCCTTGAAACATGCCACGCACTTTCCTACTTTAGCACCTTGCTTTTGCATTGCCTAGAAAACTCCTCTCCTGTACCCATGAGGCTCACTCTCTTCTAGCCTTCAGACCTCTATTTTAATGTCACCAGTGAGTAAGGTCTTTCCTGGCCACTGTATATATAAGAACATGCCACCCTGACCCCAAAAGTCCCTGTTCAACTTGTTTCATATTTGTACATTTCATTTTGTTTCATTTTTTACACTCAAATAAATGAAAATTATGTATTTATGAATGCACATGCATTTCATTTATTATACTTAAATAAATAAAAATAATTTCATTTATTATACTTTTTTAACCTTTTAATTTGTTGAGTATATGTCTTTCCTCCTATAGATCAATCTTTTCTGTCTAAATCATAAGCTCTGTGAAGTCAGGACATTTTGTTAGGTTTGTTTTCATTATCCTTCTACCTAAGGCAGTGCCTGATACATGGTTAGTGATATGGTTTGGCTCTGTGTTCTCACCCAAATCTCATCTTGAATTGTATCCCCACATGTTGATGGAGGGACCTGATGGGAGGTAGTTGGATCATGCATGCGGTTTTCCCTTTGAGGTTCTCATGATAGTGAGGGAGTTCTCATGAAATATGATGGTTTAAAAGTGGCAGTTTCCCCTGCCTCTCTCTCTTTATCTCCTAAGAGCCATGTAAGACCTGCCTTGCTTCCCCTCCCTCTTTGGCCATAATTGTAAGTTTTCTGGGGCCTCCCAAGCCATACCAAACTGTGATTAAATTAGACTTCTTTTTCTTTATAAATTAATGAGTCTCAGGTAGTATCTTTATAGCAGTGTGAGAATGGACTAGTACAGTTGGCATTCACAATGCATGTTTGCTGAATAAACAAATGCATTAATTTTTAATTTAGTGAAATGCTATCACATAACAATTTTGTGAGTGAAAGATGGTGAAAAAATAAATTATTTGAAATCTGACAGTACAACTAATTTAGCTTTGGTGAGAGGAATTTCATCCAGCTATATTTTTTTCTGTCTGAATCTAGATTTCTGATTTACTTCATATCCTTGTTTCCTATGGTGGTCTGATTGTAAGTAAAAAATCATATTTTAGAGGTTATGAATAATAAAATGTAAATATGAGTCTTGCATATTTTAAATACATTTATTTTTCATTTTTTAATGTAAATAAAACACCTGTAGATTTCATTATTGATCTTAAATGCAAGGGTGTCTTGCAAAGGTTAAAAAAAGCTTACGATTCCAGTATATTAAATATCTAAAGACAACAGTTGAGCTCAAATACCATAGAATAGCTTTCAACTCAAAGTATGTAACTTGAAATATATTACTGTGCTAACTTCAATGTAAAATAAATTATTTCTTACTTCTAAAATTTAAAAAAAATAAGTTTTGAATCAAAATTATGGTTAGATTTTTTTAGACTAAGCAGTTGAATTGCATTCAACATGACTATTTTTAATTATATGACCACCTTTTACAATTAGCTTTGGATGTATATGCAAGCTAGGGAACAGATTACTGCCTTGCAGCCCACCTTCCCAGTGGATCTGAGTAGCTTAATATGTTACACATTTTATCCTCTCAGGAAAACGTTTCTTACTTTCAAGCTATAATTAACTTATTCTCTAACGATTGTTTACTGCAGAAAACAAGCTAATCCTTCCAAATCCTCACATCCACTGGTGAGGAGAGAGAAAGATGAATTTTGAATTTAACAGTGAGTTACAGCATTAACTTCAAAATTGCATTTTACTGTTTTCCATTCATAATTCAATTATTGCAGCTGTACTTATTTTGCCACAGGTTTATTTGTTTTTCAAGAGAATAGAAAGAGTTTCTATGCCCAAGGATTTGATGAAAGTGAGAAGCTCATTATATGGCCAATTATTGTTCATAACCTGACAGCTTTGCAACAGTCTCCAAAAATCTGTCATTTTCTCTCCACAGACAAGTTCTGTTCAACAAGCCCCTATAGCACAGGTTAAACTACTCGATTATTCTTAAAAAGTGTTTGACCTCATTCCTTGTACCCTGCAGGGAAAAAAATTTAACATTTAACCAACAGTGAGGAATCTTTGCTGAGGGTGAAAAATATTCTTTTTTCCCTAGCTAGGTGTCTGCTCAGTTGAAACATGGTTGAAATATTCTAGTTTAGATTTAATAGCTATGAGCAAGTTTTGATTTTTTTTCTTGATCCTGTGCTTTCCTGTGCTTCATAAATTCCTTGTAAAGGCTATTTTGATATTTTCTCTGAAGACTAAAAATGTACTCAGTGTAGTCTAATCAGAAAAATATCCTCAACTACAATTACTTCAGTGGTTTACTGTTTTTCCAATATGCCAAAGACAGTATATATACACAGGACTATATGAAAATGTATATTACGGATAAAAAAATAAAATTATCTACCATATACAAACCACATGCACCCACCACCTTGGCCAAGAAGCAAAACTTTACCCTTTAAATTTTATCCAAGCAGGCTTCTTGTATCTCTCTTGCTCTTCCCAGAGGTAATCACTTCTTGAAATTTGTAGCAGGTATTTCTTTGCTTTCTATTATAGTCTTTGCCATCTTTATGAATCCCTATCTAATTCTAATCAATACATTATTTAACTCTGTATATTTCGGGCACTGTATAGAAGAAATCATAGCATATTTATTCTTCTATAACTTGCTTTTTTGACCACTATTCTTTTAGGTCAACCATGTTACTACTTACGGCTACTCTTCAAATTTATTCATGGCTGCATAGAATTCCATTGAATACATGGACTATACATCATTAATCCACAACAATTTTCATGGCTTTTTGTGTTTCCAGTTTTTGCTATTCTGACTGATGCTGTTACAGAAATGCCCCTAATGTCTCCTGTACATGTGCAACATTTTCACTGGGGACTTCTTCCTAGGACAGGAACTGCTGAATAGTAAAGTGTATACATGCCCACTTATACCATAGAGTATAAATTATTTTCAAAGTCGTTTATCTACACACTCATCAGCATATGAAAGTTCTAGTAGCTCCACATAATATTATCTGAAATTTTTTACAGTCAGTATAAAATGATAGCTTATTGATGCTTAAATTGCATTTTTACTTCAATTCTACTTAAATGTATTCTCATATACATATATTATTTCTTCTGTGAAATTCCTTTTAATGTCTTTTGTTCACTTTTAGACATTTTAAATATATAATCTTCTATGGTTGTCATGATTTTTATCTGCTTGCTCTTAGAGAGACGTGTTAAAATCTTTTATTGTGACTTTGGATCTGTATGTTTCTGTGGTTCTTCCAATCTTTGTTTTACCTATTGAGAGACATTTTAGTATACCCAGACTTCATATCATTTTACTTCACGATGAATTATCAGCATTATGCAGAGACCTTAAATATTTACAATAATGTTTTTACATTATGTAGCATACTTGTTTCTTCTTGGAAACCAATTTTAATTAGTCATCATTGTTTGACATTATTATAGCTATACTTGTCTTCTTTGATTAATATTTGCCCCATATGTATATCTGCACATCAAATCTTTACTTTCAACTCTTATCAACCTATGCTTTTTATGTGTCTCTAAAACACAGTAAAACCCAATTTCATTTATATTTTTTAATCTTACCTGAAAATGTTTTTAATGCTTAGTCCATTTACTTTTAATGATTAAAATAATTTGATTTATTCTTGTCTACTTAGTTTATAACTGTTTTCTTCCAGTTTTTACCAGTGTTTTTTCTCTTATTTTCTTCATTATTTGAAATTAATGAGGTTTTTTCTCATTCCATTTTGAAATTTGTCTGTACTTTGCCTACATTCTGTAAACATATTTCTGCTAAATATGGGATTCTTGACTGATTGATAGCTTTTTTATTGTTGGTGGTGTCTCAAAGAAGTCAGCTGTTGGTTCCTTGTCACTCTTTTGAAAGTAATATTTTCTCTCTGGATGCTTTTAGGATCTTTTGTTCATGGCTTTTCTATACTTTCTCTATGATATAGCTGCATGAGAATTTTATTTATTCTGATTTGGATTTCTTGGGCTTATTAAATATGTTAATTGTATTCCTACACCAATTCTAAAATGTTCCCAGCTGCTCCTTTTAAATGTATTGCCTCTGCAACCTTTACTGTATTCTCACATTCTGAGAGTTTTGAATGGGAACATATTAAACTCTTTTATTCTACCTTTCATAATTCTTAATTTCATTGTTCCATGGTTACTTTGTTGTTCTCTATATGCATAATCATTTCTTTGGTTCCATATTTCAATTAATAATTTTCTATTTACGTGGCTCTTTAACAGTGTTAAGTACTTTAATTTCAATTACACATTTCTATTTCTAGAACAGATTTTATTTTATTTTTTCAAATTTACTTGCTATTTACTTATTTTTCAAAACTCTCTTTTATGTCTTGAAACATAATGAACATTCTTATTTTATATTATGTATCTGATGATTCTGGTATCTGATGATTCTCATATCTGATGTTTTTGTGAGTCTAGATTTGCTCATTGTCACTTCTGCTGGCTTTGGCTGGCATTGCAGTGTCCTTCCATATTTGATTTTTGGGGGCAGTAAGGGATGTAGTTTCTTTGGAACTTGATCTGTAAAAATTATTTGAAAACTGTTGCAAAGGTGAGTTCATCCAGAAAGCATATGCTCTACCAAGCCAGAAATACTAGGAAAATACTCTTAAGTTAACCTTTTGATTGCAACTCAGACAATGTGAATTAGTTTGCAAGCCCATGTGTAGAAAAACTTAAGGTTTCAAACTTTTGAGAGAAATTTTTTTTCTCCTCTATTGAGCATAAGCTTCAAGGCTGACAGTTTACCATGTAGACCTTTTGGGACAGGGATTTAATAATAGATGTATCAGTAGATAGATAGATAGGTAATAGATAGATAGATAGATAGATAGATAGATAGATAGATAGATAGATAATTTGTTATAGGAACTGGCTCACGTGATTATGGAGGCTGAGAAGTCCCACCAACTATCTGCTATCTGGAAAACCAGGAAAGTAGTGCAATTCAGTAGAGTCCTAGGGTCTGAGGACCACAGGTGTGTGTGTGTGTCAGAGAGGTGGAGATGGACACTGGTGTTAAGCCAAAGGCCCAAGAACCAGGAACTCTGATATCTGAGGGCAGGAGACGAATTTCTCAGCTCAAGGACAGGGAGAGAGAATTCGTCCTTCCTGGCCTTTTGTTGTATTCAGGTCTGCCATCAACAGATTGGATGACACCAGCCCACAATGGTGAGAGCAGAGCTTCTTTACTGGGTCCACTTATTTAAATGCTAGTCTGTTACAGAAACACCTTCACAGACACCCAGGAATAATGGTTTACCAGTTATATGGGCATTCCTTAACCTATTATTTTTCTGTCTCAGGGCCCTGGGAGGTCAGAAAACTCATGCTCAAGTTTGCTGAGTTTTGGAAAATGCCCACAAGCTCAAGGTCATCTCAGGTATTCCATTTTCCTCTCTAGATCTTTGCCTTCACTCATTCCCTGTCTTGACTATTCCTCACTGTATTGCCATCTCATGCATACAGTCATAATGCTGTACATATTTTTATCTGTACATTTTGTTATTTTTATGAGGAAATTCAGTTTGTTTGTTTGTTTTTTGAGACAGAGTCTTGCTCTGTTGCCAGGCTGGAATTCAATGGCACGATCTTGGCTCACTGCAACCTCTGCCTCCCGGGTTCAAGTGATTCCCCTGCCTCAGCCTCCCGAGTAGCTGGGATTACAAGCACATGCCACCATACCCAGCTAATTTTTTGTATTTTTAGTAGAGACAGGGTTTCACCATGTTGGCCAGGGTGGTCTCGATCTCCTGACCTCCTTCCGCCCACCTTGGACTCCTGGGATTACAGGCATGAGCCATTGTGCCCGGCCGGAAATTAAGTTTTATATTGCTAGAAATGAAACTTCTTTAGTGATTAATTTTAAATATTATACTTATATTTAATCTGTTTATTACTTAGGATATCGTAATATAGCTAATGCATGGGCTTTTAAGAGTTTGCCAGTAAACCCAAATGACTGAATCTCAAGTCTTGAAGTTAGTCTTGATTGGTATTAATAATATTAAAAGTGAAAGAAAGTAAAAAGAAAACTACTGTTTTCTGAATCAGAAACTGTGTACCTTCTTTTGAAGGTTGTGTGATTTTCCAATAATTAAAACTGATGTAATTACTTTTATATGGATAACTAAGGAATTGACCCATGAGATATGTGTGATACATGTAAGTAAAATTCTAAGAAGGTAATAAGAATGGGATAAAAAAATGTAACAGTGGCATGCCCAAACAAAAAGGGCCTTATTCAGACCTCTAGGGTAACAGTCCTCAACCTGTTTAACACCAGGGACTGGTTTTGTGGAAGACAATTTTTCCATGGACCAGGCAGGGAGGGGAGAGGGGATGGTTTGGGGATGAAACTGTTCCACCTCAGATCATCAGGCATTAGTTAGATTCTCATAAGGAGCACACAACCCAGATGCTTCACATACACAGTTCACAATAGGGTTTAGTCTCCTCTGAGAATCTAATGCCGCTGGGCTCCATGGCTCATGCCTGTAATCTCAGCACTTTGGGAGGCCGAGGCAGGAGGATCTCTTAACGCAAGGAGTTTGAGACCAGCCTGGTCAACATGGCAAAACCTCATCTTTACTACAAATACAAAAATTAGCTTGGTGTAGTGATGCAGGCCTGTAATCCCAGCTACTCGGGTGGCTGAGGCCTGAGAATCGCTTGAACCCGGGAGGTGGAGGTTGCAGTAAGCCGAGATCGCGCCACTGCACTCCAGCCTGGCAATGAAATGAGACCAAAAAAAAAAAAAGAGAGAGAGAGAGAGAGAATGTCATGCTGCTGATCTGACACTGACAGGAGGCGGAGCTCAGGCGGTAATGCTCACTTACCTGCCGCTCACCTCCTGCTGTGCAGACAGGTTCCAAGACTGGTACCTGTGGGTGGCTTGGGGTTGGGAACTCCTGCTCTAGGGGAATAGTCACCAAATTAGTCTCAGGGTAGGAAGGACACACTAGTCTGTTGAGTTGTTCCATTTCAGATTCTTTTGATTAGGTAGATGCAAAAATAATTGTGATTCTCACCATTAATGACCCAAACCGCAATTTCTTTTGCACCAACCTACTAATAACCAAAGAGATTTCCTTAATTAGAAGTTATTTGGACTCCGAAATCATATGGAGAATGAATAGTAAGTAGATATTAAGATGTTAATTTAAATAACGTATACCAATAGAACAAAATATACGTAAGGTATGTGTATGACCATAATGGAGTTTCGGGTCTTTAATTCTATTCCCTTCTAAAAAGTGTACTGTGCAGGTCGTAACTAGGAATTTTGATCAGGAAAATGCAGCTATCCTGCATTTATCTCCCTCTGCAGGCCAGTTCTGTTCCCTACCAGTCTTCTTTGGTCCTGGCTGGTGTGCATCCCGTTTCAATCTGGCTATTTTATTCTTTCATGAAGACATGTATATTAATTAAAAAGAATCTGGTGACTCTGTCTGCAATTACAAACGTTGGGACTTTGTAATATCAATGACAATGACTTTTACAAATTTACTTCTTCTCTTCTGATCCTCGTTGCCCATGTCTTATGGTTCACTTCCCTGTCTGTCACTGAGCCTTCTGTAGTTGCATGCTAAATTTCAGAAATGCTTTTTCCTATGTTTACTCAGGAGGTTTTCACTGGTTTTATAAATTTTTAGAACTTTTAGGTTGAAGATAGCCTTATAATGACTATTTACATGTCAAAAGATAAAAAAAGGTCTTTGAAAATGTTTTCTCCATTTTTGAATATGATGTTCTTTGAAGTGATTAATTAGTTTATTGGACTTCCAAGTGACCATAGCTTTCCTATGTCTTGATTGAGAAAATACAGAATAATTGCAACTTCCTATCTAGTAACTCACGAATAACTTGATATTTTATTAAACAATTGAGAATGTTTACCTGAAAAATGGTAGAGAATGAAAAACATTATTTTTTTCTGATCTCCTTGGGATGTTTTATGGATGTTGAATTCAAGAACATTAAATAAAATGAACTTATAATTATTTAAACTGTTGATGGCCCAAACTTTTAGAATAATTGTTCTGTGTTTATCTCCTAGATCACAGTGTTAAATGGCAGACAATGGGAAAGATTACACTTTTTCTCTTTTATTATATCTACTGGACAGCATTTTTTTTTTTTTTGCTGCCAATAATAGAAACCAGACCTCGATAACTAAACAGGACATACAATTATTTTAAGAGTTGTGAATATCTCTCAGATCAATAGGAAGGCTGGACAAAACAGAAATCTGGACCTCAGTATGTTCACACCATACAGCAGCTGGGATCTCCCCTCCTCCCCGGCAGGTTTCAGATATGCAGTGCTGACTTTTCCCCTCTGCCATCTCGGCCATCAGTGCTGTCACTGCTAAGAGTAACCTCCCAAGATTTATTCCTAAGGGAGTATGTAGTTTTACTAGGAAGACATAACTTAACAATATGTACCATTAGAGGGAACCTTGAGATAAAATATACCAAATCATAAAATATGTGTTTAGACAATGTAAGAGATGAGTAAGAGATATATTATAGTTAAATTATTATTATTGAGAAAAATTCATGGAAGAGATGCTTTCACTATTGGCTTTGATTACATCCAGTTCATTTCATGCTGACTGATCATTGGAAAATTATTTTTTAAATTTATTTTAATTCAAAACTATACATTATGTATTTATGTTGTATAACACGACGCTTTGATATATGTATACATTGTGAAATGGCTAAGTTCAGGAGGTTTTCATTAGTTTCATAAATTGTTTTTTATATTTCCGTCCTTTGACTAACATCTCCTCAATCTCTCACCTCTAGCATCTGTTAACCATCATATAACTCTCTGTATGAGTCTGACTTTTTTAATACTCCACATATAAGAGATTCCACTCAGTGTTTGTCTTTCTGTGCCTGGCTAATTTCACTTAACATAATGTTCTCCAGTTCATCCATGTTATTGTAAATGATTTCCTTGTGTTTTAAGGCTGAATAGTGTTCCACTGTGTGTATGTGTGTATATAAATCACAGTTTCTTTATCCATAATCTATTCATGGATACTTAGGTTAACTCCATATCTTGGCTATTGTGAATAATACTGCAATGAACATGGAAGTGCAGATATCTCTTTAACATACTGATTTCACTTTCTTTGGATATATAGCCAGTAGTAGGTTTACTAGACCATATGTTAGTTCTGTTCTTCTTATTGGGGGACCTCCACATTGTTTTCTGTAATGATTGTAGTAATTTGCATTCCCAGCAACAGTATACAAGGGTTCCCTTTTCTTTGCATCCTTCTGAATATTTTTATCTTCCTCTTATTTTATGATAGCCATTCTAATATGTGATAGGTGATATCTCATTGTGGTTTGAATTTGTGTTTCCCTGGTAATTAATGGTGTTGAGCACCATTTTATATACATATTAGCCTTTTGCATATCTTCTTTTGAGAAAAGTTTATTCAGGTCCTTTCCCTATTATTTTTAATTGAGTTATTTGTTTTCTTACTAATGAATTATTTGAGTGCCTTATATATTTTGGAAATTAACCCCTTACCAGATGTATGGTTTGCAATTATATTCTTCCATTCAGTACATTGTCTCATAACTCTGTTGATTGTTTCCTTTGCCGTGCAGAAGATTTTTAGTTTGAAGTAATCCCATCTGTTTATTTTGACTTGTTGCCTGTGCTTTTGGGGTCAGATACAAAAATCATTGATCAGATCAATGTTGTGGAGTTTACCCCATATGTTTTCTTGTAGTAGTTTTATCGTTTCAGGTATTACATTAAAGTTATTTACCCATTTTGAGTTGAGTATTATATGCAGTGTGATACAAGGGTCTAATTTCATTTTGCCAGCGGATATCCAGTATTTCTAGTGCCATTTATTGAAGAGACTGTCCTTTTCCCATTGTGTATTTCTGTCATCTTTCTCAAAAATCAGTTGACCATAGTTGTGTGTATTTCTGGGCTATCCTTTCAAATAGTATAATGCCTGTCTTCATTTCGCTCAAAACTGCTTTGGCTATTCAGGGTCTTTTTGGTTCCATATGAATGTTAGGCCTGTTTTTTATATTTCTGTGAAAAATGTCATTGGAATTTTGATAGGAATTGTATTGAATCTGTAGATAGTTTGGGGTATTATAGACATTTTCAACAATATTGATTCTTTGAATTCATGAATCCACTTATTTATATATCCTTCAATTTCTTCCATCAATGATTCACAATTTTCAGTGTACAGATATTTCACCTCCTTGGTTAAACTTATTCCAAAATATTTTACTATTTCTTGTGGTTTTGGAAATAGGATTGTTTTCTCAATTTCTTTCCTGATATTTTAATGTTAGTGTATAGAAATGCTGCTGAATTTTTAATGTTGATTTTTTTCCTGCAACTTTACTATATTGGTTTATGAGTTCTAACAATTTTTGGTAGGGTCTTTAGATTTTTCCATGTGTAAGGTTATGTCATTGTCAAACAGATAACATTTTATTTCTTTCTGATTTTATGCTTTTTGTTTTTGTCTCTTGCCTAATTTCTTTGTCTAGATGTACCATATTATGTTGAATAGAAGTGATGAAAGTCAACATTCTTTTCTTGTTACTGATCTTAGAGAAAAAGCTTTACGTTTTTCACCATTAAGTATGATGTTATTGTGAGCTAGTCATGTTTGACTTTTACTATGTTATGTTACCTTCTTTCTGTACCTAGTTTAAGTATTCTTATCATGAAACAGTATTGAATACTGTGAAATGCTTTTTCTGCATCTATTGAGATGATCATGCAGTTTTTCCTCCATTCTGCTAATGAGCTGTATAGCATTTAGTGATATATATGTTGACCCATCATTGCCTTTGAGAAATAAATCCTACTTAATCACGGCATGTGACCCTTTTTATGTGCCGTTGAGTTGGATTTGCTAGTGTTTTGTTGAGAGTCCTTGTATCTACATTCATCAGGGATATTGACTTGTAATTTTCTGGGTTTTTTTTTTTGTAGTGTTTTGTGTGGCTGTGGCATCAGGGTAATGCTGGCTTCAAAAATACATTTTTAAGTACTTCCTGTTTAATTTTTTGAAAGTGAGAAGAATTGGTACCAGTTCTTCCTTAAATATTTGATAAAATTAGGCAGTGAAGCCATGATTTTCTGGGCATTTCTTTGTGAGGAGGTTTTTTGATTAGTGATTCAATCTCCTTACTTGTTAAGGAGAAGTTGGCCTAAACAGATTTTTATTTCTTGATTATTTAATCTTGATAAGTTGTCTAAGAATTTATTCATTTTCTGGTTATCCACTTTATTGACATATAATTGTCATAGTAGTCTCTTATGATCCCATGTGTTTCTGCGATGTCCATTGTAATGTCGCCTCTTTCATTTCTGATTTTATTTGAGTCTTCTTTTTTCTTTGTTAGTCTAGTTAGACTTGTCAATTTTGTTAGTCTTTTCAAAAAATCAACTCTCATTTCATTGATCTTTTTATTGTTTTTCATACTTCTATTTCATTTATACTTAATATTTTCTTCCTTTTATTAACTTTGGACTTAGTTTACTATTTTTCTAGTTCTTTGGGTTCTAACGTTATACTGTTTATTTGGGTTCTTTCTTTTTTTTTATATAGATGTTTATTTTTATAAACTTCCCTCTACTATTGCTTTTACTGCATTCCGTAAGTTTTGATGTGCTGCATGCCCATTTTCATTTGTATCAACATTTTTAAAATTTTCTTTAAATTGCTTCATTGATCCATTTTTTTATTTTTTATTTTTTATTTATTTATTTATTTTTTTTTTGAGACGGAGTCTCGCTCTGTCGCCCAGGCTGGAGTGCAGTGGCGGGATCTCGGCTCACTGCAAGCTCCGCCTCCCGGGTTCACGCCATTCTCCTGCCTCAGCCTCCCAAGTAGCTGGGACTACAGGCGCCCGCCACTACGCCCGGCTAATTTTTTGTATTTTTAGTAGAGACGGGGTTTCACCGTTTTAGCCGGGATGGTCTCGATCTCCTGACCTCGTGATCCGCCCGCCTCGGCCTCCCAAAGTGCTGGGATTACAGGCGTGAGCCACCGCTCCCGGCCTGATCCATTTTTTTAAAGGAGCACGGTGTTGCATTTGCACACGTCAATTTTTCAAAATTTCTACCTTTTTTGACATCCAGTTTCATATAATTGTGGTCAAAATAGATACTTGATATTATTTCAATCTTCTTAAATTTGTTAAGATTTGTTTTGTGGCCTAACATATGATCTGTCCTGGAGAATGTCCCATGTGTGCTTGAGAAGAATATTATTCTGCTGCTGTTGGATGGAATATTCTGTACATGTTTGTTAGGTTCATGTTTGTAGCTCAGTATCAATGTTGTCTTATTGATTTTCTGCCTGTATTATCTGTCCATTGTTAAAAGTTGGTTATGAAAATCTCATACTATTATTGTCTTGTGGGTTAAATCTCCCTTCAGATCTATAAATATTTGCTTTATATATTTAGATGCTCCAGTGTTGGATGTATATATATTTACAGTTGTTTTATCCTCTTTATGAATTGACCACTTTATCACTATATAATGACCCTGTTTGTCTCTTTGTATGGTTTTTGTCTTGAAGTACATTGTATTAGGTAAATATATAGCTAGCCCTGTTTCCTCTTGGTTGTTGTTTGCATGGAATATTTTTATTTTATCATTTTGCTTTCAATCTATGCGTGCTTTTAAAGGTAATGTGAGTGTCTTGCAGGCAGTGTATAGTTGGGTGTCGTTTCTTTATCCATTCAGCCATGCTCTGTCTTTTGACTAGGGGATTTAATCTATTCACATTCAAGGTAATTATGGACATTTCAGGATTGACTATTGCCATTTGGTTGATTTTTTTTTCTGGTTGTTTTGTAAATTTTTTGTTCCTTTCTTTCTTACTTGCTATGTTTCTTTGTGATTAGATGTCTTTATCTAGAGGGTCACTTTAATTTCTTTCTTTTTGTCTTTTTTTTAATCTACCATAGGCTTTTGCTTTGTGATAACAATGAGGCTTACCTTAAGCATCTTATTGTTATAACAGCTATTTTAATCTGGTAACAACTTAACTTTCATTGCATAAAATTACTCTATGCTTCTACCCCCATACATTTTATGTTTTAAATATTAAAATTTACACCATTTTTTGTTGTATATCCCTTAATAAATTATTATAGCTATTATTACTGTTAAAAGCTTTGTTTTTAACCTTCATTCTAACAATATAAGTGAATTATACATCACCATTACAGTATCAGAGTATTCTGCATTTGTGTACTTACTTTGACCAGTGAGTTTTATACTTTCATGTATTTTTGTGTTACTAGTTGGTATCCTTTTCTTTTAGATTGAATAACCCTCTTTAGCATTTTCTGTAAGACAGGTCTGGTAGCAGTGAATCCCTTATTTATTGTTTGTCTAGGGAAATCTTTATATCTACTTCATTTTAAGGAATAGCTTTGCAGAGTATAGTATTCTTGGTTGGAAGATTTTTTTCTTGTTTTATATCAACACTTTGAATAGGTGACTACTCAGAAGTCTACTGCCAGGCATATTAGTGCTCCTATACATGTAATTTGCTTCTTTTTCCTTGTTACTTTTAGAAAGTTCTCTTGATTTTTGATGATTTGAATATACTATGTCTTGTTGCAGTCATACTTGAATTGATTCTGATTGGAGAGTTCTGACCTTCCTGTACCTGGATATTTTTAACTTTCTGCAAATTTGGAAAGTTTTCTGCTATTATTTCTTTAAATAAGCTTTTCACCCTTTACCACTTTCTTTTTCTTCTTTGAACTCCTACAACTTGAATATTAGCTCTTTGATGCTTTCCTATAAATCCCATAAGCTTTCTTTATTCCTTTTTATTCTTTTCCTTTTTCCTCCTCTAACTACATATATTCAAATAATATGTCTTTTAGTTAACAGATGTATTCTGCTTGATCAATTCTGCTGTTATGCTATTACATTTTTATTTCATTTATTGTATTTTTTAGCACCAGAATTTTCTTTTTTAAAAAAAATTTCAGTCTATTTAATTTCTAATTTTGGTCACTAATTGTTTTCCTTACTTCATTGAATTATTTCTCGTATTTTCTGGACATTTGCTAAGCTTCCTTAAAGTAATTATTTTGAATTCATTGTCAGTAAGTTTCTACATATCTATTTTGGGGGGATCAGATACTGTGGGATTTTTGTGTTGTTTTGGTGTTATTAAATCTTTTGTGTTTTTCATATTGTTTCTTTTGTTGTTGCTTTAAGTTGATGTCTGCACATTTGCTAGAGCGATCACCTTTTGTAGACTTTACAGGGTAGGTTTTCTGTGGAAATGTCTCTCTGTGGGGGTATGCAAGGACACTTACTTGGTGAGATGAGGTGGTTTTCGCACCAATGAAGGTGCCAGCTGTTAGTCTCTGTGCAGCATTGATAATGTTGTTGTTGATAAAGATTGAAAAGTGGCTGATGTTATGAATGTCAGCAATGACACTGAGGGGTGTTAAGGCCTTTGGTGGCCATACCTGCTAAGATTGCCAGAATCTCTCTTGGCACTGAATCTGGCCTGTTGGCTTGCTTGCAGTGGTGGTTGCACTGGTGTTTGATAAGTGATGTGTCCATGGAGTAGCCACGGAGCTCAGGCCTGAAGCATGGGCACATGTAGAAGGAGTACATCTCTGGAATTGGGGCAGTATTTACTCTGGTGTCCTGAGCACAGACAACCCTAATGTTGAGTCGATAATAGTATGTATGGTAGAGATATTTGTGAAGTAACCAGGTAGCTAAGAATGGGAACACAGGCATGAGCAAAGTTACAGTAGCTCTGTAGTCAGTGTATGGTCTAGCTCTCTACAGTGGCTGAGCCAGTGGCTGGAACATGGGTACATGCAGCAAGGGCTTGGCTCAGGGGCTGTAGTACAAACCAGCTTACTATGGTGTTGGCTTTGGTGTTTGCAACATGAGTGAGCCCAGTGTAGCCACAGAGCCAGGGTGTGTGTGTGAGCATTTGTGGAGTACCCACAGCTCTGTGGTTGCACATGTGCAGAATTGGGAGAGGTGGTAGCTCCTTTCCCCTAATTAATGAACATCATCCACCTACTGGGGGCATAGGGTTCAGCTACATCTCCCTCTCTTGGTTTCCCTGCCAGGAGTGACTCTCGGTTACCTAGGTGGAAAGAGATGCCAGTGTTCTCTGTGAAGCATGCTGTTGAAGACTACAGTGGTTTCCACTTCTTGGCTGATGCTGATAGCCTCTGCCTTTCTTTTTTGCTTCTGGCCACTTCCTGCTGTCTCAGGTATGTTGGCCTTACCAATAATTCTTGCTATATGAATATTCTTTGAGTTTTTTTTTCTACATTGTATTGCCATAGATTTTTAATGGGTCCTATAGCTCTCTCTGGGCTGTTTTGCTTTGTGAATAGCTGTCTATAGCTGTTTTTCTTGGGAGAGGATGTAAGATGATATCTCCTATTCTGCCATCTTGGTCCCATCATCTACTTCAACATTTGAATTAACAAAACACCACAATCTCAATTATAACAAAATTTGTCATTTCTCTCAGAGTGACAGTGGTATCACAATTTTCATTATAAATCCTCTTTGCTATGGCTTATGTCTTATCATATTAATTTATATGAGGATGAAAGTTCGCATTAAAAGTGGTTCAGCTCATATAAAAATTCCTTTCAAAATTAAAAAAAAAATTATATTTTCCACCAAGCAATAATCAACTAAACCATAATTTATCCAAAAGGTTCACTACATTTCTGGCTGAAACAGAAAGTTATTGTGAACAATAAAATTTTACCAGCAGTTAGCTTTTTTTTCTCAGAATAGTTTCTATTAATATTTAAAAGTATTAATGCAATAGCTATTTTATACTCAGGTACATTGCCTCTAAATAGTTAGATTTTACCAATTATTATTCCAGTAATAAACTGACCAGTTACTTATTCTTTTCTAATATTTAAGCTGTTGTTATAGATGTTTAAATAAATAAATTTGAGAGTTGGATATATATCTTCTTTGCATAATTATAACACTCTCTATACCATATTATGTACATCATAAATTGAGAAGTTGATTAAAAATGTCATGTCCCTGCATGTATGAAAAAGAGATTTAAAAATGAAACTATTCTAAAATTATGGATTTTTCTAGAAACATGAAAAGTTGAGAATGAAATGATAAAAAAGGAAGTAGGGTCTTTCAAGTACCATTCAACATTACCAAAACTGTGTAAAAAGTAGACATTAAAGGAGAGCCTTGCATAATCTTTAACATAAGCTCCTTTATTTTCTTAATGCATGCAAATTTCTGAGCCCTTTCCCCAGGATTTATGGTTCACAGGTTTTGGTGTGGGTTTCAGTAATTTGCATTTAATAAATGCCTCAGTTGACCTCAAGTAATTTTGATGCAAGTAAACTAGTTTTCACACATTGCAGAAAATCATGCTTCATTGTCCACTAGTTATGTGTGAGTTTTAAAATTAAAGTTTTTATTAATTATAAAAAAAAATTTATCCTGACCTACAATAGCATCCCTAGTACCTCTAACACTTTGCTTCATTTGTCTTTTTTGTTTTGTTTTGTTTTTGAGATAGGGTCTCACTCTCTTGCTCGGGCTGGAGTGCAGTGGTGCAATCTCAGCTCACCGCAACCTCCACCTCAAGCAATCCTCCCATTTTAGCCTCCTGAGTAACTGAGACTACAGGAACACGCCACCATGCCTGGCTTTTTTTTTTTTTTTGTATTTTTGGTAGAAATGAGGTTTTGTCATGTTGCCCAGACTGATCTCAAACTCCTGAGCTCAAGCAGTGTGACTCAGCTTCCCAAAGTGCTGAGATTACAGGTGTGAGCCACCATGACTAGCCATCTTTTGTCTTTATATACTTATTACTACTTGACATAATATTATATACATTTTCAGATTTTTTCTTTATTACTATAAACCTTATGAGGGCAGGAACTTCACCAGTGTTCGTCACTTCTTTTCCTTCCTCTGTATTTGAAATGGATATGGTAGGCTTGAAATGCAGTAGAAATTAATTCACTGAGGTTGTTGCAGTATGCTTTTTTTTAAATTATCCTTTAAGTGCTGGGATACATGTGCAGAATGTGCAGGTTTGTTGCATAGGTATACATGTGCCATGGTGGTTTGCTGCACCCATCAACCCATCATCTACATTAGTTATTTCTCCTAATGCTATCCCTCCCCTAGCCCTCTACCCCACCAACAGGCCCCAGTGTGTGATGTTACCCTCCCTGTGTCCATGTGTTTTCATTGTTCACCTCCCACTTATGAGTGAGAACATGTGGTGTTTGGTTTTCTGTTCCTGTGTCAGTTTGCTGAGAATGATGGTTTCCAGCTTCATCTGTGTCCCTGCTAAGGACATGAACTCATCCTTTTTATGGCTGCATAGTATTCCATCGTGTATATATGCCATATTTTCTTTGTACAGTCTATCATTGATGGGCATTTGGGTTGGTTCCAAGTCTTTGCTATTGTGAACAGTTCTGCAATAAACATACGTGTGCATGTGACTTTATAGTAGAATTATTTATAATTTTGGGGGTATATACTCAATAATGGGATTGCAAGGTCAAATGGTATTTCTGGTTCTAGGTTCTTGAGGAATTGCCACACTGTCTTCCACAATGGTTGAGCTAATTTACACACCCACCAATGGTGTAAAAGCATTCCTATTTCTCCACATGCTCTCCAGCATCTGTTGTTTCCTGACTTTCTAATGATCGCCATTCTAACTGGTGTGAGATGGTATCTCATTGTGGTTTTGATTTGAATTTCTCTAATGACCAGTGATGATGAGCTTTTTTTCATATGTTTGTTGGCTGCATAAATGTCTTCTTTTGAGAAGTGTCTGTTCATATCCTTCACCCACTTTTTGATGGGGCTGTTTGTTTTTTTCTTGTAAATGTTCCTTGTAGATTTAAGTTCCTTGTAGATTCTGGATATTAGCCCTTTGTCAGATAGATAGATTGCAAAAATTTTCTCCCATTCTGAAGGGTGCCTGTTCACTCAGCCCCAAATCTCCTTAAGCTGATAATTAACTTCATCAAAGTCTCAGGATACAAAATCACTGTGCAAAAATCACAAGCATTCCTACATACCAATAATAGACAAACAGCAATATTCTTTACTATTCCAAGAGTGAGATGAAATAAGTGTAAATACTAAAAGTTGTTGCTTACAGAGGGTGGAATTGAGTGCTTTATTCTGTTTTTTTTAAAAATACTTTTCCATTTTTTATGAATTTTATACATTGAACATATAGTACTTTATAATCAGAAAAAAACAACATTTAAAGCATGATACATTTAAAACTCATTTTATTTTATCATGCAGTGTAGATTTTAGCTCTTTCATTGTGTTAGGCAGTGCCAACTTTGGTTGAGTAAGATAATAGGCACCAGGTACATTTAAAAGCTCTCTAAAATTATACAGAAGAGAGAATCACAAATGGTCTTTTAAGTCACCACAAGGGAATTTATACAAAAGTGTAAGGTTTTGCATATAATTAATATAAGGTTTTACAGAGAAGATGTTTTATGGAATAAGAGTAAGCAACAAAGAAAATATCTTAAAAATTCAACTTTAGTTTTCTTCATGAGGTCTACCTTCCAAAAATAGAGTGACTCCTAGAAAGAAGTTCTTTTTTGTGGGTTTTTAAAGTCAACTTAAATACATCTCTCACCTTCATCTCCAGCACTCACATTTGTACTCAATATTTAACTGATTATACCCAGGCATAATTTCTAGATGCATACTGTGTATAATGTTGCTGTTCTCACTCTCAATGCATGATTCACAGGGAGATAAGAGTACTATTTTCTGCATTTGGGGACCTATGTGGTTTATTCAACTATGCATAATGCATAATCTGCCACTTTGTAAAGAGATAAGGTGTATGCTGTACTGGTTGCTCTTTTGAAATACAGTAATCACTAAAATTTTTATTTTCTATAAAATTGGCATTAAATATAGGAGTGATATTATGTGTATGCATATATAATACAAATGCCATTACAAAGATCCAATCACATTTATATAATTTTTTTCAAATTAGCTGACTAGGAGTTGTAATAAGACATTGTTTTTAATTTTCAGTATATTTAACTGTCAGAGATATTTAAAAAGTAGAAATTCAATTATAAGTAATTAGGCTGGTTTTGTTTTTAGTTACTAGTTTATTGTAATAGTTAACATTTTCAGGAGAAAATGGATATAAAATGAAATCTTTTTTCCTCCATTAAGGAATCTGACACTTGAAAAGATTAACTGTGTAAATAATTCATATGGGGATATAAGGGATTAACTAAAATATATAATTTTAAAGAAAAAGGAAAAATATAGAAAGAGCAACAGAACCTCCAATTTTGGTGAGCAGCATATAGGTTGTATGAAAGGAAAAATACAAACCAGGGGTGGAGGTGACTGGAATTCAGATGTGTCTTTTGTATTCCTTGGGTGGCTAACCATAGGCAAACTACCAAACCTTTTTGAGTCTCACTTAAAACATGAAAAATCTAGTAATTAGACTGATCTTGTAAATTACAAAATCAGTTTACCCCCTATAAAATTTTCTCTTACACTTTGGATGATTATATGTCAGGTATTGTTGTTACTTGTCCAGCTGAGGCATGGTACCCCCGTGGAGTAGGCTTGGAGTTCAGTTCGGAGCTTTAATTAGCAGATTTGCTAAATGGCAAAGACCAACTCATACAGTTATTCTCTCTTAGATAATCACCCAATTTGGGAAGAGTGATGATAAGAATCTCTTCTCATGAAGAGCACTCAAGAGCTGAGTAGGACCAGTAGTAACTACTACTGGATGATCTGTCATTGGCTTCTTTAGAGTGCAATCTTGCTTCTTGGCTAGACAGAAAATAAATGAAATCAGTAATTTCTGACCTGACTTGGATGTCAGCAGTATGAATTCACCAGAATCCTACTAACTTCTCCTTGCATTTACCTGTGTAGATTGCCTTGATTTGGGAAAGATTATAATTTGATTCCCCCAAATTGAAATATAACATATATTATGAATAGAGTAGGCTTTCTTTCAGCTTAAACCTTCTCTTCATTCATTGCAAGCTATTGCATTCAGACAAAATAATTTAATATATGTATTTTAATAACTATAAAATAAAAAACCAAGAAGCTATAATTGAAAACCAGAAAGGAGACTTTGCCAGAAACCTAGAAGCCCAACCCTCTTGTGTAATTCTCCCCAATCACAACTCCATCTCTTCCTGTTAGACTACCTTAATAAAAAACACATTCCTACCTTTCTTAGCATTTTGCATCCTATGTTTAGATTCCTAAAAATAAGTTTCCTTATTTTTGAACTTGCATGAACAGATTCATTAATGAAAATTGTGCCTTTTTATTTTCTGCTTTTTATCTTAACACGGTTTTATGAATTTCTTTCAAGATGTTGCACGATGCTGTAGTTTGCTTGATTTTTTTTTTACTATGGAGTCCTCAAGTGATAGAGTAATTTTCATCCATCTTATTGTAGATGCACACGTTATTTAATTTTTAGCTATTAAAAGTAGTCCTGCTATAAACATTGTTATTGATGTTGTTCATTGTGGAGATTATTCATGTATTCTTGTACTCTTTTGTATCTGTGTCGTAGGAGTGGAATTGCTGGATAAGACAATGCAAGTGGATCTTGAGAGATCTCACCAATGAAGTCATTTGGAACTAGAGTTTTCGAAAAGACTTTGAATACTAATTTAATTACTTTAATAACTATAGATAGGACTATCCACGTTTGTGAGTTATCTTAATATTTTTCTCAGAATTTGACTTTTTATTTAAATTTTAAAATGCAGGAGCATAAATTTACTCTTAAAATTCTCTTTTGCAGCATTTTGATAATGCTCTTATTTTCATTTGTGACGCTAGGTCTTGAATCTTCTTTCTTGATTTTTTTTCTCTTTCTGTATATTGCTCCAGTGGTTTGCCAATTTTTTAAAAAAACTCTCCAAAGGTAAGTTTCTGGCTTGATCTTGATCCTTCCTATTTTTATTTGTTTTCTATTTTATTATTATTTTTCTTATAGTTTTTTTTGGCTTGTTTTGTTGCTATTATGCTGTTTCTTTTTAATATATTCAAAGGGATCCCCAGTCTATTAACAATCTACAATATTTTTTTTAAAAGTTTACTGTAAGTTCTGGGATACATGTGCATAACATGCAGGTTTGTTATAGGTATACATGTGCCATGGTGGTTTGCTGCACCTATCAACCCATCATCTAGGTTTTAAGCCCCACATGCATTAGGTATTTGTCTTAATATTCTCCCTCCCCTTGCCCCCTGGCCCCCAACAGGCCCTGGTGTGTGATGTTCCCCTCCCTGTGTCCGTGTGTTCTCATTTACAACATTTATTTTTTATTGATATATACATCTGATTATGTGATGGCTTTATAATATGTCAACTTGGCTAAATTTCCCAGAATTCCCTGTATGTTTCCAGTTAAAGTGGGTTATAAGAGGATTGTGTACAATAACAGAGTACATGAATGAAGCAACAGCTCATTTTGTAGCTCATCTCCTGATTTTTTTGGCTATTGACCTGCTGACTTGCCCCTCTGATGTAAGGCAGAGTCTGCACCTGCAATTGCTCCACCTTCTTCTGGTTACTTCTTCAGTGTCTGTGACTCTGGAGTCAGGTGTATGTATTTAGTTCCATTGAAAAGAGGCTTGGTTTCTACAGGACACTCATACAACCAATGTCAGAGACAGCAATAACTAATCTGGGTTTCAATATTGTCTCTTGAGTTTTGGCTTTGTTTGTGAATTCTAGCTTGTTTTCATTCTTCTCGACCCTTCATCCACCTTTACATCTCAACTGTCTGCTCTGTGGATAACAAGCTCTAACATCAGGTGTCTTACAGACATCTTAAAAAGCTTCCAACATTCTGTAAGGTCAATGTTTTGTAATAAATCTCTTAATATTAACATATGACATTCAATGGTTCATCTCTCTGGTTGAATCCTGACTGGTACAGAAGTTATGCATTTTTCTCTAAGTTTTTCTGCCACCATCACTTTTATATTTTATTTTGTATGTGTTAAAACATGATTGTAACTCTTTCTTTAATTCATATGTTTTTACACAGACATTTTTGAATTTCGAAACTTATAAAATATTTATCATTTTCTAACTGATTCTCTATTTAGTTACATATTAGGAAATATGCTTATTCCAACTTTTAAGAATTATGCATTTCTTTGCAGTTACATATGATGAATCTTTGTAAGTGATTTGTGTGTTTGAAAAGAATATATAATCTACATTCATTTGGTAATTGTTTTCTAAATATGATCAATTATGCCAAGAATTTATCATGTTAAAATTTTCCACATTCTTCTTCATTTTCTATCTTCTTCTTGTTTTATCAGTTATCAGGTGTTGAGGTAGTTATTTAAAACTTTTTTTCGAGGGTGGAGCCAAGATGGCCGAATAGGAACAGCTCCGGTCTACAGCTTCCAGTGTAAGCCACGTAGAAGATGGGTGATTTCTGCATTTCCATCTGAGGTACTGGGTTCATCTCACTAGGGAGTGCCGGACAGTGGGTGCAAGACAGTGGGTGCAGCGCATCAAGCGCCAGCCGAAGCAGGGCAAGGCATTGCCTCACTCAGGAAGTGCAAGGGGTCAGGGAGTTCCCTTTCCTAGTCAAAGAAAGGGATGACAGAGGGCACCTGGAAAATCGGGTCACTCCCACCCTAATACTGCGCTTTTCCAACGGGCTTAAAAAACGACACACCAGGAGATTATATCCCGAACATGGCTCGGAGGGTCCTATGCCCACGGAGTCTTGTTGATTGCTAGCACAGCAGTCTGAGATCAAACTGCAAGGTGGCAGCAAGCCTGGGGGAGGGGCGCCTGCCATTGCCCAGGCCTGATTAGGTAAACAAAGCAGCCTGGTAGCTCAAACTGGGTGGAGCCCACCACAGCTCAAGGAGGCCTGCCTGCCTCTGTAGGCTCAACCTCTGGGGGCAGGGCACAGACAAAAAAAAAGACAGCAGTAACCTCTGCAGACTTAAATGTCCCAGTCTAACAGCTTTGAAGAGAGTAGTGGTTCTCCCAGCACACAGCTGGAGTTCTGAGAATGGGCAGACAGCCTCCTCAAGTGGCTCCCTGACCCCCAAGCAGCCTAACTGGGAGGCACCCCCCAGTATGGGCAGACTGACACCTCACATGGCTGGGTACTCCTCTGAGACAAAACTTCCAGAGGAATGATCAGGCAGCAGCATTTGCAGATCACCAATATCCACTGTTCTACAGCCACGGCTGTTCTGCAGCCACCGCTGCTCTGCAGCCACCACTGCTGATACCCAGGCAAACAGGATCTGGAGTGCACCTCTAGCAAACTCCAACAGACCTGCAGCTGAGGGTCCTGTCTGTTAGAAGGAAAACTAACAAACAGAAAGGACATCCACACCAAAAATCCATCTGTACGCCACCATCATCAAAGACAAAAGTAGATAAAACCACAAAGATGGGGAAAAAACAGAGCAGAAAAACTGGAAACTCTAAAAAGTAGAGCACCGCTCTTCCTCCAAAGGAACGCATCTACTCACCAGCAACGGAACAAAGCTGGATGGAGAATGACTTTAACGAGTTGAGAGAAGAAGGCTTCAGATGATCAAACTACTCCGAGCTACAGGAGGAAATTCAAACCAATGGCAAAGAAGTTAAAAACTTTGAAAAAAAATTAGACGAATGGATACCTAGAATAACCAATGCAGAGAAGTCCTTAAAGGAGCTGATGGAGCTGAAAGCCAAGGCTTGAGAACTATATGAAGAATGCAGAAGCCTCAGGAGCCAATGTGATCAACTGGAAGAAAGGGTATCAGTGATGGAAGATGAAATGAATGAAATGAAGCGAGAAGGGAAGTTTAGAGAAAAAAGAATAAAAGGAAATGAACAAAGCCTCCAAGAAATATGGGACTATGTGAAAAGACCAAGTCTGTGTCTGATTGGTGTACCTGAAAGTGACAGGGAGAATGGAACCAAGTTGGAAAACACTCTGCAGGATATTATCCAGGAGAACTTCCCCAATCTAGCAAGGCAGGCCAACATTCAGATTCAGGAAATACAGAGAATGCCACAAAGAAAGATACTCCTCGAGAAGGGCAACTCCAAGACACATAATTGTCAGATTGACCAAAGTTGAAATGAAGGAAAAAATGTTAAGGGCAGCCAGAGAGAAAGGTCGGGTTACCCACAAAGGGAAGCCCATCAGACTAACAGTGGATCTCTCGGCAGAAACTCTACAAGCCAGAAGAGAGTGGGGGCCAATATTCAACATTCTTAAAGAAAAGAATTTTCAACCCAGAATTTCATATCCAGCTAAACTAAGCTTCATAAGTGAAGGAGAAATAAAATACTTCACAGACAGGCAAATGCTGAGAGATTTTGTCACTACCAGGCCTGCCCTAAAAGAGCTCCTGAAGGAAGCACTAAACATGGAAAGGAACAACCGGTACCAGCCACTGCAAAAACATGCCAAAATGTAAAGACCATCAAGGCCAGGAAGAAACTGCATTAACTAATGAGCAAAATAACCAGCTAACATCATAATGACAGGACCAAATTCACACATAACAAAATTAATTTTAAATGTAAATGGGCTAAATGCTCCAGTTAAAAGACATAGACTGGCAAATTGGATAAAGAGTCAAGACCCATCAGTGTGCTGTATTCAGGAAACCCATCTCACATGCAGAGACACACATAGGCTCAAAATAAAGGGATGGAGGAAGATCTACCAAGCAAATGGAAAACAAAAAAAGGCAGGGGTTGCAAGCCTAGTCTCTGATAAAACAGACTTTAAACCAACAAAGATCAAAAGAGACAAAGAAGGCCATTACATAATGGTAAAGGGATCAATTCAACAAGAAGAGCTAACTATCCTAAATATGTATGCACCCAATACAGGAGCACCCAGATTCATAAAGCAAGTCCTTAATGACCTGCAAAGAGACTTAGACTCCCACACAATAATAATGGGAGACTTTAACACCCCACTGTCAACATTAGACAGATCAACGAGACAGAAAGTTAACAAGGATATCCAGGACTTGAACTCAGCTCTGCACCAAGCAGATCTAATAGACATCTACAGAACTCTCCACACCAAATCAACAGAATGTACATTTTTTTCAGCACCACACCGCACCTATTCCAAAATTGACCACATAGTTGGAAGTAAAGCACTCCTCAGCAAATGTAAAAGAACAGAAATTATAATAAATTGTCTCTCAGACCACAGTGCAATCAAACTAGAACTCAGGATTAAGAAACTCACTCAAAACCACTCAACTACATGGAAACTGAACAACCTGCTCCTGAATGACTACTGGGTACATAAAGAAATGAAGGCAGAAATAAAGATGTTCTTTGAAATCAACGAGAACAAAAACACAACATACCAGAATCTCTGGGACACATTCAAAGCAGTGTGTAGAGGGAAATTTATAGCACTAAATGCCTACAAGAGAAAGCAAGAAAGATCCAAAATTGATACCCTAACATCACAATTAGAAGAACTAGAAAAGCAAGAGCAAACACGTTCAAAAGCTAGCAGAAGGGAAGAAATAACTAAAATCAGAGCAGAACTGAAGGAAATAGAGACACAAAAAACCCTTCAAAAAATTAATGAATCCAGGAGCTGGTTTTTTGAGAAGATCAACAAAATTGATATACTGCTAGCAAGACTAATAAAGAAGAAAAGAGAGAAGAATCAAATAGACGCAATAAAAAATGATAAAGGGGATATCGCCACCGATCCCACAGAAATACAAACTACCATCAGAGAATACTACAAACACCTCTGCCCAAATAAACTAGAAAATCTAGAAGAAATGGATAAATTCCTCGACACATACACCCTCCCAAGACTAAACCAGGAAGAAGATGAATCTCTGAATAGACCAATAACAGGCTCTGAAATTGTGGCAATAATCAATAGCTTACCAACCAAAAAAAGTCCAGGACCAGATGGATTCACAGCAAAATTCTACCAGAGGTACAAGGAGGAGCTGGTACCATTCCTTCAGAAGTACAAGGAGGAGCTGGTACCATTCCTTCTGAAACTATTCCAATCAATAGAAAAAGAGGGAATCCTCCCTAACTCATTTTCTGAGGCCAGCATCATCCTGATACCAAAGCCTGGCAGAGACACAACCAAAAAAGAGAATTTTAGACCAATATCCTTGATGAACATTGATGCAAAAATCCTGAATAAAATATTGGCAAACCAAATCCAGCAGCACATCAAAAAGCTTATCCACCATGATCAAGTGGGCTTCATCCCTGGGATGCAAGGCTGGTTCAACATACGCAAATCAATAAATGTAATCCAGCATATAAACAGAACCAAAGACAAAAACCACATGATTATCTCAATAGATGCAGAAAAGGCCTTTGACAAAATTCAACAACCTTCATGCTAAAAACTCTCAATAAATTAGGTATTGATGGGATGTATCTCAAAATAATAAGAGCTATATATGACAAACCCACAGCCAATATCATACTGAATGGGCAAAAACTGGAAGCATTCCCTTTGAAAACTGGCACAAGACAGGGATACCCTCTCTCACCACTCCTATTCAACATAGTGTTGGAAGTTCTGGCCAGGGCAATCAGGCAGGAGAAGGAAATAAAGGGTATTCAATTAGGAAAAGAGGAAGTCAAATTGTCCCTGTTTGCAGATGACATGAGTGTGTATCTAGAAAACCCCATTGTCTCAGCCCAAAATCTCCTTAAGCTGATAAGCAACTTCAGCAAAATCTCAGGATACAAAATCAATGTACAAAAATCACAAGCATTCTTATACAACAGAGAGCCAAATCATGAGTGAACTCCCATTCACAATTGCTTCGAAGAGAATAAAATACCTAGGAATCCAACTTCCAAGGGATGTGAAGGACCTCTTCAAGGAGAACTACAAACCACTGCTCAGTGAAATAAAAGAGGATACAAAGAAATGGTAGAACATTCCATGCTCATGGGTAGGAAGAATCAATATCGTGAAAATGGCCATACTGCCCAAGGTAATTTATAGATTCAATGCCATCCCCATCAAGCTACCAATGACTTTCTTCCCAGAATTGGAAAAAACTACTTTGAAGTTCATATGGAACCAAAAAAGAGCCCGCATCGCCAAGTCAATGCAAAGCTGGAGGCATCACGTTACCTGACTTCAAACTATACTACAAGGCTACAGTAACAAAAACAGCATGGCACTGGTACCAAAACAGAGATAGATCAATGGAACAGAACAGAGTCCTCAGAAATAATTCCGCTTATCTACAACCATCTGATCTTTGACAAACCTAACAAAAAACAATCAATGGGGAAAGGATTCCCTATTTAATAAATGGTGCTGGGAAAACTGGCTAGCCATATGTAGAAAGCTGAAACTGGATCCCTTCCTTACACCTTATACAAGAATTAATTCAAGATGGATTAAAGACTTACATGTTAGATGTAAAACCATAGAAACCCTAGAGGAAAACCTAGGCAATACCATTCAGGACATAGGCATGGGCAAGGACTTCATGTCTAAAACACCAAAAGCAATGGCAACAAAAGCCAAAATTGACAAATGGGATCTAATTCAACTAAAGAGCTTCTACACAGAAAAAGAAACTACCATCAGAGTGAACAGGCAACCTACAAAATGGGAGAAAATTTTCACAACTTACTCATCTGACAAAGTGCTAATATCCAGAATCTACAATGAACTCAAACAAATTTACAAGAAAAAAACAAACAACCCCGTCAACAAGTGGGCGAAGGATATGAACAGACACTTCTCAAAAGAAGACATTTATGCAGCCAAAAAACACATGAAAAAATGCTCATCATCACTGGCTATCAGAGAAATGCAAATCAAAACCACAATGAGATACCATCTCATACCAGTTAGAATGGTGATCATTAAAAAGTCAGGAAACAACAGGTGCTGGAGAGGATGGGGAGAAATAGGAACACTTTTACACTGTTGGTGGGACTGTAAACTAGTTCAACCATTGTGGAAGTCAGTGTGACGATTCCTCAGGGATCTAGAACTAGAAATACCATTTGACCCAGCCATCCAATTACTGGGTATATACCCAAAGGATTATAAATCATGCTGCTATAAAGACACATGCACACGTATGTTTATTGCGGCACTATTCACAATAGCAAAGACTTGGAACCAACCCAAATGTCCAACAACGATAGACTGGATTAAGAAAATGTGGCACATATACACTATGGAATACTATGCAGCCATACAAAATGATGAGTTCATGTCCTTTGTAGGGACATGGATGAAGCTGGAAACCATTATTCTCAGCAAACTATCGCAAGGACAGAAAACCAAACACTGCATGTTCTCACTCATAGGTGGGAATTGAACAATGAGAACACATGGACACAGGAAGGGGAACATCACACTTCAGGGACTGTTGTGGGGTGGGGGGAGGCAGGAGGGATAGCATTAGGTGATATACCTAATGCTAAATGATGAGTTAATGGGTGCAGCATACCAACATAGCACATGTATACATATGTAACAAACCTGCACATTGTACACATGTACCCTAAAACTTAAAGTATAATAATAAAAAAATTTAAAAAACTTTTTTTCTATTTAGTTCTTTTTTAAACAACTTTATTAAGGTATAAATGATATATAAAAAACTGCCTATATCTAATGTGCACAATTTGATGAGTTGGGACAAATAAAAATACCCATGATACTATCATATAATCAGGTAATAGATATATCCAAACCTCTTAAAGTTTCCAGGTGTCCTCTTGGGTTTTTTTCTCTTTTTTGTGTGTGTTAGGAACACTTAATATGAGATTTACCTCAAAATCTCACTCCAGTTTTGGAGTGCTATACCATATGGTTAATTATAGCCACTGTTTTATACAGAAGATCTTTAGAACTTATTCATCTAGCAAAACAGATACTTTATACCCATTGAACAACTCCCCATTTTCCCTACCCCACAATCCTCAGCAACCACTGTTTGTAGTCTTTGCTTCTATTAATTTGACTATTTTAGATACTGCATTTAAGTAAAATCATGTAGTATTTGTCTTTCTGTAACTGGCTTATTTCATTTAGCATAATATCTCTAGGTTCACCCACGTTGTCACAAATGGCAGAATTTCCTTCTTTTTAAAGGATGAATAGTATTTCATTATATTTATATGTAATTTTTTTTTCTTTATTCATCTGTCAGTGGACACTTGGATTGTTGTCATGTCTTGGCAATTGTGATCGATGCTGCAATGGACATGGGAGTGCAAATACCTCTTCAAAATCCTGATTTCAATTCCCTTGGGTATATACCCCAAAATAGGATTGCTGAATTATATATAATAGCTCTACTTCTAATTTTCTGAGGAACTTTCATTCTGTTTACTATAACTGCTTTGCCTTCTACCAAACTGCTTTTACACTTCTACAAAGAATGTACAAGAGTTCCAATTTCCCCATATCCTCTGCATTTGTAATCTTTTATTTATATTTTTTTGCAACAGACATACTATATCCCCTTGTAGCTTTGATTTTTCTCTCTCTGACACTTAATAATTGAGCATATTTTCATATACATCTTGTCAATTTTTGTGTCTTTGTTGGGGAAATATCTGTTCAAATCCTCTGGCCATTTTTCAATTGGGTTATTATTTGTCTATTTGAAACTGCAGTGGTCTCATATATCTTTAGGAATTAACCCCTTATCAGTTATATGGTTTCCAAATATTTTCTCCCATTCTGCAAACTGACTTTTTGTTCTGTAGAATGTTTCCTTTGCTGTGCAGACGCTTTTTTGTCTTATGTATTCTCATATGTCTATTTTTCCTTTTGTGGCCTGCTTTTAGTGTCATATCCAAAAAGTTTATTGCAAAGACCAATGTAAAAAAGTTTTCCTCTGTGCTTTCCTCTAGGGGTTTCAGGATTTACATTTCAGCTTTTATTGTTTCTAAAGAAAAGATCTTGAAAGTATCTTAAAATGGCTTGTAAAGCTCTAGTTATGAACTAACTTTTTAGAAGCCTATGTGACAATAGATCAGAAACATACTGATTATGTTTATCCTAAAATGCTTAAGCGTTTAAGGATTAATAGGCAAAGATATAGGAAACACAGGTTAGACATTTCCAAAGGCAATAGTTTTGAGTTTAGGTCTTTAACCCATTTTGAGTTTATTTTTGTGTATGGTGTATGGTAGGAGTTCAATTTTACTTTTTGATTTTCTTTTCATGTGGATATCCAGTTTTCCTAACACCATTTGCTGAAGAAACCATCCTTTTCCCATCGCAAATTCTTGGCACCTTTTCAAAGATCAGATATATATATATATATACACACAGACACACATACACACATATATATGTATGTGAGTTTATTTTGGAGTTCTCTATTCTGTTCTATTGGTTTATATATCTGTTTTTATGCTAGCATTGTATGGTTTGAATTAATGTAGCTTTTTAATATATTTTAAAATAGGAAAGTAGTTTGCCTCTAGATTTGTCGTTCTTGCTCAACATTGCTTTGGCTACTCAAGATCTTTTGCAATTCCATATTAATTTTAGAATTGTCTTGTGTATTTCTGTTAAAAGTGCCATTGGGATTTTGATGGAGAGTATATTGAATCTGTAGATCATTTTTGGTATTTTGGACATTTTAACAAGAATAAATCTTTCAGTCCATGAACACAGGATTTTTTTTCAATTATTTGTGTTTGTTTAATTTCTTCAAATTAATAAAATCAAGAATGGAAAGGAGACCTTATGAGTGATACCACAGAAATAAAAAAATTATGAGAGACTACTATGAACAATTAAAAGCCAAAAAATTGAATAACCTAGAAGAAATGAATATAGTCCTAGATGTATACATCCTCCAAAGACTGAATTATGGATAAAAAAAATCTAATAGAAGCAATCAGTAAGGAGACTGAATCAGTAATTTTAAAACTCCCAACAAAGAAAAGCCCAGGACCAGACTGATGGCTTCACTATTGCATTCCTCCAAGCATTTAAAGAATTAACACCAATTCTTCTCAATCTGTTTAAAACAATTGAAGAGGAGAGAATACTTCCAAACTCATTCTATGAGTCCAGCATTATCTTGACACCAAAGCTATTCAAGGACACTACAAGCAAAGAAAACTACATTTCAATATCCCTGATAAACATATGTGCAAAGATCCTCAACAAAATACTAGCAAACCAAATTCAACAGCACATTCAAAGAACCACACACCAAGATCAAGGGGAATTGATCCCTGGGATACAATAGATGCAGGATTTTTTGCTCCTTAGTTCAGCTAAATCTGGCTTCTTGTCTCATGACCAGGAAAAATTAGGCATGTGGACACATTGAAAGGTGAGGACAGAATTTATTAAGCAAAAGGAGACCTCTTAACAAAAAGAGGGGTCCTGCATGCAGGTTACCACTTCACAAATTGAATACCAGGCCACCACACATGAGATGATGAGGCCTGGCTCCTCCCCTGCGTAAGGTATGAATTCCTGGTGGCTCCACCCCATTCTTCCAGTGTGCCTGCAGGCCCCTAGTCTGAGCCATTTCACATTGATTTATTTCCCTTACTACGCATGTGTTAAGGGAAGGGGTTTCTTACCATGGGCATATTAAGGCAAGCTTCCTGTGCACAATGACCTGGATGGGGCAGAGGTTCTGTGGGACCCTTCCCTATTTGTCTAGGGATTTGGCTGTCTCCTGTCTCTATCACAAGGATTGTTCAACATACGCAAATCAATAAATATGATACATCACATTAACATAATGAAGAATGAAAATCTCATGATCATCTCGATAAATGCAGAAAAATAATTTAACAATATTTAATACCCTTTCATGATGAAAACACTCAACAAACTAGCTATAGAAGGAATGTACTTTAACACACTGAAGGACATACATGACAAGTTGACAGCTAACATCATAATCAAAGTTAAAAAAATTAAAGCTTTTTCTATAAGATCAGGAATAAGACAGGGATGCCCACTCTCATCATTTCTATTTAATGTAATACTGAAAGTCCTAGCCAGAGTAATTGGGCAACAAAAAAAAGAAAGGAATCCAAGTCCAAATGAAAAGAAGTAGAATTATCTCTGTTTGCAGATGACATAATCTTATATGTGAAAAACCCAATGACTTCACCAAAAAAGACATTAGAACAAACAATCAAATTTGGTAAAGATGTGAGAAACAAAATCAATATATGAAATCCAGTTGGATTTCCACATATTATAAGGGAACCATTTGGAAAGGAAATTAATAAAACAATCCTATTTATAAAAGCGGTAGCAAGATGCTCATATCCATTTTTAAGTCTGCATTACCTCTGGCCTGCTCTCTAGTGTATTCTGACAAATAGTCTTCTTACTGCTTGAGTTCATGTAAACAACACAGCTTTTGAGAAGTCTTTCTTCATTGCCTCTACATGGAACGAAATATTCCTCTCCAGATCTCTTTAAGTTTGATTGTAAGTCTATTATGTTGTGTTTAAAACCTCCTCTTATCTCTTTGGGCTGACAGGAAATTTAATCTCCATCACTAGTATACACTGTCCCTTGGTTTGTGTCTTCCCATCAAAACCAGAGGAAGATCCCTGGAGTCACTTCTTCTGAGACATCTGTTGTTTGAGTATTTATCAATATTTCAGGTCTTACAGTTAGTTCTCATGAGTTTCTGCTCTTCTTGGGTCACCAGTGAGTTTGGCAAGGCTGAGAGGAGGGATTGCAATAAGGAGGCAAACTAGTAATACTCATAATGTTTAACTGCTTGATCACTAATAATGGCAATAATGATAGTATTATATTAAAGTATGAAGACTATATAGTATAGGAAAAATCAATAAAACTAAATATGTTAAAATTAAAACATATTAGAAATATCAGACAAAATGTCAATCTAGCAAAAATATAAGTGTTAAATATATGCCTTAGTTCTGGCTGCTAAAACAAAGTATCATGGACTGGGTATCTTATAAACAACAGAATTTTATTGCTCAGAGTTCTGGAGGCTGGAAGTCTGAGATCATGTTGCCAGTGTTGTCAGGTTCTGGTGAAGACATTCCCTAAGATCGCATTGTGTCCTCAACGTGGCTGAAAGCTGGGCACTCTCTGCAATCTCTTTCTTAGGGGCAATAATCCCATTCAAGAAAGCTCCACCTTCACAAATTTAATTACCTCCTAGTACCATCATACTGAGGGTTAGGACCTCAATACATGAATTTTGAGGGACACAATCATTTAGTCTGTGACAAAATAACATCATAAAATGATAAAATTAATATAATAAATGTTATCCAAAAAATAGTGCTTTATAAAACTGAAGAAAATTTAATTTCCTGTGATTATTAAAAGTTAAATAATGCAATGTAATTTCTTTGTAAAACTTGGATCCTCTAGAAAAGTGAATTGATGTGATAATTACTGAGCTGAATATACTTCTATATAAGAGTTTCCATCTGTTGGAAACGTTATTTCCAACAGTGGGAAAATGTTTAGTAGACATTTATGAACTAACTCCAAATAGTTCCCCCATGAGTTCCTCATCTTTAAATAATCATCAGAAGTACAATTAATAACACTGTAGACATTTTCCAACACCTGCCCCACAATACAATGCAGAGTGTCAATTTGATACTATGGTATTTATATTTCACTTGTTCAAAGGTCTTTAAAATACGGTAATAATTGTGTTTAAAGTAGGAGAAGTTTTACAAAGACAGAATATAGTTGCTTATTGAAATGTGTACAGGGCAGATCTGTCTAAACTTGTAGACAGCACTTTGTGGTGTCTTTTCTTTTGCACATATTGATGAGCTACAACATTGATTTTGTTATCAAGATATACAAGACTAAAATATCAGGTTCTTTTAAACACAGAAATAATAACATTGCATTAAGAAGTATTAAGTATTTTCATACATAATACCTGTTATTCTAGTTGCTGCTTAGAGATGCTGTGCATGAGCTCCAGCTGTCCTAGAGACACCAACCATTCATCCTCTCGGAGTTCTGGCTATACTTCCAGGTAACAAACTCTAGACAGCGCTCAGGTTCCCAGCCCTCAAACCCCTTTTCTGTCTGATGAAGTATCTCTTTTCTATATCCCTTCTTGCTCTGGGATTCCTGGCATTAGGTCTTCAATGAACTTAAGATTTCACTAAAATATAGTTTTCTACATGCAAAAAGCCACAAAGCAAGAAAATTATAAGGGTCTAGTAATATGCTTGGAATGCAGGAAAGGGAAAAAATACAGTGAACAAAACACATGCTTATATTTCAACAAGATAGCTAGCATAAGAGAAACAAACTTGTCATTTAGGTCAATATTGTATTAATTTCATTTTTTATTGAAATCTATGTTGCTGTATACATTAATGAATTTTTTATTTTGAAATATGTAGTCTAACTCAACTTTTAGTGCTAATATAATGACTACGAAGATAGCTATTACTATATTATTCCCCTCTATAAGTTTATATTTAGGAAGAAAATAAGTTAATGTAAATTAATTAATATAATTCTCTGAAAATAAACTGTTACTATAATAACTTCATAAAGATAAATAAAAACTGTGCCAAAAATTTATCTTTGTGCAAATCATCACTTTTCTCATCTGTGAAGCAGGTCCTAAAGCTTTTCTCAGTTAACAAAGTATTTTCTGTTTTTAATATTGTGAGAATATAACATAATCTAGGCATATATTGTGAGAATATAACATAATCCATGAAACTATACTAACAAGTAATGCCCAACTCCCTCTCCCTATTTCTAAAGGATTTTGTGAATGCAAATTGTGTTTATTAAGAAATAGTTAAGGGATAGTTATTTGTTAAATGAGTACATGAATGGATAAGTTTATGCCTAAATAGTTTGGTTTATAGTTTCCTTTTATGTGACCACAAATTATCTTCACCCTGTGGTAACATAGACTGACAATGATATTATTCACTTTTGTATACATCAGGATGGGAGACTTGGAAAGATCAAGTGATTTTCTTAAAGAGGCATTGATTTATTGGCAGTGCTGAGAATACAGTCTAGGTTTTTCTGCCTTCATGTTTAGAGTTTTGCTATCAGGCAGTATGGTTTCCCAGTGGGCAGTGATAATCATGCCTCAAAGGACCATAACCTTGCTACCATCTCTCCATCATGAATCTATTCTGACTCAGCTACTGGCATCAGTGACTGAACTTCTCAGTATATACATGAGTGAGCCTATAAATATGCATGGTCGAGGGAAGTAGAAAACATCCTTGGTCTTTGGAATAAAAGAAGACTTAAACTTGATTCTGGATGTCAATATTTACTAACTATTTAGGCAGACTATTCAATTCTACATCAGAGTAACAACACCAAATTATTATGGAATAATTTTGAGATTAAATATCACAATTGCATGAGAAGACACTTAGCTTATAGTAAACAACACAATAAGGGTAATTTTATTAGAACACCTTAGTTTTATTTTCTAAATTCATCAACCTCTTTTAAGGTTTTCTCTTTATCACATAAGAGAAACCTAGAAGTACATTTTCCAAAATTCTCTTCTCCACATGTTTCTGGGGTAGTCTGATCATGACTGGTATCTAAATACTATTTGGATGGTGAAGCATTGACAATATTTGCTGAAAAACATTAACAAGAAGCACAGATTTTCTTGGGAAAGAGAGAGTGTAATTTGCATGGGGGAATAATCTTGAGTATTTAGGGGCAAGACAGAGGATGTGATAGGAATACCTCTGACAAAATATTTCAGATTCTGCCATCCTGTCACATTGTGGGATAACACTTTGAATTTGGGAGAGACCATGTGATTGGTTCTGACCAATGATTTATAAGCAGAAGTGACTTGTATCATGTAAAGGCCAAGCATTTAAATGCTTCAGTGAGTTCTCTTTCCACTGTGTTGAAATTCCTGGCAATGCTCAAAATATTAGCTATTCTGAAGCTTGGTTAGCTAACTGACTACAGTGAGCCCTGCAGATTTTCAGTGAGTATGAGCCACAAGCATGAGCAAGAAACAAACCTTAGCTGTTTGTGATAGATAAGATAATGTGTTTCCAATGATGTTTGTGTCCTAATCCCTGGAACCTGTGAATATGTTACTCTATATGGCCAAAAGGATTTTGCAGATGTGATTAAGTGAAGAATCTTTAAATGGAAATATTTTCTTGAATTATCTGGGTGGGCCCAATGTAATCAAGGATTCTTAAAATGTTTATTGAAGTGGAAGTCAGGCTGATGTGATTGCTGGCTTTGAAGCTGTAGGAAGAGGCTACGAATGCAGATAGTCTTTAGAAACTCAAAAAGGCCAAGAAAATATTCTTACCTAGAGCCTCCAGAAGGGTTTTAACCCAATGGAATCCATTTCATACTTTGGACATCCAGAACTCTAAGATAAATTTGCATTGTTTAAGCCACTAATGTTATAGTAACTTGTTAGAGTAGTAACAGGAAACCAAGACAGTACACAGTTTTATGTCATTTGAGGTTTAAGGTAGTTTACTGTAGCAGCATGATCTAGCCTATCTTGACTGATAAAATCTGCCCTTACCTATTTTTTAATGGTCAGCACTAACATTGAGAAAATATACTTACAATTTCAATTGGTGGTTTTTCACCCCATCTTTATGGTTTTCCTTAGTTGCCCTCCTCCTATGTTTGAATCAGGGTATAGATAAAATTTGAATGTTATTATCATTAGTTATGTATTTTCTAGGACTTAATCTAAAATGTGATAAAGTTTCTGTCTTTGAGGGGACCCATCATACACTGTTGGTGGGGATATAAATTGATGCAGCCACTATGAAAAACAGGATGGAAGTTACTAAAAAATTAAAAATAGAGCTACACTGTAATCCAGCAACCCTGCTTCTAGCTATATGTCCCAAGGAATTAAAATTAGGGTCTCAAAGAGATACCTACATTCCCATGTTGATTGTGTCATTAGTCACAATAGCAAAGACTTGGAAGCAACCTAAATGTCTATTAATGGATGAGTGGATAAAGAAAATGTGGTATATACTCTGAAAGAAAAATAAATCTTGGGACCCCAAAATCACTAAGCCAAAGAGAAAAGTCAAGCTGAGAACTGCTCAGGGCAAACCTGCCTCCCATTCTATTCCTAAAAAAGATAGCTATTAAGATAAAAAAAAAAAAAAGCTACATACCTCCCTCACAAGGAATTTCCCTGTGGGCAAAGGACAGACAGAACTCAAAGTCACCTCTCTGCTCACTGAGATAAATGCATATCTGATTGCCTCCTTTGGAAAGGCTAATCAGAAACTCCAAATAATACAACAATTTGTCTCATATCTACCTATCACCTGGAAGCCCCCTCCCTGCTTCAAGTTGTCCCACCTTTCTAGATGGAACTAATGTACATCTTACATATATTAATTGATGTCTCATGTCTCCCTAAAATGTGTAAAACTGAGCTGTCATGGGGCACACCCTTATCTTTGGCAAAATAAACTTCCTAAATTGATTGAGACCTATCTCAGATATTTGGGGTTCACAATATATACCACAATGAAATAGTATGTATTTCAATAGTAATGAATACTATTGAATTACAATGGAATATTATTCAGCCTTAAAAATGAAAAGAATCCTGCCATTTGCAACAACATGGATAAACCTGGATAAACCTGAAAGCCATCATGCTAAGTAAAATAAGCTGGACACAGAAGGACAAATACTACATGATACCACTGAGAAAAGAAAAATAGCTCAGAGCAGTCTGAATTTTGTGAGGTATGTTAAAATTTATCCAGTTCAGACAGACATGAGTATGGAACTTCAGTCATGTCCCCCATCCCCATGCCCCAGGGATAGTTGTTTAAAGGCAATTGCCTCACTCATTATCTTCATGATCATGAAATTTGTGATACAGAGAATAATGTATAATCAATTAATAGCTTATGTTATTTTAATGTAATTCTCAGTTAAAAAAACAAAAACTTAGGAATGGTCTCTCCTTTTCCTTTAAAAACCCATTCATAATCAGAGCATATATTCAGGACAACTGGAATCTATGCCCCTGGGTGGCTGTCCTCAAACTTGGCCCAAATAAACTCTCTACTTATATTAAGTTTGCATGAATTTTTTCCCCCTTTAGTTCAACATTACTTATGTGACTAATCTAAAATAATCAGACTCATAGAAGCAAATAGTAGAATGAAGGTTGCCAAGGACTAGAGGGAGAGGAAAATAGAGCGGTATTAATCAAAGGGTACAAAGTTTTCCTCATACGCAATAAATAAGCCCTAGAGATCCACTGTACAGCATAACACCTACAGTTGACGATACAGAATTTTATACTTAAAAATGTTCTAGGATAGTAGATCTTATGTTAAATGTTCTTATCACAAAAAATAAATAAAGAAGGTAGGAGGAAACTTTTGGAAGTGGTGAATAAGTTTATGGCATAGAATGTGATGAGGGCTTTATGGGTGATTACTTATCTCCAAACTCATCAAGTTGTACACAGCAAATATGTACAGCTTTTTGTATGTCAATTATACCTCAGTGGAGTGGTTAAAAATGTTCTCTTAAAATCTCAATTTTGTTCTTGCTCTCTATTGGTTTGTGAGAGATAACATAAATTTTTATGCTTCTAGATAAGATGAAAAGATACAACCCATACATACTATGCAGGAGATAAACCAACACAGTCACTTTATTAACAAGTTTATTTTGTGACCATATATTCTTCCTTCAAGAAGATGAAAGCGGTAAACCTTCAGGGAAATTGTAATATTGAGATCAATGTAAAATTTCACTGAAGAACTCAGGTACAAAATGTCACACATAAAAGTGGATTAGAAGCTGAGCTATTGTGAAGAGATGAAGATGAAGAAATATTTTCAGAATGTGTTTCTTATGTGAACTTCTGTGTGGAATCCAGAAGGGAGTACATTGATGCAGGAGCTAGAAACAAAAAAGAACGGAAAAAAAAAAAAACCAAAAAGCAATATTTTCTGATGTTCAAGCATTTCTCTGTAAATAACCCAAACCCAGAGCTGAATGTGAGACAAGAATATATATTTGAAAAAAATAGCACTTAGACCTAGAATCAAATAAAATAACTGATACCTTTTTTAATGGAAGAATATAGGGAATAAATATTAAGGAAAATGACTAGGAGGGCATGGATTCTAATTTTGTTTTTTTTGAAACATAGTCTCCCTCTGCTGCCCAGGCTAGAGTGCAGTGGCATGGACTTTGCTCTCTGCAGCCTCAGCCTCTGTGGTTCAAGTGATTCTCCTACCTCAGCCATCCGAGTAGCTGTGATTACAGGTGTGTGCTACCGCACCCAGCTAATTTTTGTATTTTTAGTAGAGATGGGATTTTGCCATGTGGCCCAGGCTAGTCTCAAACTCCTGAGCTCGAGAGATCTGCTCGCCTCCGCCTCTCAAAGTGCTGGTATTACAGGCGTGAGCCGTGGAGCCTGTCCAGATTTTTATCTGGCATCTTCATAAATGTGTTTTTTCTCTTCTCTTTCTTTTACCTACACATGACACACATAGATTTCTAAGTGCACACACACATACACACAAACACATATTTTATATGTGCAAATATGTCAAATATGCAAACCCACATTTGCATATTTGATTGTTTTTCTGGATATCTAGGAACACCTGTTCTAAGTAATCTTTTCTGGAAGTGTGCAGGGAAGAGAAGAAAAAAAATTTCTCTGTGGCTCCCCAGAAATGCCCCACAGAAGTTCCCCTTATGGGTCATTGTCAAGGAGTTTTTCTAGGAGTGTGGGAAATGCCCATTCTTTTCACCCCTCCCCTCAGTTCCAATCACAGGGAGAGAACTTCTCTGCACTGTCTCAACACATTTTCTGTCTGGCAGTTATGAAAGCTTCCTGTCCAGATTGACATTCTACAGTCTCAGTACATCTGGTGGGTGGGAGATATCTTGATATCTTGTCAGTTAATATTTTATGCCAACGTACATCTTACAAATGAATGTCTTACTTCTAGCAGCATCTAGTTTTAATATAATCTTATATACATCATCCATCCTTCTCTGTGCAGGAATATGTTCGGAAAAATATTGCAGTTCAAATTCTCCTTTAAACTACAATATTTTCTTTTAACTTTCTACATTAACACCATTTTGCACAAATATACAAAATTGTCCAAGTTCTGCATGCCAGACTTCTTTAGTCATTGATTTGTTGCCTATAAAATAATATTTAACTTATTGCTTCAGCAATCATTATAAAAAAAAGTTCTAATTTTTATTGTAGAAAGAACAGTTAACATGAGATCTACTCCATTAAATGTTTAAGTGCACAATGTAGTATTGTTAACTATAGGAAGGCTTCTGCTATTTTAACACAGACCAAAGCCTACATAACTCAGCTACTCAAGGAAAACTGTCCTGTGGCCTGTTTGGGCGCAATGTAGATTACATTTCCTCCTCTGTGTTTTCAAAAAACTTTGGCATATTTATATTACTACAATATTCATATTCTTCATACTACACTTTGATTATCTTTAAAACAATACACTATTTCAGCAACTCCAGGCTTGTGTTCATACATGTTTAGCAACCAGTTCTCCCCTGCCCAATAAAAGGTGTACGCACATATATATTTACATAGGTTTCTTATGAATTTTACTAACATAAAGTTTGTGTAGCATATGATACGATATACTACATACAATATATGCAATAATACGTAAGTATTCAATATTCCATATTTTAAATCCAATGTAGTCAATTGATGCTCACATAATGTTTTTGTTGATATTTTTACTAAAATATTATGTCCACAGTAAACTTATCACTGCAACTAATGGGTGAGTATAGTTAAAATATGAATGTTAATTGATACTTTTATTTATGTCAATGAGTCAGATGAAAGTGAAATGACAAACACAAAAAACATGTTTGAGGACTTCATTTGTTAGTCACTAGTATGAGTGACTTTGTTAAGTTGCATAATAGTTCTCAAATACTGGAGTATTATTTACTCTAATTATTGTGCTATTGATGGCATAACTGCTACAGACAACACACTTTAAGTTAAATCTTCCTTATGAACATGTTCTCCATTATTTTCTTATTCCTTGACAGTCAACACGGCAAAAACTCAAACCCTGATTGGCAGCATTTGCTGATATCTGTTGTGTAAATAGTCTCACCACAGCCTACTCCAAGGTATTAAGATGACAATACTGAGAACAGAGCTGGGGAAAAATGCACAGCGGCACACCTTTATATTGTATTTCCATTGCACAGATGCAATAGACATAAATAACATCAAGAGCATAGATAATAGTAAAATGTAAAATAGGTAGAAAATAATGAGCTTTGAGTAATTATTATATTGAAAAAATAAAACTTATTTAATTGTAAATTTATATAATTTCATTTTAAATAATATCTCTATTTAACAAGTCGCTCTGAAAATGCTTGGAAATTTCACAATCGGTTCTTGCGTGCTGATATGTATTGGCTCCATTATAGCACTGACTGCTTCTCTGTCTTGTTTTTTCAGCATTTTTGCATGCAGCAGGTGATCAGAAATATTTTTGTGGTGAAGAGCAAGTTATAACTTTACCCAGTATGTTACACCAATATCCCGTTTTATACACCAGTGACTGTTAAAAGCAGAATTACATTCTCTACTCAACAGACTTCCAGAACAAGTGAGTTTATTCTGTCTGTGTGCATTCCAGCCTGGGTGACAAGAGTGAGACTCTGTCTAAAAAAAAAAAAAAAAGGCTGGAATGCAGTGGCACAATCTCGGCTCACTGTAACCTCGGCTTCCTGGGTTCAAGTGATTCTCCTTCCTCAGCCTCCTGAGCAGCTGGAACTACAGGTGCGTGACACCATGAGCGACTACTTTTTTGTATTTTTAGTAGAGACGGGGTTTCTTTTTTTTTTTATTATTATTATTATTTGAAAGTTTTCTCTAGGATTGACGTTCTCTTCCTTTCAAGTATCATAGGCCAATCTTTTTTTATTTTTTTATTATATTTTAAGTTCTAGGGTACATGTGCACAACATGCAGGTTACATATGTATATATATGCCATGTTGGTGTGCTGCACCCGTTAACTTGTCATTTACACTAGGTATATCTCCTAATGCTTTCCTTCCCCGCTACCCCCACCCCACAACAGGCCCCGGTGGGTGATGTTCCCCTTCCTGTGTCCAAGTGTTCTCATTGTTCAATTCCCACCTATGAGTAAGAACATGTAGTGTTGGGGTTTTTGTTCTTGTAATAGTTTGCTGAGAATGATGGTTTCCAGCTTCATCCATGTCCCTACAAAGGACATGAACTCATCCTTTTTTATGGCTGCATAGTATTCCATGGTGTATATGTATCACATTTTCTTAATCCAGTCTATCATTGATGGACATTTGGGTTGGTTCCAAGTCTTTGCTATTGTGAATAGTGCTGCAATAAACATACGTGTGCATGTGTCTTTATAGCAGCATGATTTATAATCCTTTGAGTATATACCCAGTAATGGGATGGCTGGGTCAAATGGTATTTCTTGTTCTAGATCCTTGAGGAATCACCACACTGTCTTTCACAATGGTTGAACTAGTTTACAGTCCCACCAGCAGTGGAAAAGTGTTCCTATTTCTCCCCATCCTCTCCAGCACCTGTTGTTTCCTGACTTTTTAATGATCGCCATTCTAACTGGTATAAGATGGTATCTCATTGTGGTTTTGATTTGCATTTCTCTGATGGCCAGTGATGATGACCATTTCTTCATGTGTCTGTTGGCTGCATAAATGTCTTCTTTGAGAAGTGTCTGTTCATATCCTTCGCCCACTTGTTGATGGGGTTGTTTGTTTTTTTCTTGTAAATTTGTTGGAATTCATTGTAGATTCTGGATATTAGCCCTTTGTCAGATGAGTAGATTGCAAAAATTTTCTCCCATTCTATGTGTTGCCTGCTCACTCTGATGGTCGTTTCTTTTGCTGTGCAGAAGCTCTTTAGTTTAATTACATCCCATTTGTCAATTTTGGCTTTTGTTGCCATTGCTTTTGGTATTTTAGACATGAAGTCCTTGCGCATGCGTATGTCCTGAATGGTATTGCCTAGGTTTTCTTCTAAGGTTTTTATGGTTTTAGGTAAAGACGAAGTTTCACCGTATTAGCCAGGATGTTTTTCTCCCAATAGTGATACCTTCTTCTCTCAGCTCTCAGGCTCCTCACAGGGGTTGCCTTCAGCTCTGCCTCCCAGGACTCTTAACCTAAGGCACTGTTACTAGTATTATTATTATTATTATTATTATTATTATTATTATTATTATTATTATTGTTATTTTGAGACAGGGTCTCATCTGTCACCTAGGCTGGAGTGCAGTGGGACTATCTCAGCTCACTGCAACCTCCGCCTCCCAGGTTCAAGCAATCATCCCACCTCAGCCTGCAGAGTAGCTGGGACTACAGGTGACAGCCACCACGCCTAACTTTTTTGTATTTTTTGTAGAGACGGAGTTTCACCATGTAGGCCAGGCTGGTCTCAAACTCCTGAGCTCATGATCTGCTCGCCTCGGCCTCCCAAAGTGCTGGTATTACAGTTGTGAGCCACCGTACCAGGCCCTTTGTTACTATAATTATCGTTAAAATAATTATTTATCCAACTTCACTTCAAAATTTAAATGTCAGTTTTGGCATTATGTCAGCACATACACCTTATTTCCAAATTAAATTTAACTGATCAGGTAAATAATAATAATAAATTAAATCCTAGCTATTGTATATCTTTAAACTGAAGACTTCTGGAAATAATAGCTAAGTCTCAGTGGGGAAATCTAGTACTGGGGATTCCTGGGTTGTGGCAGCCTTTGGAAGTAAAAGTTGAGTGCCTGGAGGCACTGCAGTGCTCTGGTAACTCTACCATTCAGAGCTTTGCCCTTCACAGGCCCATGTCCATAAGATTCACAAGAATATTGATGTGAGCACCCATTGCATTGTGGGAAAGAGCCATAAAGAGACACGCTTAAGTAAAAAGCCACTTCAAGTTTTTAAAAATATTTTTTCTTGAAAGAAGAAATTTAATAAGGTTAAATACGTCAAAACAAAAGCATAAAATAACATACATATTTTATGTATTATGCAAGAAATGATACCACATGTAGAAATTACATTGTAGAAATACTAAATATTATAACGAGAAATAATTTTTCAATGTTTAGGTTTATATAATGAGAAAGAGATATTCCAGAGGAATAAAGGTAAAAAGCACAAGGGTTAAAAGTGTGTGGGTGGGAAAAATTGTGTGTGTGTGTTTAAGAGAGAGTAAGAGGTAGGAGAGAGAAAGATTCTGAGATTTTAGCAGGGCATTTTGGCTTTATTATGTATTTTCTTAAACTTGTCTCTTATTCTTTGCCTCTTATTGCTTTCTCTTGCCCTCTTGACCTCCGGAGCCTACTTCCTTTTGACACCTCTCAATTATTGAGCTTACTTTCCTAGAGATTAAAAAACCAAAAGTTTATGTGCCTCAGATGTAGAGTCAATTTAAATACAGACATAAATTATGGTTATTGCCTTTGGGGTGTGTGTATGTGTGTTTGTGTGTTTGTGTGCATGTGTGAAGGCACCAGTTTTGGATTTAGATAGATCTGGGTTCACAATTTGACTCCTTACATTTTCTCGCAATCCAAAATTGGTCAAGTGTCTTGAATTCTGAGAGTTTTAGTTTCCTTATGTTTAAAATAGGACCAATAATATGTAATCCAAAAGACTGTGGAGAATGTTAAATTAGATAATGTATGATGACCTTGACACATACTGTAAAGACTTAGTAATGGATTACTTTTGTCATTATCATTATTTTATTACTGTGAATATAAGAACAGTTGCAAGTATTTAATTGCAAGTAATTAACATATTTTTATTACTGTTAATATAAGCACAGTTACAAATTGTAAAAGAGATAAATCTAATCAAAGAGTCAATGAGTTACTCCCATTAGGTGTCATCTTTTTTTTTTTTAAACACAGATTCTAGGAAACAAAAGTGTCATCTTATAAAGTGAATGGTAAGCACTTGGACAGCCTTCAAATTGAAGTCAAAGTGCAGTTTCTTAAATATCAAATCCATCAAAAGAGAGAGAAGGTTGAACAGCACTGGAGAATAATCATAGAAAATGTACTTTGTCAAGTTGAAAATCTTTTCAGACTCATGGTATTCTAAGGTTAGACATACTTCACTGGGATTTCAGTCCAGTGAAATCTAGAGAAACGTGACTTTTTTGTCTCTAAATACAGGAGTTAAGAAGAAATTACTTAGGCAGATAGTGAGAGTACGGAAGTCCTCGGTAAGCTTTTCTTTCAATGAAAAGCAACCCCAAAGCATTTTCCTTTCTAACCAAGAGCAGCTTGTAAAATCAAGCTAGGCAGACATAGATGCCATCAGTTGTGCCAATCATGTTCAAGATGGCAGCTCCATCTTCCCTTCTCTTTGTTAGCCACCTGTATAGTAAGGAGCAGATAAGGTGGCTCTGGTCAAAGGGGAAGTTCATTTGCACAATAAGATTAAGGTGGGGCCACCAGCCTTCCCTGCACTATGTAAATGTCATACCTGATCAAACCAATCTGTGAGTCCTATGTAAATCAGACACCTCCTCCTCAAACCTGACTATAAAATCTGGCACATCCTCCACTGGCCGGTCTTTTTCTCTCTCTCACTAGAGAGAGAGGTGTTTTCCTTTTTCTTTCTTTTGACTGTTAAACCTCCGTTCCTACATTCCTCGTGTGTGTCTGTGTCCTAAATTCTCCTGGCAGGAGACGATGAACCTGGGTATTTACCCCAGACAATGCAGCTGCTTCATAAAGACAAGATCTTGAAAGTTCTAAAAAATGTTTTGAAAAGCTCATTTGTCATGAACTAACTTTTTAGAAAAAAAAAATACTTTAGTGACTTAAGTAACAACAAATCTGAAGCATACTGATTCTGTTTGCCTTGAAGTGCCTATGGGATTAAAGACTAACAGGCAGAGAGATAGGAAGACAGTTTAGACACTTTCAGAGGCAATGCACTTAACCAATTGAATTGCTAAACAAACGAACTGGAAAACTTTGTTTCTGTCTTTTTTGGTCTGTGGTGCTATCACAAATTATAAGATGAAAATAACTCTAACGTTTGCTTTATGTAGTTTCATTGCATTTTTTATTTTAATTCTTTATATTATCAGTTACAGAGACAAGGGAAAAATCTAATCAGGCAATCATTTTCTCTTTCTACAGTTTAAATTATTTAGTTACACCTGCAATGTTTGGCAATAAAAACCAATTTGGGATTTTGGTTTGATTATTAGGAATTTTTTCTGACCGTGTTTTTTATAACTTGGTACTCTTTTGCCTTTTTCTAATATACAGTTGTATTTTCACTGTTTTAAGAATAAGCTTACTTTGGCTCTCTTTAGAATCACACATATCTATTCAGAGTTAAAAAAAGAAATTAAAATGCAATATTTAAATGTGTTATGAATAAAACACTATTATGATAAAAATCTATTCATTAGCTAAGAATAGAAAAATGAACTTACAAAAGTGAAATCAAAGAGACTAAAGTGATGTAGACTTCCTTTCTTTTCAGCAATTGATAGAAGCAAATTCAGTTGCTATTGAAAAACAGTGGAAGTAACAATATTGGCTGGATGATTAAGCAAGGAAGATGAGAATAGAGGGGAAAAAAAGCATAAATTAGTCTGTGGTCTGTAGGTCTGGATGACTTGTGACCTTGAGTACATTTCCAGTTGGGTTACAGCAGCGACTACCCTTCAAACACTACCACCCTAAGAAGTACAGGAGTGACAGATTAACTTCCCTTCTTTGACAGAGATGGAAACCAATCATTAACTGCTATATCAAATTCTTACCAATAGCCAAGGTAAAGAGCAATATAGTTTTCTTGAGACTTAGTAAAGCCTAACTAATCTAATTTGATTTTATTAAAGAATGACAAATTGAATAAATGAGGAAAAATAGTTCAAAGTGTTTTGGTTAATAAGAATTTTACTTTTGTTTAAAGGAGAAACACTATGATTTTCTTTAAGCCAACATTTTACTGTGAGGTATCAGCTAATTTATTATTTAAATTACAAAATCTTGAGTTAACATATATCCTCTATCATCTTCAACAAGACTAGAAATAGGCACCCTCATTTAATTCCCAGTTCATTTTAAAGGAGGACAAAAAGGCTAGTTTCTGCCTATCATTGAAATTGTAAGACGCTGAAAGGACAGAAAATATTAAGTGAAGAAATGATTCAATTTTGACCTATTTGGTTCAAGATCCTGTGCTGCAAATTATTTCAATACTCTAGCTTCACTATATACCAACAATTATGCCTTAATGTGCCCCAAAGCGAGTTTCATTTTACTTCCTCTTTGAAACCCAAAATATGTTTAAAATTGTGTTTTGAGTCTGCATTTATTTATTTATTTATTTATTTATTTTTAATCTGAAAATGACTTTGTTTGTTTTTTTTTGAATTTCACATTCTAGTACCTTACTTTTTTTTTTATACTTTAAGTTTTAGGGCACATGTGCACAACATGCAGGTTTGTTACATATGTATACATGTGCCATGTTGGTGTGCTGCACCCATTAACTCGTCATTTAGCATTAGGTATCTCTCCTAACGCTATCCCTACACCCTCCCCCCACCTCACAACAGGCCCTGGTGTGTGTGATGTTCCCCTTCCTGTGTCAATGTGTTCTCATTGTTCAATTCCCACCTATGAGGGAGAACATGCGGTGTTGGGTTTTCTGTCCTTGCGATAGTTGGCTGAGAATGATGGTTTCCAGCTTTATCCATGTCCCTACAAGGGACATGAACTTATCCTTTTTTATGGCTGCATAGTATTCCATGGTGTATATGTGCCACATTTTCTTAATCCAGTCTATCATTGATGGACATTTGGGTTGGTTCCAAGTCTTTGCTATTGTGAATAGTGCCGCAATAAACATACATGTGCATGTGTCTTTATAGCAGCATGATTTATAATCCTTTGGGTATATACCCAGTAATGGGATGGCTGGATCAAATGGTATTTCTAGTTCTAGATCCCTGAGGAATCACCACACTGACTTCCACATGGTTGAACTACTTTACAGTCCCAAGAACAGTGTAAAACTGTTCCTATTTCAGCGTGGTCCTGGTACCAAAACAGAGATATAGACCAATGGAACAGAACAGAACCCTCAGAAATAATGCCACACATGTACAACCATCTGAACTTTGACAAACCTGACAAAAACAAGAAATGGGAAAGGATTCCCTATTTAATAAATGGTGCTGGGAAAACTGGCGAGCCATATGTAGAAAGCTGAAACTGGATCCCTTCCTTACACCTTATACAAAAATTAATTCAAGATGGATTAAAGACTTTAACGTTAGACCTAAAACCATAAAAACCCTAGAGGAAAACCTAGGCAATACCATTCAGGACATAGGCATGGGCAAGGACTTCATTTCTAAAACACCAAAAGCAATGGCAACAAAAGCCAAAATTGACAAATGGGATCTAATTAAACTAAAGAGCTTCTGCACAGCAAAAGAAACTACCATCAGAGTGAACAGGAAACCTACAGAATAGAAGAAAATTTTTGCAATCTACTCATCTGACAAAGGGCTAATATCCAGAATCTACAATGAACTCCAACAAGTTTACAAGAAAAACCAAACAACCCCATCAACAAGTGGGTGAAGATATGAATAGACACTTCTCAAAAGAAGACATTTATGCAGCCAACAGACACATGAAAAAATGCTCATCATCACTGGCCATCAGAGAAATGCAAATCAAAACCACAATGAGATACCATCTTACACCAGTTAGAACGGCGATCATTAAAAAGTCAGAGTCTGCAATTATTTTAAATCCTACTACTCTATTTTGTAATGGAATTGCTAGGGATCTCTCGAAAATTTTGAAACTGTACTTTTGAAATGCACCGAAATGCAAAATTGGCAAATGAGTAGAATCCTGTTTGTAGCTCTTATTATTCTTTCTCATGTTACCCAATTTCATATGACTTTTTCCAATGATGGGTGCCAAGCATAAACCAAATGGTTAATTGATTAATTCAATACATATTTATTGGGTACCTGTGTGCTAATATTATTAGTCACTGTGCTAGACTCTGAGTATGTGACCTTGAGCTAAATACATATGATGCCTGTCTTTATTCTGTGCATGTACTAGCTTAGAAGACAAATATGCAGAAACAGTTGCCACAGTAGGAGAATGGTGCTTATGAGTACTTAGGAAGAGGACCTAAATTAGTATTCAGTCATGGAGAGGCCAAAAGAAGGTTTAGAGGAAGCTTACTGTTGTAAATAATATATAAACCGAGACCTAAAGGATACATAGGCAAAACACAGTGTAATGGAGGCAACAGCATGGCAGAGGCAATGGCAAAATTGGGATCTGAGAGAAAAAAAGAGCAGGGATTAATTCAGGAACTGAAACAAAATCAGTCTCTGGAACTCTGGTATGAGAACAGGAAAGGCAAAATCAAGACTGGAGAATCAGGTGATGGAGAGCCTGGTATGTCACTCTAAGAAATGAGATTTTCTACAAACGCCAGTAGGAAGCTACTAAAAGATTCCAAGCTGGGGACTAACATGATCTTAATTGCATTATGTAAATGGGGATATTAAAATGATAATTTTCTGTTTCTGTTTTTGCTAAAGCCTCAAGAAAATAAGTACCAAATTCTCTGAGGGGTAGACTGCTCAAGGAAGATTTGCAAAGGGTGTCTCCAACAATGGATTTTGCAACTCTTAGCTGACTATCAATCTGCAGACTACTGAAGAGGGTAGAGACACTGAGATACAGAAGTGAGAGACTGGAGAGACAATTTATGTGGAAGGAATTAGTGTGCCATGAAATGTGCCACCTCTCTCTTTGAGAGAGTTGGAGTTTTAGATAACTGAATATTTGTCCCCTATAGTTTGGGGAACAAAGACCTGGGAAAAAGAAAAGAATCTCACTGCAATAATCTGTTAACAGCAAACTATAAGCTGTGGTTTGGGTGTAAGAGTTTGATCACACATTTCTCATTAATCTGATGAGGAGAAAGAGAGAGAGCAACAGAGAGAGAGAGAAGATGAGTGTGAGCATGTTGGAGATCAAGCAATCAAGTAACTTTGAAGTTATTTTTCCTAAAGAGATTTTATCAAGGGTGATGCCCACACACGGACTACTGGAAAAGACAAGACGGAGGTGGCAGATGTCAGTGGCCCTGCAGAGAGTGCATCATCTGTGCCAAGGAAGTGGAAGTGGTGATCTCAGAGATGGCCTATATGGGCAAATCCCACAGTCAGTGGTAAACCCCTTTCACAGCCACAGAAATGGAAGTGTAAATCTGCATGTAAAAGCTGATATTCATTGAGTGCCAGTCCAGAGAGCTTTTCTGTCCCCTTCTTGTCCTTTGGTCTTCTCATTCCCATCATGGAGATGCCAGAAACCACATAGCTAGCAGGGAGAAAAGCAGACAAAGTCCTTTCCCCACTGCAGGCATCTCACATGTAACACGTAACACTGGCCCAGGGGAAATATGTTTAAATTTCACAGCTTTTATTATTTTTCTGGGGTGGACATGTTATTAATAATTACTAACTAAATGGGGCTGTCTAAGGTGACAGGACAGAGAGAAAAAGATCAAGCACCACAGAGCAGATTTGTAGGAGAAATGGGGAAAAAACAAAGTTGCTTCATTCTTACATCTTGAGTGTGCTTCTCTTTCAGTGCATTGGGTCCACTTAGAAGGGTGCCTCTGACTGCTGTGTGAAAATGATTTTAGCCTTACTTATTTTGATGCTCTGGTGTCAGATGTATACCAATTAAGGAATGTTATTTCTTCCTAGAGAATTGACCCCATTATTATTTCTTATGCCCCTCTTTATCCTGATAAATTTCTTGATCTAAAATTAGCTTTGTCTGTAATTAATATAGCTACTCTAACTTTCTTCTGATGAGTGTTACCATGATTATCTTTATTTCTGTTTTTACTTTTATTCCCTTTTAAATACACTGTTTTTTTTAGGGCAGTTTTAGGTTCATAGCAAAATTGGGCAGAAAGTACAGAGAATTTTCATATATTCTCTGCCCCTCGATCCATGTCCTACATTGAAGTGGTTCATTTGTTATAAATGATGACGCATCATTATCATCCAATGTTCATAATTTCTGTTAGAGTTCACTCTTGGTGTTACACATTCTTGGTTTTACACATTTGACAAATGTATACGACAAGTATCCACCATTATAGCACCACACAGAACAGTTTCACTGCTTTGGAAGCTTCTGTGCTGGAAACTATGACGACAGTAAAAAGATCAGCTGGTGACCAGGGGTAGGGGAAAGGAAGACATGAATAGGCTGCAGGGAGGCCTTTTCCAGAATGTCCTATGATTAAAATCATGAAGTATGTAGCCTTTTCAGATTGGCTTTTTTCATTTAGTAATATGTATTTTAGTTTCTTCTATGTCTGTTCATGACTTGCTAGCTCATATCTTTTTAGCAGTGAATAAATCCCATTATCTGGATATACCACAGTTTATTCATTCATATGCTGAAGGACATTTTGGTTGCTTCCAAGTCTTGGCAATTGTGAGTAAAGCTGCCATAAACATTAGTATGCATATTTTGTGTGGACATAACTTTTCAACTCATTAGGTAAACACTAAGGAGCATGATTGCTGGATCATATGACAAAAGTGTATTTAGTTTTGTTAGAAACTGCCAAACTGTCTTTCAAAGTGTCTGCTTGGCATACCTACCAGCAATAGATGAACATTCCTGTTACTACACATCCTTGCCAGCATTTGGTGTTGTCAGTGTTCTGAATTTTGGTCATTCTAACAGTGGTATCTCATTGTAGTGGTGTAGTTTAGTGGTATATTGTTTTAATTTGCAGTTCCCTAGTGATATGCTATGGAGTATTTCTTCATATCCTTATTTGCCATCTATATATCTTCATTGATAAAGTGTCTGTTCAGATCTTTTATCCATTTTTAAATCAGTTCGTTTATTTTTTATTATCAACTTTTAAGATATATTTTGTATATTGTGGATAGTAGTCCTTCATATGATATGACTTTTGCAAATATTTGCTCCCATTCTGTGGCTTGTATTCTTCTTATTTTCTTGACAGTTTTTTCACAGAGCAGACATTTTTAATTTTAATGCAATCCAGCTTATTAAGTATTTCTTTGATGGATTATGCCATTGATGTTATATCTAAAAAGAAATCACCACACCCAATATCATATAGGTTTTCATCTATATTAAATTCTAAGAGTTTTATGCTTTTGCAACTTACATTTAGGTGTGTGATTCATTTTGAGTTTATTTTTGTAAATGTTGTAAAGTCTGTGTCTAAATACATGTTTATCCTGTGGGAACACTATATGACTTCACAGTAGTGCAGGTATCTTACAACAGAGTATTCCCAATTCCTTCTTCTCATCTCTAATTATATTGCTGTTACTTATATGTATAATTATCCATTGTTATTATTATTACTAGTAACAAGTACTTAATTTTAGGTCAATAAAGAACAGGGAAAATGAAAGATTCATTTGTTTCTCCTCTAACATTCCTGAGCTACATCATTTTTATTCTCTCTGAAGATTTTCTTTTAACACTTTAGTATTTACCTTCCTTGGTGTTACCTTAGATTTTTGAATTGGTGGTTTGGTGGTTTTCATTAATTTTGTAAAATTATCAGCATTATTCCTTCAAAATTTCTTCTGCTCAGTTTTCTCTTTTTTTCCCTTCCAGTATTCCAATTATGTGTACAATACAAATTTAGAATTATCTCTCAGTTCTTAGATGCTGTTTGTTTTGTTCATTCCTTTTTCTGTTTGCATTTCAGTTTCTATTGTCATATCTTGAAGTTTATTGATGATTTCCTTAGCCATCTTCAACCTACCGATGAGCATATCAAAAGCATTATTCATTTCCGTGACAGCATTCTTGATTTCTAGACTTTTGTTTAGATATTTTTAAAACAAGAATATCCATCTCTCTGCTTACATTGGCCATCTATTTATGCATGTTGTCTTCTTGTTTTCATTAGAACTCTTAAATGATTAATTATTGTTGTTTTAAATTCTCTGTCTTATAATTCCAACATTTGTATCATAGCTGAGTCTGATTTTGATGCTTGCTTTGTCTCTTCATACTGTGTTTTTTCTGACTGTTAATTTCTTTTTTTTTTTTGGTAGAAAACTAGACATGATATATTCGGGTAATAGTGACTGAGAAAAAGGTCTTTAGTGTGAGATTTTATTGTTAATCTGACTAAGTCTAATGTTTGCTCTATTTGTAAGTGCCAGAGACTCCAACTTCTGCTAGTGTTCTTGTTTTTTGTCTTCTCCTTGAATCTTTACCTTGCACCTCTTTCAGTGCAATCCTCTGATCCACTGTAATTGTACTGGTGCCCTATGGATGTGGTGGTGTGTTGAGGAAGGTGGTTGAAAGTGTTCTATAAACTTCCTATTAAATTTGAGTCTGTGTCCTTGGTCTGTGACCATTATAATTCTATTAATTTTCTCTTTAGCAATTTCTAAATCCACTGAGCTTTTAATTTCAGTTACTAGATATTTATTTCTGGACATACAGCTTATTCTTGCAAAACTTGTTGTTTTTACTTATGTTTTAAGCCTCTTTCATTTCTTGGGAAATATTAAAAATAGTTTCAGAAATGCATGCTTCTCCTGCAAATTCAATTTCTGAAGGCTTTGTGAGTCTCTTTCTGTTATCTGTTTCTGCCTATTCTTGCTTATATATTGGTTTTTCTTATATGTTTTATAATTTTTGATTATTAATTGCCTTTTAAAGGAGGTTTATATTTGTAAATTCTTTTAGGCTTATGAAAATGGTAGATTCTTCCAAAAAAGATTTTCTTTGCTTCTGTCAACTGCCTGTGAGTCTTACCAATTTACATTTTAAACTAAATTCTTGACTTCACATTTTTCTTATTATCCAGGTGCTGTGAATTAGGCCTGAAAACTTACATGATAGGTTCTGGTTATTAATTTTCTAGGAAGATTTTTCATCTTCTCTCCTCCCCGTCTTCATATACAGGGATAAAGATTTGAGAAAGATTTTTATCATTTATTACCACAGTTAGATGTAGAGCTTTTTTTATTTCTAATTTGCTAAGAGTGAAGCTCTCTTTTGTTCCTTGCTTTATAGTGGAAACCAACATATTAGACTCCCCAGTTTGAGAGGAATTGGGGCATTCTCTTCTATCCCCACAGCACTCTGAAACTTTCAATTCAAAGTCAAGTTTAGCACATGTTTTACCTATCTGTACCTCTAACTGGAGGAAAAACTAAATTTGCTTACATCTTAGCCAGCATATTTCTTTCTTTCATGACAGCTCTTGAATACATTTATAAAGATATATTTGCATTTTATCTACCAGTTTAATTAGAGAGATTAGCTTATTGGTTATTCCGCTGTAAAAGTAGAGGAAGTGAAACTCTATGGGCTGGACTTCTGATCCCTGCATTGCTTTTGAAAGTTTGGTTACAGATCTGCCTGTCAAATGCAGATCTCCTCATAGGGTACTGATACATTCACAGAACTAGATATTTTGTTTCTTTCTTCTGAAATGTTGACAAGATTTATGGATGATACATGAAACACACAATAGATGAGAAAGGTCTTGCTTCTATCAAAATCTTGATGGAATTGCAACCTGGCTATGGAGAATCTAAAATTTTGTTTTTGACAACCAATCCAAATTGATAATACTAATAGGCAATGAGGATACTTACTTTTCTCATCTTCTTTTTCTTTCTCTCTAGTGGGCATTTTATAGTTCTTTTAAAGTCATATTTGGTGGAGGTGGGATTGGTTCTATTTATTATTTAAGGGTTTAGCTGATTTCAGACAATGATTTTCAGATCTACTGAGAATTTTAATGTGGGAGTACATCTCCAATCTTTTGAGTCATGCTGCCACTGACTACCTATGTGAACTTGGACAGTTTGCAAACTTACATATGCCTCTGATTTCTATTTGTAAAATGAGGATAAAACAATACTACTTCCCTCATAATGTTCCTGTGGCTATTCCTGGCCGAAGCATAGTAAAACATTATATATATGTTAGTTGTGATGATGGCGATGATGATGAAGATGGATTGAGAAGCATGGAGTTTAAGAAAAAATGTTTGCAAGCCTTAGCATAATCCTGTTCTTAGGAGCCTGTCCTGGGGTTTATTTGTGCTCAGAATACTAATCTGGATACTTTAATCCTTCAATTTCTACAGAATAAGATAGATGGTCAGTTTTAACACATATTTTTTATCTTAAATCATTTGATTAGAATGAGGATGCTTTAATTATTTTTTCTCTAACTCGATCTGGTTTCCACCCCATCACAAAACCATCACTGACATTTTGCACTTGAAATTTTCAGAAGTCAGGCTAACCTGCCCGTTTTCTCAAAGTGAGAAATTGGATAATAAGGATAATCCCTTCAAAATCTTTTAACTGCTTTCCAGGGATTAAGTCTAAAGTCTTCACCATATAAGCTCCCTAGAAAATTGGCCTCAACCTCACTTTCCAGTTTAATTTTCTCTTACCCTGTACCTTGCAATCCAGACTGTTCTCTGAATGCACTATGACTTTCACATCTTTGTCTTTGAGCCTTCCTAACAACTCCTCTCTGATAAGAGTGCCCTGCCCTGCATTTCTTCTTATCTAGACTGACTCCTCCTCTCTGCCCCCAGATTTGTTCCCTTAAATTGCTCTCAGCAATGCAACCAGAGCACTCTTTGAAAAATGCACATTGATCATGTCAGTCTCCTACTGAAATCCCTTAAATATAATAGCTGTTAGTTGCTTTAAGGAATAGAGTTCAAATTCCTGAGTATGGTTTACAATATACTCATAATTTTTCTGGGTTCATTTTTCTTCTGCCTGCCTCACAGTTTGCTGAGTCACTTCCAGCCCTTTACATGCCATTTCCTCTACCTCATATGTCTCTATTTTACCTCGTTTATCTTGGGCATGGGAGAACTTCTATTAAATTCATTCCTCAGATTTAGGGTTGCCAAATAAAATACAGAACACCCATTTAAATTTAAATTTTAGATAAGAGCAAATTTTTTTTTAGTATAAGTATGTCCCAAATATTATACAAGATACCTATACTAAAAAATTATTTGTTGTTTACCTAAAATTCAAACTTAAATGAACATTCTGTATATTTATTTGCTAAATCGAGGTCAGATTTTAGAACCAAGTCAATGTGTTCTCTTAACATCTTGTACTTTGTGGCACTAACCATAGTATACTGAAATGGTTGTTTATCTAACTCTTCTAATAGACAGTTTGCTCTTTGGGGACAAGGGGTATGTATTTTTCACTGTATTGCCTGTAGCAATTACTAGAGTGAGTTTAGTGCCAGAAGATAGCAACCATTGAACAAAGAGGTATTGAATAAGTGAATGGATGATGGAAAGACGAATGGATGGATATGTTAGAAATCCTATTAAATACCTCTTCAATACAATCTTCCCTGGCATATTCCCAGGAAAAACTACTTGGTAATTATCTCTGTGTTTTGGTAACACCTTTTACATATTTCTTTCATAGCTCCTATTATACATGTTTTATGTATAATACTTACAACTGTTTGTTTTTATGTCATATACCTTCCTAATTGGTAAGCATCCAACAGTTAGAGATTATGTCTTCATCATCTCATTGTTGTACTTTCTGCCCTCCACATTGACCTGCTAATCACTGTTGGAGACTAATGTGATTGATTAAAAGAGGGGGCATTCAGCACACTCTTTGGAAGGAAATGTTTATCTGAATGAAAATGTGATATTCAATTATTAACAAAGAATGTGCTTTTCAGTTATGTTAATTAGAGACTGGTGCTGCCAGATCACCTATTGAGTAATTTGTTCAAATATGAATACCCTCTTTTAAGAAAGATACAACCTAAAGATTACACAGAGAAAAGTGCTCAAGATAACAATAGCTAATATTATGTACCAAGTAGTGTGCTATAAAATTTAAATAAATCATATAATTAAATTTCATAATTACCTTATGAAGTAGGTACTAATATCTCCATATTTACATGTTAGAGATGTAAGAATTCGACTTAAAGATGTCCCCAACATTTTGCATATAGTAAATAGTGGAAAACATCTAAGCTTCTTTGCTAACCAAGCCCTGGCTGTTAAAAAATTCCACGCCACATAATATGCAAAATGATTAAAGGAAAGGTCTTGCTTAATACGAAGAGGAAAAAAATGATAAATGTTATCTGGTATTTGGTAAGTCAGGCTTTTTGTGTGTTTCCAGAGAACAGAATTAAGGTCAACGGTAAACATATTTGGCTAGATAAGAGAGACAATTTTCTAACATTTAAGTTATTAAGTATAAATAATTTAGCATTGTAATAATTGTATTTGGATTGTAATTGGTTTGAGACTTCTTTACAAAGAGTACTTTCCACATTTCTGGGAGATTTAGGAAGTGGCAAAGTAAAGGTGAGTCACAGAGGAGATTCAGCAAGTGGTTTACATTAACAGATTATATTGCACAGATTTACAGATGAAAAAGAATAGGACATTTTGTGCTTTAAAGATATTGTATTTAATGATTATATGTGTTAAAAGTTCCCTGGCTGAAACTTTAGACATTTTTGTAGCTTTCTGTAGAACTGGCAATATCTAGGAAAATATGACATTTGAAAGCAATAAGCATTTTTAATCTCTGAGGTAATAACTACCTCCATTGAATGTTCCATTTCACTATTTTTAGTAACCATTTAAAAAGATCTTTTATCAAAGCAAAGCAAGGTTCTTATTGTTCTTTGGGGAAGTTTCGCAGTAGCGATTAGCTTTAATGAAGAGGTTTTAGACTGAGGAAGGAAGTGGTACACAACTACCTAGTTGTGTATTGTTGAGACGGAACACTTTCTTTACAGGCTTTTCTGCTTATAAGGAAGAAGGTTTCTTTTGCTCATGTGGATTTAGATTTTACTTTAAAGAGTTGCTTGCTGTGTTTGTTCTTGCTTGAAAATTCACTGACAGGAGCTATGAAATGATGTTCTAGAAGGCTGAAGAAATATCGAAGTGGTTAAAGTTCACCTTGTACCAGACCAGGAATGATTGGCACATGAAGGGAAAATGTCAATAATCCAGACTTAACGGGATGTTCTAATGTTGGAATATTATGCTTTAATAGATTGTGTTTTGGGAGCTACCAGACAAGAGTGTGTGTATACGTCCAGATTTCTCTGAATGGACAAAAAATCCCCACTGTCTGTGTTCCCATGTTGAGGTAAATCCAGGGCCTGAGATGGGGGACTCTCTTTGGTCCCAGCTATTGAGACCTAATTCTAAGATTTAGCTCTCTTTTCAGGTACTCACATTGGTCAGGTTAAACTGGTCCTTTTCACAAAGAGGCAGGATGGAGAGCAAAAGGGGAAAGCAGTGTTCTAAATATGTAAGTACAGAAGTACAGTATCAAGGAGGACCGGCTAGAGCCTGTGGGGTCTGAGAGTAGCCACATGTACTGTTAGTTTTAAGTTACCATGCTGTAATTCTCTCATGTAAATTAACATAAGCCTAAAAAAATCTCATTAAAAGTTACAAACTGTTTTCTTCTGTGCTGGCAGAACTAAGAGAAGGGTCAGTGCCATGCCTGGGATCTAATGATAAAGAGCAGGCTATAACGACACTTCTTTATAAGCTGCCCCCTCACCATCCTAGGGCATTGTAACAGATACAGATTAGATTACTCTAGCATGGTGGGTGCTTCCAGAATCCTCAGAGTCATTGTGAGAGGCAGGAACACAGAATAGTAATGAGGACCCAAAGAAGGCAAAGATAAAAGGACAGACTAATGCTGAAAAAGCCAGGAGGTTTTACCATGTCTGATGACTCATTGGGAAATACCAGGGGGCTGTTGTGGCCATGAAAATGTTGCCATGAGGATATCCCAGTTAGGTAGCCTGCTGCAGGGAGTAGAGTTGACTCTTGCCCATCTAGGTCCACCCCAGAGTTTGAACCAAAACATGGTCCTCCTACAATCTTCTTAGCCATTGTGGGAGCCCAGTGAGGGGACTCGTGCCAGCCTGTTCCTACAGTGCCCAGTTCTTCTAATGGAGGACTTTAGCTTGGGGATTCCCCGTTGTTCTGGCCAAAAGGTTTCTAAAACTCAGCTGCAGCCTGAGGCTCTTGCCAAATCCTTATTCCTTCCCCCTCCACTTTCACAGCTGTCAGATTAGCATCACAGTCTAAAGACTCACCTATCTACTTCTGCTTCCTTCCTTTTAACCTTTGTAGGTGTTAACTTCCTCTTGAGGTCTTCTTAGAGGACCAGAACTAACATTGGGACTGGGAGATTTATCAAAAATGGCAGATGTGGGCAGAGAACAACTGTAATTTTGGTGCCAATATAAATGCAAAGTAATTGAGCTAGGGGACTTTAGTGATATATGCAACTGTGTTCAGTGTATCAAATTGAAAAGTCACTTTTACAACAGATCTAATCTACCTCTAGGTGGGAGAAACTGGGGAGGAGTTGCTATTGATATCATCAGTGTCTCTAGAGAAGGGGGGCATGACTGTGGTAAAGATAAGTAATGAGATGGGGAGAAGAAAACATACATACATATCGAAAAGCTGGGAAGGAGGGTTGGGATAAGAGAGGGAGAGATGCAGAGTGTAAGAATAAAGAGGTTCAGAAAAAAAAGCTTCAAAATGTGGTGCAATGTAAAATGTAGCAGGTATCGAGAAGACACAAAAGAGGAAAAAATCAGGATATAAACACAAAAATATACATTCCAGCAAAAATCCAGTAAAAATGGAGAAATTGTGTCTGGGATATGTATAGTACAAACCAGAAAGGTCTCTTGCTTATGAATATAGGAAACGAAACAGAAGGATTTAATGTTACAATTATTTGAAGAAAAATTTTCAAATCAAAGTAGGTCAAACTTAAGGCCAAGATTATGGCCAATATGAAAAAAAAGAATAAGAATGAAGCATTATTGTTGTTAGTGATCCCTAATTCATGCTATTCTGAACTATCTCGGCTGGTTCAAACTATACCACTTCCTATCAGTAAAAGATGGGAAGAGTATGAAGGAATTACCATCAGTATCAGAGCCTTTACGTTACGTTGGCACATTATGAAGATTAATCACACAAGGCTTTAAACACTTGCTAAAGATGGGTGTGATGGCAGTGCCTACAGCTACTCAGGAGGCTGAGGCAGGAGGATTCCCTGAGCCCAGAAGTAGAAAGCTGCAATGAGCTATGGTCACCACTGCACTCCAGCCTGGGTGAACTTGTCTCTAAAACAAACAAATAAGCAAAAATAAATAAATGCCTACTGATATCAAACAATGGAAAAACATTAAAATAATTACATATTTAGCACTTCTTAGAGATAACAGCATAATTTTAAGGTATAAATGGATTACACTGTATAAAAGTAATGATGTTTAACTTGATCTTGCTTTTTAAATATTTTTTTCTCAGTATTAGAGATTGACTGACATAATTTTTTTTTTCTTTGAGACGGAGTTTCACTCTTTTGTCAGGCTGGAGTGCAATGGTGCCATCTCAGCTCACTGTAACCTCCGCACCCGGGTTCAAGCGATTGTCCTGCCTCAGCCTCCCAAGTAGTTGGGAATACAGGCGTACACCACCACACCCAGCTAATTTTTGTATTTTTAGTAGAGATGGGGTTTCACCATGTTGGCCAGGATGGTCTCAATCTCTTGACCTCATGAACTGCAAAATTTTCCCAAGGTTCACTTTTCCACCAGCAACTATTCATTTGCGTATTAGGGAGCTGTCAGGCCTCTGAGCCCAAGCTAAGCCACCATATCCCCTGTGACCTGCACGTACACATCCAGATGGCCGGTTCCTGCCTTAACTGATGACATTATCTTGTGAAATTCCTTCTCCTGGCTCATCCTGGCTCAAAAGCTCCCCTACTGAGCACCTTGTGACCCCCACTCCTGCCTGCCAGAGAACAACCCCCCTTTTTCCTTTACCTACCCAAATCCTATAAAACGGCCCCACCCCTATCTCCCTTTTGACTCTCTTTTTGGACTCAGCCCGCCTGCACCCAGGTGAAATAAACAGCTTTATTGCTCACACAAAGCCTGTTTGGTGGTCTCTTCACACAGACGCGAGTGAAATTTGGTGCCATGACTCAGATCGGGGGACCTCCCTTGGGAGATCAATCCCCTGTCCTCCTGCTCTTTGCTCCATGAGAAAGATCCACCTACAACCTCAGGTCCTCAGACCGACCAGCCCAAGAAACATCTCACCAATTTCAAATCCGGTAAGTGGCCTCTTTTTACTCTCTTCTCCAACCTCCCTCATTATCCCTCAACCTCTTTCTCCTTTCAATCTTGGCGCCACACTTCAATCTCTCCTTTCTCTTAATTTCAATTCCTTTCATTTTCTGTTAGAGACAAAGGAGACACATTTTATCCATGGACCCAAAACTCCGGCGCCGGTCATGGACTTGGGTAGGCAGCCTTCCCTTGGTGTTTAATCATTGCAGGGACGCCTCTCTGATTATTCACCCAGGTTTCAGAGGTGTCAGACCACGCAGGGACGTCTGCCTTGGTCCTTCACCCTTAGCGGTAAGTCCCGCTTTTCTAGGGGAGGGGAAAGAACCCCTCAACCCCTTCTCCTTCACCCTTAGCGGCAAGTCCTGCTTTTCTGGAGAAGGGGCAGGAACCCCGACCTCTTATCTCTGCACCCCGATCCCTTATTTCTGTGACCCGACCCCTTCTCTGCTTTTCTGGAGGGCAAGAACCCCCCACCCCTTCTCTGTGTCTCTACTCTCTTTTCTCTGGGCTTGCCTCCTTCACTATGGGCAAGCTTCCACCTTCCATTCCTCCTTCTTCTCCCTTAGCCTGTGTTCTTAAAACTTAAAACCTCTTCAACTCTCACCTGACCTAAAATCTAAGCATCTTATTTTCTTCTGCAATGCTGCTTGACCCCAATACAAACTCGATAGTAGTTCCAAATAGCCGGAAAACGGCACTTCCAATTTTTCCATCCTACAAGATCTAAATAATTCTTGTCGTAAAATAGGCAAATGGTCTGAGGTGCCTGACATCCAGGCATTCTTTTAGACATCGGTCCCTCCCTAGTCTCTGTTCCCAATGCAACTCATCTCAAATCTTCCTTCTTTCCCTCCCACCTGTCCCCTCAGTCCCAACCCCAAGCATCGCTGAGTCTTTCTAATCTTCCTTTTCTACAGACCCATCTGACCTCTCCCCTCCTTGCCAGGCCGAGCTAGGTCCCAGTTGTTCCTCAGCCTCTGCTCCTCTACCCTATAATTCTTTTATCACCTCACCTCCTTACACCCGGTCCGGCTTACAGTTTCATTCTGTGACTAGCCCTCCCTGATTTGCCCAGCAATTTACTCTTAAAAAGGTGGCTGGAGCTAAACACATAGTCAAGGTTAATGCTCCTTTTTCTTTATCCCAAATCAGATAGTGTTTAGGCTCTTTTTCATCAAATATGAAAATCCAGCCCAGTTCATGGCTTGTTTGGCAGCAACCCGGAGATGCTTTACAGCCCTAGATCCTGAAATGTCAAAAGGCCGTCTTATTCTCAATATACATTTTATTACCCAATCTGCTCCTGACATTAAATAAAACTCCAAAAATTAAATTCCAGCCCTCAAACCCCACAACAGGACTTAATTAACCTTGCCTTCAAGGTGTACAATAATAGAGTAGAGGCGGCCAAGTAGCAACATATTTCTGAGTTGCAGTTCCTTGCCTCCACTGTGAGACAAACCCCAGCCACATCTCCAGCACACAAGAATTTCCAAATGCCTAAACCGCAGTGGCCAGGTGTTCCTCCAGAACCGCCTCCCCCAGGAGCTTGCTACAAGTGCCAGAAATCTGGCCACCAGGCCAAGGAATGCCTGTAGCCCAGGATTCCTCCTAAGCCGTGTCCCATCTGTGCAGGACCCCACTGGAAATTGGACTGTTCAACTCACCTGGCAGCCACTCCCAGAATCCCTGGAACTCTGGCCCAAGGCTCTCTGACTGACTCCTTCCCAGATCTTCTCGGCTTAGCGGCTGAAGACTGATGCTGCCTGATCGCCTCAGAAGCCCTGTAGACCATCACAGATGCCGAGCTTTAGGTAACTCTCACAGTGGAGGGTAAGTCCATCCCCTTCTTAATCGATACAGAGGCTACCCACTCCACGTTACCATCTTTTCAAGGGCCTGTTTCCCTTGCCTCCATAACTGTTGTAGGTATTGACAGCCAGGCTTCTAGACCTCTTAAAACTCTCCAACTCTTGTGCCAATTCAGACAATACTCTTTTAAGCACTCCTTTTTAGTTATCCCCACCTGCCCAGTTCCCTTATTAGGCTGAGACACTTTAACTAAATTATCTGCTTCCCTGACTATTCCTGGACTACAGCTACATCTCATTGCCACACTTCTTCCCAATCCAAAGCCCCCTTTGCATCCTCCTTTTGTATCCCCCCACCTTAACCCACAAGTATAAGATACCTCTACCCCCTCCTTGGCGACCGATCATGCACCACTTACCATCTCATTAAAACCTAATCACCCTTACCCTGCTCAATGCCAATATCCCATCCCATAGCATGCTTTGAAAGGATCAAAGCCTGTTATCACTCGTCTGCTACGGCATGGCCTTTTACAGCCTATAAACTCTCCTTACAATTCCCCCATTTTACCTGTCCTAAAACCAGACAAGCCTTACAAGTTAGTTCAGGATCTATGCCTTATCAACCAAATTGTTTTGCCTATCCAACCCATGGTGCCAAACCCATATACTCTCCAATCCTCAATACCTCCCTCCACAATCCGTTATTCGGTTCTGGATCTCAAACATGCTTTCTTTACTATTCCTTTGCACCCTTCATCCCAGCCTCTCTTCGCTTTCACTTGGACTGACCCTGACACCCACCAGGCTCAGCAAATTACCTGGGCTGTACTGCCGCAAGGCTTCACAGACAGCCCCCATTACTTCAGTCAAGCCTAAATTTCTTCCTTATCTGTTACCTATCTCAGCATAATTCTCATAAAAACACAGGTGCTCTCCCTGCTGATCGTGTCTGACTAATCTCTCAAACCCTTCCACAAAACAACAACTCCTTTCCTTCCTAAGCATGGTAAGATACTTTTGCCTTTGGATACCTGGTTTTGCCATCATAACAAAACCATTATATAAACTCACAAAAGGAAACCTAGCTGACCCCATAGATCCTAAATCCTTTCCCCACTCCTCTTTCCATTCCTTGAAGACAGCTTTAGAGACTGCCCCCACCCTATCTTACCCTGACTCATCCCAACCCTTTTCATTACACACAGCTGAAGTGCAGGGCTGTGTAGTCAGAATTCTTACACAAGCACAGGGATCGCGTCCTGTACCCTTTTTGTCCAAACAACTTGACCTTACTGTTTTAGGCTGGCCATCATGTCTCCGTGCAGTGGCTGCTGCCACCCTAATACTTTTAGAGGCCCTTAAAATCAGAAACTATGCTCAGCTTACTCTCTACAGCTCTCATAATTTCCAAAATCTATTTTCTTCCTCACACCTGATACATATACTTTCTGCTCCCCGGCTCCTTCAGCTGTACTCACTCTGTTAAGTCCCACAATTACCATTGTTCCTGGCCCGGACTTCAATCCAGCCTCCCACATTATTCCAGATACCACACCTGACCCTCATGACTGCATCTCTCTGATCCACCTGACGTCCTTTAATACCTGTTTTTCTCCTTCTCTTATTCCGTTTAGTTTTTCAATTCATACAAAACTGTACCCAGGCCATCACCAATAATTCTAAATGACAAATGTTTCTTCTAACAACCCCACAATATCACCCCTTACCACAAAATCTTTCTTCAGCTTAATCTCTCCCACTCTAGGTTCTCACACTGCCCCTAATCCCGCTCAAAGCAGCCCTGAGAAACATCTCCCATTATCTCTCCATACCACCCCCAAAAAGTTTTCACCGTCCCAACACTTTACCATGATTTCATTTTATTTTTCTTATTAATATAAGAAGACAGGAATGTCAGGCCTCTGAGCCCAAGCTAAACCATCATATCCCCTGTGACCTGCACGTACACATCCAGATGGCCAGTTCCTGCCTTAACTGATGACATTCCACCACAAAAGAAGTGAAAATGGCCTGTTCCTGCCTTAACTGATGACATTATCTTGTGAAATTCCTTCTCCTGGCTCATCCTGGCTCAAAAGCTCTCCTACTGAGCACCTTGTAACCCCCGACTCCTGCCTGCCAGAGAACAACCCCCTTTTTCCTTTACCTACCCAAATCCTATAAAACAGCCCCACCCCTATCTCCCTTCTGACTCTCTTTTTGGACTCAGCCCGCCTGCAACCAGGTGAAATAAACAGCTTTATTGCTCACACAAAGCCTGTTTGGCGGTCTCTTCATAGGGATGCGAGTGAAAGGAGCCAGATCCTAGCGGTCAGTGTTTGTTTTTTAGTGTTGCTAATTGACTCCTACAAAGTTTTTACTCAGGCAATAGCAACATCAGGTGAAAATATAGTCATTAAGCACAGAATGGAAAGAAAAATTTCAACTTTACTTCATTTTATTTGGTAAAAAATAATGCAGAAATTCTAACTGGACACAAACAAATTGACATAAATTAGTCTGACTCAGTTTAGTTATTTATAATAACCACTCACCAACTCTCCCATCTCCACTTTCCCAGGGGTGGAATGGGAAGCCCTCCCTTTATTTAAAATAACTAACGGGTCTAAATGTTTCACCTTACAATTGCTGATTGTCTCCTGTAGTGTGAAATGGAACACAACTAACACCCAATTATCAGGGCTGTAGTGAAGAAAACAATGCCTGGCCTAGAGTGGGGACTCAACCTACGGTTTCTATTGACTCCTGGGGAGTTTAACAAGGTGGACATCATTAATAAACATTAGCTGAAGAAGAAAACGAACAAGATTGATATCTGGGGAAAAACATGAAGGTTGCACAAAATTAAAAGGCTGAGAAGATAAGAAATCTAAATCAATATTACCCATGTAGGACAAAGGCACATATGATCAAATAAATCATGAGACCTTCAAAAAGAATGCATGTTTTGTGAAGAAAAATGGACAGATTCATAAATATATGTGAAGTGAGAACGCAGGAAAGGAAGATTATAAGCCCCTAGAGAGAGACTGAAATGAATTCAATGACAGAAGAGGCAAATGCAGCAAGAAAAATGAATAACTTATTTGGTTTAGTGCTCACTGAAGAGGACTTGAAGTTGTACTAGAAAGTGAAAAGTCTCCCAGAGGGAGATGGCACACTCCTAAAAGCTAAGAACTGGAAAATCATTTACATAGGTAACATCTCATTATAACGAAACTAACAGTACCACTAAATTGTTTTATTGGGACAAAATTTTATTAAAATGATTTCAGGTGTGAAAGCTCCTATGAATTGATAAAGCTGGGAGTGACAGTCAGTGGATTCCTGAATATTAAAAACGGCAGCAAATAATCAGAGAGATAGAAAATGCTTTATATTCATAAATGTGAGTCATAGCATTATTTATAATAGAAAATTATGTAAATATACAAAAAGAGGGAAATAGGTAATTACATTATAAAATTTATATGAGAAAATATTTTACCAATAAAATTATGCTTATAAAAATACAGTACTAATAGTATCAGTAAATGCATATGATGTAACATTAAATAAAAGAAAATTGCATATAGAGAAAAATTAACATTGTAAAAGATAAAATAACCAAAAATAACCACTGGACGTATCAATAATAGAATGTTAAAAATGTTATCTTTGGCTATTGAGGTTAAGTATTATTTTTATTTTCTTCTTTATAGTTTTCTGAATTTTCAAAAAAAATAGTATAACTGGGCATGGTGGCTCATGCCTGTAATCCCAGCCTTTTGAGAGGCCGAGGCAGGAGGATTGCTTGAGCCCAGGAATTCAAGACCAGCCTGGGCAACATAGTGAGACCCCGATTCTTCAAAATAAAATTAAAAAATTTAGCTGGGCAAGGTGGTGTGCACCTGTAGTCCCAGCTACTCAGGAGGCTGAGGCAGGAGGATGTCTTGAGCCCAGGAGTTTGAGGCATCAGTGAGCTATGATCATGCCACTGCACTTTAACCTGGGTAACAGAGCAAGACCCCATCACAATGAAAAAATAAATATATATATAATAAAATTAGTATGTACTTTTTCATATGCATATAGATGTTGAACATGAATTTATATTGTGTAAGTAGGTATCTGTATGAAATTTTTAAAAAATCAACTAGTTCTATATAGCTAATAATTAAAGACAGCATTCTCTTGCCCCACTATTTTTGCTCTCCCAAGGCAGTCACTCGCAAATCTTTATCTGTTTCTTCTGATATTTACCTCCCTATTTTTAAACAACTGCCATTTGTATATTTTACTAACTTATTCATACGGGAAACAGGTTTGCATTTATCATGCCCCCATTCCCAGGACCCATGCAAATATTTTCTCCCTCTAGCCTCTCAATACAAATACAGTTATCTTGTATATTTAGATAAAATGCATATTTTGTGTTTACCCATATGGGAGCCATCTACTGTCATATGATTGTTTCATTTTTTCCCTTGTGTTAAGTTCTTGTTTTCCTTGTGGCTTAATAATTGCATCCTTTTGTCATTGTTGTTTCTGTAGATTTCCAGATTGTCAGACATAAACAATTTCCAGATTGTCAGACATGGAAAGCACTTCTCAGTGAATTTAAGTAAATCAAATAAAGTCTTAGTTCAAGTTCAACATTAACCACTGAAAATTCCCTTAACCTAGCAGGTTTCCTAACAGGGGATTTAAATCTTAATTACTATACAAAGGTCTGACCAGACCTAGGAGGAACCCCCTTCAGGACAGGATGATAGATGGTTCCTCCCAGGTGATTGAGAAAAAAAAAAAAAAAGAAGAAGAAGAAGAAGAAAAGGGGGAGGGGGAGAATTTATGTAAAAAGAATGTTATATGGTAAATTCTTGTCCTAAAATAAATTAACTGGTTGTTTAAAGAAAGGAATGTTTGCAATAAGTCAGAAAGTTGAGACGTCGAAGAATAGTCTGTGAAAGTCGTGAAAGAAAAAAAACGTGTGTTACAAAAAAGGAACTTATGCAAGAAAAGTTGTATAATTTAAAAGTTATTAGGTCTACTGAATGTAAAACTATTGAAGAAACAGTTTATGTGCAAGGTGTACAAGGAAAGTAAAATATACTTTTAGTAAAAGGATTATAAGCAGGCATAAGAAGGTGGATTTTTACCTACATTAAAAGGTTAAAAAAGTTTGTTTTGAAGGTTTAAGCAAGTTTTGAAACGTTAGTAGTAAAGGAAATTCTGTGTGTAAACATATTGGCTGAAGTTAAAGTGGTATCATCCAGTTTTTTTGTGAACTGGACATTAAAATAAAAATACAATGGGCTTTTCTTAAAGCACTGGCCTGCTCTTTAACAAAAAATTATAAAAGGTTAAAAAGAGTCTATAAAAAATCTTAGCTTATGGTCAGACATTAAAAATTGAATAAATATGCCTACAAAGTTTTATTAAAACTAAGTTTAACATTAATAACACACTAATATAAAGGTGAAATTTAGCTTATCTGGTATAAAAATTATACAGGAAGCATTGTCAAATATAAAAAAAAATGGTGTTTGGCTTTCTTTGATCTAAAAACTAATAAAAATAGGTGCTAAAGGAAATTTCTCAGTAAGAAGGCACCAAGAACTATAAAGTCCACTGCTGATGTCCCCACATTTAAAACAAATGGTCATTTTCTTAGAAATTATACACTTGGTTTATCTTCCACTTTCCTTTTCCTCAAAACTAAAAGTCTTTTAGCATATGTACCACCCCTAGAATTTCTGGCAAACCAGCACCAGCCTGAAGATCATGTTCTCATCAAAGGGTGGAAAGAAGGAAAACTCAAGCCAGCCTGGGAAGGACGCTACCTTGTGATGCTAATCACTGAGACTGCTGTTCATACAGTGAAATGGGGATGGACTCATCACACCTGAGTCAAGAAAGCACCACCCCCTCCAGAATCATGGGCCGTAGTCCCAGGGGAAACCCTACCAAACTAAAGCTAAGAAAAATTTAACTCTTTCATCTATTCTATTACTCTTTAATCTTTCCTCGCTCTATTGCTGACCATCTACTTATTAACATAACAAAGTCAATTTCGCCTCAAACTATTGCATTTAATGCTTCCCTTTTTTTTTTTTTGGTGTTGGGGATTTGCTTTTTTTATTTATTTCTATTTATTATTATTATACTTCAGGTTCTAGGGTACATGTGCATAACATGCAAGTTTGTTACATATGTATACATGTGCCTGGTTGGCGTGCTGCACCCATTAACTCATCATTTACATTAGGTAGGTCTCCTAATGCTATCCTTTCCCCCTCCCCCCACCCCACGACAGGCCCCAGTGTGTGATGTTCCCCTTCCTGTGTCCAAGTGTCCTTATTGTTCAATTCCCACCTGTGAGTGAGACCATTTGGTGTTTGGTTTTCTGTCCTTGCGATAGTTTGCTGAGAATGATGGTTCCCAGCTTCATCCATGTCCCTACAAAGGACATGAACTCATCCTTTTTTATGGCTGCATAGTATTCCTTGGTGTATATGTGCCACATTTTCTTAATCTAGTCTTGCCTTAATCTAGTGCTTGCCTTGTTATACCCTGTGGGGACTTGCCAAGTCAAAGACAGCTCTCTACTTCAGAAGAGTACCTGTCCCTCCTGACTCTCCTCAGACTGGGCATTAGTAAATTAGGACCATTTAATCCGGGGAGATTTCGATAAAGACCCCAGTGCCAACCAGGAGTCTTGCCCCCGATGTAGAGCTTTTATGCCATAGTTGGTCCAATGTTCTGTGGACCACTAAAGAGCAAGGATGGACTGCCCCAACTGGTTTTTGTAATTTCCTAAAATCATACATTCATTTTACTAGAGGATCATAGAAGTTAAAGACTAAAACAAACTTTGGCAGTTAAGACAAGATACCAAGATGCAAATGCCCAGTTGGAATGGATCAAATATTCTGTCCGCACGTTAAACAAAAGCAATTGTTATGCTTGTGCACATGGCAGGCCAGAGGCCCAGATTGTCCCCTTTCCACTAAGGTGGTCCTTCAGTCGACCAGGCGTGGACTGCATGGTAGCTCTTTTCCAGGATTCTACAGCCTGCAGTAATAAGACATGCCAAGCTCTCTCTCTGCTATATCCCAAAGTTCTGCACCCTGCAGGTCAGCCCCTGAGGGCCATCCAGCTTCCGTCTCCCAACACTAAGTTCACTTCATGTCTCTCACCACAGGGAGGAAATTTAGCATTCCTTGGAGACCTGAAGGGATGCAGTGAGCTTAAGAATTTTCAAGAGCTTATCAGTCAGTCAGCCCTTGTTCATCCCCGAGTGGATGTGTGGTGGTATTGTGGTGGACCTTTACTGGACACTCTGCTGAATAACTGGAGTGGCACTTGTGCTTTAGTCCAATTGGCTATCCCTTTCACCCCAGCATTTCATCAACCAGAGGGACGGATCCGGTTATTGGACGGAAGAATAGCCATGCCACAGCTGCTAGGAACCGCAGTTGTACTGGCTGTGCATGAGACCACCCACCTAGGCGAAGAGTCACTTGAAAAGTTGTTAGGCTGGTACTGTCAGCCTTTGCCAAAATGGTGGTGCAGCAGTGTGACACCTGCCAGCAGCACAATGCTAGGCAAGGTCCAAACGTCCTGCCTGGCATACAAGCTTATGGAGTAGCCCCCTTTGAAGATCTCCAAGTAGACTTCACCGAGATGCCCAAATGTGGAGGTAACAAGTATTTGCTAGTTCTAGTGTGTACATACTCTGGGTGGGTGGAGGCCTATCCAACACGAACTGAGAAAGCTTGTGAAGTAACCCATGTGCTTCTCTGAGATCTCATTCCTAGGTTTGGAGTGCCCTTATGGATCAGCTCAGACAATGGGCCGGCATTTGTGGCTGACTTGGTACAGGAGACAGCAAAGGTGATTGAGTGTGGATCGAAGACTGGAACATAGCCCCCTTGCGGCCACAGTGGAAAGGACCCCAGACTGTCATCTTGACCACTCCCACAGCCATAAAGGTAGAGGGAATCCCAGTCTGGGTCCACCACAGCCACGTAAAACCTGCAGCACCTGACACCTGGGAGGCGAGAGCAAGCCTGGACAACCCCTGCAAAGTGACTCTGAAGAAGAGGACAAGCCCTGCTCCAGTCACACCTGGAAGCTGACTGGTCCACGCACGACCAAAGCATGAGGAAACTCATCGTGGGACTCATTTTCTTTAAAATTTGGACTTGTACAGTAAGGACTTCAACTGACCTTCCTCAGACTGAGGACTGTTCCCAGTGTATACGTCAAGTCAATGAGATAGGACAAAAGGTTGCTGCAGTCCTATTATTTTATAGTTATTATGAATGTACTGGGACTCTAAAAGGAACTTGTTTGTATAATGCTACTCTGTACAAGATATGTAGCCCAGGAAATGACCAGCCTGATGTGTGCTATAACCCATCTGAGCCCCCTATGACTACTGTTTTTGAAATAAGATTGAGGACTGGCAGCTGGGGAAAAGCTGATACGAGTAAAGTTGTAACTGGAACAGAAGAGAAAGGCATCCCCAAACAAATTATCTTAAAATTTGATGCCTGTGAGGCAATCAACAGTGACCCATATGGAAATAGAATAAGACGTGGTTCTCTAGATTGGGAAAGGGGCTATATAGTAGAAAATAAGTATATTGTCATGAATTGAGACTGTGTAGTGATGAATGTAGTTACTGTGTCATTTATGCCACCTGGAAAAAAAAAGATGAGAAGGACCCTGTCCACCTTCAAAAAGGAAGGAGTAACTCTTTCTGCACTAGTGGTCACTGTAACCCATTAGAACTACTAATTACCTATCCCCTTGATCCCCGTTGGAAAACAGGAGAGTATGTAACTCTAGGAATCAATGGAACTGGACTGGATCCCCGAGTAAATATTTTAGTCCAAGGGGAGGTCCACAGGCACTCTCCCAAACCAGTGTTTCAGACCTTTTATGATGAGCTGAATCTACCAGCACCCGAGCTTCCAGGTTTCTCCAGTTGGCAGAAAATGTAGCTCACTCCCTCAATGTTACTTCCTGTTATTTATGTTGGGGAACCACTATGGGAGACCAATGGCCTTGGAAAGCCTGAGAGTTGGTGCCTACTGATACAGTTCCTGACATAATTCCAGTCCAGAAGTCCTAAACTAGCAACTTCTGGGTCTTAAAAACATCCATTATTGGACAATACTGCGTAGCTAGAGAAGGAAAAAACTTCACTGTCCCTGAACTGATCCCTAGGCTCAGCTGCCTAGGACAAAAGCTATATAACAGCATAGCAAAGATAGTCACCTGGTGGGGCTTAAACCATGCTGAAAAGAACCCATTCAGTAAGTTTCCTAAGTTGCAAACTGTTTAGGCCCATCCAGAATTTCATCGGGACTGGACGGTTCCTGCTGGACTGTGTTGAATATGTGGGCATACAGCCTACACCAAACTACCTGACCAATAGACAGGGAGTTGTGTCATGGTACCACTAAGCCATCCTCTTTCTTGTTACCTGTAAAGACAGGTGAGCTTCTAGGTTTCCCTGTCTATGCCCCCCGAGAAAAAAGAAGCATAGCCGTAGGTAATTGAAAAGATGATGAATGGCCCCTGAGAGAATCTTTAACATTATGGGCCTGCTATCTGGGCAGAAGATGGCTCACAAGGATACCAAACCCCTAATTACATGCTCAACTGGATCATACAGTTGCAGGCCGTTTTAGAAATAATCAGTAATGAAATTGGAAAGGCTTTGACTGTTTCAGCCCAGCAGGAAACCCAAATGAGAAATGCCATCTATCAGAATAGGTTGGCCCTAGACTACTTGCTAGCAGCTGAAGGAGGAGTTTGTGGAAAATTCAATCTCATTAACTGCTGCTTACAGATAGATGATCAAGGACAGGTAGTCGAAAGTATAGCCAGTGAAATGTGAAAACTAGCACATGTACCAGTAAAGGTTTGGCATGGGTTTGATGCTGGATCCCTATTTGGAAAGTGGTTTCCAGCTCTAGGAGGATTTAAAACTCTTATAATAGGTATAGTAATAGTGTTAGGAACCTGCCTATTGCTCCTTTGTTTGTTTCTCCAACTACTAAGAAGTTTTGTTGCCACCTTCGTTCATCAGAAAGCTTTAGTGCAAGTGTATTACATGAATCACTATCGATCTGTCTCACAGGAAGACCTGGATAGTGAGGATGAGAGTGAGAACTCCCACTAGTGAGTGAGGTTCTCAAAGTGAGGAATGAGGAGAGAGGCCATTTCTCTTACTGTCTCCTGTCTCCAAAGAAAAGGAGGAAGTAAAAACTGAAAAATAACAGACTGATTGTCTCCACTGGCCAGGCCTGTAGGTTAAAGATTAACCTCCATCCTAATCGCTTGTGCTATCTATAGATCACAGACAATAGTATAGAGAAATACTTGCTCAATCTATCACTACCCTGTCATGTGGACCCCTTAGAGTTGTAAGCCCTTAAAAGGGCCAGGAACTCTTTCTTCGGGGAGCTTGGTTCTTGAGACGCAAGTCTGCCGATGCTCTTGGCTGAATAAAACCACTTTCTTCTTTAACCTGGTGTCTGAGGGGTTTTGTCCACAGCTCATCCTACTACAATACCATGGTTCTGTGTCACAAAACATTTTGACATTTTCCCCTTTTCCTCCTGACCGCTGTCTTAGCATTCAACTATCTCTGGTCTGCCTAGTGAGTTGCAATATATCCTTCTCCTTTCCATCTATAAAAATTCCCTTGACAACATATCTGCTGCCATTCCTTTTTTATTCTTTTTGTCTTTTGAAGTTTGTTTCCCTTTCCCCCCATTACTCTCATCATAGTCAATTTTAGGAGATAAACTCAATATTGAATTCACTATGTTAAAATAAAAGACACTGTTGTTTTTAATAAAATAAACTTTTAATGTGCTTGATTTTTACTTACGTTGAGAGAATTTATAAAACATTAAGTATTTATATTTTAATTATATCATGAACATCCCCAGACTAACTTTGTTAAGCAAAATAAAAAGCAAAATACAGTAAATTAATAATGATACCTACCATATTTTTCTTGAGCAAAGGAATTCCATAAACATGAGCAAATGGTTGAATTGATGAGAAAAATAACTACTACCTGCAGTATTCGATTGTTTCTATTTGTGTCTAGAAAGTACATTTGTCCTGTGTAAAATCCTTGTTGATATTGCATGGCAGAAGTAATGTTCTTTGCTATGGGTCTAGGATGAGACTTTGGAGTTTCACAATTTTCAGTACATGGGCTTTTGAAATATGCACATGGAGGCTGCAATTCTCATTTTCTCTGTCCACATATTTTCAGTCTTCTGTTCCCAGAATAAAATTTTCCAGACTGCATCTTCACTGTAATATATGCCCATGATAAAAAGAAAACTCTGCCTCTCTGTGGAATAACTCAGCCAAGGAAATTCCATTTTTATGAGAAAGCCTAGTTTGCCTTGAGATGGTTGATTGAGTTGGAATCTAAAAGCAGAGTTTCTGATAAGCATTGAAAAGGGAATATCACAACAATCCTGTATTATTATAATCTGATTCTGAAATAATTACAATTTGATATTGGTTTGCTGAAGTAATAATTAAGATATGGATTTATAGCATACTTTACATTTCTCACAATATTCTCCTCTAAGTTGCTAATTTTATTCTTTCTACAGTACTGAGAAGTGTAATATGTGACATCATTCATGTACAACAGATCAAGTAACAATTGAGTGAGATGCTAACTGGCCCACAGGTCTTCAAGCAGGAGACTAAAGTCTAGAATTCAGGTCCCTTGAACTGATTTCCACATTCTTTTAACTACATAGCTCTGGCTGTCTTTTATATGTCCAGACACCTCACATAGTTTCATCCAAGATTGTCTTCTAAGTTTAACTTGTGTAAAATATTATATTGTTTTATAATTACTACAAATGCCTTTTTTTTTTGAGACAGAGTCTCACTCTCTTGCCCAGGCTGGAGTGCAGTGGCACAATCTTGGCTCACTGCAACCTCCACCACCCAGACTTAAGCGATTCTTCTGCCTCAGCCTCCCAAGCAGCTGGGATTACAGGCATGCACCACCACACCCAGCTAATTTTTGTATTTTTAGTAGAGATGAGGTTCCTCCACATTGGCCAGGCTGGTCTTAAACTCCTGACCTTAGGTGATCCACCCGCCTCGGCCTCCCAAAGTGCTGGGATTACAGGTGTGAGCTACTGCACCCGCTATTACTACAAATGTCTTTCAGGTTTCATTATTCTTTTGACATAGAATCCAGTCTCTGTGTCATTCGCTTAATGTATGCTTTCTTCTAGTTAGTAATTGCTAGCAACTAAACTCTTATTCACTATTTATGTTTCTGGAAAATCTGAATGTTAACCTTTAAGGCATTTTTTTTGAGGTGTGTGCATCTATCCCTGTGGTATACATTCTCGGTTTTACGTTCTCGTTCCACTATCTCAATTTTTTGATCTGTTAATACCCTGCTACCTCCAAGACTCTTTGGGTAAAGAGAACATAGCAAAAAAAGTTGCAAAGGAAGTAGAGAATACTTTGACATAGAGAGAAGGCTTTGTTCACAAGGCAGCTGTTTGGGAAAACCTCTCAAGCTGTTTTCCCTCTGCTCCCATGCCACAACAATCAACACAGAACATTTCTGTGACTACATGTGTGGAGGTTTTTCCCCAAACATCAAGCAGCAGACACCAGCTGGGGGTCCTCCGATTCAATTCCAACGTTATCATTTGGAGATAGTGTCAGATCCCACAGGTTGAGGGCTCAAGTACCCAAGATCACTCCAGTTTAAGACACCAGCCCCCTTTTGGGTTTGATTAATTTGCTGGGTGGCATACAGAACTCAGGGAAACACATTTACTGGTGTATTATAAAGGATATTAGAAAGAATATAGATAAAGAAATGCATAGGGTGAGGTATGGGGGAAGGTGTGTGGCACTTGCATGTCCTCCCCAGGTGCACCCCTCTCCAGGAACCTCCATGTGTTCAGCTATTCAGAAACTCTCCAAACCCTGTCCCCTTGGGTTTTAACGGAGTCTTTGTTACTTAGGCATGATTGATTAAACCACTGGCCATTGGTATCAACCAGACCTTCAGCCCCTCTTCCATCTCTGGAGCCTGAGGGGTGGGGCTGAAAGTCTTTCCAGTGATCAATCATCATCCTGAGGCTATTAGTCAATATTAGCATACAAAAACACAGTACATTGGCGATTTCAAGGATTTTAGGTATTGTATACCAGAAAAAGTGGAGGAAGAACGAATATATATTTCACAATGTATTAGTCCATTCTCACACTGCTATGAAGAAATACCCAAGACTGGGTAATTTATAAAGCAAAGAGGTTTAATTGACTCACAGTTTCGCATTGCTGGGGAGGCCTCAGGAAATTTACAATCATGGCAGAAAGCAAAGGGGAAGCAAGGAACCTTCTTCACAGGGCAGCAGGACAGAGTATGTGCAAGAAGGGGAATATGCCAGAGGCTTATAAAACCATCAGATCTGGTAAGACTCATTTACTATCACGAGAACAGCATGGGGGAAACCACCCTCATGATCCAATTACCTCCACCTGGTACCACCCTTGACACTTGGGGATTATGGGGATTACAGTTCAAAGTGAGATTTGGGTAGGGACACAGAGCCAAACCATATTACACCATATCACAGTGGCAGTCTGGGCAGTTGTAGGAGAGACCAGGTAAAAGGAAACTTATAACTTCAGCATGAGATACACTTATCTAGTGGAGGGATTGTCTCCCTTCAGCATGAGATACACTTATCTGCTGGAGGGATTGTCTAATGGAGGTCTGTAGGTATTGTTGTGAGACACAGCGAGACACAGTCATACCTTACAACAATAAGGTTCCCTAAGAGTTATGGAGAATGAACAAAATGGCTCCAAAGTTTTTTTGGATGGGTTCTAGGGGTATTTGTGTATTTCAGAAACAGATTTCTGAGTTCCTGCAGCACTAAAAGTAATCCATATATGTTGGGAATAATGCTCAAAATCCTAAGGAGATTGAACACTCAAACAAAGGATTCTTAGCAAAGCAATTTTACTTCTGCACAGAGGGGTGCTTCTCCTTGGCCAGTAACCATGAGAGCACACCTGAACAAAGGGGCACAAAAGCCTTTATTCCTGACACAAGTCCTGTACCCTTTCCCCATTGGCCGGGGTCGGGTCACACAATCTGAACTAATCCTGGTTGGCTAGACATTTGAATTTTCTTTAGATAAGGTGGGCACATAAGGGACAGAGGGGAATAAAAAGGGAAGGGGTGTCTGCAATGAGCTAGAGAGCTAGTCTCCTTTCCAAATAAGGAAAGGTACTTGAGCTGGTACTGATAAGCCTGGTACTGTGGAGTGTCCTGGCATGCAACAAAGGCAGAAAAGGGAAAAAGGAAAAAAGGGTGTGTGTGGGGGTACTACGAATTAAAGAATAAAGGATTGATCAGCTATTTGAAGAGAAACCTCATCATATCCCACAGTATATAATTCCAAATAGTTGACTGTACAATTTTCAGCAACATAAATAAATCATTCCATTCTTTTCTGATGCTGAAAAATAGACAGGTTTTTAGGGCAAGAGACATTGCGAGACAGAGTAGAGACAAGACTCAGTCCTCACCAGGATTTGGCCCCCATTTTTCCTATACCTGCTGATAACCAGACCTTGCAGCACCAGCTCCTGTGGTGCCATCCCCACTGACCATGAGACCTTGAAGAAACTAAGATAAGCAGCATCCCGCTATAAGTCTTACTCAAGGGATTTAACTCTATTGCCAGCATGTGCACAAGAGCAGAAGAATAACTAACCAATCTTTATCCCATGCCTCATTATGCTACTGAAATCCCCACCCAGCGGATTTATTAGGAGGGGCTTATCCACCATTTTTTGGTCATGTGATATATGTACTAACATGATTTCTCACTGCAACTGTGTACCCCGTGCTCCACCCTGCACATGTAATGATGCTTGCCTATCTCATGCATATTCATGTCACCCTTTCTAAAGACACTGCAAAGACCTGTTCTTAGGGAGTTAGCCAGAGAACTATCATCCCAGTGCTGCCTCCCTTTTGTTTGAGAAGAATCCCCTAGGGAAGCTTTGTCTGGGAAACTTGCTTAGCCTCGTGTCCCTTTTGATTACATGGGAGCCTAAGAATCTGTGGTCATAAAAAATGGAATCATCTATGAATGCAATATTTTCAACACGGTGTTGAAAAATACAATTGCAAAATAACATTGAAGGGGTTAATATTGGTGCCCACTAGATTGATGTCTCATACAGTGGAGGGGTTCAGCTGCTTGATTCTTGGTAAGTCTATCGTAATCTTGTCTGACACCTGCCATGCAATTTGTCCATGCAACAAAAGCCCTAGTTGAAACCAGGGCAGAATTCAGCATGTGCAAAGACTGTCACCATCTGATTGTCAGTAGCTATCTCAGGACCAACGAGGAGATCATGTTGTTGGTTGGCAACAAGACTGATATTGAGAAGTGAGTGATATGCTAGAAACTCTTTAAGAAACTTATTGACCTGTGATGATGAGACTAAGATATGTCTTTTAGCATAGTGGTGGTTGTGCAAACAGTAAGTCAAGTATAATTGAAATGGGGCAAAATACACAGTGAGCCAGAAACACTGAAAATATAGATAACAAAGAACCCCAGGAGTGGTGGAGGATCAGATAGAATCAGGCTTCTAATAGAAGGTGAGATCATTGGGGGCAGGGGCGGAGGGGTGAATCTAATAGAAAGAAGCTCATGGGTAAATGGAGAGAGAGAAGGTTGGATAAACTTGCTGAGCTTACAGGAGAGACCGGTAGCTGTCATGCAGGCATTGTATACATGGAGAGGTGAGATCAGAGGTCTTTGTAAAACAAAGGATTCTTCACCTTGGCATCCCAGGGCCATATACTCACCCTCACTGTGCCCAAAGGAGAATTCCTCTGGAGGCCATATAGATTTTCTTTTATTTATTTGTTTGTTTATTTTTGAGACAGAGTCTTGCTCTGTTGCCCAGGCTGGAGTGCAGTGGTGCAATCTCAGCTCACTGCAACCTCCACCTCCTGGGCTCGAGGATTTTCCTGCCTCAGCCTCCTGAGTAGTTGGGACTACAGACGCCCGCCACCACACCTGGCTAATTTTTATATTTTTAGTAGAGACGGGGTTTCACCATGTTAGCCAGGATGGTCTCGATCTCCTGACCTTGTGATCCACCCACCTTGGCCTCCCAAAGTGCTGGGATTACAGGCGTGAGCCACCATGCCCGGCCTAGATTTTCAAGAACCTCTACAACTGTGTCTTTGGGTTGAAAGATCATAAACGAGGAAAAACAGTGTGTATGTATACCTTGTGCGGGGGTGGATCCTCAGCATATCTAATATAGCCTTACTCATTGTTCCCTTGTTTCAATCTATGTTGGTGGGGTAGAGTCTTAATCTGTTTGGGAGGCTAAAATAGAATACCATAGACTGAATAGCTTATAAATCAAATAATTTTATTTTCTCACAATTTTGGAAGCTTGGAAATACAAAACCAAGAAAGCAGCAGATTTGCTGTCTGGTGAGGGCCTGCTTCTTGGTTTATAGATGATTCTTCTCACTGTGTTCTTGCTGTGTCCTTGCTGCAGAAGAGAGGAAGCAGCTCTCTGGGGTCTCTTTTATAAGGGCACTGATTCCATTCATAAGGGCTCTGCCCTCATGACCTAACCACCTGCCAAGGGCCCTACTCCCACATTGGGAGTTAAGATTTCAACCAAAATGTCTATGACAGGTAGGAATCATAAAACTAAATCATAAAAATAAAAATAAAATAGAACATATTTAGACTGTTTGTATTCAACGTCAAAGTTAAAAATTGGTGTTTGTTATGTACCAAAACAAACTGTAAGAATTTAAAAAAATTGGACGTCTTTCACTTTTTAAATTCCATATTTGCCCTGTGCTAAGTAAAACATGGGCTTGATTAATTAATTTTTAACTTTTTTAAGTTAAAAAATTAAGACTTTATTTCCTTGAGAGGATAAAAATTTTAATAAGTGAATTTTGAAAGGGAAAATATCTATACACTTCAATTTTTTGTTCATTTTCTTGTTTTTGTTAGTGTACACTGAACATTTAAAATCAGCTTCAGGCTAATTGTGGACATTGCCTTATTACTTTATATAGCCTTGACTGAGAGTGAGTAATCCATTATGTCAGATAACATTTATTCTTCCTGTTTCTTAGTTTCCTCAGGTGTAAAATAAGAAGATTGATTGACATGATAGCTAAGGCATTTTCTGAACTATTTTCCATTCTATGTACATTGAGTTCATGCTACTCCTAATGCATACATAATCCCTTCATTTCATAAATATGCTCCTCTCTCAGACCTGGATTGCTTTATATTTGTTTTTTCTTTATCTCTGTACATTTTCTATTTATAGGCATGAGGATTCTGTGATATGCATGTTACTACAACAGCGTTTTTGTTGTTGTTTTTTCTCTGATGCACAAATTTAAAAGCAGCTAGCCTATTTACCTCTTTTCTGTTTAGCACTTAGGTCCCTCATGATTAGGTTGAAGTGAATTTCTTCATCTGTCAGTGGCTTTTTTAGTCTCAGGACAGACATAACATTTTTACAATTTACTTGTTTTCACATTCGATTTGTACAATTTGCTCCCTCAATGCAAGGACTCAAATGATGCTTTACATTTTCTGTTTATTTGTGTGGAGGTTTGGCCCATTATGCCTGATGGACTTCTAAAATCACTCACTAACTCCTACAGAATTCTTTGTGTCTCTTTTTTGGAAATGTGAAAACTTATCTACCCAAGCAATGTGATTATTTTCTTTGTGTTTCTTTTCTATTTGTTTTTCCTCTCTCAACACCCAAAGCAACTTCTCTTTGCCACAATACTTCTGTTTCTCATTTTTTGTCATATTCTGATTTCTTGAGAAAGAAATCTTAGTGGAATTGAGAAATAGCAATTTGGTTTTTGTTTTTCTGTTTGTTTCTTGACATTCTCCTTTCTTTCACTTTCATCAGCACAGACCTTTGTTAGAGTGCATTTACGTGCAAGTTTGTTCTGAGAACATTATTTAATAAAGTCAGGTATCTGGTTCTCTGAGAATGTGAAGAAATACGAGAGGACTATTAAATGCTGCAATTAAGAAAATAGGCAATGACTGTGTACTAGTCAGCTTATATCAGAAAGGTGAATTTCTTGATTCCTATTATAACTCCTTGTTGCTAATACTTAGAATAAACAAAAGGGAGAATGGAAACAGTTTAAAGAAGGCTGGTAAAGTTAGTAAATCTTGGTTCTGAGTCTTTGATTCCTTCCTCTGGACCATGTCCACATGTCCCTTATGCAATAGATCAGTTTAAATTCGTGAAATAACAGGGTATATTTTTAGCCCATTTTGCATTCTGTATTTCCTTTTTGGGCAGTCTCATAGTCTTAATGATGATCTTTTCTTAGTCTGGATTATCTGATCACAAGGAACTGATACCAACTCAAATTATCTATGAAAAAAATTGTGAAACCAGAGAAGAACCACATGGAAACCAAGTGCAAAAAGGTTAGCTTGGCTTTATATGAACTGCAACATCCCTAGGTTTCAATTCTCTCTGTCTTTTAAGGGATTCTTATACTGCTTTTCTGGGTCTGTCACCTTCATTTCCCTCTCACTCTGCAGTCTAATTTTTTTCTTCCTGTTTTTCTATAGCCTTTCAGGGCCGCTCCAATATGGAGTATTGCTCTCAGACGAATGCAAGAGGAAACACTTTTGTGAGGTGTGCTGTCTGTTCTCATCCCCCTTCTAGTCTAGTCTAGATAGCTGGGATTCTGGAATTCTCTAATCTACCAGGAGTAATTTTCCTCCTCGGGCACATCTTTCTGAGGGCAGCCCACGCAGCCAGTGTGTGCATCCTTGGGCATCAGCGTTGGCAATGGGATAGGCATTTGCAAGGGGTATTTGGATCTTCGACATGTGAGTGTGTGGCAGTTGATTTAAAGACAGAGCTCTATGTAGAACGAGAAGGGATGCCGATCATGATCCAGAGCACTAGCTAGTTCTCCGCATTCTTGCTGGGAATTTCAAGGATTCTGAGAATACTGTATTCAAATCTGTCATCATAATGGTGTAGTTGTCAGCATAGGAGTCTAGAACATATCTTTTAAGCAATATATTAGTTTCATTTTGTGATTTTGAAATATATGTATTTGTGGTATATGGAATTCCATTTGTATTTCTGTCCTGGACCCCATAAATATAATGAGGGAGTTATGCTAATGTGGATATTTACAGAACATTCCCCTATAACTGAATTAGTCTTTAATTCACGTTTAACGTTATCCGGGGTAGAAACTACTTTTTCAAACTTAAGTGAGGTGTTCATGCATGAGTCTTTCACAGATATGTCAAACTCTATTGTTTAAAGTTAAATTAATTACCTTCCACTCTTAATGTACTACCCTTACATTTCATCCTTTCAACGTATTTTTATTGAAAACCCATTCTGAACCAGGCACTATGCTAGTCACTGGAGAAAAAATGGTGAACAAAAACATACGTTGTCCCTATTCTGATGTAGTGGAAGAAACAGGTTCCATATTTGGTAGACGGGAGCACCACCATCTACCTTGTTATCAATCACCAGATCTTCAATTTATACATGATTTTTTCTCCCTATGTATAGCCAATTAGTTATTAATCCTTGTTCATCTCTTTAATTGTTTTTCTATTTCTTCACATTTTGCTTATCCCCACTGCCACTGTCTTAATTCCATCTTAATTTTTCTTCTGTCACATAGACTCTTGTTTGGGCTTTTTTTTTTCTTTCTTATCTTTAGTATTGTTTTTCTCAAACACCTACATATCTAAAATGGAAAACTGTCATTTTACATTCTTGATTATAATCCAATCATGTTATGAGGTAGCTCCTGTTCCCTAAATGCCTTCGCTCACCCATCCTCCAAAACAAATACTAACTCCTTATGGAATAAAGTTTAATTTACCTCGGGAGGAAATGCCATCTATAAACAGCTTTCTACTTACCTTCTTCCATAGAAAATGCTTCCCATTTTCTAAATTTGAATATTTCATTTCAACAGCAGCAATGTCTGAGTTCTGTAACTTTGCTCCCGATACCTAGAAACCCTTTCTCACCAAAATTTTACCTGTTCCAAACTCATCTACCTCTCACCCAAAACACACACACAAGTGTGGTTAGGTTCCTTTTCAATGGGCTTTTACTGCAAACGCCCACGCATAAGAGTATTAGAGCATCTACTGAAAGTAATGAAATAGTGTGCTTACACACACACACCCCCTTGTCGAATAACACCCTTATACATATTCATTCCATTAGATTTTAACTACTCAAGGGGAAGCGCTGGTTTTATGATAAAGCAGATCAACAATAAATAGATTAAGGAAATACATAAAAAGTTTGATAACTTGTGGTTTCTCAGATTTGACCTATCAATGCTCCTTTTCTCTGTTTTCAAGATTGATTTTGTTGCTTTTGTTCATCTTGTATCTCCTGGTGTAAAACTTTTCCAGAGGAAACACGTATCTCTCAGAGATAAATTCTGGAGCAAATAGTTATTGTTTTGAATTCAGGCAGAATAAAACAGTTCAGAGATTTTCACTCACTTACACCACACTGAATAAACTCTAGCGACTCATCCTGAATATAGAGTGGTATAATATGTAAACTCTTCATCTTCAAAAGTTTTCAGCCTGCAATATGAGAATTTTCATTTTAAGTATCTGAAGGTAACCCATATTCCAAGGAAGTTTATACCATCACAGGAATAAAGGAACAGTCTAGTGAAATAGCCTAGTTATGTGATATTTACTGGCTGAAATTCCAAATATACTGTCCCCATGGTGTATGCCTTCTTCCAGGAACAGCTACATTGGGCAGGCTGTAGGAATGATTATTGGCATATCTAACATTTAAGAGTTCTTTAGGTGAATTTTAAATTTTATTTATATGAGTTAAGTAAATAGCAGCAGAATGTATTCATTTAATGTGACCATTTAAATCCAAGTAGATATTATAGACCACAAGTTTTGATATGTTTTTATTTCCTTTCAGTTCCAAATACTTTCCAACTCTCCTTTGATTTTTTTTGAACTTGACAATGGGCTACTTTAAAGTGTTACTTCACTTTCAAATACTTGAATATTTTCAGATATGTTTCTGTTAATAATTTCTAATTTAATTATATTGTGGTAAGAGAACATATTTTGTTTTATTTGAATTTTTATAACTTTATTAAGATTTATTTTTTGGTTGAAAATATGGTCTATTGTCTCATAATGTGCTAAATACTAGGAATACACAAATAAATGACATGAAAAATTATTAAACAATTCATAATCTTTTGTTTAATAGATATGTTTACAAATTATAAATGCATTACAAAGAATAAATGTTATAAATACCAGAGATATGTGTACAAAATTCCATAGAATATTACTGTGGTTTTGTCAGGGAGCAAGTTATGATCTAGAAAGAATCATCATTTTATTGGTACTTACTGCAGAACAGGACACAGGAGAGATGAATCATATTTGTTTCAACCTTGGGAGTTAATACTGTTTTTCTCATATTACATATAAGGAAAGATTTTGGAATTAGTGAAAATAGGTCATAGCATAGGATCAGGGAATAGAATACATTTAAGAACTTGATGAGAAGGTGTCATTAAATCTGGACCAATAGATTTTCTTTTTTTTTTGAAGACAGGGTCTTGCTCTGTCACCCAGGCTGGAGCGGAGTGGCACAATCTCTGCTCACCGCAACCTCTGCCTCCCGGGTTCAAGCGATTCTCATGCCTCAGCCTCCCGATGGACCAATCAAATTTTAAAAATATATCTTCAAAGACTTATCCAGCAATTTAAAGATGTATTCACCTTAATTTAAAATTCATGTAGATGAAAATTTTAATTAAATTTTATTGTATTCTATTCTGTCATTAGACCAGAACTCCCTTGTTGAGTACTGACATACATAATCTAAATGAGAGGCAACTTGTCCAACTTATGAAGGACTCCATTTCGTGAAAGTTTGAAACTACATCTTGAGGTGTGTACCAATTCACAGCAGCAGATGTCTGTATACGACTGATATCTCCCTAACAAGGAGTGTATAGACAAAGGGCCAGGCAGCCTCTGGATAATAATATTATTTTGTCTTTATTGAGCATTTATCTCTGAGGAACTAAAGTGATTTACAGGAATTATCTCATTAGTTCATACAATATTCTTATGAAGCAGGTAGATGACAGCTGATGTTGTCTTTGTTTTTTAATAGAATTCTCTAGGTACAGCCTGGGAACTTTGATTAGATAAGTGAGCTGGATCCATAATATCCTAATCAAAGGGAAACTGTCTTTCCAACTTTGAAAACATAACATTCAAAACACATTTTTGTAAGTATTGAAGTTTTCAGTGTATATTCCAGCTAAAGGAGCAAGCCATATCTAAAGGTGTTATTGATAAGACACATTCTTAAGAACTCAGAAGTGTATAGATTCTCTATGAAATCCAACAAATATATTTGAAAAATGTGCTATATGAGAAATAAAATTAGAGCATGGTATTTTCTGTAGAGAGGTTTTGTCATCTTGGTAAGGTAAAATTTATGAACATAAAAAAGTCCTTACTAAGGACTTCTTATAGGATATCTATAATTACATATGTGTGATATCCTTAATCACACACATATATGTATATAGACACGTCTATGTATATCTGCGTATATCCCTATATTCAACAAGGAAGTTCTGGTCTAACAATAGAATACAATAAATGATAATAAATGATAGAATACAATACAATAGAGTATAATATAATAAATGATAGAATACAATAAAATTTAATTAAAATTTTCATCTACATTAATTTTAAATTAAGATAAACTAAGTCTTCAAATTGTTGGATATGTCTTTGAAGATGTATGTTTTAAATTCTATTGGTCTAGATTTAATAACACCTTCTCACCATCAAGCTCTTAAATTTATTTCCTGATCCTATGACCTATCTTCACCAATTCCAATATCCTTGATCAGACACATGTAACTATATAGATATCCATCCGTATCTATGTATATCTCTATCTCTGCTTCAATATCTATCTATCTATCATCTAAAATGAAATGCCAAAATAAATATAATATGGCATACACAAACTTGTTCTCTCTTAGAAATGGATAGAACACTATCAGCAGATAATTGTAATGAAAGATTGATTATAAACATAGCTGCCTATTGCACTTTAAATAAAATGCAGATGTCTTGCTGTGGCCTTTAAGGCTCTATGTGGACTGCCTTGATTATCTATTCAACCTCATCAAATAGAGAACTATTTCTTATTTGGCCTGTCCCCAAACATCTAACTCCTCTGCCTGCATTCTCAGTTTCAGCTGATGACCTTGGATTCTATTTCACTAAGAAAATAGAAACACTCAGTAGAGCATTTCCACAAGCTGTTTTGACCATATTTACAGACTTAACCTCATCTGTTTTCATAGACCCTGGCTCTCTGCCTCCCTATGGATGAACTGTCTGTAATTTATCTCAGTTGCTTTCCCCCAAATCACTGTGTACTATATCCTGTCCCCTCTAGCCCACTCAAGGCTATGCTGCAGGAACATTCCTTTCTTCTGATTTATCATTTTCCTTCTCTAGTAAATCAGTAGGCAAACATGATCTTACTTCTTCCATTGAAGAAAAGATATTCTTTTTTGTTGTTATGCTCTTTACTCTTTACAGGTTCTCAATATTTATACACCTTTTTGCTGAGTGCAGGGAAAATAAACATAATTTGTTGAGTCAAGATATAATTTATAATTAATTAATTAATTTTTAAACTTTTATTTTAGGCTCAGTGGTACATGTGCGGGTTTGTTACATAGGTAAACTTGTGCCATGGGGGTTTGTTATATAGATTATTTCATCACTCAGGTATTAAGCCCATTACCCAATAGTTGTATTTTCTGCTCCTCTCCTTCCTCCTACCCTCTGCTCTCAGGTAGACCACAGTGTATGTTGTTTCCTTCTTTGTGTTCATGAGTTTTCATCATTTAGCTCCCACTTATAAGTAAGAACATGTGGTATTTGGTTTTCCTTTCCTGCATTTGTTTGTTAAGGATAATGTCCTCTAGCTCCATCCATATTCTCTCAAAAGACATGATCTTGTTTTTTTTATGCCTGCACTGTATTCCATGGTGTATATGTACCATATTTTCTTTATCTAATCTGTCATTGATGGGCATTCAGGTTGATTCCTTGCCTTTGCTATTGTGAATAGTGGTGCAATGAACATGTATCTTTATGGTAGAATGATTTATGGGATTGCTGGGTCGAATGATGGTTCTGCTTTTAGCTCTTTGAGAAATTGCCACACTGTTTTCCACAATAGTTGAACTAATTTACACTCCCAACAATGTATAGGTGTTCCCTTTTCTCTGCAAACTCACCAGCATCCATTAATTTTTTACTTTTTCATAATAGCCATTCTGACTGGTGTGAGATGGTATCTCCAGGCAGTTTTGATTTGCATTTCTTTAAGGATGAGTGATGTTGAGCTTTTTTTCATATGCTTGTTGGTTGCATGTATGTCTTCTTTTGAAAAGTGTCTGTTCATGTCCTTTGCCCACCTTTTAATGGGGTTGTTTTTCTCTTGTAAATTTGTTTAAGTTGCTTATAGATGCTGGCTATTAGACCTTTGTCTGATGCATAGTTTGCAAATATATTCTCCCATGCTGTAAGTTGTCTGTTTACTCTTTTGATAGTTTCTTTCGATGTGTAGAAGCTCTTTAGTTTAATTAGATGCCACTAGTCAATTTTTTGCTTTTGTTACGATTGCTTTTGGTGTCTTTGTCATGAAATCTTTGCCTGTTCATATGTCCAGGATGGTGTTGCTTAGGTTGTCTTCCAGGGTTTTTATACCTTGGGGTTTTACATTTAAGTCTCTAATCCATCTTGAGTTGGTTTTTGTAACAGTGTAAAGAAGAGGTCCAGCTTCAATAAATTGTGCTGGGATAAGAAAGTATTCTTTATTCTAGAGACATTCTAATTACCCTTTTTAGCTATTTTGAAATATACAATAGATTATTATAAACTATAGTCACCCTACTGATTTATCATACACAAGGTCTTAGGTCTTCTATCATATTGTATGTTTGTACTCATTAATCAATCTCTTTTCATCCCCTCTGCCCCACTGTTGTTCCTGGCCTCTGGTACCCACCAATCTACTCTCTGTCTTAATGAAATCTACCTACATGTAAGTGACAATATGTGATATTAATCTTTGTGTCCTTTGCTTATTTCACTTAACATAATGACTTGCAGTTCCATCAATGTTGCTGCAAATGACAGATTTTTATTATTTTTTATAGCATAAAGAAAATACAAATATTTAAGGTGATGATATCCCAGTCACACTGATTTGATCCTTACGAATTACATGAACATATTAAATTACTGCATGTACCTTAAGATATGAATTTCTATTATACATCAATACAAAATTAAATCTAAAAAAAGAAAGTATTTTTAATGTTACTGACTCATTTCTCTTTTTGTTTCTATAATGAAAATCTTCCAGAGAGTTGATTGTACCATCAGTTTCTAACTGTTTTCTACTCTCCAATTCTCCCTTTAGGCTTCTCTGTGCAAATTCAGGTTTTAAGGTTAGCAGTGACTCACACATTACTAAATCCAGTGACCAGTCCTCAGTCCTCTTCTTTGTTGACCTATCAACAACATTAGACTAGGTTGATAATTCCTTACTCCTTAAGACATTTTATTCACTGGCTTTCTTCCCCTGATTTTCCTCCTATAGTTGTTTGGTTTGGTCTTCCTTGCAGTTTTCTCTTGATTGTTCAGTTCATTTCATATTAGTGTGGTGGGATCGGTGATTCATTTTTCATTACATTAAAACATAATGAAACTATTCACTGTTTCTAGCCTATTAACAAACCAAACTTGGTTTGCTTTGATATTGTGGTTACAGGTTTGTTTTAGTGTAAATAGCTTACAATGTGAACTATTGGAAAAGATCAAAGAGGACTGAGTCAAAACAGGAAAGCAGATGACCTAACGGAATTGAATATACTCATCCATCATCATAGAGTTAGACTCACTGGTTACTTCTGGCTTTTTTCTTCAACACAATTCAGCTTAAAATGGACAGAGAGGGAAGGGCCCCCCTCCCGCCCCACTTAGATGCTACACCAGCTGACAGAGGAATTTCTAGAGCAATTTAAAAATACGAGTGCTCTAGTAATTCCAAAACACTGTCCTCAAACATCTGTACAGGTGAACTCTGGTCACAGGTGTGTAGGGAGACCTGAGTGATTGGGAGTCATCACTTGGGCGGTGGTAAGTTTGCACCTCTCTAATTTCACTGTTGGGAGTAGCTGCAGAAGCTCTACAGAGAGGCTAAATTTGGGTGAGTGCAATCTCAAAGGAAAACAAAATAATGAAAACATCCTAGAGTTTGAGAGAGGGATCAGAACTCTAAATACTGATTTAGGGCTACCAGCTTATAAAAGTAAGCACTGGAGTTTGAAGTGAAGATGAGCTCACCCAAGGCAAAGACCACACAGTTTTCAGCATACTTAAGGAATACAGGGAAGAATAAGAGGGAATAGGCAAGTACTCAATATGGCAAGTGTTTGGAGAGCTTTTGCATATCATGATCAAAACTATAAAGCTGCTGGTTGTGGTGGTGTGCACCTGTGCACCTGTGGTCCCAGCTGCTTGGGAGGCTGACGTAGGAGAAGAGTTTGTATGCAGCCTGGCAACATAGAGAGAACCAATCTCTAAAAACAAACAGACAAAATACACAAAAAACCATATTTCCAACCAAAGCAAACACAACCTCTGCCTTACACTTGAATAGCTTATTTTATTTTATTAATCTTTTTCTTTACAGTCAGGGAAAACTCTGCCTCAAACCTGAAGAATTGGACTTTGAATTTATGTTCCTTCAGGGGTCCTTAGGAATAGTTCTTAAACTTTACAAGGCCACAAACTCATTGAAAATTTAATGAAACCTATGGATCCTTCCCCAGAAAAACAAAAATGAGTGTAAAGAAACAGACATACCTCTGAAAAAGGAAATTAGAGGCCTCTTGGGTGCTGGTAATAGTCACAGAGAAAGAGATGGCTGGTAATTTCTTGTGTTCGGTTCGAGATGTTTTTCTGCTGCTTTCTTATTATATTCACTTGAGATTTTGTTGTTATGATAAAACAGTACTGAACTCCTAGTTAGGGTTGCTAAGTTTTATTTTCCAATTTTATCACTGCCTTTTGTAATTGTGTCACATACATGCTTTCTCTTAATTAAACATAACGCTATTTATGCTACCTATGTTCTATTTTGGAGAGAATAGAACATGTTGAGTTGGAGCAACATACCTACAAACTGGTAAAATGAACAACATACCTACAAACCGGTAAAATGAACTTGACAGTAGAATTGAACCAAGCTGCCTTTCCTAGATAATTTAAATTAGAGGGAGTAAATTGCTCTTAAAGCTTCAGACAGAGTTTACATGTAAGTAAAGAACATTTTTTATTTAACAAAGTACCTTTTATAAGGTTTAATAAAGATTTTAAAGTAGCAAATTTGCTTTACATCTCCTTTTACATATAAGACTAAGAGACAAACACAATTCAGCCTGTTTTTAGGTAAGATATGCAACGATGTATAAAGTAAGTACAGAAAGAGGAATTCTGTTTTAGATGGCAGTAGCAAAGGGGGAAAAAGCAGAGGGAAATATGAGGTCAAGGGTAATGGCAAGATTCAGGTAAGCGTAGGTAAATTGAAAATTTGATCTGAACATCTAACATTGATTGACAGTGTTTTAGACACAGGAGCCAGACATCATTTACTGCAGACTCAATAGAAGTCAAAGATTAACTTCCTTGATAAAAAGAGCCACAAATATTGCAGCAATTAAATCTATTAAAATATTACAAGTTAGCCAAGTTTAAGATAGATATTGGTTATAAGGGTAATATAAAGAATCACAAAGACAAATTAGCATGATCTAAAATGTTGTCACTCTGACTCCAGGTCTTAATACAGGATGTTGGCCACCTGAGTGACAAATTTGATATAGCAAAAGTAGAAAGATACCTGTAAACAAATGAGTTCAAAGGATAAAATTATCTTTCTAGAAACTGAAGGCATAGATGGTGCTATTTTCTATAACTCTGTAAAATTTTTCCATTTTTGTATCTTGTGTTCTCTCTTTGTGTATATGCGTATATAAACACATATATAGTAGTAAATTCTATAGTCGCTTGAGTTATTCCTATATTTTTTCTTGAACATTTTCATACCAATATCAGTAGTTGCATACAATTTATATGCTGTTTAAAAAGCAGACATAGTAGCTACACAAATTAAAATGAGCTTATACCTAGTCTTTGAAGGAAATGATACATGTCTCCTTTACTTTAAATATCCGATAAGTTTATCTACCATCATTTACTCATATACACATCTTAAGGTTGTGGTAGCAGAAAATCATGTTAGCTCAACATGGTCAACAAAAATAGAGATGATGTAGGAATAACAGTAAAAGACTCTGTGGGAAAATTATCTGTGACAGTGTAATCATCCATTAAGACATGGGCCCGGAGTATAGCACAGATGGGCAGATAGAATATGCTCCCTTTGGGGAGATTCAATAGCTGTGTGAATAATCAATCCAGGATTATTAGTCCTGGCTTCATATTTCATATAAAATCTTGGATAAAAATTGCCTATAAGCCAGGTGCAGTGGCTCATGCCTGAAATCCCAGCACTTTGGGAGGCCGAAGCAGGAAGATCACTTGAGCACAGGAGCTCAAGATTAGCCTGGCAAACGTAGTGAGATACCATCTCTACAAAAAATAAACAAAGTTAGCTGGGCATGGTGTCATACACCTGTAGTCCCAGCGACTTGGGACACTGAGCCAGGAGGATTGCTTGAGCCCAAGAACTTGAGGCTACAGTGAGCCATGATTGCACCACTGCACTCCAGCCTGGGTAACAGAGTAAGATTCTGCCTCTAAAAAATAAGAAAAAATATATCTGTAATTGTAAATAAATGTAATTAAATAATAAAACACAGGCTAAAAATAAAAAATAACGCATTTATTGTACAGAACTTTCTAATGAGCATTTAAACTGAAAACTGTTTTATAAGAAAGCACAGAAAAATTACTCATACATTTACAGACTGTTTTCTATTTATTAATATCTTTGTTCCACTTTAAAGCTATTTTCCGGAAAGAAAGTATTCATTATTCAATTAAATTTTTACAGTTCAAATGTTTATATGCATTTTGACATTCTTATACTGTAACCAAGTAACAATTAATTTGATTAATGTTTAAAAATGTTTAAGGAAAATTAATTTAGTATGTATTGAAACTAATTTTATTTTAAATAAGCATGGACATGTCCCATAAACTTCCAGATACACATGTCCTAAAGATATAGCAGAATGTGTATTACCAAAGGAAAAGTTGTTGGTGCCATTTTTTTTTAAACGGAGTCTCATTGTCGCCCAGGCTGGAGTGCAGTGGTGCAATCTCGGCTCACTGCAACCTCTGCCTCCCAGGTTCAAGTGATTCTCCTGCCTCAGCCTCCTGAATAGCTGAGATTACAGGTGCCCATCATCATGCCCGGCTAATTTTTGTATTTTTTGTATTTTAGAAGAGACAAGTTTTTGCCATGTTGGCCAGGCTGGTCTCGAACTCCTGACCTCAGGTGATCTGCCCACCTCGGCCTTCCGAAGTGCTCAGATTCCAGGCGTGAGCCACCGCGCCCGGCCCGCATCTGTGCCAATTTTAGAAAATAATATACATGTATTTACTTACTAGGTATCTTCACCTGTATGTCTCCCACATACCTGAGACTAAGTTCTTAGCCAATGTCATTATTTCTTCCCTAAATCTATAATTATACCTGTTTATTTGACTTTGTTAGTGGCACAGGTATGTATCCTTCCAGAGAACAATGCATCATCTTCAGTTACTCCAACTTACAGCAAATTACTCAGACTTTACCCTTGTCCGTCACTCAGATAATAATTTCAGTCATCTACCAAGTGTTTCCCTAGTCTATGATTTCCTCTTCCTTCAATCCAGTATCTATACTTTTATGACAATTCACTTTGTAAAATGCAACTTTGACCTATTAGTACCTTAATTTCAGCCTCTCGATGACCTCTTCCTGTCCACAGAATAGAATCGGGCTCTTTAATAGAGCACGAGAGTCCCTTCATGATGTGACACCTGCTTTTGCTTCCAGGTGCATTCCTTTTACTCTGCTTCACACTTTGCATCGTAACAGCATTACAAGATGCTCATTTCTCTGTCATCACACCAATAACATACACTTACAGTTTTCTCTTTGGAATGCTGCCTCTCCTTGACTGGCTATTAAACTAAGGCACAGTATTTCAAATCCAAGTTGAATGATAAAAATAAAATAGAACAACTATGAATGTATCCCTCCTATGATGCTTTCTTTTCCCCTGAACAGGCCATTTTGACCCCAAGATTGAATTATTTACCTCTTCCTTGCTATTTTGTTAGTTCATGCATATTATTAATGCTTCTCCAGTTTCACTTGGTATATTTTAATTATTATTTATATGTCTAGTTTTTTAAAAGAAGGTAAGCTTCTCTGTGGAAGGTAATGTGTCTTCCATTCTTGTAACTTGCATTCAGTTTCAACGTGATTGTAAAGCCTACTTACAGTCACTGACTTCCAGGCTTGTCTCATCCAGCCTTCCATTTAATGGGATCCACTTTGAGGCCATTTGAAATGACACGTTTGAGTGGTAAGACAATCTTTTTAATCATGTAAAACCTAATATAAAGCATAATTATAAATAAAATTAGAAATACTCACATATGCTTCAGTGTCTTATTGAGAATATGTTATTGACATTGGATGACCATATGTGCAATTTCAGTAGCTGGAGGAAGCATACACCAGCTGGTCTGTGTCATTGTGCTTATTGGGAATATTACTTTTATAGTGGTAAGTACTATAAATTTGACTTTATTAATTTTTTATTAGATTGCTATTCATAAAATTTGTCTGTATACCAGATGGTACAAATTGATCTCAATGTACCCACTGGTATAATGTATAGCTCTGTAAAAAACAGCACGAGTTTTGCTGCTAATCTCTCTTAATGAAACTAGAATGATGTCTGTCACATATTTTTCTTTCTAAAAATTCTATTAAATCTAACCCTTTCACCGATGGTGGATCAGTTACCTTGATCATCCTTCATGCTTACTATGACTTTGAAATAATCTGAAACTCTGGCTTTAATCAACTGTAGCAATTTGGATTGATTATGAAGCAGAGATGAATTCAGTCATCTATTTAGTGTATTAGATATTAAAATGTGAATGTTATGCCAGTTTTGGGACTGCAAGCATATCATGAAATACATGGATATAATATCCAAAGGAGTAGTCAGTATTGATGAGGTATTTTATGGCTTCAACCTGTAGCCTTCTCAATGTAATCAGAGTAGGAACTTTTCTACACTTGAATTCATTGCATACCCACTTGTATTCTGGTTGACATTGGTTACCATGATTACAAAGAGCAACTCATCCACAGTATACATTTGTTTGTGAGTGTATCATGTACTGCTTAGGTTTTCACCAAAAAATGTGACTTAACTTTTCTTCATATTCTCTGCCTTCAGTAAAACATATCTTGTATCCTTTTATGATAAATATTCACAAACCAATACATGTTGTATTTTTTGTACTCAGTTGTGGTGCTCCAATGTTTATGTGAAAGCTGTTAATTCAACAATTCTTCAAAGAGCTGGGTCAGTCCCTTTGGCTCAGTTCTACTCTCTCACATAGGCATTCTAGTTTGTCAATGCTCCTTTTAAAAATTTGGCCCAAAGTTCAAAACACAATATTCTGTTGCAGAGTCAGAGGACTGACCATTGCTTTGTTGTTGTTGTTGGACATGCATTTATATATCAATGCCTTCTAAAATCACATGAACCTTTATGGCAACTATGTGACACATATGACTTGCTGAGCTAAGAAGGAACAAAATGTTTAGACCAGGTGCAGTGACTCACGTCTGTAATCCCAGCACTTTGGGAGGCCAAGATGGGAGAAACGCTGGAGCCCAGGAGTTCGAGACCAGCCTGAGCAACATAGCAAGACTACATCCCTACCAAAAACATGTAAAAAATTAGCCAGGTGGGTTGGTGCATGCCTATAGTCCCAGCTACTCAGGAGGCTAAGGTGGGGTGATTGCTTGAGCTCCAGAGTTCGAGACTGCAGTGAGTTATGATCACACCACTGCACTTCAGGCTGGGTGACACAGTAAGACCCTGTCTCAAAAAAAAAGTTTATTTATTTATTTTTTGGTATGTCCTACCATTCATGCACATTTCTCTCATACTACAATTTTTCTTTTGGTGTAATGTAAGATTTAGAATGTAAGCCAAAAATAAAATTCTAAAGCTTCCAACCATCTAAATAGACTTCCTCCTCAGCCAGGGCTCTGTTAAAATTTAATCTGAAAGGACCGGGAGCGGTGGCTCACGCCTGTAATCCCAGCACTTTGGGAAGCCGAGAGGGGCGGATCACGAGGTCAGGAGATAGAGACCATCCTGGCTAACACGGTAAAACCCCGTCTCTAGAAAATACAAAAAAATAGCCGGGGCATGGTGGCGGATGCCTGTAGTCCCAGTACTCGGGAGGCTGAGGCAGGAGAATGGGGTCAACCCGGGAGGCGGAGCTTGCAATGAGCCGAGATCGCGCCACTGCACTCCAGCCTGGGCGTCGGAGTGAGACTCCGTTTCGACAACAACAACAAATTAACCTGAAAGACTGGTTCAGGCCATGACGGGAAGTGGGGGTCAGACATGCCTCATCATACCTATCTGGCATTAACATCAACACAGACTTTAAGTCTGAAATGAAACATTTTACAACCTGTTCTCTCTGAAGCCTGTTACTTGGAGGCTTCATCTGCATGACAAAACTTTGATCTCCAGGACATCTTCTTGCAACCGAGACATTCCTTTCTATTGATCCCAGGTCTTTGGATAAACTCAACCAATTGTTAACCAGAAAATTTTTAAATCTACCTATAAGCTGGAAGCTCCCCCATCAAGTTGTCCTGCCTTTCTGGACCAAACCAATGTATTTCTTAAGTGTATTTGATCAAAGTCTCATGCCTCTCTAAATTGTATAAAACCAAGTTGCACCCTGACTACCTTGACTACCTTGGGCCACATGTTCTCAGGATGCCCTGAGTGCTGCGTCATGGGCCATGGTCACTCATATTTGGTTCAGAATAAATCTCTTCAAATACTTTACAGAGTTTGACTGTTTTCATTGAGAAAAATTATTATTTGTTTTCTTTTGTTAGACTAGGTTCATATTTCACCCATCTAAATCTATTTGTTTATTAAAGTGTAAAAATTGAGGAGAGGAATGGTGAGGTAGGCCAACTCTTTGTTAAGGCAGTAGATGATATAGGTTAAATCTCCCATTGAAACTGAAGCTTTTTCTCTTGCTCATAAGATTTTTATCTGACGAGAGATAGAGAAAAATCATGGCTTTACCCTTTGGTCCTGTCTGGTTTGGAGGACATCCCCTGAGCCCAACTTGGCTTTTACACTACTCGTGGTAGGTTTTTTCCTCTCGGGCTTAAGCTATAATGACATGTTTAATTTTTTTAAATGCAGTTCAAAAGGGAGTATGCTTGTGCTCCTCCTCTTGGTGTCTGCCTTAAAGGAGCTTTTCCTCTGAAGCTGGGCAGTGATCTCACTCAACCTGGCATCAGAGCACGGTGGGCTTCTTTCCTCAGTCTTTTTGCCAATGTCCCAGCCTCACTTTTGGGCAGATAAAAGGATGAATAAATTTAAATGGTAAATGTGATCGGTCTAGGCCTGATACTTCTGAGCTCGCTTTTACATTTAAATATGGCTGTGTTCTTAGAAATTCAGAATCCAAGAGGCTTTTAAAAATCCTCTTCTGGTCGGGCTCGGTGGCTCACGCCTGTAATCCCAGCACTTTGGGAGGCCGAGGCGGGCGGATCACGAGGTCAGGAGATTGAGACCATCCTGGCTAACACGGTGAAACCCCGTCTCTACTAAAAATACAAAAAAGTAGCCGGGCGCGGTGGTGGGTGCCTGTAGTCCCAGCTCCTCGGGAGGCTGAGGCAGGAGAATGGCGTGAACCTGGGAGGCGGAGCTTGCAGTGAGCCGAGATCGCGCCACTGCAGTTCGGCCTGGGCAAAAGAGCGAGACTCCGTCTCAAAAAACAAACAAACAAGCAAGCAAACAAACAAACAAACAAAAATCCTCTTCCATGGCCCTCCTTTCATAAGCATTCTTGTTAACAAAGTTCAGCATTGACTCTCGTTTAAAATGTTAAGGTAATTTAATGTTGTCTTTTTAACTCAGCCTTATCATAATTCACTGGAATTATTTTTGAAAACAACATTTATAGATGAAAATCCATCTCACTTTAAATAGCTCACAAGACTATAGCTACATCCTCGAGATGACTGAGTCCGAAGTCTACTCTGGAATTTTGAGTCTATGATGCAGACAATGGGTTGTACTAAGTTTTTTAGACATCCCGGACAAATCTCTGTCTCTGGGAGGCTTGACACTAAATACGAAATAAAAAATTCAGCTGTGTAAAAAAGATAACATCATTTTCTTATAAATGAAAATAAATTCCTATAGTGATGTTATTTTACAGGGTAGTTAAAACTAGACTAATTCAGTGTTCTACTCCATTTCGCCTGGAGGTGTTTCACGTTCTTTCTTATTCCGTAGCATTGCTGAGAAGGTATCACCTGTGTGGATAACCATTAAGCTCCTCTAGCCTATTTCTCCTGGGCATCTTGCTGTCTCCTGGACTTTACCTGCAAAGAAAATACAGTTTTCCTCCATTCTAGAATTCCTATATCTCTTCTCTTGCCCTCTGGAGAATATCCTGTTTCCATCACCTTCATTTCCTCTGAACTATGCCACAGATGCAAGACCCTGCTCTCCCCAGGACCCACGCTGTCCACTCAGCTCTTTCTTCTTTCTTGATACTCTTCTTTTCTCTATCCTTCCAGGCAAGGGGAACTTTGTGTTGTTTTTTGATATTGGCAGTTTTGAGCAGAAAGTTGTTCTCCTTATCATAATGTAAAGTTGCCATTCATCATTCAAATTTATTCTCCTGAGATCTAGGCTTTTGAATCTCGAAAGTTAAGAACTGTTGTTTTAGCTTTATCATCTTTCTGATGTGTCAACACTTTTATGAGTCAAAAACACAAAGAATGCCCTATAGACTGCCTAAATAGAAAAAAATAAAACATACTGGCTAATCCATCAAAATATTATTCTGTTGCAGATATATGATGAATATACATATGTACATACATATATGTGCCTATGTATGTAACCTTGCAAAATTCGGATGTTGTCTGCCAGTTCTAATGAAAACATAACCTGATTTAAATGTGTTGTTGAGTTTCTAAGGTTCTACTCTCACCAAGAAAGAGTAGTAAAATACTGCCAAATTTGTTTACAGATTGCAATCATTTAATAATGCAACCAATATGCCCTATTTCCAATTTCACTTTTGAGGCACTAAAGAAGATAATGTATTTTAAAATATCAAATTCAGTGACTCTGAGACAATATATCATTCTTAGAATGAAAAATATGTTTTTTCTCCCACATTCTCCCCCCCACCCAGGAATAGTAGAAACACGAAAAATACACACAGGTTTCATGAATCACTCCTGCTTAGTGCTGGTCACCACCATCACTTAATGGAGGGCATGGTGAATCCGCTGCGCCCCTAAAAGCTACTTTCCCAAATGGCAGAATTCTGTGAACTCTCCTACTGCTCTTGGTTTCTTTCAGAATTGTTCATTGCTGTAATCTTCTAAATATGCCATTACCTTGCAAATACAACTGTGCAGGAGGTCTGAAGAATATTCCCTCCCTCCAGCCACTGCTGTGGTAGGTAAAGCATGGCATATTCTAAATACCAGAGCAGTCCAGGTATCCACTGAATATTCTATACGAGGAGAAATGGCAGCTTTTCCAGATGTTAAAAAATTAGTTTGTGGTGTTATACGTCAAGTGGCTGGCTCTTTTCTATGTATACACATCTAGTCATTTGCCAGTGGCACATCTTCAATGCCAATAGTATTGGACCACAGAGGATTCAGTATCAATGCATGCTTTTACCAGAGCCAGCTCTTCCCCATTTGAATCTTCAAAAGAAGAAGCACTGTCTTCTCTCCATCTCAGGGCCTAATGCATTTTCTTTCTGCAAGACTCATCACTTTCTAGAGTGACCAGTATTTTACCTATTTCCACAGGTAAAACAAAGAAAAAAATAACAGTCATAAAACTGTTATTATAGTTTATCTTATTGAAAAAGACCAAATAGTTGAACCAATATGAATTAGGCCTAATTTTTCATAATTAGGTCTCAGAGTCAAGGCGTCATGAGAAGTATACCCTAACTCTAAAGACAAACTTGAGACAGAGGAACTGGTGAGAAAAGGGCCTTGCTGTTGATATCAGGAAAAATGAGAATTGGGTGCTGTGAGATGATTTGATTGTGGGGTTGTGTGTTGCTTTGAGACAAGATTTATCACACGGCATACACATTTGAACATCACCGATAATGGGCCTCATCCTAGTTAAGCTATAGTCTGAGAAGAATCACTAGCATCTAAGCCACCAGCCATATCTACTCCTGGAGAAAACCTTATGATAGGGGAACACTGGTTGATGCTATCAGCTCCTTTTTATTAATGCTGTGTACAACTAGTGGTCTCTGTTCTTTCCAGTATCTGACATGAGATCTCAATTTGATCAGCTTATGTGTGGACAAGGGAGGCTTATGATAAATTGTTTCTATTTGCCCTTAATTTCTTAGGCTATTCTATTAGATGGCAGAGATCTAATATTACTGGCTCTTTGTGGGACCATGCTGCCTCCTGTTGATCACAGTTTCATTTTCTGCAGACAAAATGCTAGCTAAACTTGGCCCAGTTTTATGTTCTCCTCATCTTGACTGTGTAAAGCTTCAGGAAATTTTCTTTTTAGACCTTACGTTTAATTTAATAAATAACATGGAAATTGGCTGTTGTAAAAATATTTGGTGATTTTATTTTGATATGGCACATTTTGATTTATGGTATAATTAGGTATCAGTGAAACCTCAATAATTTTATTAAAAATATTTAAGCAAGGCTATTTCAAATTTTGTGCATTTACTGATTTCATTTTGTAGAAGACAGTGATCACTTTTACCTTAAAAATTATTTCTAGAGAAATAATTCAATTTCTTTACTTTTCAAAGTCTTACATCTCTTGTCATCATGAAGGTGCATCCCATTATCAAAAGCTTTCCAGAATATTGAGTTTTTGTTAATTTATAGAATAAACAAATTTATAACAACAATATGTAATGTTAATTCACTGTATTTAATTTGTAAAAATTACGCCTTAGTTCATTGTTCTTTAATAATTGTGTCTGCTGATGCAATATCATATATCACTATTAGGTGGATATAATGAAAATCAATAAATATGTGTTATTAATTGAAGAAATTTATAGAATATGTTGATATATATACTTAGGCCAACTATACTGTAAACTCAAAGCACACTAATAGTATTTAATCCTAGTTTTTATATACTACATTAATTCTGTGTTATCATTTTATATATGTATTTTATGTAGTATATACTTAATATATTAATTTAATATATTAAGCTTTTAATAGCACTTCTGCTCCTAATAAAATAGTAAAATAAGAAGAATATTGTAATAAATTTACTTATTCAGCAGATTTTATGATGTTATAATAAGGAAAAGAATGAAATATATTTCCTTAACAACTTCATAATAAATGCCAAGAACTGTATTATGGAGCAAAAATATAACTTATTTGCCTTAATTCAAAGCCAACATTCTTTATGAAGTGAATTAGAAAGAAAGACTAAATTTTTGTCGGGATACTTCTTTCATCATAGATAGAATGATAATTTCAGTAATCATTCAATATAAGTTTATTAAAATGCTCTGCCATAAAATAATCTTTATTCTGAATGGAATTAGCTGTCTTGTGAATCATGAAATATATACAAAACTAAGTTAATAAACACTCTGATTCTATCTAGACTACCAAATTCCCATTTAATATTTTCAAAATCATTGTATATTAAAGTGATCTTTTGATAGAATCAAAATGTTCCTCCACTTGACAGTGTCCTTAACACAATAAGTAAATCACTTTATATACTAGATTTGATACAACATTAAATGATTTGTAGTTGCATGGTGAGGAGAATGCAGTGGCTCCAGGCATAACGTAAGGAACATGGAGATTGTATGCTTCCACTGAATTTCTAATCTATAAGTTTACTTTTTCTATTTAAAGTTTTTTTAACCAGAAGATAAATTATTGGACATTTTGAATGTTCCCAGTAATTGAACTTAAATTGAATACAGAAAAACAATATTCAGAAATATTATACACATCAGTTTTAATTATCTACCAAATAATAATGTTAATTTAGAAAATACCGTGATAAAAACAGAACCTGTCCTAGTTTACTTACAAAATATTAAAGTATTTTTATTAAAAATTCTTATAAAGGTAACTAAACCTTTAACCTCAGACTGGAAAAGTATTTTCTCTGCTATTAAATAAGGAGTGCAAAATAAGTTTCATTTTTTTATCTTTGTATTAGATACTGTCCAGTTACACTGACTTCATGGAAGGAATGGAGAAAATCCATAGCCAAAAAAAAAAAAACCTCAAAAAACAAAAACAAAACACACACATACACATGAAACTTGATGTTATGTAGCCCCTTTTCACTTTGATTATTCTTGTAATAAAGAAGATATTAGATTCTAAAAGCAAAAATTAATTTAAAAAATTAATAAAACCCCTCCTCATACTTTCAGAGAAAGAAAATTGTTTTCAAAGCAGGCAGTCTGTGAGGTCTTGTATGTTTTTATTGCGCCAAATAGATGGCTTCACCCTTTTCAAGATTTTAGTGAACCTTTGCTGACAGGAGCTCTTAGTTGTTGTCATTCCCCGCCCCTCGTTCCCAAATATCTAGACTGTAAAATTTGATTCCAGCCTGTCAACCATTAAGCAGCAATAATTATTTCTGAAGTAGTGAAGGTGAAGTGTGACAGCCATTTCATATCGACGACCTTTTCCAAGCTTCATAAAACTTTCAGGTTTCTTTTTCTTTCTCTATCTCTTATGCAACAGCCAAAGAGAAAAGAAAGCTAAGGAAAACAGAACCTAGTTTTTCTTATGTGCTGCATGTTTTTGTTTGTTTGCACCAAACTATCCTTTTAAAACTAGACTTGGTAATAATAAGCAAAAACTGAAACACAATTTATAGTTTCCCAGGCTCTTTAAACATGATTGTGATACGTGGTCGCCCTTAATAAGAGCACTGGTCTTAGTTTATTTAAAACAACAACCACAAAACCTGTAGTTTAGTTTGCAGAATAATTATTGAAGATAAATTTCACGGATTGTGGAGAGCATCATATTACTGCTGCCGTGTGGCCTTAACTTCTATTATATAATTGGTTAACCATGGAAGGTACATTTGTTGACATTATTTAGAGAGATGTTATTAATTCAGTTAAACTGGTAAAAAAAATTCTGCTCTTTAAGAGTTTTTAGTTAGAAATAACACTGCAAATTTTTATTATTTTCTTTAAAGACATACTTTGTATTATTAGACCAGTATTTCTAAAAGTAGATAAACAGACTTTAGAATGGCTTGAACTGATGTTAAAAATGCACATTCCTGAGTTCAGTCTTCCAAATCAGAAAGTGGGAGGCCAAGAGGACTACAGCATTTACATTTTGATAAGACTTAATATCTCCATCCCTTATTGTGATGCTAATGTACACTAAAGTTTGGAAACTATTGATTTAGACATAACTCAGAAGCCATGTTTTAATAGTCTTAGGAAAAACAAGCCATGTTAGATCAATTTCTTTTCCTTTTAAATTGAAATAATAAGCTTTGTAAAAGGGGGTAAGATGGTTTTAATTTTTATTGTATAAGTTTAGAAAAATGTATCCTGGAAACATGAAGAATGGATTGCTATGGTCTGAATGTTTGTGTCTCCCCAAAATTCATATGTTGAACCCCCAACCCCCAAGGTGATGTATTAGCCTTTTGGAAGGTGATTAAGTCAAGGGAGTGTGGTCTCATAAATGGGATTTATACCCTTACAGAAAAGGCTCCAGTGAGCTCCTTTGCTTCTTCCACCATGTGAGGATTCAGCAAGAGGATGCCATCTATAAATCAGGAAATGGGCCATCACCGTATACCAAATATGCTGGCACCTTGATCTTGTGCTTTCAGCTACCAGAACTGTGAGCAATAAATTTCTGTTTTTGATATACTCCCCAGTTTATGATATTTCGTTATATCAGTCCAAAGGGACTAAGACATGGATCCTACCTGTGGAATCTACGTGATCATTCCAACTGTATAATTTGCTTTTGTGTTCCCACTAGAAAGACATAGTGCTTAGAGTGTACCTGGAATATTGATACACAATTTGCAAAGGAGGGATCAGCATGCATAGTTCTTTATAGGCCGTGGTGTGAACTGAGGTTTTTCTTCCGTATAAGATGAGAAGCCATAAGAGTGTTTTAAACAGAAGAGTGGAGTACAATTTACTTGTGCTTTAGAAATTCACACAGAACAAAAAAGAGCCCAACAGCCCAAATAGCCATAGCAATCCTAAGCAAAAAGAGCAAAGCCAAAGGTATCACACTCCCTGATTTCAAACTGTAGTACAAGTCCAATGTAACTCATACAAAAATAGACACATACACCAATGGAACAGGTTAGAAAGTCCAGAAATAAAGTTATACGCCTACAACCATCTGATCTTCAACAAAGTTGACAATAAAGAGCAATGGGGGAAAGGACTCTCTGTTTAATAAATGGTACTGGGAAAACAGGCTAGCCATATGCAGAAGATTGAAGCTGGACCCCTTCCTTACACCAGACACAAAAATCAACAGAAGATGGATTAAAGACTTAAATGTAAGAACTAAAACTATAAAAACACTAAAAGAAAACCTAGAACATATCATACTGGACATAGGCCTTGGCAAAGATTTCATGACAAAGTCTCTAAAAGCAATTGAAACAGGAACAAATATTGACAAAGTGGACCTTATTAAACTAAAGAACTTCTGCGCACCAAAAGAAACTATCAAGAGAGTAAACAGACAACCTACAGAATGAGAGAAAATATTTGCAAACTATACATATGACAAAGGTCTACTATCCAGAATCTATAAAGAATGTAAAATATGTAAAATCAACAAGCAAAAATCAAACAACCCCATTAAAAGATGGGCAAAGGAAATGAACAGACACTTCTGAAAAGAAGACAAACACATGGCCAACAAGCATATGACAAAAGACATCACTAATTACTAGGAAAACGCAAATCAAATCGTGAGATATCATCTCATACCAGTCAGGATGGATATTAATAAAAGTCATAAAATAACATGTTGATGAGAAAAGAAACATGTCAGGGAGAAAAGAAACACTTATACACTCCTGGTGGAAACTTACACTAATGTAAATTTGTTCACACTGTTGGTGAACTAATTTATATTAGTTCATCCACTGTGAAAAGTAGTATAGCAATTTCTCAAAGAAGTTAAAACAACTACCATTCAACCCAGCCATCCCATTACTGGGTATATACCCAAGTAATATAAATTGTTCTACCAAAAGACACATGTGCTTATATGTTCATCACAGTATTAGTCACAATAGCAAAGAGATAGAATCAACCAAGATGCCCATCAGCAGTGGCCTGGATAAAGAAAATGTGGTACATAAATACCATGGAATACTCTGCAGCCAAAAAGGGAAAACAATGTCCTTTGCAGCAACATGGAGGCAGCTGGAATCCATTATCCTAAGTGAATTAACAAAGACAACAACAGAAAATCAAATGCCATATGTTCTCAATTATAAGTGGGAAGTAAACATTGAGTACGTATGGACACAAAGAGGAGAACAATGGACAGAGATGCCTACTTGAGGGGGGAAGGTGAAAGGAGGGTAAGGGTTGAAAAACTACTTCTCAGGTACTATGCTTAGTACCTGGGTGGGTGATGAAATTATTTGTACACCAAACCCCAGTGACAATGAAAATTACCCATGTAATAAACCTGCATGTGTACCTCCTGAAATGAAAATAAAAATTGGAGAAGAAAAATAAAAAGACCATTTTGTATTGAGTGGAGAATAGATTGTGTTTGGTAAGAATGCAGGCAGGAACAGCTAATACAACAGACCAGGTCAGACGTTGTAATGATTTGACTAGTGTGGAAGTGCCTAGTTGCTGAAAAGAAGGAGGATCCTGAATGTATTTCAAAGATTCAGCTGACAGGATTAGATTTAGAATGTAAAAGGAAATGTGACAAATAAAGGAAAATTACAACATTTTTGGCATGTGCAACCAAACAAACAGGATTTACTAAGATGTGGAGTTGTTAGTCTGTTCTCACTCTGCTAATAAAGACATACCCAGGTTATAAAGAAAAATAGGTGAAATGGACTCACAGTTCCACATGGCTGGGGAGGCCTCACAATCATGGCAGAAGGTGAAGGAGGAGCAAAGGCACATCTTACATGGTGGCAGGCAAGAGAAGTGCCAAGCAGAAAGGGGGAAAGTTCCTTATAAAACCATCAGATCTCCTGAGAACTTACTGACTGTCATAATAACAGGATGGGGGAAACTGCCTCCATGATTTAGTTATCTCCACCTGGTCCCTCCCATGACATGTGGGGATTATGAGAACTACAATTCAAGATGAGATTTGGGTGGGGACACAGCCAAACCATATTAGGAACCTTGTATATTAGGGAGTTTGGAGAACTCTGTTTTTGGGATGGAAAAATAGGAGATTCTAGGGTTCTGTTTTAGACATGCTAAATTTGGAGTCTTCATCACCAGATCATGGCCCGCAAACTATTATCCATGAGCCAAATATGGCTTATTGATTGTCTTTGTAGGACCCACAGGCTAAGAATGGTGTTCACGTTTTTAAATAGTTGAAAAATAAATAATATTTTGTGACATGCATAATTTACTTGAAATTAAAATTCCTACATGCATAAACAGTCACACTCATTTGGTTGTATTGTATCTGTGGCTGCTCTTGTATTACAGAGGCAGAGCTGAGTTGTGCAACAGTGACCATATATTTCACAGAATTGAAATTGTTTAGCTGACCTTTTATGGAAAAATTTCCTGAGCCCTTATTTTGATGGTCTACCACAAACAACATGCTAGCTTGAACTGTAGGAAAGTTAGGCGGCAGCTTCTGCATTACTCTAATCAATAAATGGCCCAATTTTTGCTCATGTAAAGACCTTAGTCATGAGAAGATTTAACATGCATGTGACTTTTCATGTGAACTTCAGTGCCATAACCAACAGTAAATTACTTGTGGCAAGTATTAATCAACTTCTATCTGGCCAAGAGAGGAGATGCCACTTCATAAAGACATCTTTTGAATTCCCCAAAGTGGATCACGTGGCTTCTGGTTTATTTTACCCAAGCAGGAGCTTTCCTAGTCAGGAATGACCACAGTTTCACACACCGCTTGATGTATCTGTTATGCTGTGCATCTCTAAGGTTAGGTGGAATCATAGGAGTATATTATAGGAAGGTTTTTCCACTATCTTGAGACATGCCAAGGACAAAGGAAAAAAATCAATACTTTATTTCTATTAAATTATACATTCAACTTCCTATAACCTCTAACTACAGTGAAGGAACTGAGTCCTCTACTTTTAGAAAACAGTCATGATATTGCTATTATTAAAACAAAAAACCTTCTATTGCTCTAACTAAATAAGGTTGATAATTTAGAAAATTGAGAGATAATCTGCATTTGATGAGAGCTGAGCTCAAGTTGTATGTGTACATGTAGGAGGGTCAGTATTCAAGGCCACAGATAAATGCACCAATGTCTGATTTTCACTGAATTTATTATAACACTATTTTTAGATATTCACTAGTTTTATATATACAGAATTGCTTTATTATACATACATGAAAAACTTTAAAATATGTTCAATATGTGAAAAGACATTTACTTTAAAACCTTTATACCTAGTGGAGCTTTTTCCCTTTCTATAAAAAGAGACATATGGGAGGAGAAATCATCAAATCCCTAGCAGGAAGTTAATACCCGCTGAGCTCCTCTGACAGAGGCAAGACTCCTCTAAAGCCTTATAAGTATGTGAGATCCAGTCTTCATAAAAATGAGTCAGGGTTTGCTCTGTGACAGGTAAAATCTTCCATTTCTGAAGTTATTTTTAACTTTAGAACATAATTTCTGTGAATTTTGTGCTATTAAACCTTCTTCCTACTATTTAAGCATGTAAGATTTTTTGAAAGGATCTAGTATACTATTTGCCTTTTGAATATTTGATGACATGCTGTATGGGAAAAATACACAAACATCCATCACCATTTTTTTTATTTTACTTTCATCTTGGCAGTATTACATATGATTGGATAACATCAAATGTATGTATGCATATCAATGGTCATAGGCTGTGCAATACAAGGAGAGAACTTCCAAATCTCAATGATTTAGAGCATAGGCAGATTTTGTTATTATCATTTCCTTATAACATTGTGTGGTTCACATCATTATTTTATCATCATCATCAAAAGCCTCATCATTAATCTATTATTCACTAAGCCACCATATGGACATAAAAATGCCAGTTATCATACAAATTAATATTTTCATCTTTCCTTACTTATTTCAATAATTTGTTAGCTTTTAATTTTGATAGAAGCAAAATGCTAAGACCACTTTAGAGTTGATAATTCCACCAGTAACATCTGATAATTAGGTTGACTTATGTCAGAAAAGTCAGGAGTTTCACTAACGAAATAGAATGCCACATAAAAATTCAGTAAATTTTAGAGCCTGTCTGTACAGGTGATTGGATTGTTAATTTTACAGGTCACTTGCTGGAGCATGAATAGCATGCAATTGGTATGTTTCTCAGAGCTAGATTATTATGAGAGTGAAAAAAGCCTATTAAGTCTAATAAAAGCCTTCATTTTCTTTATTTTTGTAGCATTTCAGAAACTTTTGATCAATTATTTACATGACCTGTAATAAAATTTTCAAAATGCTGCAAGCATTCCAGTTTAGCATTAATTTTCAAATTGCTTTGGTTTTATCTATTTCTTAACTTGTGAAGGGATTTCTAGAAGGCAGAATGGAACATAGTAAATCTTTTTTTAAATAAAATTGTTCAAATAGTTGGAGTAGGGCTCCCTGCTGGATGAGTGCTGAGCTTACCATTCATCTAGGTGTGGTTAGTACATCTCCTTACCAGTATCTATTTGCAATCTGCTGATTTATACTGCTGTCCAGGGGATTCCTCGGGAAAATTATGTGGTCTGTCCACAATTACAGTTTGAACGGACCAAAGTTTTAAGGGGATGGAGGGATTCATAGTGGTCAAGGAAGCAAAGAAATTCCATGTACAGGGGCTGACTGCAGCAAAGAGAAGAAGGAATTCAATGCGACAAATTGGAACTGTTGGTGAGAAGGTAAATTTGTACAAACTCTATGGAAAACAGTATGGAAATTTCTCAAAGGACTAAAAATAGAATTACCATTCAATCCAGCTATTGCACTACTGGGTATCTACCCAGAGGAAAAGTAATTAATATATTAAAAAGGTACCCATACTCGTATGTTTATTGCAGCACTATTTACAGTAGCAGATACATAGAATCTGCTAATGGACCTAACTGCCCATCAATAGATGAGTGGATTAAGAAATGTGCCATGTATACACAATGAAATACTATTCAGCCATAGAAAAGAATGAAATGTTTTTTGCAGCAACGTGGATGGAACTGGAGGCCATTATCTTAAGTAAAACAAGTCAGACACAGAAAAACAAATATCACATTTTCTCACTCATATAGTGCAAGCAAAATAATGTACACACATGGATGTAAAGAGTGGAATGATAAACAATGGAGACTTGAAAGGGTGAGGTGGTGGAAGGAAGGTGGATAATAATAAATTACTTAATGGGTACAATGTGCATTATTTGTGTGACGGACACCCTAAAAGTCCAGACTTCACTACCATGCAATCTATTCATCTAACAAAATTGCACTTGTACCCTGTAAATTTATACAAATTTAATTAATTAATTTAATTATATCAAGACAATCATTTTAAGAAAATGGTGTTTCTGGGTTTGGAGTAATAGCTGCTGCTTAACACATTCAGTATATTCTAGGGAATATAGATTATTTGGGAGAGGATGTAGTGTAGATGTGTGGTTCATGAAAACTGTGAATAATTCCAGGACACAAACATTAACTCTATTACACTATAGAGGTGAAGCAGCCCTACTGTGGCATCTCCTTAATTGCAAAACATGGAGAGAGAATTTTCTCCTTCTGACTTGGCTGAGTTGTCTCATCACTCTGCATTTTGCACACCTCCATGGTTGGGCAATTATCAGAATTGAGTCTTAAGATGATCAGTGTCCTGAGTGAATACTGGAACAAAGAAACCAGGGACTTGGTGAGGACAGGTCCAATACTATGTAAAATCGCCAGGAATATTTGGAGATGAGGAAAACTTTGAAGCCTGCTTGAGCGAATGGGAAGTATAGTGCTAATAATTCAGGTATTTGGTTTGTTGCAATCTTATTTTAATACCTAAATACTGGGAAACTTGTGTGGTTTTGTTTGATGGTAAACTCAAGACTGCAAAAATCTATGATCAATTTAGTCTTAGCCATGAATTCTTATTCTTCTGCAAAAATTCTGTTGTTATTGTTCACAAAGATGAATATCCTTTCAAACTGATCCTTCTATGAAATTGCTTAATCTTTAAAATTCAGTAGGAAAACTTATAACAGTTGGAATACTAGAAAACTTCTTTTTTATTGGTAACGAAGTTCAAAAGGCAACTTCCTAGTGGAAATATGGAGGGACTTGAAAGATTATTCTTACTAGTTAATTTCAAATATTCTCTAAGATTCTTTCATAATGTCTCAGTTTTAAAAAGCTGAAACACATGTCAGATGAATTATTACATATTTTAAAATGCAATTGAAAGATGGGAAAGGATTATGGCAAAGTATTTAAATAGTTTAAAATCTACAATGCTTAACAATATGCAAGCCAGAATCTTAAGATAAGTTCATCTATGACAGTTACTTGTTGACTTGCTTACATTCAACAATTTTCTACTCTTGATTATAAATACCATACATTTTTTCTAAACTTCCTGAGTTATTTCACACTTCTTCATTAATTGATGTCAAATTCTGCTTTAACAAGAACAGAGATGGTTAGACATGCATTTTTTTATTTAAAAGTGGTAGATAATGATTATAAAGGCCATTTTCCGACAGCTATTTTTTATAAAAAATTTATTAAATGATTAAAATTTGTTACATCATTTTATATAACAAACTTTAATCATATAATCACTTTTAATCTCCCTGTGTGTGTGTGTGTGTGTGTGTAATTCAAGACTATATATATAAACTAGATATATGTAACTGTATATATGTATATATAACTTATATATAGTCTTAAAATATACACACATATATACATATAGGTATATACATACATATACACACATATATGTATATATGTGTGTATATTTATATTTATATATAGTGTATATAACTGTATATATAACTATATATACACACACACACGTGTGTGTGTAATTTTTTGGTGGGGATAAATTAATTTTTTTCTGAAATTTGTTGGAAAATGTCTAGCTGATAAGAAACATTAAAGATAAAAAAGATTGCATGCAAAAATACCACAAAAGAACAACTTTAGAAAACATGATTGCTTTATCTGTAGGGATCTGATAATATGATGTTATATATATGCTGAACGATATCTCAAACATGATTCAACAAATGTGTATACAGTTTTAAGAATAATGTAAAGGCAAGGAAAACATTTAAAAAAACCTAACTTTTGATAAACACAATGGAAAATACACTTACTTTAAATATAAGTAAATCAAAAGAGAAAGCAAAGCAACAAAGTTCCTTCCTCATTATACAGGAAAGGAAAATCAGATAGTTTGTAATATACCAGATTCATTAAAGCAAATTCTACCTGTAAAACACATACTAGCAATGAGAGGCATTAGAGACATTTAAGTAATTAAAGAACAAGTGAGAAAATCTTTAAGTGGACAAGCTAGGTGAAAATCTGAGATTTCTGATGGAATTTCATCATTATCTTTCTGCCTGAAAGAATGAGTTTTGAGAGAAAACTTAGTATCAGGGCTGCAATTCAGTTAGTGATGCTCCACTGGTTTACCCAGATGTCAATTTTTCCCAGTGAAGTAAGACGAGTTTCAGTATCAACTTCAAATTTGATCTATGGTAGATATGTTTAGAAAATCAGAAACACTCCTGACTTAGCAAGCTCAATAAGCTTTTAACATCAAAATAATGAAATCCAATGACTCAAATTGACCAACCTTTCTATCATTTGCATTTTCCTTTGAGTTTACATTTGTTTTAATTATTCCATGTTTCACTTCTTTGCAAAAACATTTGATAGCTCTAGTAAATTGTCTTCTTTTATTAAGTGTCATTGTCAAATCCAAATAAATGATTGTGGCTTACTCTATTAAAGAGATGGCTTTCCCAGCCCCTAGATAATGTTGCAAATAATAATAATAAGAGATCCAACACTTATTGAACACTTACGATGTGTCTGGTGTACCTGATAGGAATCTGGTGATGACTACTGTATCTAATCCTCAGGAAACCTAAGAACTGAAGAATTATGGAATTTGCTGAAAGTGATGTGGCTAGTAAGGTATAGAGCCAGGTTTTGCACCAAAGTGATGTGACTGCGGAGTTTATGCTCTTAATCCCTCTACAGCATGGCTTCTCACGTCTGTGTCCATATCCACACAGTGACTTGCAGACACACAAAACAGATGTTTATTTTATGTATCTGAATATGTCATGTTTTATTTATTAAATTACTTAAGAAAAATAAAAATATCCCACCACAGAGGAAGGACATAGTCTGCACACAGCCTACAGTATTCTCATAATAAACATATGCTCTTGATTTTTGACAATTCTTTCAGTCTTCTTCTTCTTTGAGTCAGTTGTAGAGAAGGGAATCTGTGTCTAACATTGACTCCTTTCCCCCAGCCTGGAGTTCAGTTTTGTGACCACATTGCAGCTCCATAAAACTGTCTTGCTGATGCCTCGGTGGTTGGGCCCTAAATCTTTAGAGAGGCTGTTCTGCCTGTGTAGCTCTAGAGGCCCAACGCAGTAAATACAAACTCCAGACACCCCTGCTTCCTATATGTCCCGGGTCTTAGAGACGTTTTCAGTAATCCTGCCTTGCCCTTTACTTCCCAGTGTGTTTCTTATCTCTCAGCACTGGGCCACTTGTTCTGTTTCTTATTTATGGCTCTCATATTCATTGTCAGATCTGATGTTAGATAGCAAGCCACGGGTCCTTGGTACTGATATCAGCAATTCCTTAGGTAACTGCACAACAAGTGAGAAAATCTTTAAGTGGACAAACTAGGTAAAAATGTGAGATTTCTCATGGGACTTCATCACTAACTTCTATTCTCGAATAGTGAGTCTTGGAGGAATGCCTAATATCAGGGCTGCAAATCATTTAATAAAGATCCAGTAATTAGTACTTGCCCTCAAAGCTACGTTTGTTTCTATCTGTCAAAAGGTCCCTTCTTATTTGGTGCCCCCCATTTTTACCTTCCCCTGCCTTGGATACATCCCAGGCCGCTTGAGAGGTTCAGTGCTACCATTTGCCAGTAACTGCTCTCAGGTTTTTGTTATTTCATGGTCTGGAGGTTCTTTTTATTTTATGCTTCTTCATGATGTCACCTCTGGGTACACATCCTCTCTCAGGTTGCTGCCTCTCAGATTCATTTTCACGCCTTCCACTTCTAAGGTGTATGTTTTCAAGTCCCCTTGCTCTTGTGTGTCCTTTTGTGTTTTATTCTTCCTTGACTTCTTTTTCTTTGCCACACTTCCACTCTGTATCTATGCATCAGACTAATATATATAGACTTTTGGAAATAAAATAAAAATGAGGATGGGTGATTCAAATTTATTTTTTTAATAAAAAAATTGTAACAGAGACATTTCTAAACCTAAGTTTGAAGAAGTCAGCAAATAGAAATAGTCATTTGAGCAAAGTATAAAAAACTCTAGAAATAATCAAGCTTCTGTAACTTCTGAAAAAAAAGATGGTTTCACACTCTGTTTTTGATTTCTAGTAAGAAAATGAATTAGCATTTCTATAGCCAACTTTCAAATTTTCTCTGTGATTCAATGTAGTCTAGCACTATATTTATAAGAATCTTTAAGAACTCAGGAGAAATTATATGACTTTAAAAGCGTCCAAAATGATTGCTGTCTGTGTCAGTATGAAAGAATGTTTTGGGAAGGCTGGAAAGTAAACTATAGGGGGTGAAATTTAGGGAAGAAAAGAACAAGGTGGTGAAATGTAGTCACTCTACTTTAGCGTTTTTGAATAAAGGATAGTTTCAGGAAGATTAAAGTTATGTCCACAGGCCTCGTGTGGATAGCAACATAGGCCAAATCCAAAGGGACAAAGATTTCTGTACCTGAAGTCATCTGCATTCTGCCATGAAAGAGACACAATATATATGAAGTTGTATGTAGCCACTAGGGCTGAATGCTAGGCCATAGTTATGGCCATTCTGCAGTGCTCGGTTCATGGAATATGAACTTGAAAAATATTAATAGGTCCTAGATGCTCTGGATATTCTAGGCACTGCAGTGGCTGCTAGACAGCCGGGTATAATCATTGCAAGCACAGTCATTGGAATAAAAATAACAAGATTCAAGTCCTCCATCATTTATTTAAGCTCTGTGATCTTGAACAATTTACTTCACCTCTCTGAGCCTATCTAGGGAAGGAAAAAAATGTGTCAGTCTCTTCTCTGACCATGTTCTTCACTGTCACTCTCACTGAAACCTGACTTCCTCCTGAGCTCCCTGCAGCTCTCCCAAGTAAAGGCTGTTTCTAGAGCAAAACACATACACCCCAGCCCCTTCAGGTAGGAAAGCATCTTCCATGATCCTCACTCCCACTTTGAGACCATTTCTCCCATATTTCTCCCTAAAGCCTTCAGGTTTGAATTTCAGGCCAAAGAATTAGAGCAGCCTTGCTTATTGCAGTCCTCCAGATTACCTTCCTTCATTCCTTAAAGTAGTTACTCCAGGTTCATTGTCTTTTTCTCCTGCATCAATAAGATTTTGTGATTTCAATAACCACACTGATGGTCCTTCCAATGCCCTGTTTTTGTGTCCTAAAAAATAATGTTTGCTATCTGGTCTCACCGACTCATTTCTGCAGTCAGACCCTAGCCTGCACTGCCCAGCATAGTAGCCAATAATCACAGGTGACTATTACAACGTTTAAAAATTAGGAATTCAGTCTCTCAATTGCACTAGCCACATTTCAAGTGCTCAGTAGGTGCAGATGGCTAGTGACTACCATATTTGACAGCTCAGAACAATTCCATTATCACAGAAAGTTCTACAAGATAATGCTGCATCCTAGACCGCAATATTATCTGCACCTGAAATCCCTCCATAATGTCAGTTTTATACCTCCCACTTTCTGATCTTTACTTTCTATCTTTCCAGCTCACTGCCTCTAGCTGCCTGACTCAAAGAATCAGTGATCCACCTTGGACATACTGTTCATTGAGCTTAGCATTTTTTCATACTTCTAATCTTCCTCACGCTTTTCCTAGACTCTTTAATCCACTTGAGTCACATTGTATAATCTCTACCTTGCCTCCTCCCTCACTTCTGTACATTTTCCTGGCTAAAATGCAGTCTTGGTTAGGTCAAACTACCTGCCCAGTTGTATATACCACAGACGATATAAGGGGCTGGAGAAAATTCCATAAACCTGACTGGCCCAATTCTGTATGCAATACCTCTAATTTTAAGATAAGTAAAAATGTTTCTGAGATTGAATAATTTCTATTGATTGGTCTAATTCAGTTATACTTTCTTCTACATTATCCAAACTGTTAAGCTCATTCAGTGAAATTTCACTTTAATATTGTGCTTTTCTGTTCTCAAATTTCCATTCAGTTTCTATTTGTCTGTGGAGTTTCTTCATTTGTTCATTCATTATCTCTATATTTACCCTTAGGTCTTTGCTCTTTTAAAGTCCTTGTCTACTAATTTCAACATCTGAGTCATTGCATAGTCTGTTTTTATTTATACCTTTTTTCTTTGAGTATGGATTGGTTGTTCTTGCTTTTTTACATACCAGCTAGTTGTAACTCAATGCTAGATATTGTGAATATATACTGTAGGGAATCTAGATTATTTCTTCTTCATTTATAGGGTGTCGATTTTGTTCTGGATGACAGCTAAGTTACTGGCAGCCCTTTTTGATCCTGACAGACATGGTTTTGTCTCTGCTGGTTTCTCTCTCTCTCTCTCTCTCTCTCTCTCTATTTAATTCCATCTACTTTCTCAGTTCAGAAGACTGCCATGTTGTGTTCAAGCTCCACCTCCAAAGAAGAAAACCAGGTCAATGTAGGGCTTGCTTCATGTGTTTCCCTACTCTTAAAGATCATGTCACTCGATAGCTCTGTGGCTAGTACCTTTTTCATGGATGAAAGTAGAAGTTTGTCCTACCTTCCTTTCCTTTTCAAACTTTTATTTGCAAATGACACATATCCAGAAATAGACATAACACATAATGTACAATTTATTATTTAATGGAAAAGATACTACCAACAAAGCTTCTGTCTAGCTCAAGAATTAGAACATTTTCGTCATTGCAGAAATGTGTCCCTACCGTGTATACCCATTCACAGTCACAACCCCATTCCTCTTCCCTAAATGTAATCACGATTCTGATGGTATGGTAATCATTTCTTTTATTCTCTTTGTACTTTTACTGTTTCTTTTATTCTCTTTGTGCTTTTACTGTTGCAGTAGACATTGCTAAAGACAATATCTTAGCAATGTATAATTCCATTTATGTAATGTCTGAAATGTATAATTCCATTTATGTAATGCTACATAAATGGAATGTCTACTGCATTACATAAATGGAATCATACATTGGGTAAATGTGCTTTTGTGACTGACTTCCTTTCCTTAACATTATGTTTAATGAGCTTTATCCATGTTACTGGGTGTAACTATAACTTATTCATGTTTATCAACCCTCTCTTTACCTCACTGCAATGAGTCTTATTTCATATTATTTCACCTAAACTGTCCTAGTAAGAGTTGCCTTTGACCTTCATCAAGGTTGGCTCATTTATCTTCTCAATTTGAAGCACTAGACTCTCTAAACTTCCTCCCTGCTGTTCTTTCCTCGACCTCCAACTTATTCAGCCAATTCACAGACAGGTCCACAGGCAGCCTATCCACAGCAACTAGGAAAAGAAGCATGCAGATCACCGTTATGTGGGAACCACGTAATAAACATATATGTGCACGCAGTGCATGTGCATATATAAAAGTGGTATCTATCTATCTATCATCTATCTATCTATCTATCTATCTATCTATCTATCTATCTATCTATCTCTAATTTAGCTATTCTGGGATATGCAGGAGTCTTCCATTTTATCATTTAATGGCCATGTCAAAAATTTTAAATGTTAGTTTATTTAATAAAATAAAATTTTAAATGGTTGTTGTCTTTAAACTTAATTCTAGGGGAAAAAAAGATGTGCATGGAGTCCGGTTCTCTTTTACAAAGTTAATCTGAAAGACAATCTTTGGTCATGGGCTCAGCAAAATTTCAGTTTAGATATGAGAGTATGAAAGACATCAGGAATGTGGATATTTTTTAACTTGTTCACAATTCTGGGACTTCTTATATCTTTCATTGTGGTAGAAAATTGATCATTTGGGAGAGGCATTAAATGAAATAAAATTCTTTCTTTTATTGCTGGGAGAGGTCTTCTTTAATTTCCTTAGATGTTAGTCTATCTCTGAAGTCTTATCTTACATGCTGAAGCATATTTTTTGAACTATCCAAAAGGGTCCTGTTCTTTTTCTCATTTTAGTTATTAGTCTGGAGATTGCCACCATTCTAGGATCTGTATGACATTTTTGTATTATAGCTAAACCCAAGAGCCAATTTTCTTATTAGTGGCAAGTGAGTGAAGAGTGAAGAGACCATAAAGTCAGATAGTTTTACATTAGGCTTGGGATTGGTGCCCAGAATTATAATTTACATGCAAGAACTACATTCTAAGTCTTGTAGCTACTCTTACCTCTGAAAATTAGGTAAAATCACCACTTTTCCTCAAATTACCTTGATACATTTTCTTTTTTAAGAAGTACGTTGAGTGCATTAATTATCCTGATAATTGTTTAATCTTCTTCATTTTGTTAGATGGGTTGAGAAGAAACTTTTCCTATTTAAGGCAATTTTGCCACGTGTAATTCATGTACTCCTGAGAGTATGTCAAATGTGAAAAAATAACTAGGCTGTCCTGTCTACTCTCATACCACTGATTATGATGAGCACGATTTCAGGCTCAGGAAGATATTGGTGCCACCTCGCTGGAGTGAATGAAAAGGACTGGAGTTGGCTACAGTTGCGTTGCATGAAATGCATTATAAAATCACGTGCTTCCATCCCATAGCAGCATTCAGACCTCTGGAAAATATTATGCTCCAGTTTTATCAGTATATTAGAGTGTGTTTTGCAGTCATTTGGCAGCCAAAAAGCTAGAGATATATGGTATGTTTCCACTGCTTATTTCATATGCTTCTATTTTTATCAGCTCAAATCTGACTTAAAGGAATGATGATCCAGCATCCATCCCATGGAGGTCATGGGAATTATTGATTGATGCAGCCAGTGCATGGGAAGGTAAACTCTGAACAACTTGTCATTCCAAGAAACACTTGTGAAGAACAGTTTGTTCCTTGAGAATAAGCTGATAAATAGTCCAAGGACAGAAAAAATGTTATACAGCTACAAAGGGTGATCAAAAGCTGAGTGAATATAAGTGGATGGAAACTTTAGAACCCCTCTGGCTTCACAGCCTTCCTTATACCAACTTTGCATAGTAGTGATTCTATGTGCATGTATGTGTGTGTGCATGTATGTTTTGTGTGTGTATGCCAGCAATTATGATATTTCTGTGGACTAAAAGTCTGTGCTTAGGAACATGGTCCTTATAAATATTAACAAGTGACTGAGTAGATAAAAAGATCAATTTCATGGCTTCCCCATAGCTCTATTATGAGTTATTATCCTTTAAGGGGTTTAATAGTGTTGAGGATCATTAAATTTCACAAGCTGAAGGTGAGATTGACAGCTGGTTATCGACCTAATATCTACTCTCCATTTCTTCATTAGTTAAACAGTCTCAATTTTATCTATGGTGGTCATGTTCCCATTTCAATCATTCTTGCAGTTAGGTTTGACTCCATGATTTTTAATCAATAAGAAGTTTCTTATTCAAACTGCTTTAAAAGTATACCATAGACTGGGTGACTTACAAACAGCAGATATTTATTTCTCACAGTTATGCAGGCTGGGAAATCTAAGATCAAGGTACCAGATGACTTGGGGTCTGGTGAAGGCCTGCTTCCTAGAAAGATGTCTTTTCACTGTAGCCTCACATGACAGAAATGGGGCGATATCTCTCTGGGGCCTTTTAAATAAGGGCAGTAATCCCATTCACGTGGGTTCTGCCTTCCTAACCTCATCAACTCCTAAAGACCCTACCTCCTTATATCGTCACCTTGGGGATTCACATTTTGTCATATGAATTTTGTGGGGACACATGCATTCAGACCATAGCAAGGGGTATTTAGATTTAATCAACATGAAGTATTTTATCTGAATTCTAGGTCAGCTCTTGAAAGAGAGATTTATTTAAGAGATGTGTCCCTTTTGATTCTCTTCCCTTCCTCTTCTTTATTGCCCGAAGTATGAATATAATATCTAGCGCTCTAGCAGCCATCATGAAAACATTTTCCAGCATAAGAATGGAAGTCATATGCAGAGATAATGGAGGAGAGATGTGGAAGAAGGCTGGGTCCTGGGTGAGTTTGTAATCACTGTGCCTGCTCAGGACTGTCAATCGATCTCTGCACTTTTATTTTTGTGAGTGAATAAACATAAGCCTCTGATATTTTGAGGTTCTCTCTTTTCAATACCTAAATATAATCCAAAATAATGTATTTTGAATAGAGAAATACCTAGTGGTAAATGCAGGGATAAATTCTGGTCATAAGGAAAGATATGACATTTATATGACATATATATGACAAATTTTGCACTCAGATTAGAAAAGAGTTTATGTAGTCCTAATTTCAAGGTTTTCTCAAATGACAGTTTTTAAAAAAGTATTGTTATACAGAATTGCCTGATTGGATGGCCATTTTTGCGTGAATCTAACTCTGTGTGTGTGTGTTTGTGGCAAGAGAGACAGAAAGCATTATTCTTATTCTTCCATATATGTGTACGGCAAATTGTCAAGCTACATTTTTTTTACAATGTATTTTATTGTGAAATTAAAAACCAGCAATAACTATTCTAAGGTCAATTAAGAAGCTACAACTGAATGTGCAGGGTTTAGATCTTGGCTTTACTCTTAATTAGAATTGTTCATGAATCACAATGTCCCTACTCACTTGAAATAGATTGAGTCACAAAGTAAAAATGAATTTTAGACCTTTCTTTAACCACAAATTATTCATTCTGTGGTTTATTGGGTTTATGTATGTGCACATAATGAGGTTTGTATTACTTTCTATAAATGCTCTTGTCACACATGCTGATTCTGACTTTATGTGTGTGTGTTTGTGTGTGTGTAGATACACTTAACACATAAGTGTGGATGCTGAAAACATGGCTATATATATATATATCCCCATATGTAGTTGCATATTCCTACCTCTTCAGATTTTTTTGTTATTTCTTATAAATCTCTTACCTTTAACTTAATGGCGTTCAGGTTGTCTCTCCAAGTAAGCTTTCCTTTGTAGCATCAGCTCTACTTCATGAAAACAGAAACAGGATATTTAATTTCCTGCAATGCTTGTTATCACCTCCTCTACTTTTATTCCATAGCACTTATCATGATCTAACATGCTATATGTTTTTTCTGTATTTCTTTATTATTGCCTAATTCCCCCACTGAATTATAAATCCCTTGGAAGATCCAAATTTTGTCTCTTTTGTCCACTATTGTATTTTAATACTTAGAGCAGTATCTGACGTTTTCTAAGCATTAAGAAATATTTGTTGAATGGATAAATGAGTTACAGTAACTGGTAAAAATAATTACTAACTGAGAAGCTCTTTTAAGGAAACACCATTTTAGTATTGAATACTATAAGCTATCCATTTTTTAATGTCATCAGTGGCACCAGATAATAACATTCCTTGATGGTAGAATCTTTTGGACATTCTTTACTTTTTTGTTTCCCAAATAATTTTGGAAGTTGACTATTACGTGTGTGTAAAAATGAAAACTTTCAAATAATTTGAAGAATAATAAAATATAAAGGATGTCTAAAAGAATCTATCATCAGGAAGAGGCCATGTTTTAAAATGTTATTATCCTTCACTGCATGGGATGCAAGATACCTTGGAGGGAAATGGTTCTAATTTTGCTAGTCAGGAGATGGAGGTGAATGGAGGTTAAGTGGCGGGTCCCATATAACTCATTTAGTTGCTGCACTACTGATGATGGCCCAGGTTTTCTGCAGGCACAAAGGTGAAACTCAATATCATACATGGAGCCAGAAGGCAGGATTGAATTCTCATAATGAAGAATTTTATGGCCTTGAAAAACAGTATATAACATTACTTAAGCCTCAACAACATTAATAATACCTGTTTGGGGATAGATGTGAATAAAACATAAAAAAAATTACCTGTGTTTGTTATTCGTGTCCTGTGCTATCTCCATTACACATTTCTGAGTGTAAGTTGCTAGATATTTTCTGAGGTGAAATTAGACGACTTGTTGTGAGGGAGGAGTCGACAGACATATTTGGGCATATTATGAATTACTATCTAAAATAAACCCTTTACAATATTATTTTTATGTTCTAACAATATTATGTTATGTTTTTACAATATTATTTTTATGTTTTATTAGCTCAATTTTGGCTAATTTTAAGTAAACAAGGAATTCTATTAATCTTGACTATTAATATTGCATATATTTTTAGAATGACTTAGCATTTAACTGTACACTAATATATAGGCCCTTTTTATTATTTTAAAATAAGAAGATTCTGTTTGGGACATATTTGGGGATGGCTCTGATAAAAGATACATGCTACTTAAGTTATGTGCTGTAAGGACAAAGGCTATAGTTAATTTATTCTCCCATAGAAATTTAGTTTCTGAGTTCTCACATTTTAAAAAATCCAATAAGCATCTTGGGGTTAAGGACTGATGTTATTTCCGTGTACTTTGCCAAAGCCAAAAGCTGTCAACAAATATTTTTTGGTCCTTACTGACAGACTCTGTGTTATGTGCTGTGAGTCTGGAGATAAGGGAAGAAGCATTTTACCTCACTGAGCTCAGAGCATATTCAGGTTACTGAATAATTATGCACCACCTGGTAGGTCTTCTGATACAGCATGTGATGGAGGCACACAGGGAGGCCCCTCACCGAATAACCATGCTCAGACCAGGCTTTCTGAAGGATATAGTTTTAAACATGGGCAGATGTTCCAGCATTGGAGGGGAACAAAGATGCTATTTCAGGCAGTGGCAGCGTCGCAAAGTACAATAGGCAATGTTCAAGCATATAGGAAAAGAGAAATATTAAAAATTGCTTAGAAGGACTTGAGTATAGGCAATGTGTTCACATGACACAATGATAGCTAGAGTGACAACCAAACCTTGCTTCTTTTTATAAACCTTTTTGCAAAATCTGAAAGTAAAGAATCTTGCAAGAGGCTCAAAAGTAGCCATTGTAAGAGTTTATAGCATAACTTTAAAATTATTTATTACACATGAATTATTGGGTGATGTTTTGTAGAATAGTATCCTAAAACTTAGAGGGGTAATGAAACAATTTGCCATCCCAGCCACTCTGCTGGACATGTATTTAGAAAAATCATCTAGATTTGAGTCTATATTATGATATTTAATTTTTCAAGCCAAATTACTCAATAGAAGATATAAAGTTTATATATTTTTTCCTATTCTCAGCTTACTGCTCCTAATACAAATGAATAATCCCTTGCTATATTCAGGTGGTTTTTTGTAAATAATATTTAGCATATTCTGTCAGTTTGGGTAGATATATAATTTTTAAAATTAATTTTATTTATGGATATTGTTTGGTTGTGTCCCTGCCAAAATCTCATCTTGAATTTCAATCTGCTGTGGGAGGGACCCAGTGGGTGGTAACTGAATCATGGGGGCAGGTCTTTCCTGTGCTGTTCTTGTCATAGAGAATAAGTCTCACGAGATCTGATGGTTCTATAAGGGGGAGTTTCCCTACACAAGCTCTCTCTTTGCCTGCTGCCATCCATATAAGATGTGAATTGCTCCTCCTTGCCTTCTGCCATGATTGTGAGACTGCCTCAGCCATGTGGAACTGTAAGTCCATTAAACCTCTTCCTTTTGTAAATTGTCCAGTCTTAGGTATGTCTTTGTCAGCAGCATGAAAACAGACTAATACATTTATCAAGAGCTCTGAATAAACATTTCCAGGTTTCTGTTAATCTGTTATACAGTGATCAAGCATAGTCATATTCCCTATAGACAAAATGCTTTCATCTATTCTAATTAACAGTCTGAACCTCTAGCATTCCCTAAATGGAAACCTAGAAAGAAAATGGTTCCCTAAGGAATTACCATATGGCAAGGGCCATAAGGGCAACTCTACTTATAATTTTTTCAGCCTTAAGTTCCTCTGCCATTTCTTCCACAATAGTTTGTGTTTTTCTTTCTTTCTGAACATAGAAAATTCTTCAAAAATGTGCAGTCTCTATTCATTACCCCAGTCTTCATGTACAGTGAAAGGCATTCATGACTGACTTTCATGTAACAGCAAAGAACAGAAGGACATTTATTATCAACTTGTCAAAGAACATAGAGTTTTTCTTGTTTCAGGTGTTAATATTTTCTGTTACCAAGGCGTTCATCACTTAGACCTCTCATTCTCAGGTAAAGTAAACTTTGATGTACCTCATGAAGAACAAGGATTGTCTGTTAGAGAAAACCTTGCTAATTAAAGTAAATGCAGAGGGTTTAAAAACTTTTGTGCATAAGATTATATGAGAAAATTATCTATGCTTAAAAATTCCTGATAATTCCATGAAAAATTATGATTCTGTTGAACATGTATTTTGATACTATGCCCCTGACATGCTATGTATGCTTAGAATTATGTCAATGCCACATCACTTATTATTCCAAATGATTCTTGAAAATTGATGTGGAATAGCTATAATGACTGTGGTTTGAGTCATTTCCTGGGTATTAATGAAAGAGTAGTGTTAATGGCCCTCAACATTTTCACTTTTTGAGGTTATTTATTCCAGATAAGTGGTCTGTGGTAAAATCATTATTGATTAATTTGTATTTTTTCTTTAAGACTGCTCATGTTTTCAGAATAAAGTGGTGTGCTTTGGAACCACAGGGGCTTCTATTTTCTACTGAGCATCGGAAACAGTAATTTTTAAAGAAATTTTGTTCTGCTAAGTGTGACTGGAAGAAAGGGTCTACGTAGCATGGGAGATTTGATTTAGTTTTGTTCTGGGACACTCTTGTGTACTGTTTCTACAGAGGAAATGGCAGGATTTATTTATTTATGTATGTATGTATGTATGTATGTATTTATTTATTTATTTATTTATTTATTTATTTATTTTTACTTTTGAGATGGAGTCTCGCCCTGTCACCTAGGCTGGAGTGCAATGGCATGATCTCGGCTCGCTGCAACCTCTGCCTCCTGGGTTCAAGTGATTCTCTTGCCTCAGCCTCCCAAGTAGCTGGGACTACAGGTGCATGCCACCACGCCCAGCTAATTTTTGTGTTTTTAGTAGAGATGGGGTTTCACCATATTGGTTAGGCAGGTCTTGAACTCCTGACCTCGTGATATGCCCACCTCGGCCTCCCAAAGTGCTGGGATTACAGGCATGAGCCACTGTGCCCAGCGGCAGAATTTATTTTATGTTACATACTACAGTCACTTACCTGCTTCATTTTGCACAGACTTATGTATGCTACCACATTTAAAAGTTTAATTTGACCAATTGCACTGCATGTTAGGACTATGCTATAATTTTTCTATTATTGTGGAAACAAAAATAGTACTCATAAATTTCTCATCATTCAGTTTCTCTTGGAAACATACAAACAACTATGTTGAGTTTGCAACTTAAGTCAGATTATCCTAAGTTTTAAAAATTTTCTTTGAAATTTTGTTACAAAAGTCTTCCAACATTGGGAAATATAAAATAATATATATTTTTGTTTGTAAATCATAATTAACTTACATCACTTGAATTAAAAACAAATATAAAGAACACAATATTTGAAAACTTTACCCAATTACAATTAAGGAGCTGTGTTAGGAAGGTACCTGCCTTTGTATTTGATTACCTTTGCTCCATTCATAAGAATACTAATATTAATGTTATGCTTATCATCATCAGTTACCTATGAGCCACACACTGTGCTAGGCATGTTATATACAGCAATGCTGCAATGTGATTCTGATACTAACCACTCAGAGCTAGCGCAGACACTGTACAAGCACACAGTCCCCAGTAAGACTGCCTCGCTTTGGATGTCCACCACAAATTTGGGAGTCCCTGGGCCACGCATTCTCTGATTAATTGTCTACAAATTCAGGGATTCCCACATCTCTCTCAGGTCTGGTAATTCACTAAAATGACTCATAGAATTCAGGAAAATGCTCTACTAACAATTACTTTTTTTTTTTAAATAAAAGTTCAAATCAGGACTAGTCAAACGAAGACACACATAGGGAGGAGTCTGGGAGGGTTTCACATGTAGAGCTTCTGTACCCTTACATTGTAGAATCAGGTGCAGCACCCATTGGCATCCTTCTAGCACATTGATGTTTTCACCAACCAGGAAGAGCCACCGAACTTTGGTATCCAGAATTTTTATTGATGTTTCATTATGTAAGCATGATTGATTGTATCATTGGTCACAGGCTTTAATTTAATCTTCAGCTTGTCTCATCTTCCTGAAGGTGATCAGGGAGATATCACTTCGCTCAAATCCTCAATCCTCTCATTACAAAGTTGGTCTTTCTGGGGTGATCAGCTCTCATCCTGAGTCCTCTATTATCATAACCATTCATGCTTGACGGTCCCACCATGAATAACAAAGACACTACTATCACTTGAGAAATTCCAAAGACTTAGTTTAGTGGTCATCTACCAGGAATCAGGGGCAAAGATTAGACAAATTATTTATTATATAACATATACATTATATATGTTCTTTAATTATAGTGATCTTCAAGGTGTGCATTTTAATAAAGATTTTGTAGGCATAAAATTGAGCCTTAGAAGCACAAGTCCTAGGCATATAAATCACATCACCGGTAGTATTGAAGTCAGGATTCAAACCCAGATCTGCTTTATTTTAGTGTCCATTTATCCAGGATTTCATCTCTGTCCTTCTTGGTACCACAATTCAGTATCTTAGCTTGGTATTTTTCTACAACATAGGCTTAAAGAGATGAAACCTCTTGCCTAATATCATCCAGTGAAGAAGTGCTAGTGCTGAAATTCGAACCCACATTCCTCTTAGCACAGTGATGGTACTCATAGCTGCTCTATAAGGAAGAAAAAACAGCAGATCACAAAAGATGAAAATCCCATACAGCCCTGGAAGAACTTTTCCAGTAATAAAGGACATTTTGACATTACAGATATCATTCTCATTCTCACTAATGAGAAATGTCAGATATACATATTTTCCCATTTCCTGGAAACTGTAGTTAAAAAAAGAAACACTCTTAAAAGCTGTAAAATAATTGTTCTTAAAAACTTGTGGATTCCTAGACAAAAACTAAAAGAAAAAAAAATGCAGATTATGTGTCTCTTCATCCCAGTATTCTTCCCATTAACATCTATTCTGGTACCCAAAGGTGACAAAGAAGTCCTTATATCAGCCTCATATGCATAGTATATAGGTATTGTTCTTATTTCGGTGTATTGTTTTAAAGTGGCACAGTTCGCAACAGCGAATCCATACAGGTCTGCAGCAGCCTCAATCCTTGCCTCCTCAGTAGAAAGAATTTGAATGAGGGACATAAGGCAGAGTGAGAGACCAAGGCAAGCTTTAGAGCAGGAGTGAACATTTCATAAGAAAGCTTTGAAGCAGGAATGAAAGGAAGTAAAGTACACTCGGAAGAGGGGCAAATGGATAACTTGAGAGACTCTAGTGCATGGTTTGACCTTTGACTTACGGTTTTATATGTTGGCATGTTTCCGGGGTGTTGCATTCCTTCTCCCCTTTTTCTTCCCCACTGATTTTTCCTTGGGTTGGGCTGTCCGCACGTGCAGTGGCCTGCCAGCACTTGGGAGGGGCCACATGCACAGTGTGTTTACGGAAGTTGTGCGCATGCTCACTTGAGGCGTTTTTCCCTTATCAGTCGGATGTTTGCAGAGGAAGGTCAAATACTAGTTAAGCGCCATCATTTTGCCTTTTAGGGTGCCTGCTTGAACGCACTTACCCAACCTCTGAGATCTTATTCGGAAGCAGCTGTTTACCAGTTTCAGGTGTTTTTGTCTATTTGGAGACCGCCTTTCCCTCGCTCCAGCTGTGACCAATTAATATTTTAGACAGCCAGCTTAACAACTGTTTGGCCATCACCAGATATTCCTGGTGGTGGCCGAGGGCTCTCTCCTGCCCTGCTCATGTCTGACTAACTACCTCCTGTAACAGTACAGATCCTGATCTGGGAACGAAGTTGAGGAATTAATGGCAGAATTAAGGGTGAAATTTAGAAAAGTATAGGCCAATAAATTATTAAACCTGTATTTCCAGATATCTTACTGAGATTCACATATTCATGTATTTCTTGTTTGATGTCTTTTATTTCTTTTTTATTGCAAAGTAGCTGCAAATTTTCTTTTCTTTCTCCTTATTTCTTTTTACCTCGTATAAATAACTGCAAAAGGTCCTACTGCTAATCCACAATAGTCAGCTAAATACACACCTGCATACAGAAGAAAGATTTATACAATTGGCGCCCACATGATTCAATGCTGTACAAAGGTGTATTCAATGCAACACGGTTCAGCAAACAATAGCAATGAATATTTATTCAAAATTTTATCAACATCTGTGACACATTTTTCAAAGAGTAGGCCATGTGTTCCTAATACATTGAAGTATATTTTAAATCATTGTTTTTGCTCCAGTCACTATAAATAACCTTCATATGAACGGCAGATACTTCCTCAAACTTCTCTCTTTGCTTCTTTCCTCTCACTCCAGGAAATCCCAGTCATTTGGCCTTTGTTCTTTCTTCCTTTCCTTCTTATGTTGTTCATTTCTCTCTTTAATCCCCTGAAGGAAATCTGGGCCATTCTAAAGCAAATAATTTGTTTAGTTCTGTTCCTATCTATTGCTCAGATCTGCTTCCAAATACTAAGGAAAGGTTCTGGCAGAAAATACTGTATTTGCAGGTGAGTAAGAAGTCAGGTTTCTAAATTTTGTCTCAACCCACAGTGAATATTCAAACCCACACTTTAAAAATTTAGAAAGAAAAAAACAACAACTGTACATGTGAATAGAGTGCCTTAATGAAAGAAAAAAGTGTTTGTCTTTGTTTTGTTTTGCTTTTTGGAAAAGAGTATCACTCTGTTGCCCAGATTGGTCTTGAATTCCTGGACATAAGTGATCCTCCAGCCATGACCTCCCAAAGTGCTGAGGTGACAGGTATGAGCCACCATGCCCATCACTTTCCCAATTTTTAAAATAATGAATTGATTTAGATTAATTTTTCTCATTGATTCCTCTTGAGTATGAAGATAGCTTTATGAAAAATCTTGCCTCTCGTTAATCTATGATATTCTGATGTTTCTGGAAATTCTAGATTTTTCACAACAGAAAACAGAAGGATGGTCAAGGTAAGAGCACTCATGAAATTAGTCAAAATCATCCCTTTATAAAATTTAGTGAGATCTTTGAATGTTAACATTGCCTCCATCTGCATGTACAGTGTAATTATACCATTAACATACACAGTTTTATTCTAATGAGATCAGTGTTCTATAGAATTGATACAAAAAGGCAGTGAGTGAAAACAATGTCTTCCAGGATCCAGAAGGTACTCCAATTGAGAAACATTTAAAGGAGGCATAGAAAAACATGACATATTCTTGTGATAAAACCATGTGAAAAACATGCTTATGCTTTGTTACATTTTGTCAAATTAATCTTTTCATTTTACAATCAGATTTGGGAACTTCCCAACACTTTCAAGATATAAAAAGGCATAACAATTATTACCCTTTTTACATGCTGTACTCATTTGGCATTAATAACTGCAATTGTTTTATTTTATGCAGTCTTCCATACAAATTATCTCAATCCACTTTATCGCCTGAAATATTTTGAAGAAAAGATTTACTTAATAAAATAGCATACTACAGAATAAAAATAAGTTTGGAAAATATATTCACAGGCCTTTAATTATTTAATACATGTGTTTCATTGTTCAAGAAAACAATAAAATAAGGGAAACAAAAATTGGTAATTTTTGTGACATTAATCTCTTGACATAAGATAGTAAAATGACTTAATAATATGCTACGTTTTGTCACCCTGAACTTCTCTTTAAAATGAGAACACCCTATTATAAATTTATTTTTAAAATGCTACAAGAATTTTTGGGAAATTGTGTGACTACTCCTATTCAGTTTTAAACTGTCACAAAGCCAGACATAAATCTGTTCATGCATTATACACATGGGACTTGTAGTGTCTTGTCTTCACACATTTACTTGGCTATTGGTTTCTTTGTTAAAATGTCTTCCTTCATCTCTTCCTAACAAAAGTATATTTATTCATCAAGGTTCAGGCTTACTTACTTCTTATATGGTTTAATCTTACTATGTCTAATAAAGATTAATCTTTCTTTGTTGACATGTCTTTATATCATAAGCATGTTAATTCTTTACAAAAATATTTCTAAATATTATTTAATTCAAATACTTTTTTGTATTTTTTTATTGTCAATGTGTTAGAATGAGTGGAAAATGGAAAATAATTCAACAATCTTATGAAAGAATGAACATTGTAAGTAATCTTCAAAAAAATTAATAAGTTGTACTTTACCATACTGGAAAAAAAAGAAAAACTGCTATAAGTTTACAATGATCAGGGCATTTTGGGATTGGCACAGAAATATACAAATATATCAGCTGTTGCGACTACCACAAGCAAGATGGCAATGCATATTACACCCAATACCTGTCTTAGTTCCTGTATTCTACATCTCTGTTTGTGATTGTGATGCTACACAGAGAGGTGTTTTGTATTAGAGAGAGGAGTTTTGTGGAGAATTCAACATTAAATGACTCTGATTTTTTTACAAGTTATGTGCCAAATGATAATTTTTCCTCAGATACTGAAGGGGAACTGAGGCTCAAGGAACCTCAACAACTAGGAAGAAGCAGATGAGGGATTTAGAGCTGTTGGGTCTGCCTAACTCTGACACCAATATTACTCTCCATCAATCACATTTTCTTCTTTTAGTTTTTCTTTTTCTTTTTTATTTTAAACTAGATCAAGACCAAGTCCCCTTCTCCTCACTTTTGAAAATAACTTCCTATTTAATATTTAAATTTATTTTCACATAATAGGTACTTTTATATTAATGTATAAATACGATTATCTTTTCCTGTATAACATACTTCCAAATCAGTAGCTTAAAAAATCCTAATTCTCTTTGGGAGGCCGAGGCGGGTGGATCATGAGGTCAGGAGTTCAAGACCAGCCTGACCAAGACGGTGAAACCCTGTCTCTACTAAAAATACAAAAAATTAGGCACAGTGGCAGGCGCCTGTAATCCCAGCTACTCAGGAGGCTGAGGCAGGAGAATGGCTTGAACTTGGAGGGCGGAGGTTGCAGTGAGCCGAGATCGTGCCACTGTACTCCAGCCTGGGCGACAGAGTGAGACTCCATCTCAAAAAAAAAGAAAAGAAAAGAAAAGAAAAAAATTCCTAATTCTTCTCCCATTTATGTGGATTGACTGGCTTTAGCTGATTAGTTCTCATCGAAATCTCTCATGTGCTGAATCAGATGGTTTCCTGGGCTGGAATCGTCTCTAGGTGCAACTGGCCTGAATGTCCAAGGTAGCTCGCTTATATAAATGACAGTTAATGTTGCCTGTAAGCTGGTAATTTAGCCAGGGCTGTTGACCAGAATGTCCACACAGCCTTTCCGTGTGGCCTGCTCTACTTATTACAGTTGGTGGCCATATTTTGAGAAGTGGAATCCAGAGAATGAGTGTCCAAGAGTCCCAGCAAGAAACTGCAAGATCTCCTGTGAATTGGCCTTGAAAGTCCCAGAATGCTACTCCATAGGATGCTATAGGTTATATAGGATAGGCAAGTCACTAAGGCTAGCCCAGTTTTGTTTTGTTTTGTTTTGTTTTGTTTGAGACGGAGTCTCGCTGTTGTTGGCCCGGGCTGGAGTGCAGTGGCTCGATCTCAGGACACTGCAACCTCCGCCTTCCTGGTTCCAGCAATTCTCCTGCCTCAGCCTCCTGAGTAGCTGGGATTACAGGTGTGTGCCACCATGCCCAGCTAATTTTTGTATTTTTTAGTAGAGATGGGGTTTCACCATGTTGGCCAGGCTGGTCTCGAACTTCTGACCTCAGGTGATCCACGCACTTTGGCCTCTCAAAGTGCTGAGATTACAGGCGTGAGCCATTATGCCCGACCGGCTAGCCCAGTTTTAAGGGATGAGGACCACGCATTTGAAAGTAGTGGGAGGCATGGTTCATTAGGAGGACATCTTGGGGAACTAACTATCATAATTACAAATATGTTGTCTTTTGTAATTTAGTCTTTGTTGTTTTCATTTTTGTTTACCTTTTATTCTTTTTTTCCCACCCATGTCAGTCTCAGCTCCCTTTACCTAACTAACCTGTATTATCAGTCTCATATATATTCCTTCATGTTTTTCCACACTTCATGATCATAAAACTGTGTATATTTCACACACACATGAAGACACACATTCAATGTTTTATTTTATATTTGAAATTAAATGGTGTAGGTAATAGTACACATCTACCTTTTCTACACCTAGTTTTTCAATTGAATTTTATCTTACAGCAATCTCTCTGAGTCTTCTCCAGTTTTAATAGACGCATCATATTCCATGGTATTTATGTGCTTTACTTTACCAAGTTCAATTATAGACATTTATTTTGTTTCCATTATGGCCAATATTAATAACTTAATAAACATCTTAGTTATATTATTTCATAATTTTTGTAAAGAATAGATTCCTAAGAATGTGTACTGTGTGAAGGGCATTTCTCTATCTTTTTATCTTTCTATCATCTGTCATCTATATATATATATATATATATATATATATATATATATATATATATATATCTCCTTAAATTTAAAATATATTGCCACAGTGTTTTCCAAGAAGTCTATGATGATTCTCATTTTGATTAACTGAGTAAAAGTGTATCCTTTTTTGTCATAGTTTTTAATGTTTTGTCATCCTGAAGGGTGTAAAATGATATTTCACTGTTATTTTAATTTGCATTTACCTCACTACCATACATTACTCCTACAAAAAAAAGGGTGGATACAGAAGGACTTCCAGGAAGGAACAGTTTGGCTGACCTGGAATTTCTGGCTCTGGATAGCTTACTTTTTCTGAAAGGAACATAAGCTTTACTTGAGATCAAATAACTAGGCAGGTCACATACCTCAATTTAATGCCAGCCTTGAACTTTTTACTTCCAGATTACCTTCCCCCCTCTCCCTCCAAGTCTTCTTCCCTCCCTTCCCCTCCCCTCCCCTCCTCTCCCCTCGTCTCCTCTCTTCTCCTTTGCTTTTCCTATTTGTTCCTTTTCTCATTTCTTCTTTTGGCCTCACACTTTCTCACTCCCATGTCCTCTTTTTTTTCTGTCTCGTTATATGGAATTTGTCATTCCTATCTTCACATAAAAAAAAAAAAACAGAGTAGTACTTACAAAGATTTTTACTGTGGAAATTTTGTAAGAAATTGAAACAACCTTTGAAAAAGACCATTATTTGGCCAATTCAATAAAAAACGCCAAGCCCTTGCTCATTTAGTCGAATTCCTTACTTCCTTAGCCAAACTCCCTTGCCACCGGAAGTGACCATTTGACATTTTTATGGCAATGAGATGCATGCCAAGGAAGCTTTGAGAAACTTTCCTCGTAAAAGAGAGGTGAGTCCAGTCTTCTTCCTTCGAATGTCAATGTGATGACAGCCTGGGAAGGCTTCCTGAAACCTGAGGGAAAAGGCTGAGAATCATGGACACGCTATCACTGATATTATAGAGCCACTACACCAAGGCTGGCAAGTGTTTACCAGACACTTTTTGTTATAAGAAAAAAAAGAAAAACAACTCTTTTGGTTTAAAATACTATACTCGGGGTTTCTGCTTTACTGCTAAAGACGTTCCCATCTGATATCAACGTCAATGTCCACTAATCGAGGCCCGATGAAAAATTATTCTATACTAGAATATAAGTAATAGAAGATGAAACTATAGGTATGGACATAGAAAGATGCCCACAATAAAGTTAATTCAGCACACTACATGAATTAAGAGTTTACATAATTTGTAGATTAAAAATTAGAAAGGTGTTGAAGGATTACAAATGAATTGTTAACTGTGGTTGCTTCAGAGAAGGGGAGTGTAAGAGGCTGAGAGACGCGAGGCCTGGAGAGATGATTTTATTATTTAGTATATTTTGTTGTATTTTTTCCTTTTATAATGCACAGAAATAAAAAGTAAATAATAAAGAAAAAAACCAAAGTGGCTTATAGAACTATTTAATATTTTATTTTCTGGGACAAATTAATATGAAAACATAAATTAGATTTTTTTTTAAAACCTGTAAGTCTTTTCCATCCTGGCAGTTTTCAATATTCTATAGTACTATGCAACATGAAGGGGTAGTGGTGTAGTAAGTGCTCTTAACTAGGAGACAGAAGACCTATTTTCCATTCCTGTCTCTGGGACCAACTTGTTTTCTAGACCTTGGGCTATTTCTGTTTATCTTTTTCTCATTTTATTCAAGTTTAAGACAAATAGGTTGCCTAAGGGTTTTTTCCCTTATCTAGTTCTGATATTCAATAAAGAGCCTGATAAGGGCAGAGGTATTTGACAGCACTCGCTTTGGACTGCAGTATATTACAGATCCACACTCCATTGCCTGGGTTCATAAAAGACAAAGCTGCATGTTCAGCAATGTTTACCCATGTCTCTGGGATAAATGGCCTCTAGGGGATGCGGTGTCCCCAAACATCAGCCTTGAGCGGTGTACATCTCTATGGAGATATGCCCCAAAGTGGATTGATAACATCTGGACATTAAAGCACATTTTATCTTCGATTCTCAGAAAAAATCCTTGTCAATCTTTTGTCTCGTAAGTTGTTGTGAATAATATCTTGGAGAAACCTACCTGGGTTGTAGAGTTGCTGAAAATGATATATTATCTTTTTCTCCAGATTAAATTTTGAGTTTTAAGTTTGAGTTTTCTGACGAAGTACAGGTGGCTCACACCTGTAATCCCAGCACTTTGGGAGGCTGAGGCAGGAGGGTTGCGTGAGCAAGACTCTATCTCTAAAATAAAAAAGTCTGAATTTGTAATTTTGTTAAAACATATTATTATTGTTATTGTAAAATTATGGCTTCAAAAATGATGAGTAGATTTAAAACTTGAGCTAGTTCTTGGATTTTTGAAGCATTAAAAAATTATCTAGAGGAATTTCTAACACAAGATTAGATTTCTTATTACAAAGAAGTCCCTGGTAATAAATATTGGAAATTTAATCAGATACTTTATAAGTTTTACAAAAACTTTAAATGTTGACATTCCCCAAACACTTTTAATTCTCAGACTGTTCCTTGTTTGGATTTTCCTGTGTCTAGCCCATATAATTTTATAATACAGATGAACATGAGAGAAGCAAAAATGTGTATGTTCCATTCCCTTGACAAAAGTTTTTTTTTTCATAATAATTATTTAGAGTGAATATTTTTGGGAGGATAAATAAGCACAATTATACTTTTACTGTGCCTTGACAATTGTGTACATTCAAGGCCTGCCTTTCACCACTGCAGGCTGCATTTCCACAGGCTGATACAACAACCATCCTTTCCTGTGGAAGGTAGAATTGCACCCTTCATAAACATTAGTGCATTGACATTTGATACTGGAAATTCCAGATTTGCTTAGGAGTTGAAAAGAACTCTTTTGTTTTCCTGATGGCTTCCAACGTCACTTTCCCACAAATCTCATAAATGTGAGTATTAAATCTATGCTACCCTCTCCCACAGTTTGGCTTTATTTTAAAATTTATATGTTAAAACATATGGTTAATCATTTCATAGCAAATTACTTATTGCAATTTACTGATACTGGAGAAAGTAAAAGAGACTATATATCACTGTGCAGATCATTAAGAGAAAAGGAGCTTATTTTCAAGATCAGGTCAAATATTGATAATATTACCATGGAAATATGGCCTAGGTGGTAAATTAAAGACTTATAAATCAATGGTTTAAACATATTTTATAGATTTTCTTGATCAATAAAAAATGATTTGTATAAATATTTAAATTTAATTTAGTGTTCTGCATTTGCACAAGCATGAAAAACATCACAATAAGCTTTAATTTCCTGTAAACAATTTTACCTTTATTTAACACATTCTTACTGAAACAATAATTCTTGAACTCTTCTAAATAGTAGTTAATGTCTGATGCATTGTTAAAAATGTAATGGAATTTTAATCTTCAATATTGATTTGGGGGCAATGGAACTTCCTAGAAATTTAAAATTTAATTGACCTTAACAATTACAAAGTTCATAATATAGTTAAAATAATATATATGGTATAGGTGCTATGAATTGGATTGTCATAAAATTATTAATATGTTAACCATCTACAGAAGATTTGTTTGTATTTAAAAGTCTATAAAATTGAGAATACCAATTTTGTTTATTAAATGCTTCCTCATTCTTATAAATAAGGTTTAAATAAATATATGTATTTAATATATAGTGTATGATATATGTACATATATTTAATTCATAAATGTTAAATATAATCAGTATGATGAAATTGAATTAAAATCTGAAAATTATAAATGAGACATGCAGGTCAGTAGTACTATACTTTACTAACATTAAAGCAGATATTTGCTTTTAATCTTCCCAGGACAAAAGTAAAGAAAAAATAAACAGGACCAATTATGTCAATCTCATAGTCTGTGAAATATATACCTATACATATTAAATCCAATTGGTCAAGTGTCGATGTTAAGTCCCTAATTTCTTTGTTAGTTTTCTACCTTGATGATCTGTCTAATGACAGTGGGGCGCTGAAGTTTCCCACTATTATTGCATGGCTGTTTAAGTCTTCATAGGTCTAGAAGTACTTGTTTTATGAATCTGGGAATTTCAATGTTGGTGCATATATATTTAGAATAGATAAATCTTCCTGTTAAATTGAATCCTTTATCATTATACAATGCCCTTCTTTGTCCTTTTTTACTGTTGTTGGTATAAAGTCTGTTTTGCCTGATATAAGCATAGAGACCCCCACTTTTTTTTCTTTGTTTTTTGTTTACATTGTAGATCTTCTTCCAATGCTTTACTTTGAGCCTATGGGTGTTTTTATGTGTGAGATGGGTCTCTTGAAGACAGCAGATGGATATGTTTTGTTTTTTTAATTCAACTTGCCATCTGTGTCTTTTAAGTAGGGGTGTTTAGACCACTTACATTCAAATTCATATTGATACGTGAGATTTTGATCATATCATGAAGTTGTTAGCTGGTTGCTTTGCAGTATTTATTGTCTAATTGCTTTATATAGTCTGTGAGGTATGTACTTGATATGGTTTGACTGTGTACCCACACAAATCTCATCTTGAATTGTAGTTCCCATAATCCCCACATCATGCGAGGGACCCAGTAGGAAGTAATTGAATCATGGGGGAGGTTTTCCCCATGCTATTCTCATGGTAGTGAGTAAGTTCTCATGAGATCTGATGGTTTTATTAGCGGTTCCACCTTTGCTCAGCTCTCATTCTTCCCCTTCCTGCCACCATGTGAAGAAGGATGTGTTTGCTTCCCCTTCCACCATGATTGTAAGTTTCCCGAGGCCTCCCCAGTCCTGCAGAACTGTGAGTCAATTAAACCTCTTTCCTTTATAAATGACCCAGTCTTGGGTATTTCTTCATAGCAGTATGAGAATGAACTAATACAGTAAATTTGTCCCACAGAGAGAGGGTTGATGCTATAAAGATTCCCAAAAATCTGGAAACGACTTTGGAACTGGGTAACAGGCAGAGGTTGGAACCATTTGGTGGGCTCAGAAGAAGTCAGAAAAATGTGGGAAAGTTTGGAACTTCTTAGAAACTTGGAGGACTCAGAAGACAGGAAGATGTGGGAAAGTTTGGAACTTCCAAGAGACTTGTCAAATGGCTTTGACCAAAATGCTGATAGTGATGTAGAAAATGAAGTTAAGACTGACAAGGTCTCAGATGGAGAGGAGGAATTTGTTGGCAACTACAGTAAAGGTTGTTCTTCCTATACAAAGAGACTGGAGGCATTTTGCCCCTGCCCTAGAGATCTGTGGAATGCGGAACTTGAGGGAGATGATTTAGGATGTCTGGCAGAAGAAATTTCTAACCAGCAAAGCATTCAAGAGGAAGCAGAGCATAAAAGTTTGGAAAATTTGCAGCCTGAGAATACAATAGAAGAGAAAAACCCATTTTCTGGGGAGAAATTCAAGCCAGCTGCAGAAATTTGCATAAGTAACGAGGAGCTGAATGTTCCTCACCAAGGCAATGGGGAAAATGTCTTCAGGGCATGTCAGAGACCTTAATGGCAGCCCCTCCTATCACAGGCCCAGAGGCCTAGGAGAGAAAAATGGTTTGCTAGGCCAGGCCCAGGGCCTCCTTGCTTTATGCAGCCTCAGGACATGGTGCTGTGTCCCCGCTGCTTTAGCTCCAGCCTTGGCTAAAAGTGGCCAACATACAACTCAGGTCATTGTTTCAGAGGGTTCAAGCTCCAAGCCTGGGTGGCTTTTATGTGGTTTTAGGCCTGTGTGTGCAGAGAAGACAAGAATTAAAGTTTGGGAACCTCAGCAGAAGTCTGTTGCAGGAGTAGAACTGCCATAAAGAATCTTTGCTAAGGTAGTGAAGAAGGGAAATATTGGGTTGGAGCCTCCACCTAGAGTCCCCTACTGGGGAACTGTTTAGTGGAGCTGTGAGACAAAGGCCGCCATCTTCTAGACCCCAGAGTGGTAGATCCATTGAAAGCTTGCACTGTGTGCCTAGAAAAGCTGCAGACAGTCAACACCAGCCCTTGAAGGCAGCCAAGTGGGGGCTGTACCCTGCAAAGCCACAGGGGCAGAGCTGCCCAAGGCTGTGGGAGCCACTTCTTGCATCAGTGTGACCTGGATGTGAGACATGGAGTCAAAGGAAGGCATTTTGGAACCTTAAGGTTAATGATTGCCTTATTGGATTTTAGACTTGCATGGTTCCTGTAGCCCCTTTATTTTGGCCATTTTTTGCCATTTGGAATGGCTGCATTATCCAATGCTTGTACCCCCATTGTATCTAGGAAGTAACTAAACTGCTTTTGATTTTATAGGTTCATAGGCAGAAGAGATTTGCCTTGTCTCAGATGAGACTTTGGACTTGAATGTTTCAGTTAATGCTGGAATGAGTTAAGAATTTGGGGGACTGTTGGAAGAGCATGATTGTGTTTTGAAATGTGAGGTCATGAGCTTTGAGAGAGGCCAGAAGTGGAATGATATAGTTTGGCTGTGTCCTTACCCAAATCTCATTTTGAATTACAGTTCCCACAATCCCCATGTGTCATGAGAGGGACCTGGTGGGAGGTAAATGAATCGTGGGGGAGGTTTTCCCCATGCTATTCTTGGGATAGTAAGTAAGTTCTTATGAATCTGCTGGTTTTATAAGGGACTTCCCTATTCACTCAGCTCTCATTCTTCCCCTTCCTGCCACCATGAGAAGAAGGATGTGTTTGCTTCCCCTTCCACCATGATTGTAAGTTCCCTGAAGCCTCCCCAGCCCTACAGAACTGTTAGTCAATTAAACGTCCTTCCTTTATAAATTACCCAGTCTTAGGTATTTCTTCATAGCAGAGTGATAACAAATGAATACAATACTTAAGTGTGTTTTTGGAGTACCAGGCTTCATTCTTCATTTCTATGTTTAGAACATCCTTAAGGATCTCTTGTAAGGCCAATCTAGTGGTAACAATTTCCTTAATGCTTGCTTGTCTGGAAAATATTTTTTGTCCTTTGCTTATGATTCTTAGTTTGGCAGGATATGAAATTCTTGGTTGAAAATATTATCTTTTTTTAAGAATGCTGAAAATAGGCTACCAACTTCTCCTGGCTTTTAAGTTTTCTGCTGAGAAGTCTGCTGTTAGCCTGATGGAGTTTGCTTTGTACGTGATCTGATCTTTTTCTCTATCTGTTTTAAGGTTTTTTCTTAAGTGTTGACCTTGGCCAGTCTGGTGATTATTTTCCTTGGTGATGTCTGTTTTGTATCGTATCTCTCAGGTGTTCTCTGTACTTCCTGTATCTGGATGCCTATCTCTCTAGCAAGATATTCCTTCAAATATGTTTTTCAGGTGGCTTGCTTTTTCTCTGTCTCTCCAGGAATGCCAATAATTCATAGAATTTGTCACTTAACGTAATCCCTTATTTCTGAAAAGCTTCATTCATTAAAAACATTTTTTTTCTTTATTTTTGTCTGTCTGGGTTCATCTGAAAGACCAGTTTTCAAGATCTGAAATTATTTATTCAGCTTGATTCAGTCTATTAATAAAGCTTTCAACTATATTTTGAAATTCCTTAAGTGAGTTTTTCAGTTCAGAATCTATGACTGATTTCTTTTTAAGATGTTTATCTCTTTCTTCATTTCCTGGATTGCTTTAGAAGTCTCTTCATTTTGATTTTTAAGCTTGTCTTGATCTCATTAGCTTCCTTGCAGTTCATGCGTTGAATTCTTTATCTGTCATTTCTGAGTTTCCATTGTGTTTGGGGACCATTGCTGAGAGCTGGTATGATCTTTTGGTGGTCACTATATTCAGATTTTTCATGGTGCTAGAATTTTTGTTCAGGTTTCTTCTCCTCTACAGATGCTGGCACTTCTAATTTTTGTTATTGTGTTTGTGTGGATGGGAATTTTTCTTTTTCTTAATTTTCTTATAATATTATTGTTTTTTCTTTCCCCTTCCCTCCTTATTTAGGTGGTGCATACGACTGTACAGAATGCTGTGTATGGTCTTCTGGCTTTGCTTCTATAGCCCTGTGAATTTCTTTGGGCAGGTTTTATATTGGGATGTGCAGTTCAACCTACAAGCCAGTAGATGACTCTTATAGGTAAGAGGTGGCTGTGGACAATGTCACCAAATAATGACTGACTTTGTATGTGCCAAGATTAAAAATGGTATCCTTCTGTCTGTCCTGGGTCTGCAAGTGTCTCCCCAAGTTAGCTTTAGGGGTTGGGAAAAACAAAGTGCTCTCTCTCAGCCTGGGTTGCTCAGATCCCCAATGGACAAGTGAGTCACAGAGGGAGGCTGTCTGCCTCTGTCACATACTGGTACTTCACTCAAAGTCAGCTGGATACCATCATGAGGCCTGTTTGCTGGTGGTCTTCTCCCTGGGATTTGAGGTGTCCTTCACAATTCGGGGGGATACCCATTTTTCTTCTTGAATTAAAGCTCAAATAGTTAATCTTTATGCACAATCCTGCTGTTTCCAAGTAGCTGAAGCACACTAAGAGCCCCTAATTCACCATCTTGGAAAACAAAAAACCTTTTGGGTATACACCCAACAGCGGAATTGCCAGATTATATGGTAGTTCTGTATAGCAGTTGTACTAGTTTACATTCCCACCAACAGAGCATGAGTTCCCTTTCCTCCACATCCTCACCAGCATTTGTTATTATTTATATTTTTGTTAGTAGCCAATTTAATTGGAGTGAAATGATATCTTAATATGGTTTTGATCTGCATTTCCGTTTTTAAATGAGTTATTTGCCTTTTATTATTGAATTTTCTATATTCTTTATATATTGTGGATAAAGGTTCCTCATCAGACATATGATTTCCAAATATTTTCTCCCTTTCAGTGGATTGCCTTTTCACACTCTGGATGATGTCCTATGCAGCATGGAAGTTTTGAATTGTGACTAAGTCCAATTTATTGATTTATGTTTTTCACTTATGCTTTGGATGCCATATCCAAGAAATTATTACTTATTTCAAGGTCATAAGTATTTACATCTATGTTTTCTTCTAAGAGAATTATAGTTTAGAATCTTACATTCAGATCTTTAATATATTTGGAATTAATTTTTGTGTATGGTGCAAGGAAGCAGTCTAATTTTCTTCTTTTGCAAGTGGATATGAAATTGTTCAAGCTCCCTTTCTTGAAATGACTATTCTCTAAACCTTAAATTGCCTTGGAACTTGGTCAAAAATCAATGGGCTATAAATATATAGGTTTATTTCTGGACTCTCAATTCCATTTCATTGATCTCTATATCCATCCAGCTTTGTAGTATATTTGGAAATTAAGAAGTGTTATACATTCATATTGGTTCCTTATTAAGATTGTTTTAGCTATTATGGATCCCTTATATTTCCACATGAATTTTAGAATCAGCTTTTCTAGTTCTGCAAAAATAAAAATAAAAATATGTAATTTTGATAGGAATTGTGTTAAATCTACAAATCAATTTTAGGAGTATTGATAGCTCAATAATGTTAAGGTTTTCTGATCCAAGGACTTAGCATGTCTTTCCATGTATTTATATTATTTATAATTTCTTTCAACAGTGTTGTTTAGTTTTCAGATTATGTTTTACATTTATTTGCTTAAATTTATGTCTTTCTTTTCTGAATGCTATTGTACCTGTAAAATATTCTTAATTTCTCTTTTATATTTTTCAATGCTAGTTTATTTTTCTTTATTAATCTTATACTCTGAAACCTTGTTGAAATTGTTTACTGTCTCTAGTATTTTTTAAATCTGGATTTCTTTAGTTATTTTATGTGTAAGTTCATGTTATCTGAACATAGAGATAGTTTTACTTTTTTCTTTCCAGTATGAACGTTTTAAATTTCTTTTTCTTGTCTAATTTTTCTAGTACAAACAAAATTACAATGTTGAATAGAAGTAGCAAGAGTGTGCATTCTCATCTTGTTCCTGAAATTGAGGTAGGAGTAGAAACATGCATTTTTTTCACCACTAAATATAGTGCTATTTTGGGATTTTTTTATTCACATCAATTATCAAGTTGAGAAAGTTCCCTCAATTTCTACTATATTGAGTGTTTATAGTCATCCAAATGAATTTATTTTAAATGTTTTTTTTTCATTTTTTGGATCTATCGCAACAATCACATACTCTCTCCTTATTCTAGTAATAGTGTTTAAAATTAATTGATTTTGTCATATTAAAGCAAAGATGTATACTCAATAATCCACCTGGTGATGGTCTGTAATCCTTCATATATGTTGCTGGATTTTATTTGCTAGTAATTTCGGGAACTTTTTGAGTCGACATTAAAAAGAGGTATTGTTCTGTAATTTTCTTTCCTTGTTGATGTCTTTGGTTTTGGTGGCATGGTAATAGTGGCCTCATGTAATGTGTTGGGAGCGCTACTTCCTCTTCTAATTTTAGACAAGTATATGAAGAACCGATATTAGTTCTTTGTGGTACATTTGGTACAATTTACCAGTGAAGCCATCTTGCTTGGACTTTTTTTGTGTGAGAAGTTTTGATATTACTAAGTCAGTTTATTATAGAACTATTCAGATTTTGTATTCCTATTTAAGACAGATTTGGCTGTTTGTGTCTTTGTAAGAATTTGTCCATTACATCAGTTGTTTACAGTATTTTTTAATTCTTTTTCTTTCTGTTAATAGTTATGTCTGATATCTCATTCTGATTTCAGTAATTGAGTCTTCTCTTTTTCTTCTTGGTTAGTTTAGCTAAAAGTTTTTACAATTTTGTTACTATTTTCAAAAAATCAGCTTCTTGCTTCATTGATTTCCTCTACTGGTTTACTGTTTTTTATTTCATAATTGCCCACCATTAGGTTTTATTTTTGCCCTGCCTCTGCCTTTGCCTCTGTTTTAGGTTTAGTCTACACCTGTTCTTCCAGTATTTTAAGCGGAAGGTCAGGCTGTTTATTAGAGACTTTTATTATATTTAACACAAGTATTTGAAGCTATACATTTTCCTGCATATCCTACTTTAGGTACATCTTTTATATTTTGTTGTATAATGTTTTTACGTGGGTTTATCTCAAAGTATTTGTCTTCCCCTCTGATTTCTCCTTTGACTCATTGGTTATTTGAGAATATTAAGTTACACAAAATTTATATTTCCCAATTTTCTTTCCATTATTGTTTTCTAATTTTATTTCATTTGGTCAGAGATCATTCTTTATATGATTTCATTTATTTTAAAAATGTATTGAGGCTTGTTTCACTGTTCAAGATATTATCTATGCTGGAGAATATTCTGGGTGTGCTCTCCTGTTGCTGAGTAGAATCTTTTATGAGTGTCTAGTTGTTTATAGTGTTGCTAAGTCTGCTATTTCTTTGTCGTTTTATTGTTGTTATTGAAAGTGTGGTATCGATGTGTCCAACTATTATTGTTGACCTTTCTATTTCTCCCTCAATTTTTGCTTTGTGTGTTGTGGTACCTTGTTGTTAACTTGTTATAAAGTTGGTATATCTTCTTGGTGGATCAAACCTTTTAGCATTACAATATTACCATAGCAGCTTCAGCTTTCTTATGGATGCTATTTGAACAATACATCTTTTTTCATTCATTACTTTTAACCTCTTTGTGCTTTTTCAATTTTTAAATTAAATTTAAATCAAAATTTAAATTTTCAATTTAACCTCTTTGTGCTTCTCCTGAAGACAGTTGAATTTTTATTTTCCAATCCAGTCAGAAAATGTTATCTTTTGATTGGATTATTTAATCCATTAATATTCAACATAATTGATATAGTTGTATTTACATCCACCATTTTACTTTGTTTTTTGTATTCCCCATCTCTTTTTTGTTCCTCTATTTTCCTTCTTTATTTCTTTCTTTTGCACTAATTATTTTCTACTGTAGCATTTAAATGTATTGTTTTTTCACAATATTTTTGCATCTTTAGTGTCTTCTTAGCACTTAGACATTTTACCTTCTAATTCTAATTCAGATTTATTTCAGACAATTTCAGTGAGATATGCAAACTTAGTTCTACTGTATCTATTCGTTCCTCACCTTTATTGTGCTATAATTATTACACATATTACATCTATATACTGTATATCACAAAACTAATAACACATTTGCATAATGACTACTTTATATACTTTTGTATCTTTTATAGAAACTGCAATAAAAAAGTAAACATATATTCATTTAGTTTGATATATTAGCTTTCTATTTATTATTTTTATTTTTAAAGAAATAATTCCTGGCCTGGTGCAGCGGTTCATGCCTGTAATCCCAGCATTGTGAGAGGCTGAGGCAAGAGGATCATTTGAGCCCAGCTGTTTGAGACCAGCCATGGCAACATCTCTCTCTCAAAAAAAAAAAAAAAAAAAAAAAAAAAAAAAGCTGAGTGTGGTGGCATGCACCTGTATTCCCGGCTATTTGGGAGGTTGAGGCAGGAGGATCACTTAAGCCTGGGAGGTTGGAGCTTCAGTAAGCCAAAATAGTGCCACTGCACTCCAGGCTAACTGAAAAACCAAAACCCATCTTAAAAAGTACTACTACTACTACTACTAATAATAACTTGTCTTTATCAATATTCACTATTAGATGATATAATCATACTATTTTTTACTTATTTAAAAATAGTTTAATTTACTTCTTTGAATATATATATTTATAATAACTTTGAATTCTTTGCTATGTGTAATATCTTCTGTTGCTTGCTTTTTACTTCTGTGTAGCAGTGTTATATTCCTATTTCTTTATCTATCTTGTCAACTTGTTGATATTTTAGATAATATATTGTAGAAACTCTGGATACTAATTCCCCCTCTCTGTTAGGTAATTTCTTGCTTATTTGTTCCCTGATTTGGCTAGACTATTGAGGTAAAGTTTATTTCTTTTGCAGTGTATAACTTACGATGTTGCTCTTCGGAGAATGCAACCTTGAACATGACCAGCTTGGATGATAGTGTATTTTTTGATTGTCTTTTCCTGATTTTCTGTTAAGCTGTCCATGGCTGTCAGTGTCACACTCAGTTGGTAGCCCTTGCTTATTATTAGCTCAGTGCTCTATTGTTTTTGATAGTGTCTCGGAATAAATTCCTCCATAATCTTACCCAATTAAATTGGGCTCATTTTCAAGGCTATGTTCATTCTAGGTTTGAAAAAAAGAGCAAATATCCTGTGGATAATGAAAACCAGTTTTTAATTTTGCAAAAGGAGTTATAAAAAAGGTAGCAAAATGACTAGAAGAAATTCTTTAATGCTGGGTTGGAATTGGAAGTATAAATACGTACTCATGGTTTAATATGCACACACAAACACATATATACATATGCAGGTAGATGTGGAAATAGAAGAAGATGCATGTGTAGATGTGAATATAAATATACATATGTTTTAGCCATGTCAACGAAGAGAGAAATAGTGTAATAGTAGCAGTGAGCACCCCTAATACTCAAATACTGGTATCTAGAAAACTAAGGCTTCTTAAGAGGATTGTTTGGTTTCAGGGCTGGGACAAGCAATATACAAGATAAACTTGTAATGTCTTTTTTTTACCAAAAGCTGAGTAAGTACCAAAGAATAATTTGTATTTGACAAAGTACAGTTCAGTCATCTTAACAGAAATACTGCTGGCTAAATATGTAAAAATTAACATTCAAATAAATAATTGTAGAATAGAAGTAAAACTTCGTGAATAAAATACTCCACAAGTCTACTTTGATATGAGTTATAATTTTAGTGAATTATAACTCATAAAATAAAACAAATATGTGCTGGTCAATGTTGATATAAATACATGATTTAATGGTTACATTTTTAAAAAGAATAATTGTTGGAAAGTATGATACAAGATGTTGAATGTCACTTCTGTAATAACCTCAGATTATAAATTTTTTCCCAGGCATTAATTTAACATCTTCAATTATCTGTCATTATTTTGGTAAAGTGACAACTCGTTGTGATTTTTTTAGTAAAAATTTAAAACTCTTCATTATTTTATTATATATTGTATTTATATTAGAATATATAAACAAAATGTAAAAACAACTCAAATATCAAATTTGAAACTTATTTCAAAATATGTATATGATTCTATGCCTCTTTGAACATTCTTTGCAACCAATAAAGTTAAGTTTCCCAAAATTGTAGCGCTATTAAACAACTACTAATAACACATAACTAAAAATTGCATGAATTTAATTTTCATTTGTAATTTACAAGCAATTAGAAAATTATAGAAAAACATGGTGTGATTATTCTTACAAGAACAGCAAATAAAAAAATCCATTAAAAAGTTTTTCTGTTAGCCCTGAAATAAAACTAGATTGCTCAGTTATATATTTGTTATATTATACTTGAATAGCATATCAACTTTTATTCTGATTATTAAATGTCCACATAAAACTTTTAATATATGGATATCTAAAACTACTGTAAATATTACAAGTATTGTTTTCTTTGTAAATAGTATAAACATTATTTTGCTTTTATTATAAAGTACTCACAGGTACAGGTTTAAAATCTTCCTTACATTTTTTAAATGTATTTGTACTTTATTGTAATATTTTTAAAGGTCATAGTAATTTATTTTCAACTCAAGTCAAAATGTGGCATATTTTCTTCTCAGCACTTATGGAATTATACCTAGGGTTTCTATTTGCATATACATAAGTTTATATTTTTTTTAAAAAAAACACTAGAACTTTTCAAATTAAATTAAATATAATGGTGTGATTTTCTTTCAAGTCCTCAAAATAGTGCTGTTTTACATAAAATGTTGAGTGTTTTATTGTATTATATCGCTGACAAACTTAGAAACTTTTTGATGTGAACAGATGGTTAAATATAATTTATCCATCTAAGAAAGAAGCTAAAATACATGCTACATACCTATTTTTTTAAATTTTCATTTATATTATGGTTTTTACTAGTATTCTTTATGCATCTAATTTTTTAAAAATCTTCCCCCAGAGTAATAACTAAGATTTACAGAAAAGTTTTCTCTGTATTCAATGTATAATTCCTTTAGCTCAGTCTCATCTAATTATCTTCAGCCTTTCATATTTATTAATCAACTTAGACTGTTTAAAAGATTTATTGAATGAGTAGGAAATATGATCCAGTGGATTGGACTGGGAGAATGTATTGTGAACAAACATGAAACTTCAGAAAAATACTACCTTCAGAAGCATAGGGAACTTGCTAAAAGTATATGAATGAATGTGGAAAAAAGTTAGAAAAAAAAGTGACGAGTTTAAAATAATTGGGTTTGGAGTCAGATATTCTTGGTTTGAAATCATAGCTCCACCATTTGAAGAATCTCATGAGCTAAGGTGAATGTCTTAACCTCTTTAAACTTTATCTTTCCTATCTGAAATAATCATTATTTAGGAAATTGTTATAAATAATAAGTGAGATAAAGTATATAAGCATATAAAGAATTGCTTCCTTTATTCAACAAATATTTATTGAATGCCTGTTTTATATACTCTTCCTAGCTCTAAGGATACAGAAGAAGCAAGGCAGACATCGTTTTTACTCTCATTAAAATCAGCCATTGTGAAAATTTTAACATAGACATCAGGACAAGATGATTTTGCAATTGGCTGCAATCTAATGTTTAAGAAACAGATAACTTCAATATGGTTTAACACATTCTAGGCTATAGAACCTTAATTATTAGAACTAATACAAATATAAGAAATAAAATAAAATTGGAGGTAAATTTAACATATTTCTATAGATGTAAAACTTGAAATAAATTATTATCATATAGAATTTACTGGTTATAAAGTGTTACATATATAATGATTAAAACTTATTTTTAGGAAGTTAAAGATAAATCAGGTAAAGAACTCTATTCACATATTCCACGTATTTTATTGATACAATTTTTTTTTTCTTTTTCTGAGACAGGGTCTTGCTCTGTTACCCAGGCTGGAGTGCTGGAGTGCAGTAGTGCATTCATGGCTCACTGCAGCCCTGGACTCCTGGGCTTAAGCAATCCTCCCACCTCAGCCTCTCAGGTAGTTGGGACTACACGTGCATGCCACATAGCCTGGAATTTTTTTTATTTTTCGTAGAAACTGGCTGTCACTATGTTGACCAGGCTGGCCCAAACTCCTGGGCTCAAGCTATCCCCCTGCTTCAGCCACTCAAAGTGCTGAGATTACAGGCTTGATACAATTCTTAAGTCAACAAGTTAAGCCAAAAAGAAAACCAGTATATTAAAAAACTTGGAAATTACGTTTGGAAAAATTCATCTGAACAACAAAAAAACCAGCAAAATTAAAGCCAAAACATCTCTAAATATAAAAGAAATATAAATAAATGATTAAAATACAACATCCAGCAGCAAATATTAAAATAAAGCTTGTAACTGCAATTTTTAAATTTACTTATTTATACATTTTGTTTGTTTGTTTTATTGAGATGGAGTCTCACTCTGTCGCCCAGGTTGGAGTGCAGTGGCACGATCTCGGCTCACTGCAACCTTTGCCCTCCAAGTTCATGTGATTCTCCTGCCTCCGAGTAGCTGGAATTACAGGCGCCTGCCGCCGTGCCTGGCTAATTTTTGTACTTTTAGTAAAGACAGGGTTTCCATCTTGGCCAGGCTGGCCTTGAACTCGTGACCTTGTGGTCCACCCGCCTCGGCCTCCCAAAGTGCTGGGATTACAGACTTATTTATATATTGTTTTTGTGAAAAATCAAGCATAAGGTATGAATGATTTAATTTCTTGTCAGATCTCACAAATTCAACATATAAATTAGAATGTAGTTCTAAGTATAACTCGAGTTACTGAATTAGATAAATGCCATAAAGTTACACATGGAAGTCTAATATTTGTGCACAGCTATAAGATATTAGATAAGAATGGATAAAGAAAGAATGGATAAAGGACTTGATTACAGGGCATGAAACTGTATTATAAATATATTGCAATAAAATATTGGATTGTCATAGCCATCAATTAGATCAGTGAAACTGAATATATGGCTCTGCTTTTAATTCTTGTGCTGGTCAATATTTTTTTTAAAAGTTTTAGTTCTTAATTCTTTTGAGAATATGAGGAAGTGTCCTCTTATATTTCTGGTAGAATTATGACTTGTCACAGCATTTGCCATAATCAGTCCTTCATTATTGACCAAAATTAGAGTAAAACCTACTGGGCAATAAGGAATCCAAATGTTTTGACTCTATTCTGTTAAAAAAAGAGAGCACCAGTAAGTAACAATATACATACACAGTTGTTTATTATAATACTTTTTATGATGACAGAAAATGACTTTAAATAAGCTGTGTGACTATCAATAATTTTTTTAAAGAATTGTGTTTCTCCTCTGTCATGACATGTCTTGAAGCCAAAACAAACACAAGTGAAAAATTAAGATAAATATATATTAGGTAACCTAGAGAAATTTTCATTATGTGTTATTAAATAGCAATGCAAGGAATTTGACTATAAAATGATGACTGATTATAATTTGATGTTAGATTTGATCTCTATTGAAATTAATTTGCCATATTGTTCACTTTGTGTTTATAACAGATTTATGTGGTTATCTGTATGTATACATGCATATACTCGTTTATTTATCTTTTGTTTATTAAACTAACATGTCTGAAGAGCTTCCTCTGTGCTATGCACTGTTGTAGCTTTTCATATAAAGGAAAAAAGAAAAATCCCTGCCTTCATGGCTTTAGTTAGGTGGTGATGGGTATTGGGGAGGAAAAGAAGGCAAGATATTGATATAAGTGGAGGATGCTGTACAGTATTATATAGTCAATGCCAACACATTGATGCAACAATATGTTATCTTCCATCTCTGGTTCTAGTCCTTGCAGCAGTAATACTCCTACATCTGCAATCTCATTTACTCATCTTTTTAGAATAGGATTTTCTATAGGGCATTTCTCAAGACAACTTGACTATTTAATGATTTGTTATCAGAATTTGATCTCAATGCTGTTAGCCAGGAAAATTTCCCATAACCTTTATTTTTGTAGGTACGTGTTATAAGGTCAAAAAGTCTGATCATCTCTGCATAATTATAATATGCCAAAATGTGTTTCTTATTTATTTTTTGTATTCAAGATGAGTTTTCTTATACACAAGGGATCATTCTGATTGAAAACTTTTTCACATAGAATTTCTATGACTTTTGAAATATTTAATGTAAATTAAGGGGTTTGTGCAAGCTGAAGGCTGTCCACCTTCATTATATCGATGGGCTTTCTCCTCACTATTTTCTGCGACCGGGGTGAGAAGTGAACTTCTTATGGGCAATGTTTTTGTTATCTGTGAAGCACCAGGCCATTAGTTTTTTGCAATGACAGAGGAAAATAATCTAACCACCTAAAAAAAAATTGGACACATTTTACTCAGCTATAGTTGCATAACAAACTATGCAACAAAACCTAGCAGATTAAAGCAATAGTTTTAATTTGCTCACTGTTTGTGGATGAGGAATTTAGGAGGTGCTTAGCCAAGTGGCTCACTTTTGTTTCCCATGATGTCAACTAAGGAGTCTCAGTGCCTGGAGGATCCACTTTCAAGGCTCACTCAAGTGTCTGGCACATTGATTCTGACTTTGTACTGAGGCTTTCGCCAGGGATACCAACTGAATCATCAGCCAAGGGCTTTGGTTCCTCTTCATGTGAACCTCTATTTTTTTCCACATCTTACCATGAGAATTCCAAGAAGCTGCTAATCTTTTCATGCCTAGCCTCAGAAACCCCCAAAAGACCCTACAGTCACATTCCTTCTTTTAAGTAAGTCATGAATGTCAGCCTAGGCTCTAAGGTACTCCTCTTGGTAGGTAGTACTCTTGGGAGGAGTACTAAAAAGTTTAAGCCATCTTTAATTTACCACAAAAAAACTTGTTCTGTCTCTATTTCATAACATTTACCTGAAGTTCTAATGTAGACTTTCCTATCTGATATAAATTTAGTTTAGTTAATATCCTGTGCCTAAAGCTAGAAAATATCCATTGTGTATACTAAGTATATTTAAAAATAACATTTTTTGACCGACAAAACATTTGGAAGGCTATGTTTCCTCTTATTATATTAATAAGAATTATAATTCTTAATAATAGGAAAATTTTCTATACTTTTTATGTGCTTTAATTCATTTAATATTCAAACAACTCTGTGTGCAAGTTAGTATTATCTAGATTTTCAAGATGAAAAGTGAGATATAGAAATTCTGTTAGTACATTTTGCTTGCTATAAAAAATACCTTAGGCTGGGTAATTTATAATAAAAGAGTTATATTTGGCCCACAGTTCTTCAGATGGTACAAGAAGTATGTTGCCAACACCTGCTCAGCTTCTCGTGAGGTTTCAGGAATCTTACAATCATGGCAGAAGACAAAGAGGGAGAAGGCATGTCACATGGTGATAGAAGCAGCAAGAGAGAGTTGGGGTAAGGGCCACATTCTTTTAAACAACCGGATCTTGCGTGAACTCACAGCAAGAATTTACTCATTACTGCTAGGAGGGCTCCAAGGCACCATATGAGGAATCTGCTCCCATGACCCTAATACCTCCTAACAACCCTCACCTTCAACATTGTGGATTACATGTCAACATAGAAAGTGTCAGATCTAAGTTTCAGAAACAGGCAATTTGTTTCTATAGACTAAATATTTAACATCCTATTTCTTTTATAATATTGAAACAAAACACCATGCATTAAAAAAAATCTGTCTTTAAGTGTACCTTGAAATCTCATTTCAAAATTCTGTCTCTTTCCCTTCAGGTAAATACCTAATTTAGGATTTAATCTAGCTATTGCTTGAGAAGATATCACTTGTGTTTATTTTATATTTATTCTACAAACTATAACCTAATTATAACAATGATGATATCTATATAAGCTAAAGAAGCAAGTCTGCCTTTCTTTGTAAGATACAACCTTTATTTTCCTTCTAACAGTTTCATCAGGATTACCAAGCTTTTATTTTGGCATTAAAACCATTAAATGTCAATAAAAAGATACATGCGTTTGTAGTATTTTCAGTCGTTTTGCGTTTGTAATGTTTTCATCTCGTTTTATAAAAGCTTTTCTACAAAGACAGAATTGTTGCTATGTTGAGAACACTATAAAATATTTTCAGTAACATTAGAATAAATCTGTTTACGTATTTAAGAAACATTTGTTACATCCATTGGACACAGAATGCATTATTTACAATTAGAAAAAGGAGATAAGACCGACACAAATTAAGAATACAAGTCAGTTTATTAAAAATATATATAGGAGTGAGTCAAATACATTTTCAACTATTACCATGATAAGAATTTGAATCAATAGATATTATTTAATGGAATAAAGATAAAATCAAATAGTATTAAACATTATAAAATGTTTTAGGTCTACTTAATTCTTAGTTAATATTTTTCTTAGAGTGAAATTTTATTTGTTTTATAATGCTGGGAAGAAATTTTAAAATAATTATATTTCTACTGTAAAACACATCTTGTAGAAATTTCTTAGAAGCAATTAAAAGCACAAAACCTGTTATAGAGTGAAAAGGGCAGAATGATGTGCTGGAGAATGACATTTTCATAGCGAGAAATCTGAACAGATTTTTTAGCTGTACGTCATGTTAGGAAAACAGGAAGGATGCTTGTCTATAATAATACTGGTGATTTGAATGCAGGACGTATGTTGTTTGTGTAGTATATGGAGCTTAAGAGTATTTTATTCTATGGATGCCAAACTGGTTTTAATGTCTAAAGCTCCTGAGTTGCTAAGCTGAACGTATGCATCTAGGCAGTTTACAGTGTTTTACAAGTGCAAAGAAATTTTCTTCAGCTGAGAGACTGAGACTAATTTTTAATATTATAAAACCTAGCCTGGACAAATATGTATATTTAATTGATAAGTTTTAAATTCTAAAAGTAAGGAAAATTACAACATTATTTTTTCCTTAGGTTGCAGATAACATAGGGTAAACTGTTTTGATCCTGTTTAAATTCTGGGGTTTATTAAACAAAAAATTGATCAGGTTGCAACAGAAGCTTAGATATTTAAAGTATGATTCAATTTGTAATTGTTCTGGAGCAATACATATTACTGCCTCTTATTGCATATTTTGATACCTGAAGTTTTTGTTCACAAATAAGATGTTATAAAACTGGTAATATTATTTGCCATGATAAATTCAATAACCTCAAGAATAAATAAAACATAGCCCAGAAACAAAGAGGGGTTGAGTTAATGATTTAGTTTGGATATTTTTCTGGCAATGATGAACAAGCTTATCCAGGCTATTTCTGCCATGTCAAAGTGAGTCATCACCGTAGAATATCTCTATCTGATTATGGGAATTATACATTGCTCCATCTCTGGCTTGTTCTGCCTGCTTTAGCTCAGAAAGCAAACCATACTATTGGAATTACATAGTATGTGACTAACTATGCTGTTCATTGGGTGAGTTATGTGGCAGTAGACTATAATTTATGGATTACTTATGTCTTTTCTATTATGTAAAAAGGTTTATTTCCATCATCTTTTATAATTTTTACACAACTCTATGATATAGCTTTCCACTTTAAAGATGAGAACATGAAAGCTTATAGCTTCATGCACTTCATAAAACCAGGATTTGAACATTGGTCTACTTCATTCTAATACCTATTTTTAACTGCTCTATCATAGCACTTACAAATGATAATTCTCTTTCCAAGGAAAACATATCCACAGATGAGCTGAGAAGCTAGAGCACTCTAATTAGAGCCTACCGTTTTATTTCCTTGTGATACGTAAAAGACAATTTCTTTGGCTGTTTAGAAAAAAAATTGTAGCTTAACTTTGAAAAAATTGCATAAAAGACAGTGAGGTGATAAACATAATCTGGATAATAGTTATACCATAAGAAAAAACAAAAAAGTGAGAGAAAGGAAAAAGAAAATTTATATATAGTGGGTTGAATATAGTGCCTTCCCCAAATTCATGTCTACCTAGAAGCTCAGAATTTGACCTGATTTGAAAATATGGTCTTTACTAATGGAACTAATTAAGGATGTCAAGATGAAGTCATCCTTGATTCATCCTGGATGAAATAATCCTCAGCCTGAAATCAAATGACTGGTATCATTATAAGAGAAAGGAGAGGGAGATTTGTGCACAGAGAACAGGGAAGAAGATTATGTGAAGAGAGGGACAGAGATTGGAGTTCTGCTGCCACAAACCAAGGAAGGGCGGGAGCACCAGGCAGACTCTATTCTGAAGGTTGGAGAGAGAACATGGTCCTACTGATAGCTTTATTTTAGAATTCTGACTTCCAGAACTGTCAGAAAATGAATTTCTTTGTTTTAACTCACGTAGTTCATAGTAATTTATTACCATAGCCCGAGGAAATCATATAAATTATTTTATTTCATACAATTTGGGGATTGTTTCATGTACAAGCGGTGAAAAAGAATAGCCTCCTATTTATAAAATAAGAGAAATGTGCCTCACTGTGTGAAATCATAAAGAGTGTGTTGCTTTTAATAAGCAAATAAAAGTACTTTGGTTATGTGTTTGAATAAAGTGCCTACACACACACACACACACACACACACACAGATCTCAATATATCACAACATGATTTTTGAAAGTTTAACATTGATTCAACAAGCACAACAGCTACAATAGGGATGCACATTAATTACTAAGATGCTCCTTAGGCTCAGTCTTGCTTTAGGAAGACTTCTCTAGATAGATAGATGGATTTGAAAGGGTATACCTAGCGTAATTATATTAACAAACTTCCCTACTGCCAGTATATTCCTACATGTTTGTATGCACACACACACACACACACACACACACACACACACGTATAGCAGATAGATCTTGGCTGGGTCAAGTTTTTTTTTATTCGTGCAGGTTAGATCTTATTTAATCAATAGCCTAATTGGTTTTTAGTTGGTTTATTCTATCAGCTATTGGATGAGATGGGTTAAAGCCTTCTTTTGTGACTGTGGATTTGTCCATTTCTTCTTTTAGTTCTGTTAATTTTTCTTTACATATCGTGAACTATGGTATTGTACACATACAAGGTTAAGATTGTGATATCATCCTAAATTGTAGCTGTCTTATTCTTATGAAAGGTTTCTCTTCATCTCAATTAATTTTTATTGCTTTAGAGATTTATTTTTTTAGCTAACATTAAAATACACTTGACGTTTGAACAACATAGAGGTTAAGAGTCCTGGCAATCCATACAGTAGAAAATCCATATATAACTTTTGACTCCCCCAAGACTTAACTACTAATAGCCTACCAATGACTAGAAGCCTTATGAATGACATAATTGAATATATATTGTAAGTAATATGTATTATATGTTGTATTTTTTAAAACAAACCATAAACTAGAGAAAAAATATTATAAAGAAAATAATAAGGAAGCAAAAATATATTTAGTATTAAAATATATTTAATATTTTTAAATGGAAGTGAATATCATAAAGGTATTCATCCTTGTTGCCTTCACATTAAGTAGGCTGAGGAGGAAGAAGAACAGCAGGGGCTGGTTTTGCTGTCTCAGGGTGGGCGGAGGGAGAAGAGATGGAGAAGGTAGAAGAGGAGCAGGAAATGCAGGTACACATGTTGTAACTTTATAGAAATGCATGTTAATTTCTGTCTGACACTTTTGCTTTTTTGTTGTTCCAAACATGTTTCTTTACAGTACCGATATTTCCTTCAATATTTAACTTCAGTGTCAGTGTCCATATCATAGAAAGGTCCAGGTCACAAAAGAAGTCAAAAGCAGTCTTGAAAAATTAGAATCATGCTGCCAGATTGTATGATGTCACGTTGTTTTCTGGCATTCCCTTCCTCATCATCTGGCACAAGTTTGAAAGTGCTTATCTTCATCAAGTCATCTTCTCTTAATTCCTCTGGTTAGTGTCTGTAAGCTCTTGAATTTTTCCAAGATCTCTATCTTCAAAGCTTTAACCTTTCATTTTTTGTGCTGTATCCACAATCTTTTTTCATAATTTTCTTGATAGACTGTGTTATAAATCTTATGAAGTCATGCACAACATCTAGATATAGCTTTCCCCAGAAGGAATTTATTGTTTTAGTTTTGATGATTTCATGGCTTTTTCTATAATGATAGCATTTCAATGACACAATTCTTTCAGACTTTCATGATGTTCTCTTTGTTGGAATTCTCTTCTAGAACATTGATAATTCTTTCCATGGAGAACCTTGTGTAATGAGCCCTAAGGGTCCTTATGATCCCTTGATCTAGAGACCGAGTTATAGATGTTGTATCTGGGGCAAGTAGACTACTTCCGTGCCTTCAGTGTTAAACTCATGGGGTTCCGGATGACCAAGGGAATGATGCAATATCAAAATAACTTTAAAAAGCAGTCCCTTGCTGGCAAGGTACTTCCTGACTTCAGAGACAAAGCATCAATGGAAGCAATACAGAAAAAAATTTTCATTGACCAGACTTTCTTGTTGAACAACCAAAAAATTGGCTGCTAGTGTTTATCATTTCAAGAATCAGGATTAGCAGCCTTTGATAAGGGCAGTCTTGATTATAAACTCGATTGAGTTTGCATAACACAATACGATTAGCCTACCATTTCCTGCCTTAAATCCTGTTGCTCACTTCTCTTCCCTACTAATATGTGTTCTTTTTGGCATCTCCTCCCCATAATATGTCACGTTTATCTACTTTAAAAATCGGTTAAGGCAGATATTCTTTCTCTTCAATGATTTTCTTAATGACATCTGGGAATTCACCCGCTGCCTCTTGATCAGCAGAAGCTACTTCTTCTGTTGTCTTGTCATATTTTAAGAAAAACAACTTTCTGAAATTATCAAGCCACACGTTGCTGGCATTAAATACTACAGCTTTAGATCCTTCCCCTTCCTTTTGCTTTAAATGGTCATATAATGACTTTGTTTTTCCTGAATCATATTAGATTCTTTAGGTATGCCTTTCTTATAGCAATCATGCACCCAGGTAAAAGCTGAATTTTCAATATGAGATAAAAAGGTATTTCACAAAAAGTGCAAGGATTTTGTGCCTGCTGGCATAGCTGCAGCAATGGCTTCATAATGTTTCTTTTCTTTTTTTTTTTTTTACAATGGTCATTATAGTGGATTCATTTATCTTAAAATGGTGGGCAACTGCAGCTGCGGACTTCAATCTTTCTTGTGACGTCATGACTTTTCTCTGCTTCTTGGAAGTGCTTCCAGCATCACTAATGGCATTTGGTAGAGGTCCCATGGTGTTATTTAAGGCTTATGGTATTGCATTAAACACCATGAAAAGAAAGAGAGAGAAATATGAGAGATCACCTTTTAACTGCAATATGCAATTTGCTGAATAGACAATTGGTCATGTATAGATGATTAAGGTCACATGACATTTTAATCACATACTTGTAACATTTGAATTCACTACCATAGCAACAAGAAGTGGCTATGAAATTATGACAGTAGTATACTATGTACTACAGTTGATTATATGCAGTTATGATTTAATGCTGCATTTTTACATTTGTTAATTCTATTTTAACCTTTGTATTACTTTTGAAATGCATTGTACTTCAAGAAATATTTAAAATCTCTATGACACTATTTTTTTCAGTTTTATTCAATTATTATGTGTTTATATTTACACATATATGAGCACTTTCTCTTCACTATTTCTTGCACTTTTCTGGAATCACTTTCATTCTTCTAGAGGAACTGTTATGTATTTTTTATTGCCAACATGTTTGAAGATTAATTCATTCTAAAAAATCTTTTCTAAAAAGTGTGTTTAATTTGTGTTCATTTAAAATAAATTTTCACTGGCTATAAAAATCTAGATTGAAGTGGGTTTTTTTCAGCAATTTAAATATGTCATTCTGTATTATGGTCAGCTCAATAATTACTGAGAAATCCTTTGAAGATATTGAAAATTTTTTCCCTCATTGCTATTTTTCACTCAATATTTGCTTGGTTGGTTAATCTCTGGTTGCTTTTATTTTTTATTATTTCTTTTGAATTTTCAACAAATATAATTAAATTATGATTTCCTTAGGTGTAAATAACATTCAGTTGGAGAAAAGTTATGGCAGGTCCAAAACAAAGACTTGGGTTGGATCTGATTTTACTTAGGATGACAGAAAAAATGGAAGAATGTATTTTAAATAAGATAATAAATAATGTAAATATAAAAATCATGGTTATATATACATGAATTTTATTTTACAATAAGGTATACTTTACAAGAGATTTTTGTTAAAAAATGGGAAGATATCAAAGAATATTAAAATTTGGAAAGAAAATAGTAGGTATATAGAGAAAATGGGTAGAATTATTTTTCACTTTCTTCTGCATTACTTCTAAGAAAAAGTAATTTGGATGAGTAACTCATCCAAATGCAATGAAAACCTCAATTTATTCTCCACCAATTTACCCTTTAATAAAATAAATTCCAATGATAGCTGATTTATTTTGTAATGTCTCAAATGGACAAGTTTGATATATATTTTTGAAGTGAATATCCAGGACTTCATGGTGGATTGGATATGAAGGGGAGCAAGAGAAAGAGAAAGAAAGAGCAGAATTGAAAATTAAACTAATATTTAATTGACCAACATTATTGTTGGTCAATTAACTTGACCAACTGAGTAAGGTGATGTTGTTTGCTAAATTGAAGACCGTGGTGGGGAAACCCATTTGAGGTAGGAAATAATGAATACATCTTGGATATGTTAAGTTTGCCATTTGTGTGATTTACACAAGTGGCATTTTTGATATAAATATATTATTCAAAGGAATGTCTCTTCTTTGGGAAAATAAATTGAGTCATTTACATATGATTGGTGTTTCAAATACCTTATTCAGTTGCATGCACTCAGGACAGGTTAAGAGAAAGGAGCAAAGAGTCTCAATACCAAACACTCTGGAATTTAGAGATCAAGACTAGGAAAATAATCTCAAATCTCTGGTAAGAGAGTAATGATGGCAGTGGTGGCTCATCTGGAGGAGCTGCTGCCATGACACCGTCTGCAATAGGGGAGGTGTGGCAGGGACTGTGGGCACCACAGAGCCTGAGGGAGCTAGGAACAGGCAGAAGCCCCACCTGCTTCCTAGTTGGCAGGGTGTGAGCCTCGTGCTCCCTGGGCACAGCTGCTGGGGGCCCAGCCATGGCTCTGGACCAGGACATCCCTGTGCTCTTGGAGGCTAGGAGCAGGCAGGAGCTCTACCATCCTGGGTGAAGTTGTAGCTGTTTGGCCACAGGTTTGGAAGTGCCTGCTCCCACTGCCTGGCCTCTTTCTGTTCCCAGTGCCCGCTCTGATCTTGGAACAAAGTTAAGGCCAAGCTTGGGTGCTATCACAACCTGGCCAGGTGCGCCCAAGCTCGAGACAGTGCTGACATGCCAGCCTCCTGCCACCTCAGCCCCCTCTAGACTTTGGGTGCCGATAAGACCAGGAAGGAGCCTGAGGGGGCACTGAGGGTGGCTTGGCACAGGCCTGCAGGTGCCCCTTGGCACAGCTTGGGGGATGGCAGGAGGCAGACAGGCTCCTGGGTAGAAAAAGGTAAGTCCCTGGTGAAGTCCCACCTTCAGGCCATGGATGGCCTAATGCCTGGGGGCTGGGTTGATGGATGCGAATGGGAAGGCATGGTGCCTTTTCTGGGCCTACCCATGGCAGCCATTGAACAAAACAGCATGTACTTTCTCCCCTCTGAAGCCCATAAAAATCCGGGATTCAGCCAGACTTAGGGAGATGACCTGATGACCAGCTGTGGAGAGGAGCTACCCACTCCAGAGTCTTCTATCTGCCAAGAGCTGGGCAGATATTGGGACCACCAGCTGTGGAGAAGAGCTACCCAGTCCAGGGTTTCCTCTCTGCTGAGACCTTAGCAGATGTCGGGATTACCAGCTGAGGATAAGAGCTCCCCACTCCAGGGCCTCCTCTCTGCTGAGAGCTGAGCACTCGTTGGGACACCTTGCCTCTGGAGAGTAGCGACCCACTGTGGGTCTCCTCTGAGCTGTTCTGTTGCTCAATAAAGCTCCTCTTCACCTTGCTCACCCTCAACTTGTCCACATACCTCATTCTTCCTGGACACAGGGCAAGAACTAGGGACCTGTTGAATGGTGGAGGTAAAAGAGCTTTAACAAAAACAGGGCTGAAACTCCCCGTTGCTTGCCACACTGTGGGCAACAAGAAGGAGAGAAGAGAGAAGGAGAGAACATCTGTGGCCCTTTGGAGAGCACAGACCTAGGAGCTACCCAAGCCAGGGCTGTGATCCTCTCTCTGGAGCGCTGTGGTTCCTGGAGTCTTCAAGCTTCCGGGTGCCGCAGCACTCCCCATGCCAACCTTGGAAGCAGCTTGTGATATGTCTGGTTCAGCTGCAGTCTCATAAGGAGCTGGCATCCATGCCAGCACCTGGGGTTGCCTGTCCCACTGCAGGTGGCGTGCCTGACTGTGTGCAGTGGCTGGACCACCTGCTTGCTCACTCACACATTCCTGCTGCTTTGCACCTGGCTTGCCCCCTGGAAGGCATGAGATTCTAGCCCGTAATGTGAGTCTAGTGCTGCCTGCCAAGCCAAGTGGGTAGAACAAGCCCAGGAGGCCCCAGTAAAAACTTGGGCAAAGGAACCACTGGCCGCAGAGGTTTCTGGCTGGTAAAGCAACACCCCAGGGATCCCATAATAGTAAGGAATCACAATCACTAAAATAAAAGAGTGTTTCAAGAACAAAGCAGTGTTCAACATTGAACAAAGAACAAAGGAGTGTGTGAATTCAGGTTACCAAAGTGCCCATTAAGCATTGGAGCCATAACAAAAGCAAAAATTGACAAATGTGACCTAATTAAACTGAAGAAATTCTGCACAGTAAAAGAAACTATCAACAGATTAAACAGACAACCTACAGAATAGGAGAAAATATTTTCTAACTACACATCTGACAAAGATGTAATATCCAGAATCTATAAGGAACTGAAACAATTTAACAAATAAAAAACAAATAACCCATCAAAAAATGGGCAGGTATATTAACAGACACTTTTCAAAAGAAGACATACAAGTGGCCAACAAACATATGAAAAAATGTTCCATATCACTAATCATCAGAGAAATGCAAATCAAAACCACGATGTGATACCATCTCACACCAGTTCGAACGTCTATTATTAAAAAGCCAAAAAATAACAGATGCTGACCAGCCTTCAGAGGAAAGAAAATACTTACACATTCTTAGTTGGAATGTAAATTAGTTCAGCCCCTGTAGAAAGCAGTTTGGAGATTTCTCAAAGAACTCAAAACTACCATTAGGCCCAGCAATCCCATTGCTAGGTGTATATCCAAAAGGAAACAAATTATTCTACCAAAGACACATACACTTGCATATTCTTTGCAGCACCATTCACACTAGCAAAGACATGGAATTAACTTAAATGCCCATCACTGGTGAACTGGATAAAGGAAATGTTGTATACATACATCATGCAATACTATGCAGCCATAAAAGAGGACAAAATGATATTCTTTGCAGCAACATGGATGCAGCTAGAGGCCATTATCCTAAGCAAATGAATGCAGAAACAGAAATCCAAATACCACATGTTCTCAATTATAAGTGGGTGCTAGATATTAGATACACAAGAACATAAAGATGGCAACAATAGAAATTGAGGACTGCTAGATGGGAGAGGAAGTGAGGAGGGCAAGAGTTGAAAAACTAACTGTTGGATACTATGATCAATACCTGGGATCACTCATACCCTAAACCTCAGCATCATGCAATATACCCAGGTAATAAACCTGCACATGTACCCCTGAAGCTAAAATAAAAGTTGAAGAAAAAGAATTGGAGCCATGAAGACCATTAACAACTTTCACAAGAGAAGTTGTAGGAATGTGGTAAGGGCAGAAATGCATGTATTGAGTTTAAGAATAAAAACGTGACAGAATGAAAAGTTTCTTTGGAAATGTTTGTTTTGAAGCAATTATAGAAAAATGGGATGTGGAACAACCGAAGTGTCAAGGTAGAGTCTATATACCAGCAAAAGCGTGCCTGTAAGCTAATAATAGTCTATTCTGGAGAATAAGAGGGATTGATAGTTTAAAAATGAAAATGTGGCTGGGTGCGGTGGCTCATGGCAGTAATCCCAGCACTTTGGTAGCCCCAGGAGGGCGGATCAAGAGGTCAGAAGTTCAAGACCAGCCTGGCCAACATGGTGAAGCCCTGTCTGTACTAAAAATACAAAAATTAGCTGGGCGTCGTGGTGTGCACCTGTAATCCCAACCACTCGGGAGGTTGAGGCTAGAGAATCTCTTGACCCTGGGAGGCAGAGGTTGCAGTAAGCCGAGAATGGCCACTGCACTCCAGCATGGGTGACAGAGCGAATCTCTGTCATGGAAAAAAAAAGTGAAAATGTATAACAGAAGTGTTAAAATCTTTGCATCCATAGCACAAGATACTTACGTTTGATAAGCAGAGAGCCACGTAGTCTTTGCAATGCTATTGTAATTTATTCAAATAATAAAAGAGGTATAGCTGTGTATTTGGTAGTGTAAAGTAACAGAAAAAAATGTTAAGGCTTATGAATTGCTTAGGAAATATAAGACAAGGTCAGAAGCTAAATGATGCATGAGAAGACTAATAAGTGAGAAATATAAAAAATAGTTATCATAGAGAGTAAGAGCAGATGCTGTAGAGAAAGAAAATAAGGTTACTAAGCGGTACTGAGTGTCCATGGAAATTGGCGATCATGAGCATATGGTGAGACCATTTTGTGTAGGGTGTGATTTCCCCTGCAAAATTTTCTACATATCTGCATGTATGAAAAAGATTGGTAAGTTCCTCCAGGAAAGAAAAATTTCCATGTGATTGTGAAAAAGATAAGTTGCAATTTGTAAATTTTTGAAGGAAATTGAAGATCTCAGTGGTGTCAAGTGATTAATACAGTTAATGCTTGTATAAGAAATAGGTTATATTTGAAGATTTTTCAAGTAAAAATAGGTTTTGAAGGTAATACAATTTTTGCTAATTATAAGGTTTATGATATAATATGAAAATATAATTGGATGAAAAGGAGATAAAGGTCATTAGAGATCTAGAAGTCAAGGAACTTAGAGGCAAGTGGGCAGGGTGAACTAATCATATGTAAGTTGAAGTTTACAAAGAATAGAAAGGTTAGTAATAATATAATGTTGAAAAAGATAAGAGAGTCTATGGTTAACCCCCTACCCCCGAATGCAAAGATGATGGCAAAGCTGAATGTCATGGACTTAATGAAGGACTTTTACAAGCAGAGGAAACAAGTGGTTTGGAGGTAACCCTGAATTGCAGGAACACTAACCCTACTTTACAAGTTTGATGTACATGGCATGAGGGTAAATAATCAGGTTACACTTAAGAGAAGAAACTCCCTTATCAATTAAGATGGGAGAAAAAATGCTATGAAAGAAGATGAAGATTGATAGAATGATCTGGTCAAAAACAGGAATTTCCTGGGGCATAGTGGAGCAAGTTTGGAAGGAAGGGAAGAGGAGTGAGAAGGGGATGATAAAAAATATGTAGAATGAGATAAAAGAAAATAATGCATACCTTAGGAGACTTAGACTTCTGGTAGAGTTGAGATAGGTGAGTATTATGAATATTTTTAATGGTTTCCATGAGAAATTATCAAGGTATAGTGAATAAAATAGGCAAGTCTCAGCTTTGAGCTCATGTTGTAGCAGGCAATGGCAGAATATAAATAACTATAAGATATGTGGTGATAGTGCTGTGGACAAAGATAAAACCAGATGCAGAATATGGTGCATTAAAGTAGTGAGAGAGTGCTATTTTACATTCAATATCTGGGGAAAACCCTCTGTTAAAATCAAATTTGAACAGAGTACTGTGAGTATGGGGATTATGATATGCGATAAAGAGGGGAGGTGGTTGGGAGCCAGAACATGGAGGACCTAAGGAACTGCTGTAAGGCCTTTGACATTTATTCAGAATGAATGGACACCGCTGACCGATTTTAAGCAGAATATCTGTCAGATATTTTAGAAGTGGTATTCTGACGGCTCTGCTGAGAATGAGAAAACATTTTTTACTGGATAGATTTTGAAGGCAGAGTCAACATCAGTTGTGCTGCATTACAAGTGATGCAGAAAAGCAAGAAAATAACCAAGGAGACCTCTAAATATGTGTGAGAGTTTTCCTCCTGTTGAACAGATACTCTATATCGAGATGAGAAAGACCGAAGTGCAGGTTTGTGGGTGGGAAACAGAAGGTTTATTTTATTTTATTTTATTTTATTATTTTTGAGACAGAGTTTCACTCTTGTTGCTCAGGCTGGAGTGCAGTGGCACCAGCTGGGCTCACTGCAACCTCCACCTCCCGGGTTCAAGCGATTCTTCTGCCTCAGCCTCCCAAGTAGCTGGGACTACAGGCACACGCCACCATGTCTGTAATTTTTTTCTATTGTTGGTAAAGACGGGGTTTCACCATATTGGCCAGGCTGGTCTCAAGCTCCTGACCTCAGGTGATCCGCCCACCTCGGCCTCTAGAAGTTCTGGGATTACAGGCGTGAACCACCATGTCCCACAGAAGGTTAATTTTAGATATCTAGGTGGAACTGATAAGTCAGTAGGCTGTTAAGTGGATTGGTATAAACTGGGGATGTAATTTGGAAGTAAATAGCATATAGTGGTTTTTATATCCATGAGAGTGGTGGAGGTCATGTGAGCAGTCTGTGTAGTTTAAGCAAAGGAATTACAAAATGAAGCCTATGGGACTCCATATTTTAAGGGTTAGACGGTGAGGAAGGTCCAGCAAAGTTGTTGACTAGGAATGGCTTAAGATGGAAGAAAACTAACAGCTGCAAACATGATAGCTGTTTCTTCCCTTTCTTCCATCATTCCTGCCGTTATTTTCCTCTTCCTCTTTATTCTTAGCTCACTTATTTTCCTCCTTCCAGTTTTAGCTTTTTTCCTCTCTAATTTTACACGTCTTTTTCTTTCCTTTTTTGAGGGGTTGTTTTTATTTGAGAAATAGTTTAGGAAATGCCTTCATTGTTAGATGCTTTATTTATCACTAAGATTTCAGATGTTTTCTTAAAAAACCACTTAAGGAATTACTGGAATTCTGATAGTTACCCATTTAATATGGTTTATGTGTAAGATCTCTCTTTAAGCATTTTTCTCTAGTATGTGTTGGTTAAAAAAAAACATGAAGAATCAGCTCTTTGCAATTATTTAGCAAGATTTAGGCAAAGCCTTTCAAAGTAATTATTACGGTCTTGATCAATGTGATTAATTTTCTATGTGACAGAAACTTGGAATTGAAGAGCAATCTTTAGAAAAATAAATTTGCAGTGACACAATTGTATAATTTGTAAATGATTAAAAATGGATAATAGTTTGCATTTATGAAGGAGAATTGTTCTGAGTGGTTTTAGAAGAGGAAAATAACATTCCACAATTTACCAAAAATATAAAATGTCTGATTGAGGAAATCATTTTGAATTGCTATTAAAAATTTTCAAGGTGCCATTAAACTGAAATGTACTGTATTTGAAATTGTAGATAAACCCAGTCCTATACGTTTGCATCACTATTTATGACTCTTTTTTGTTGTTGTTGCTGTTTTCTTTTCTTGGAGGCTAATTTAACAGAGATTGAAGCTAATTTTGGAAGAAATATTCTGATTTTCTTATTATTCTTCAAATTATTATTATTTAAACTCACTAGGGAGCATCTGACAAACCATTGTAAAATTTTGCTATTTGAGAGCTAAATACGTCTCACATATAAATGAAGCTATGTAATGGTAATATAACTCTGGAAAGCTGATTATTAGAAATAATAAAGTCTCAGGGGAATTGAGAAGCCCTAAACTATGTTTTGAGAATTAGAATAGCTCAAGGCCATAATGTTGCCTGGCTACTGAAACAATAATACACTCATATCGAATCACTGCCACTTAGAGAAATATGAACTATCTTTAAGTTTCAGCTCAAATTTTATTTTAAAAAAGAACATCACCATGTTTCTCTAACCATAGATGCCACTAATTTATACAATAAACAATTTACAATTAGATACTTAAAGTTGTTTTGTTATAAATTTAATTTTAAAAAATTATTCAGAATTTTAAATACTCATTTTCATAAATAACTTCATAATGCTTTATTGTATACATATTCATGCATATATAATATGCATTTAAATATTGTGCATATAATTAATTTTAAAATATCTTAAATGTTTTTTTTTTCTGGTGTCATTTTTTTTAAATTTTTTTTATTTTTATTATACTTTAAGTTTTAGGGTACATGTGCACATTGTGCAGGTTAATTACATATGTATACTTGTGCCATGCTGGTGCGCTGCACCCACTAACTCGTCATCTAGCATTAGGTATATCTCCCGATGTTATCCCTCCCCCCTCCCCCCACCCCACAACAGTCCCCAGAGTGTGATATTCCCCTTCCTGTGTCCATGTGATCTCATTGTTCAATTCCCACCTATGAGTGAGAATATGCGGTGTTTGGTTTTTTGTTCTTGCGATAGTTTACTGAGAATGATGATTTCCAGTTTCATCCATGTGCCTACAAAGGACATGAACTCATCATTTTTTATGGCTGCATAGTATTCCATGGTGTATATGTGCCACATTTTCTTAATCCAGTCTATCATTGTTGGACATTTGGGTTGGTTCCAAGTCTTTGCTATTGTGAATAATGCCGCAATAAACATACGTGTGCATGTGTCTTTATAGCAGCATGATTTATAGTCTTTTGGGCATATACCCAGTAATGGGATGGCTGGGTCAAATGGTATTTTTAGTTCTAGATCCCTGAGGAATCGCCACACTGACTTCCACAATGGCTGAACTAGTTTACAGTCCCACCAACAGTGTAAAAGTGTTCCTATTTCTCCACATCCTCTCCAGCACCTGTTGTTTCCTGACTTCTTAATGATCGCCATTCTAACTGGTGTGAGATGGTATCTCATTGTGGTTTTGATTTGCATTTCTCTGATGACCAGTGATGATGAGCATTTTTTCATGTGTTTTTTTGGCTGCATAAATGCCTTCTTTTGAGAAGTGTCTGTTCATGTCCTTTGCCCACTTTTTGATGGGGTTGTTTGTTTTTTTCTTGTAAATTTGTTTGAGTTCATTGTAGATTCTGGATATTAGCCCTTTGTCAGATGAGTAGGTTGTGAAAATTTTCTCCCATTTTGTAGGTTGCCTGTTCACTCTGATGGTAGTTTCTTTTGCTGTGCAGAAGCTCTTTAGTTTAATTAGATCCCATTTGTCAATTTTGGCTTTTGTTGCCATTGCTTTTGGTGTTTTAGACATGAAGTCCTTGCCCATGCCTATGTCCTGAATGGTAATGCCTAGGTTTTCTTCTAGGGTTTTTATGGTTTTAGGTCTAACGTTTAAGTCTTTAATCCATCTTGAATTGATTTTTGTATAAGGTGTAAGGAAGGGATCCAGTTTCAGCTTTCTACATATGGCTCACCAGTTTTCCCAGCACCATTTATTAAATAGGGAATCCTTTCCCCATTGCTTGTTTTTCTCAGATTTGTCAAAGATCAGATAGTTGTAGATATGCGGCATTATTTCTGAGGGCTCTGTTCTGTTCCATTGACCTATATCTCTGTTTTGGTACCAGTACCATGCTGTTTTGGTTACTGTAGCCTTGTAGTATAGTTTGAAGTCAGGTAGTGTGATGCCTCCAGCTTTGTTCTTTTGGCTTAGGATTGACTTGGCGATGCGGGCTCTTTTTTGGTTCCATATGAACTTTAAAGTAGTTTTTTCCAATTCTGTGAAGAAAGTCATTGGTAGCTTGATGGGGATGGCATTGAATCTGTAAATTACCTTGGGCAGTATGGCCATTTTCATGATATTGATTCTTCCTACCCATGAGCATGGAATGTTCTTCCATTTGTTTGTATCCTCTTTTATTTGCTTGAGCAGTGGTTTGTAGTTCTCCTTGAAGAGGTCCTTCACATCCCTTGTAAGTTGGATTCCTAGGTATTTTATTCTCTTTGAAGCAATTGTGAATGGGAGTTCACTCATGATTTGGCTCTCTGTTTGTCTGTTGTTGGTGTATAAGAATGCTTGTGATTTTTGTACATTGATTTTGTATCCTGAGACTTTGCTGAAGTTGCTTATCAGCTTGAGGAGATTTTGTGCTGAGACAATGGGGTTTTCTAGATATACAATCATGTCGTCTGCAAACAGGGACAATTTGACTTCCTCTTTTCCTAACTGAATACCCTTTATTTCCTTCTCCTGCCTAATTGCCCTGGCCAGAACTTCCAACACTATGTTGAATAGGAGTGGTGAGAGAGGGCATCCCTGTCTTGTGCCAGTTTTCAAAGGGAATGCTTCCAGTTTTTGCCCATTCAGTACGATATTGGCTGTGGGTTTGTCATAGACAGCTCTTATTATTTTGAGATACATCCCATCAATACCTAATTTATTGAGAGTTTTTAGCATGAAGGGTTGTTGAATTTTGTCAAAGGCTTTTTCTGCATCTATTGAGATAATCATGTGGTTTTTGTCTTTGGCTCTGTTTATATGCTGGATTACATTTATTGATTTGCGTATATTGAACCAGCCTTGCATCCCAGGGATGAAGCCCACTTGATCATGGTGGATAAGCTTTTTGATGTGCTGCTGGATTCGTTTTGCCAGTATTTTATTGAGGATTTTTGCATCAATGTTCATCAAGGATATTGGTCTAAAATTCTCTTTTTTTTGTTGTGTCTCTGCCTGGCTTTGGTATCACAATGATGCTGGCCTCATAATATGAGTTAGGGAGGATTCCCTTTTTTTCTATTGATTGGAATAGTTTCAGAAGGAATGGTACCAGTTCCTCCTTGTACCTCTGGTAGAATTCGGCTGTGAATCCATCTGGTCCTGGACTCTTTTTGGTTGGTAAGCTATTGATTATTGCCACAATTTCAGCTCCTGTTATTGGTCTATTCAGAGATTCAACTTCTTCCTGGTTTAGTTTTGGGAGAGTGTATGTGTCCAGGAATTTATCCATTTCTTCTAGATTTTCTAGTTTATTTGCATAGAGGTGTTTGTAGTATTCTCTGATGGTAGTTTGTATTTCTGTGGGATCGGTGGTGACATCCCCTTTATCATTTTTTATTGTGTCTATTTGATTCTTCTCTCTTTTTTTGTTTATTAGTCTTGCTAGCAGTCTATCAATATTGTTGATCCTTTCAAAAAACCAGCTCCTGGATTCATTAATTTTTTTGAAGGGTTTTGTGTATCTCTATTTCCTTCAGTTCTGCTCTGATTTTAGTTATTTGTTGCCTTCTGCTAGCTTTTGAATGTGTTTGCTCTTGCTTTTCTAGTTCTTTTAGTTGTGATGTTAGGGTGTCAATTTTGGATCTTTCCTGCTTTGTCTTGTGGGCATTTAGTGCTATAAGTTTCCCTCTACACACTGCTTTGAATGCATCCCAGAAATTCTGGTATGTTGTGTCTTTGTTCTCGTTGGTTTCAAAGAACATCTTTACTTCTGCCTTCATTTCGTTATGTACCCAGTAGTCATTCAGGAGCAGGTTGTTCAGTTTCCATGTAGTTGAGCGGTTTTGAGTGAGATTCTTAATCCTGAGTTCTAGTTTGATTGCACTGTGGTCTGAGAGACAGTTTGTTATAATTTCTGTTCTTTTACATTTGCTGAGGAGAGCTTTACTTCCCAGTATGTGGTCAATTTTGGAATAGGTGTGGTGTGGTGCTGAAAAAAATGTATATTCTGTTGATTGGGGATGGAGAGTTCTGTAGATGTCTATTAGGTCCGCTTCGTGCAGAGCTGAGTTCAATTCCTGGGTATCCTTGTTGATTTTCTGTCTCGTTGATCTGTCTAATGTTGACAGTGGGGTGTTAAAGTCTCCCATTATTAATGTGTGGGAGTCTAAGTCTCTTTGTAGGTCACTCAGGACTTGCTTTATGAATCTTGGTGCTCCTGTATTGGGTGCACATATATTTAGGATAGTTAGCTCTTCTTGTTGAATTGATCCCTTTACCATTATGTAATGGCCTTCTTTGTCTCTTTTGATCTTTGTTGGTTTAAAGTCTGTTTTATCAGAGACTAGGATTGCGACCCCTGCCTTTTTTTTTTTTCCATTGGCTTGGTAGATCTTCCTCCATCCTTTTATTTTGAGCCTACATGTGTCTCTGCATGTGAGATGGGTTTCCTGAATACAGCACACTGATGGGTCTTGACTCTTTATCCAATTTGCCAGTCTGTGTCTTTTAATTGGAGCATTTAGTCCATTTACATCTAAAGTTAATATTGTTATGTGTGAATTTGATCCTGTCATTATGATGTTAGCTGGTTATTTTGCTTGTTAGTTGATGCAGTTTCTTCCTAGTCTCGATGGTCTTTACATTTTGGCATGATTTTGCAGTGGCTGGTACTGGTTGTTCCTTTCCACGTTTAGTGCTTCCTTCAGGAGCTCTTGTAAGGCAGGCCTGGTGGTGACAAAATCTCTCAGCATTTGCTTGTCTGTAAAGTATTTTATTTCTCCTTCACTTATGAAGCTTAGTTTGGCTGGATATGAAATTCTGGGTTGAAAATTCTTTTATTTAAGAATGTTGAATATTGGCCCCCACTCTCTTCTGGCTTGTAGGGTTTCTGCTGAGAGATCCTGTTAGTCTGATGGGCTTCCCTTTGAGGGTAACCCGACCTTTCTCTCTGGCTGCCCTTAACATTTTTTCCTTCATTTCAACTTTGGTGAATCTGACAATTATGTGTCTTGGAGTTGATCTTCTCGAGGAGTATCTTTGTGGCGTTCTCTGTATTTCCTGAATCTGAACGTTGGCCTACCTTGCTAGATTGGGGAAGTTCTCCTGGATAATATCCTGCAGGGTGTTTTCCAACTTGGTTCCATTCTCCCCATCACTTTCAGGTACACCAATCAGACGTAGATTTGGTCTTTTCACATAGTCCCATATTTCTTGGAGGCTTTGCTCATTTCTTTTTATTCTTTTTTCTCTAGACTTCCCTTCTCGCTTCATTTCATTCATTTCATCTTCCATCGCTGATACCCTTTCTTCCAGTTGATTGCATCAGCTCCTGAGGCTTCTGCATTCTTCATGTAGTTCTCGAGCCTTGGTTTTCAGCTCCATCAGCTCCTTTAAGCACTTCTCTGTATTGGTTATTCTAGTTATACATTCTTCTAAATTTTTTTCAAAGTTTTCAACTTCTTTGCCTTTGGTTTGAATGTCCTCCTGTAGCTCAGAGTAATTTGATCGTCTGAAGCCTTCTTCTCTCAGCTCGTCCAAGTCATTCTGCAACCAGCTTTGTTCCGTTGCTGGTGAGGAACTGCATTCGTTTGGAGGAGGAGAGGCGCTCTGCTTTTTAGAGTTTCCAGTTTTTCTGTTCTGTTTTTTCCCCATCTTTGTGGTTTTATCTACTTTTGGTCTTTGATGATGGTGATGTACAGATGGGTTTTTGGTGTGGATGTCCTTTCTGTTTGTTAGTTTTCCTTCTAACAGAGAGGACCCTCAGCTGCAGGTCTGTTGGAGTACCCTGCTGTGTGAAGTGTCAGTGTGCCCCTGCTGGGGGTTGCCTCCCAGTTAGGCTGCTCGGGGGTCAGGGGTCAGGGACCCACTTGAGGAGGCAGTCTGCCCGTTCTCAGATCTCCAGCTGCGTGCTGGGAGAACCACTGCTCTCTTCAAAGCTGTCAGACAGGGACATTTAAGTCTGCAGAGGTTACTGCTGTCTTTTTGTTTGTCTGTGCCCTGCCCCCAGAGGTGGAGCCTACAGAGGCAGGCAGGCCTCCTTGAGCTGTGGTGGGCTCCACCCAGTTCGAGCTTCCCGGCTGCTCTGTTTACCTAAGCAAGCCTGGGCAATGGCGGGCGCCCCTCCCCCAGCCTCGCTGCCGCCTTGCAGTTTGATCTCAGACTGCTGTGCTAGCAATCAGCGAGACTCCATGGGCGTAGGACCCTCGGAGCGAGGTGTGGGATATAATCTCGTGGTGCACTGTTTTTTAAGCCTGTCGGAAAAGCGCAGTATTCGGGTGGGAGTGACCAGATTTTCCAGGTGCCGTCCATCACCCCTTTCTTTGACTGAGAAAGGGAACTCCCTGACCCCCTGCGCTTCCCGAGTGAGGCAATGCCTCGCCCTGCTTCAGCTCACGCACGGTGCGCGCACCCACTGACCTGCGCCCACTGTCTGGCACTCCCTAGTGAGATGAAGCCGGTACCTCAGATGGAAATGCAGAAATCACCCGTCTTCTGCGTCGCTCACGCTGGGAGCTGTAGACCGGAGCTGTTCCTATTCGGCCATCTTCTCTGGTGTCCAAAATATCTTAAATGTTTTGACCATCCATGCCCTCAAAGGTCATCATGTGAGCTGATATGTTATTTAACTTGATTGTGGTAATCAGTTCACAATGTATACATATACCCAAAACATAATGTTGTGTACAATAAATATATAGAATTTCTATTTTTCAGTTATACCTTTATATAGCTGGAAAAATATTATGAATAAATATTTAATGAAAGTTTGGTTGAAGTCCATATTTACACTTCTCATGTATGCTACCACATAAAAATATGTGTGTGCTGAAAAAGTACTAAGTTTGTAAATAGAAGAACTTTTAAAGGGTCACTTCCTATCCTATCCTAGCTTTTAAAATTTGGGTAGATCACTTTATCCTTGGAGGTTCCATTTTTTATCTGTAAAATAGAATCAGAGATTCTCTTTTATATATTTAAAATGGCTGTTATAAGGCTGAAATTTGGTCTTTGAAATAATGATGAAAAAATACATAAAATTTATAAATGCATTAGAAGGGGAAAGAACACTTCTAAAGTCAAATATGAGGTCTGGACTATCCTAAGGCCAGGCACTGACTGTACAAGAAACACATGCTAAAGACTATGTTTTATGAGTATAGACATAAATATCTTCAACATAATATTAGCAAAGAAAATGAGCATATAGATTTATTCAGTCTATTTATTCTCTACCTATAAACAAATGCATATAAATTGAAAAGAAAGAAGTAAAATTACTTCTATTTACAGATTGATTGACTCCAGAGTTTGGAAAGTTTCAAAAAATCTACAAACATTCCAAGAACTAGTAGGTTCAGAACAGTTTCACGATATAAGATGAACGTACAAAAGTTAATTGCATGTCCATGTAATAGCAACGAACAATTGGAATTTAAAAAAAATCCACTTTAAAACCAAAAATATACATATAATATGTATGCTAAAAACTACAAAATTTGCATAAAGTAAATCAAAGGATACATAAAGGGAGCAATATGCAGTGTTCATGGAGCAGAAGACACAATACTTCTAAAATATTATTTTTTTTCAATCAATCTATAGTTTAATTCTAATCTCAATAAAAATTCTAGTAAGCTCTTTTGTGGATGGTGACATCCACAAGCAGATACTGAAATTTATATTAGAGAGCAAATCAACAGGAATAGCCAAAACGATTTTGAAAAGAACAAGTTGGAGAATTCACACTTGAGGATTTCAAGACATTCTAAAGGTACAGTGATGAAAACACTGAGTTTGCAGAACAGTAGAGTAAATGTGTGTTTATTGATGAAACGAATGTATATTCATGAATGTATATTGGTAAAAAGATACACACATAGATCAGTGAAACAGAACGGAGTGCAGAGTAGACCCACACAAATGTAGTCAACTGATTTTCTTTTCACAAAGTTGAAAGGCATTTTAATGGACAAAGGATCGTTCCTTTCAACAAATGAGTGTGCAATAATTGGAAACAAACCTCAACAAATACCTCACAACTTAAACAAAAATTAACTCAAAATGGATCTTAGACTTGTGTGGAAAACCTAAAACTATACAACTTCTAGAAGAAATTGTAGATAGAGTCTTGTGACTTTGGGTTAGACAAACAGTTTTTAGCTATGATAGCAATGCACAATCCATATAAGAAAAAATAGAAAAATTGAAATTTATAAAAATAAAAATATTTTGATATTTGAATAATAATGCTTAGATCAGATTTCTCAAAAAGACTTGTATCCACAATCTATGAAGAAGTCTCAAGGCATAATGTTTAGGAAACAAATATTTTATTAAATACATGAGAAAGAGATTTAAGCAGACACTTCATCAAAGTAGATATTTAGATGACAAATCAGCATATGAAAAGATGGCTCGATATCATTAGCCATCAAGAATATGCAAAATAAAGCCAAAATGAGAAACCACTTGATATGGTTTGGACCTGTGTCCCACCCAAATCTCATGTTCAATTGTCATTCCTAATGCTGAAGGTGGGGCCTGGTGCGGGATGATTGGATCATGGGGGCAGTTTCTCATGAATGGTTTAGCACCATCTCCTTGATGCTGTTCTTGGGATTGTGAGTAAGTTCTTGTGAGACATGGTTGTTTAAAAGCATATGATACCTTTCCTCACCCACCTTCCTCCTGCTCCAGCCATGTGAAGTGCTGGCTCCTGCTTCACATTCTGCCATGATTGTAAGTTTCCTGAGGCCTCCCTAGAAGCTGAGTAGATGCCAGCATCATGCTTTCTGTACAGCCTGCAGAATTGTAGGCCAATTAAACCTATTTTCTTTATAAATTACCCAGTCTTAGCTACTTCTTTATAGCAATGTGAGAACAGACTAAGACACCACCACATGGCTATTAGAATGGCTAAAATTTAAACTGAATAAATGACCAAGAACAAACTGACAAATAAACACCTGACAATTACAAGTGCTGACATGGATGTGAATTAACTGGAATTCTCATACCTTGCTGGTGAAAAACTAAAATGGTACAGCCACTTTGGAAAACAGTTTTGCAATGTTTTATAAAGTTAACCATACATTTATCATATAGTTCTTCAAACCCCCTCCTAAATATTTCAAGAGAAATAAAAACTCATTTTTACACAAAAATCTGCTCAGAATGTTTATAGTAGCTCTATCCCCCTCAAACACAAAATAACTCTGTGTATATTTAACTGATAAATATGCAAACAAACTGTGAAGCATTTATATAATAGTAATACTTGCACATAAAATAAAAACTATTAAACATGCAAAAACATGAGTATACTTCGAGTGTAATTTGCTAAGTAAAATAATCCAGATTCAAAGGCTACATTGAATACTTTCATTTATATGACATTGTGCCAAAGACAAAACTATAGAAATAAAAGGCATTGTTAGTTGCCAGCTGCAGTTGAATTGAGTAGAAGGGGATACTAGGGAAATTTGGGGGGATTAAAATGTTTTACATTTTGATTATTGTGGTAGTTACTAGACAGTGTATGTCAAAAATTCAGAAATAGAGTGTACTATATATTAGATCTTAATAAACCTGAGTAAAAAAGTGTAAAAAGCACTACTTAAAACATTTACTTGAATAAGATTTAATATAATTTCTGTTAGGAAACTATTTCTTAAAAAGAAGAAAAGAAGTCATAAAAGAGTGACAAATTTCTTATTATTAAATTTTAAAATATTATTCATCAATGGATACCATAAAAATGAAAAAAACAGACTCGAAATTGGAGGAAGTTATTTAAAACAATCTATGCAAAGATTAATACACAGTGTATATAGTTTACAAAAGATAACGAAAAAATCAAATAAAACATGAACAAGGCATACAAATAGGCATTTTTTTAAAAGAGGAAAATGGAAAAGCCAATAATCACATGAATGGACACTTAATATGAGAAAAGTTAAAACCACAATTGATAATATTTTATGGGCCAAATGGCCAGGGACTGTGGGTGGCCTCTATGATCTGAGAGCTTTCTTCATCAAGAAGCTGAAATCTTCAATCCGCAACCACAAAACCGTGGAATCTGCCAATAACCTTGAGAATCTTGGAAGCAGATCTTTCCCCATTTAAACCTCTTATGACTGCAATTCTCACTGACACATGGATTGCAATTCAGTGAGACTTTGAGGCAGAGAAATCAGCTAAATTGTGTGCCAGGGCTTCTTACCGATAGAGACGGTGAGATCATAAATGTGGGTTGGTGAGATCATAAATGTGTGTTCATTTAAGACAGAAATAGAAAACTAATATAATCTTTATTCTCAGTTTATTCAAATCTAAAATGGAGACAATAATAGTATTTATCTCACAGGGTTATTTAATCAATTCGTTTGCTACTGGACTCATATTGAATTTGATAAATAACAGGTATAGATCCACTTAGAGACTTTAGGTATTAGGTTGTTGCAAAAGTAATTGCGGGTTTCGCGATTACCTTTAACGATGAAACCACAATTACTTTTGCACCAACCTGTAGGCACTTTTTGAAAATGGGTTCCTCTAAATCTAAGGAATCTGTGACTCCACTTTTTAGGACACGAGATAATGTTATATATATATATATATATATATATATATATATATATATATATATATATGTTAATGGCCCAGGACCTGTGTAATTTTATAAGAATGGGTTAACTCTACTACATGCAACTTAGAATTACAGTGGCCACAATGGGGAAGTTTTAAGTCAAGAGGCACACTAGAAAAAAACAATTCAAAACCTAAAAAAAATAAAATGGAATATATTTCTGATGGGCATTCAGAAGTTTCTAAAAGACTAAATGAATAAAAAACAAAAACTGCCTCTCTTAAAAAGAGAAATGAGAAATCTTAAAAGTCTTTTCATAAATATTAGTAAAAATCTTTGGCCATCTAGCTGAGTAACCTTGTTCCATCAGCCAGAAAAAACCATCTGGATATAATTTTTAAAAAATAAATTAGTGAGCTTCATATTACTGTACTTGGCACATAGCTACAATTTAAAAACGAAAACTATAAGATCTCCTTCTCCTCCTCCACAAGAAAAAAGTTATAAAATAAAAACAGAATGGATGTAAAAAAGTGTAGAAGTTTTGTAGGAAATGAGCCTTGTGATAGGAAACTTGTGTGTGACTAAGCTAAGACTTGAACATACACTGTTTTTAAACTGAGCGTTAATATCAAAAGAACACTGATGCAAAACTAGAATCTGGTTCTCTCTGTTAAAACAAAGTTTGCTTGGCATATTGATCTGCAATGTAGGTTTCTGTATTTGCCTTTGAAGCCTTTGAAATATCACTCTGGTCAAATAAATATTGCTTCACAGCGACTTGTGATTCTACTTAAACATGTGTTTTAAACTTTTTGACATTCTTGACAACTTTCAAATATAAAATTCTAAATTAAGTCCTTTTGAACTTGAACTAACCTTGGGAATTTCTAGTGAGGTCCTGGTAGTATCTCAACAGAATTTGTTCTCTCTCCTTATAAAAAGTGAAATGTTAAACTAATTAGATTTATTTGATATGTTTAATTGCATGGAAAGTACCATCAAATAAAAAGTGATGTTGAATCTTCTTTAAATCATATTGTATAAGTATGTAATTAATATGTTTTAGAAATTTTATAAAATTCCTAGAAATCTGATAATCCTGGCAAAATGCTTTCAGTCTTAATTCTAGTTGTCTTAAAATATTGTTATGTTGCAGAAGTAATAAAATTTCCTTATTAATAGCATTAAAATAACCTCTCATCAGATCTTTGACCATAGCTACTTTAAGGCTTGTCATCCACAGACAGTTAATTGTTTTACTCTGACACTTTCCTGAAAGCTATTGAAAGTAACTATAAACCAAAAGTGTTTTCTCTTTGAAGTGAATTCTTAGAATGAATTCTGAGAAGTAGAAGTTTCCGATAACTTCAAGATATACCATTGGTTTGAGTAAGAATTCCCAAAACTAATGGAGAAACTGATTGGTTCATAAAACTGAAAACACAACATCAAATAGAACAAGGACTAATTAAATACCAAGGAAATAAATTTTCATTATAAGTCATCTAGAACTGAAACTGTTAAGATATGCAATTTGTATGAACTCCATAAAATTGACCCAAGTCCAGTGACCTATGATAGCCTATTTAATACAGTGCTATTTCCCTGATTCAAAAAAAATTGCTATCTGAAAGGATGTAAATTTAATGTTAAGTACTGATTTATAGAGGGCCTGGAAATCCACTTAGTCCTTGCTGAATCCTAAGCTTCTATTATTAAAAACTGTTCTCCATGACTCATCGAGCAGATAATATAATACAAAGTATGAAAAAAAATTGTTGTGTTCACGGTTTTAAATTTATGAAAATGGTTTAAAACCAACGTTTGGTTTGTCAAGCCAGAATCCTAGGAAGGCAATAAAAACTTCAGATGGTACACAGGTGGTAAGTTTTTGCCACCTGTTGGAAATTTGAACACTTACAGATGGGTTTCTTTCAATTACTAACCATAATGTAATATCATAGTGTTCTTGTAATAGTCTGAATGTTCTCTGAATGGATAGAAACTTTTCCATGTAGGATGGCTGATGCTAGAAAAGTAGTTAAAGGTGATTTTAAAATGTGTTTCTACACACATTTTTAACACATCATGTGATTTCACGTGATGAGTTATAAAACAGTTATAAGATATTAAAAACACAATGGTATTACCATCCTTCTATCATGTTCAATCTTCTAGGAGTATTAAAAGGACAAATGATGTTTTAAAACTGAAATTATCAGTTAACTGAATTGACTGGATTGCCTTGGCCACAGGTATTACCATTGGCCATGATAACCATCAGATCCACCCTACTGGAAAACACAATTTTACCCCTCAACCCTTTATAAAATAGCTATTGAGATATCTATATCTTTAATAATATAATATAATGTATTGCTCATTCTCATAAACTTGAATATGCCTACACACTGCGGGGCTTTAATGCATGATGCCTATGTATATTTTCACCAGGTAAATGAAGCCTTCCATGATGCACCAGCAGATGACAACCTAGAACCTAGTCATTCACAATCTAGAACTTAAAAATCGGGTCTTTTGTAAATGACACCAGAGAAAGATGTCCCTTGAATGCTATTGTAAGGGACCATATCAAGTTCTTCTCACCACTCACACTGCAGCAAAATTTCAAGGCCTTGAACCTTAGGTTCACATCTCTCAACTCAAGGGGGGCCTTTCACACACTTGGGACTGTATACCCATTGGACCAGGGAGGTCTCTTCCCAAAAGCAAATGACATTCTAGATGTGGACAGCTTTCTCAAGATCATGAATCATGGCTTCTCTCTGCTGTCATCATGGAAACTTTGTTATTTTTTCTCATTGCCCCATGCCATCTTTTTGTTTATGTGTGGCAATATAGTTCCATGGTTAATATATCACAATCAATATATTCTGGAGGAACTTAACTAAATTCTGGATGTGTCATGCCAAACTTAAATCCCTACATAATACTAAAGATCCTCTGGTTCATCCTGTAACAAATTTCACTGATATTTCAAGTGTGACTATCTTTTAAATCTGCACATCTTGTCTTTTTTTATTAATATAAAGCTGGGCTTTTAGATCCACATATTCAAATCCCTTGCTTAAATGTAAGAGTAGTCAAAAAAAGCTATAGTGAGGGTTTTTCAGTTGAATATGCTGAAAACTGAATAAGAAAATGAAAGGGAAAGATAATTTGACAGTTGGTAGAGAAATTCATCATCTTTATTCTCTCATTGTTGGTTGCCTTTGATTTTGCAATAATTCATTTACTTATCCTTGGATAAAAGTACCAGTTTATCCTTGGATAAAAAGTACCAGTTTTTTCCTACTAATGACCCCTAACAT